>NC_000010.11:24385000-25010000 GCF_000001405.40 Homo sapiens
ACGGGGCCTGGAGTAAGGAGAGTGAGGAAAGCCCAGTTCCCGGCCTGTACACTGGCACGTGGTGCCACAGTTTGTCACTGGAGTCCTTCCCCAGCTCAGGCAGCACAGAAAGGGGAGGGCTAGGCAACTTGAGGGTGGAGCCAGGACAAGATGGAATCCTCACACCACTCCGGCTCCTGAGAGGAGAGGAAGCCTTCCCTCACTTCAGTCTGCCTGTGCCTGGAGATAAACCTGCCTGCCTCTTAGTTTCTCCACTTGAATAAGTCCTCATTTCTATTGCTTCAGTGTATTTGGGGGCTGGGAGAAATGCAGGAAGGCTGAGCATGGTGCATTTCGCAAATGGTGTTAAAAGACATGCAAGAGAAAGTGTGGGGAACAGTAGCTGTGTTTTGGACCCGTCTTAGACATCACTGGTGTCTGTGTAATGGTCTCCCTCGGGTGCTGTCCTGGGATGCAAGGTGTCTACTTCTCATTTGGGAGAAGCATTTTGACATTCAGACAGAGCCAAGTGACAGCAACACACAAGTCCTTTCTGAGGCTTAGAGCCTAGAAATTTACAAAGAAGAAAGGTAAAGAAAGAAATTGATGGGTTCAGCAGCACTGACTTATCCCAACGCCAGGTTCCAACAACCTATCGTGTCTAAATCTGTACTTCCACAGAGTGATGGGTTCCCTGCCCTTTCCTCTCATCCAGAGCCCAGCTGAAATTCTTTTCAGTGGAATTTATGCCACTTCTCCTTTACTCTCTCTTCAGTGAAAATAGAGAAGACCAGGAGAAAGGAAGACTAAAAAGTAAAGTGAAAACCGCCTTCCAATAGAATTTGGTTGCAGAAATAATTTCCATGAAAAATGGTCGGGCTGATATTAGGTCTGGAGTCTTAATGATGGAGTAGTTTCCTTTTAATCATGGTGCTGTCTTAGAAATGCCTGTCTGGAATGTGACCATGGGCGGGGGTTGGTGTCTGGCCACTGCGTAGTCGGCCTTCGGGGAAAGGGTAGCCACAAGATGTTCCCACTCTTCTGTGAGCCCTCAGGAATTTGAAAATAAGACTCATGTGAAAACAGGAACAACAGCAGCAACTTCTTGATGCAGACAGATTCCTTTGTTGACCATATTCTGAATGCATAGCTTTAGAAAAGAGACCTCACTGACCAGCCCGGCAGCCAGAGGAGTTCCCATTTCTGCAACAAACTGCCTCTGAAACACTCAGACTGAAAAAGCAAAAATGATCTTAAGTGGCATAGGAGGATTTTAGACTGGTTAGAGGGAGAAGTTCCTCAGGGGGACGAATTATTGAATATCTGTGTGGCTGTTCTTTTATTCCAACATGATTAACTTTGATGCTTATCATTCCCTATGGGAATTTAAGGAAAAGAAGGCTCATAATTGCCAGAATCTTCCATCCTGTGTACATGCAAGGCTGAGTAGGAAATCAGGGCAAAGGAATTGATGAATTGTCTGTCTCTAAAGATGAAAACAAAGAGGGGGCAACAACTGTAAGACTAATGTGAGACTGTCTGAATGTGAACAGTTATTTCTTGAATATTCAAAAATAAATCTATTTTATTTATTTATTTATTTATTTATTTAGAGACAGGGTCTTTCTCTGTTGCCCAGGCTGGAGTACAGTGGCACAAACATAGCTCACTGCAGCCTTGAAGTCCCTGACTCAAGCAATCCTCCCACCTCATCCTCCTGAGTAGCTGGGACTACAAGTGCACACCACCATGCCCAGCTAATTTTTCTGTTTTTATTTTTTTTTAGAAATGGGGTCTTGCTGTGTTTTCTGCTGGTCTCAAACACCTGGCCTCAAGTGATCCTCCCACATTGGCCTCTTAAAATGCTGGGATTACAGGCATGGGCCACTGCACCTGGCCCAAAAGATAAAAGAATTTTAAACAAATGAAAAGAAGTATTGCTCTGTAGAGTAAGTGAAACATTTATGAAATTTGTTTTTTCTAAGACCTTGTAGTTATTGAAAAGTAATACTGTAAAAACAAAAATTCGCAGAAGGGAGTTTCATAGCAGGTCAATAAGTTCATGGTCAGGCTCTTAGGCTGCTAGCATAGAAAATGTCAGAGCAGGCAGACACACAACAAAAAAAGAGAATTTTAGACCAATATCCCTGATGAACATTGATGCAAAAATTCTCAGTAAAATTCTGGCAAACTGAATCCAGCAGCACATCAAAAGGCTTATCCACCAAAATCAAGTTGGCTTCATCCCTGGGATGCAAGGCTGGTTCAACTTACGCAAATCAATAAACATAATCCATCATATAAACAGAACCAAAGACAAAAACCACATGATTATCTCAATAGATGCAGAAAAGGCCTTCGACAAGATTAAACAGCCTTCATGCTAAAAACTTTCAATAAACTAGGTATTGATGGGACATATCTCAAAATAATAAGAGCTACTTATGACAAACCCACAGCCAATATCATACTGAATGGGCAAAAACTGGAAGCATTCCCTTTGAAAACTGGTAGAAGACAGGGATGCCCTTTCTCACTACTCCTATTCAACATAGTGTTGGAAGTTCTGGCCAGGGCAATCAGGCAAGAGAAAGAAATAAAGGGTATTCAATTAGGAAAAGAGGAAGTCAAATTCTCCCTGTTTGCAGGTGACATGACTGTATATTTAAAAACCCCCGTTGTCTCAGCCCAAAATCTCCTTAAGCTGATAAGCAACTTCAGCAAAGTCTCAGGATACAAAATCAATGTGCAAAAATCACAAGCATTCCTATACACCAATAACAGACAAACAGAGAGCCAAATCATGAGTGAACTCCCATTCACAATTGCTTCAAAGAGAATAAAATACCTAGGAATCCAACTTACAAGGGATGTGAAGGACCTCTTCAAGGAGAACTACAAACCACTTCTCAACGAAATAAAAGAGGACACAAACAAATGGAAGAACATTCCATGCTCATGGATAGGAAGAGTCAATATTGTGAAAATGGCCATACTGCCCAAGGTAATTTATAGATTCAATGCCATCCCCATCAAGCTACCAATGACTTTCTTCACAGAATTGGAAAAGACTACTTTAAAGTTCATATGGAACCAAAAAAGAGGCTGTATAGCCAAGACAATCCTAAGCCAAAAGAACAAAGCTGGAGGCATCACACTACCTGACTTCAAACTATACTACAAGGCTACAGTAACCAAAACAGCATGGTACTGGTACCAAAACAGAGATACAGACCAATGGAACAGAACAGAGCCCTCAGAAATAATACCACACATCTACAACTGTCTGATCTTTGACAAACCTGACAAAAACAAGCAATGGGGAAAGGATTCCCTATTTATTTAATAAATGGTGCCGGGAAAACTGGCTAGCCATATGTGGAAAGCTGAAACTGGATCCCTTCCTTACAGCTTATACAAAAATTAATTCAAGATGAATTAAAGGCTTAAATGTTAGACCTAAAACCGCAAAAACCCTAGAAGAAAACCTAGGCAATACCATTCAGGACAGAGGCATGGGCAAAGACTTCATGACTAAAACACCAAAAGCAATGGCAACAAAAGCCAAAATTGACAAATGGGATCTAATTAAACTAAAGAGCTTCTGTACAGCAAAAGAAACTACCATCAGAGTGAACAGGCAACCTACAGAATGGGAGAAAATTTTTACAATCTACCCACCTGACAAAGGGCTAATATCCAGAATCTACAAAGAACTTAAACAAATTTACAAGAAAAAATCAAACTCTTCAACAAGCGGGCGAAGGATATGAACAGACACTTCTCAAAAGAAGACATTTATGCATCCAACAGACACATGAAAAAATGCTCATCATCACTGGTCATCAGAGAAATGCAAATCAATCCACAATGAGATACCATCTCACACCAGTTAGAATGGCGATCATTAAAAAGTCAGGAAACGACATGTGCTGGAGAGGATGTGGAGAAATAGGAACACTTTTACACTGTTGGTGGGACTGTAAACTAGTTCAACCATTGTGGAAGACAGTGTGGTGATTCCTCAAGGATCTAGAACTAGAAATAGCATTTGACCCAACCATCCCATTACTGGGCATATATCCAAAGGATTATAAATCATGCTGCTATAAACACACACACGTACGTTTATTGCAGCACTATTCACAATAGCAAAGACTTGGAACCAGCCCAAACGTCCATCAATGATAGACTGGATTAAGAAAATGTGGCACATATACACCATGTAATACTATGTAGCCATAAAAAAGGATGAGTTCATGTCCTTTGTAGGGACATGGATGAAGCTGGAAACCATCATTCTCAGCAAACTATCGCAAGGACAGAAAACCAAACACCACATGTTCTCACTCATAGGTGGGAATTGAACAATGAGAACACTTGGACACAGGGTGGGGAATATCACACACTGGGGCCTGTGGTGGGGTGGGGGAATGGGGGAGGGATAGCATTAGGAGATATACCTAATGTAAATGATGAGTTAATGGGTGTAGCACACCAACATGGCACATGTATACATATGTAACAAACCTGCACGTTGTGTACATGTACCCTAGAACTTAAAGTATAATAAAAAAAAAAAAGAAAGAAAGAAAATACAACAACAACCACAACAACAAAATGTCAGAGCATTCTCTCTAGCATCAGAACCAGCGCCCTGGCCTAAGTAGCTGGGAGTGGGTGGTTAGGGTGTCTGGCTGGAATCACCCATACCAGTCTCTTCCTAGTGCACCTGCTGCTACCACTGAGGCTGGAAAGCAGATTCTTTCTGGAATATCCAATGTGCTGGGTTCTGGAAGGTGAGAAGCAAGGCAGTTGTGGAGACTTGGGTTTTTTGTTTTGTTTTGTTTTGTTTTTTTTCAGCATTATTTGCCAAGCTCCCAGGGCACGGCCACCAGCTTGATCGGGTTGAGACTGCTGGGGCAGGCATCCATCTCTAGTACTGAAGTGAAGGTGAGGCCCAACTCTGCATCTGTGCTGGCAGCTTCCAATCAAGGCAGCATGGCTTTGGAATCACACCTGACCAGAGTTTAAGGAAGCTTCCTCTTTACCAAACCAGGTCTATAGTCACCCAGTTTTACTGTGAAGATTCAGCCCAGTGATTCTGCAAGCCATTTAATAAATCCATTTTTTTTAACTGGCTGAACCAGTTCAGTTCTCTACAACTGATCTCTGACTGCACAGGGGCCTAACTTATTATATTTGTAGATATTGTAGTGCTGCCTGTTCTGTGTGTTTCAGGAAATAGGACAAGTGCTGGAGGGTATAGGTTGATGACTTCTGGAGGCTTGGCAGGGAGCTGTAAGTGTGGTTTTCAAACTATGTTCTAGAGAACATGGAAGTTCTATATTATAAATACTGCAATTTCATGTAAGATCTCATTTGAAAAATGAGCTGATGCTAAACTGGTAAAAAATACAATAAAATAAAACCGATACACACAATAAAAATTAAATAGGCCAGTAGTATGGGGGAAAAAAGGAGGGAGGGAGGGAGGGAAGGAAGGAAGGAAGGAAGGAAGGAAGGAAGGAAGGAAGGAAGGAAGGAAGGAAAATTATGAGGAAATTTCAAAAGAAAGGGAGAAAGAGAGAGGGAGGGAGGGAAGGAAGGAAATGAATAAATGTCCTTTATACTCAGCAGGAGTCTTTAAATACTTTAATTTGCCAAAACATTCTCTTAGTTTTCTCGCACTTGATGTAATGAATGTCCTGAGAGGTAGTTTTTTAAAAACCGAGTCAATCTTTAAGTAAAACATTTCAGGCTAAGAATTAACCATTGTAAGGAATATGTCAAAAATTTCTTCAGTATAGTGAAGCATGTTTTGTGATACAAGCATCCCCCCAGTTTGTCCTTTATCAACTAGGATTTTCATATATGAGGCTTGCTGAAAAAAGGCAGCGTTGTCCAGGTTTCCTCACTTGGCTCCCAATTCACCCATAAGAAAGAATGTTCTTGTAAAAGATCATGTGGATTCATGATGCATTTGTGCTTACTTTAAAAAACAAAGTTGGTCAGATATCCTTAGGAATCTCTTGTGATTAAAATTCCTGGGTTGAAACTCTAGAAGAGATTTCTCAAACTTTGAAGCAATTGTTTAGTTAATATGGACCTGAGAGATTCTATGCCTTTTACCAAAAAAAATATATCTTCTAGGATTACTTTGCAGATGGGACATAGGTAAAAAAGCATGGCCTGAAGTGAGGAGAAGATGTGATGAATGACAAAGGTGTCAACCCTCAGGCACCATTATTTTAGAGGGACTTTCAGTGATCAGGGACTATGAGGAGGAAACAGTCTTAGCAGTGAGAGAGGTCTTAGAGAAGATTTAGGTTCTCCTGTTTCTTTCTTTCTTTCTTTTTTTTTTTTTTTTTTTTTTTTTTTGTGAGACGGAGTTTTGCTCTTGTCACCCAGGCTGGAGTGCAGTGGTGTGATCTCAACTCACTGCAACCTCCACCTCTGGGGTTCAGCAATTCTTGTGCTTCAGCCTCCTAAGTAGCTGGGATTACAGGCAACGGCCAACACACCTGGTTAATTTTTGTATTTTTAATAAAGACAAGGTTTCACTATGTTGGCCAAGCTGGTCTCGAACTCCTGACCTCAGGTGATCCACCCACCTCAGCCTCCCAAAGTGATGGGATTACAGGTGTGAGCCACCACACTTGGCCTAGGTTCTCCTGTTTCTCTTTCTTCCTTTGCAGCCAGGCTGTTGTTAAACCTGGAGTATAAGTCACCTTTTTATAAAGTTAACCTAAGACTTTTCAGTGCTGAAGATGGAGCTATAGGGTTAAGTAACTGGAAAGGTAACATATTTCCAAAGCCATTTCAGAAAATCAGTCTTGGCGTTAAGTTAGAGTGAACTATTCCATTCTCTCTCTGCTATACCCATTGATACCCCATCCTAACCCAGACACCTAGCTGATTTTGTTTTCCTGATGCGAAAAATACTCTAATTCAAAAATGAACCCTCCATCAAGTTTCAAAGACAACACAGAAGAAAGTAGGCAAGTTTTATCTATGATTTATACCTTTCTAAATCCAAATTAGATTTGATCTGGCTTCATCAAAACCAATAAAAATATCAAAGAACCATTAAAATAAGAATTAATACAAGTAGCTGTTGGGTAAAATATGTGTTCCAGAAAAATTAAGATAAAGATGATGGCTGTAATTGCAGTTAATATTAGAATATAAGACAAAAGAAGAAATGTAAGGCATTATTACATGGATTGCATTGTTTAAGATGAGGTTTATACCAGCTCATTAGAAAAAAAAAAAGTTTTAAGGCATTATCTTCCAACAACTCTTATATCTTAATGTTTTTGACATCTGATTATCTACTAAGCAGTTATATATCACAGTTGTTTTATGAAATGTTTTCCATGTGGCTATATCTTTACCATAAAACTTCAAAATCCAACAACACAGTATTAAGTCATGCAGTGAGAAGGCCATAACTTAGAATCTATAGATTTCCAGGGATCTAATTTAATACATGGAAAAAGTTGATGTAGTCTTGATAATTGCTTTAGCCCTCAGATGGTTGGTCCTTGGCTATTAGTTGTCTTAGCAGGTTGGGTAACTTCAGCTGAAGAGGAATATTTGAGAGGCAGATCATTGTTGAAGACTTGAATGGCAAAAGAGAGTTAGAAAAGTCATTTCTCCCACAGTGACAAAATTCCAAAATTTTTAATATGTTCCAATAATACCAGCTACTACTCTACACTTTCCCCGGGAATGACATTGGAAATTTATGGATTCAGATGCTGTACTTTTAGATGTTCTGCAATGGTTTGGTTGGAACAAGAGATGAGACATTAGGAAATGTTACCTGAACTGTGTATGAGGAAAAAGATTTTGTTTATCAGCCTCTTTTGTTTCCCTTTGCCATGAAAACTCTATCTAAAATCTGTTCACCATGCCTTACTGTTTTCATAAATGCAAAATATATTACACACATTATTTTTTTTTAATTAAAAGTTTCTGGCTGAGTCAATTTTTTTTGAAAGCTAATTTTCAGATATGATCCTTTAGGTTTATTTAACTCGATACAAGTTCCCCACATTTTTAGCACCGGCTTTTAAAGAACAGTCTAAAAAATGTTAGAAATAAAATTAAGACGCAAGCCAGTTTTATGGCATACACCCAAGTAGAACTTCATCCTTGGTGTTCTCATCCTAGCAGTGGCCTCCAGAAGGCTGCCCGCTGATGTCCAGAAACTGAGATTTAGGGCAGTTTCTCATATTTCTGGCTCAGTCGAGGAACATGGGAAGGTACACGTTCTGCATTGCTGGAGGGTAGATTATGTCTTCTTAGGCAGAGGAGTTAGTGAAAGGTCCTGGTCTACTGGCATCCAGATTTCACAAGTTAGCTCTGTGGTATGGATTTGAAACTAAGCAGGCCCCTGTCTGGAGATGAGGTTCTGTCTGGAGCAGGGAGGAGCCAGACTTTCCATCCAGGAAAGCTGCTTTCATGCAGGACAGCAGGCGAGAGCCCCCAGGCACCACCATGACGCTCTTCGGTTTCTTGTGATTCTGAGTCACTCTCTTGGGGGCTGTTAAGGGAGGAATTGTGCCTACCCTCTCCCAAATTCATATGTTGAAGTCCTAACTCCTAATACTTCAGCATGTGGCTGTATTTGGAGGTAGGAACTTCGGAGAGGTGATTATGTTAAAATGAGGTCATAAGTGTAGGTCTTAATCCGATATGACTGGTGTCCTTACAAGAAGAACAGATTTGGATATAGACGTGTACAGAGAGAAGACCATGTGAAGACATAAGAAAAAGACAGCTATCTACAAGCCAGGGAGAGAGGCTTCAGAAGGAACCCACACAGCTGACACCTTGATCAAAATAACTCTGTTGTTTAAGCCCCTTAGCACAGCCCCACGTACTTAATTGTGGCAGCCTGAACAAATGAGTACGGGGACTCCTGTCTTCTTCTTTCGTCCTGTCTCCTTTGAGGGGAATGTCAGGCTTATGACAGTTGTCACAAACATATTGTGTGTCTTTCTTCAAGACATTAAAATTGTGTTTGTCAAGCTTTCCATTCACTTTAATTTGTTTTCATTTCAGCACATCAGCTTGGTTTCTTAGCATTCCAAGGGGAAAGTTTAAAACCTTTTTGCATATAGACTCCATTTGCACGGCTACTTTTCTTTTCGGCGATTCTCAAGCCCCATCCTCAAATTCAGCCCGTGGAAGTTGTTTGACATCTAACTGAGTTAACTGCATCCTATCAAGCGAAGCTCCTATTTTCAGCCTGCTGAGTTTGGCTACTCAAAAGTTGGTTAATGTCATTAAAAATGATATTCCCACCAACTTTTCATTTGCAGAATTTGCTAAGGTGTTAATTGGCTTTCAGACATCCCTGGCTAAACATCTCCCTATAATATAAAGCTAAACATGATAAAAATAAATTACTTGTTTTCCCCTCTCTTTCTGCCCCAAGTTTTGCCCACTCTCGGGTTTTGTTTTGTTTTTTTTTAATCTCCATTCATGTGTTTATTAAGAATCGATTTGGTTTCTGGCACTGCTAAAGGTGCCATGATGAGTTATTTTAAAAACATATACAATCTGGTTCTTGTATTTAAGGAATTTTCAGTATAACTAAAGACACATGGTAACTATGTAAGGACTGACTTTAAAATATCCATAAATCAAAGACTTCCCGGATGAAGCTCTGATTACACCCAGCCACCCCGGACTCCTGGCTGTTCCAGCAGTCTCGCCCAGCACCTACATCCCTGCCGCTCTCTGCTTTGATTCACCCCACAAACGCCAGTTTCCCATACCCACATCTAGACCTCTGCCCATCAGAGAGCCCTCCACTGGGTAAAATATTAATAGCACCCCTGCTGCCGGTCTCTGTCTCCTTACCTGCTGCATTCTAGTTTCATGATGCTTCTTTAACAGAACAGTGATTCTCAGACTTTAGCAGGAGACGTGTTAAAGCGCAGGTTTCTAGCCCTACCTCCTGAGTTTCTGATTCAGTAGGTCTAGGGTGGGACCTCATAATTTGCATTTCTCACAATTTCCCAGGTGACATGGATGCTGCAGGTCAGGGGACCACTGATTGAGGGTGAGACATGCCCTCAGAAAGAATGAAATGGTTATTTCAGTGACCACCATCACCACATAAGGGCATGTGAATCAGTCCCCAGTGGAGAATAGAAAGTTGTCATTTTACATTGGCAGGAAAACATAGAGGCCCTTGCAGGGAGGACCTCTCCCCCATTCTTTGCTGTTCTTATTTTTGATCCCTACTTGATCTCTGAATCACCTCATCTGCCACCTCTTTCCCCTGCTGGACACCCTTAGACTCAACATCTGACCTCCGCCCTGTTGCTCCGGTCTTGGAGGGTAATCTTTTCTTATGCCTTTGTGCCACTCTGCACATACATCCCAAGTTACTTCATTCAAGGATTTCCCACACCAGTGTCCTGCCCTTCTCCTGCCCCAGGGACACTCTGGCTCCAACCATGGTCAGTTTAGCAACCAGATGTTGATATCATTCATGGTGTGGACGAGGCAAAGGACCAGTGCTTAAGGCCAGTGCACCTGAGAATGTCCCTGGAAAAGAAAGTTCCCTTGGAACAAGATGCTCTATGCTTTGATTCAGTAATTGGCCTTTCTTGATTCTAGGGCTAGGCACGTTCTTGTGCTTCCATTTGGTTCATAAAAGGAACCACATAATGTAGGAGCCTTTTTTTAAGAGACAGAGTCCTGCTCTGTCACCCAGGCTGGAGTTCGGTGGTGCAGTCATAGTTCTACAGCCTCAATCTCCTGGGCTCAAGCAAGCCTCCCACCTCAGCCTCTCAAGTAGCTGGGACTATAGGTGTGTACTATCAATTACACTTGGCTATTTTGTTGTTGTTGTTAATTTTGTAGGGACGGGGGTCTCACGATTAGCCCAGGCTGGTCTCAAGCTTCAGGTGGTCATCTACCTCAGCCTCCAAAACTGCTGGAATTACAGGCATGAACCACCAAGCCCAGCCTATAGGAGCCTTCTTAAGAGTAAAAACTCAATTAAAACTACATACCAATGCCAGCAATGATTCTTTTAAGAAATGCTTACCGGCCAGGCGTGGTGGCTCACCCCTGTAATCACAGCACTTTGGGAGACTGAGGTGGGTGGATCACCTGAGGTCAGGAGTTCGAGACCAGCCTGGCCAACATGGTGAAACCCTCTCTCTACTAAAAATACAAAAATTAGACAGGTGTGGTGGCAGGCACCTGTAATCCCAACTAGTCGGGAGGCTGTGGCAGGAGAATCACTTGAGCCCGGGAAGCGGAGGTTGCAGAGAGCAGAGATTGCGCCATTGCACTCCAGCCTGGGCGACAGAGTGAGACTCTGTCTCAAAAAAAAGAGAAAAAAGAAAAAAAATGCTCACCAAGTATCTACCAGGCAATCTTAATAAAACAGCCACAAACCTCTGGCTTCTGGAGCTTCTGTTCTGTTGGAGGAGGCAGCTGATAAAGAAATAAAATATATAATAGATGGTATAAGTGCTATGGAGAAAAATAAAGCAGGAGAAGGGATACAGAGAGCGCTGAAGACATGAAGATGGGAGAGTTGTAATTTTATGAAAGATGGACAGGGGGAGCCTCACTGAGAAGGCAGCCTTCGAGCCATGACCTGGAGCATGTGAAGATGTAAGCCATGCAGATATCTGGGGGAAGAGAGTTCCAGGCAGAGGAACAGTCAATGCAAAAGCCCGAGAAAGAGCATGCCTGGAGCATTCAAGGAACAGCAAAAAGGCCACTATGATCGGAATGATGTCAGAAAGGTAACAGGCCAAATATTGGATGGCTTTTGCAAAACAAACACTCTGGCTCCACTGGCAACATTGGAAAGAGAATGTCTGCTTCATTGCAGAGGTAGGATCAGTGGCGCCACTTCAGATTTAAAGACTATTCTGGCTACTGGGTTTGGAACAGACTAAAGGCAGTGTGGACAGGAGCTGGGAGACCAGTTAGGAGTCTTGCAATAATCCAGGAAGATGGGAGTGTTAGCAGAGTGAGCAGGGAAAAGAATCTGGGTTCTGTAGATGCTTTGAAATGAGATTAAGGTTGGTTTCTGCCATCCAGGAGTTTGTGTTCTGATGGAGAAGGCATAGATGTAAGAAACTCTTTTTTTTTTTTTTTTTTTTTGAGACGGAGTCTCACTCTGTCACCCAGGCTGGAGTGCAATGGTGCCATCTTGGCTCACTGCAACCTCATACCTCCTGGGTTCAAGCAATTCTCCTGTCTACAGGCATGCAGCACCACACCCGGCTAATTTTTGTATTTTTAATAGAGACAGGATTTCACTATGTTGGCCAGGCTGGTCTCGAACTCCTGACCTCGCGATCCACCCGGCTTGGCCTCCCAAAGTGCTGGGATTACAGGCGTGAACCACTGTGCCTGGCTGATGTAAGAAACTCTTAACCGAGGATATGATGCAAACATCACCATAGTAGCTAACATTTGCTAAGCACTCATTCTATGCTAGGCGGTATCTAACACACCAACCAGCAAAGCCAAGATTGGAACCCAAGCAGCCTTGTCTGTAGAACCTACATACTTAACCACTACAATGTACGAAAAAGTAAAAACGACAAAGATCTTATCTGGATAACTGGGAGAGTTTTTAATGAAAAGTAGCATTTGATTTGGGTTTTGAAGGATGACTAGAAATTGACAGTTTGAAAAGGGGGAAGGTCTCTTATGAGAGCAGTGACTATAATAATAAGATTCCACTAATAACCATGTAGTGATCACTTGAACATTCCAGCAATGAAGCTGGAGCCACAGAGGTGTATTTCTCTCTACAGCAGTTATTCCATCCTATCCAGTGCCATTCACACCTGTAGCTACAGCTGTTCCCACAACCCCACCCCCAATAAAGAGGGCACTGAGTGTACCCGGAAGCAGCCAGTAGAGTAATCAGGATCATCTCATCTGGGTTCCTTTACTTACCTTGTCTGTGACATTGGGCAAGTTAATCAATCTCTGAGCCATTTCTGTAAATACCTACCTCACAGAGTACAGTTGACCCTTGAACAACACAGGGATTAGGGGCGCTGACTCCCCATGCAGTTGGAAATTCACATATAGCTTTTGACTCCCCCAAAACTTAACTACTAATAGCCTACCATTGAGCAGAAGGCTTGCCAATAACATAAGTAGTCAATTAACACATATTCGTATGTTCTATGTATTCTATACTGTATTTTTACCATAAAGTAAGCTATAGAAAAGAAAATCTTATTAAGATAATCATTAAGAGAAACTACTATTTATTTAGTGGAAGTGGGTCATCATTAAGCTCTTCATCCCCATCATCTTCACATTGAATAAAGCTGAAGAAGAGGAGGAGGGGTTGGTCTTGCTGTCTGAGGGGTAGCAGAAGCAAAAGGAAATCCACATACTGTTAAGAATGGCAAATATCCGACTTATTGGTGGCAAATATGTACAGGTCTGCAGCAATCTCAATTCTTGCCTCCTCAGAAGAAACAATTTGACTGAGGGGCCTAAGGCAGAAAAAGAAACCAAGGCAAGTTTCAGGGCAGGAGTGGAAGTTTGTTAGAAAGCTTTAGAACAGGAAAGAAAGGAAAGTACACTTGGAAGAGACCCAAGCAGGCACCTTGGAGCTCAAGTGTGGCATTTTTATATATCGACATATTTCAGGGGTCTTGTGTCCTTTTTCCCATGATTCTTTCCTCTGGATGGGCCGCCCGCATGCACAGTGACCTGCTAACACTTAAGAGTTGAGCGTGCACAGTGTGTTTACTGCAGTTGTACACATGCCCACCTGAGGCATTCTTCCCTTTTCCAGTGGCATGCCCCCAGAAGATCATGCTTTGCCATTTTGTCTCTAAATGTGCAAACCAAAGTCTAGTGGCCCAATTTCTGAGCTGCCAGTTACCAATTTCAAGTGTTTTTATTTATAGGGAAACTGCCTTTCCCTGGTACTGGCTGCGACCAATTATTATTTTAGAGAGACCATTAACAACTACCTGACCATCACCTGATGGTTGCCTGACTTTCCTGGTAGGGTTGGAGGGAGCCCTCTCCTGCCCCGCTCATGCCTGACTAGCTGCCTACCATAATAATAGAAGTGGACCCACACAGCTCAAACTGTATTGTTCACAGGTCAACTGTAGTTGTACATAGCCAGTGAGATCATATAGGTCATGTTCTTAATACACTGCCTGATATATAGTAAGTACTCTGTAAATTAGCTGATGGTCATAGCGATGAACTGAGGTTTTTTTCTTAATGTCTATTGCATTCTAAGGTAGGACATTACAAATTTCATTTAGAAATATTTACATCATAATGGTTAAAATTAAGACATTTCTCATTTGTGACGTACTCACTTTTAACTTATTCTTTTTACCGATGATGTTAACTCAAACCTCATCTCTTTCCCAATTCAAAAAAATGCTCTATCATTGTCCTTTCACATCGTGTTTCATTTGCTAAGTTCATGAGTTATTTTATAATAATTAACATTTTAGATTGGTCAGCTGAATTCTGATAGTCTTTATTCTCATTGGTAACATGTCACTGAGTTATATTTTAGGTTATCTTAGATCCCATCTCTAAATTCTAATGGCCACTCTGTGTTGCACTGTTCTTTTCAATTCTGTCTTTCAGTTCCTGGGTCCATCAGATCTAAGAATGTGACTGAGGTATTCCAGCATGGAGAGAGTTAATGTGAGGTTGAATGTGGATAATGCTTCAGAAAGAGTCCAAAAAATACAGAAATTATGCTAATAGGAAAGAATGAGTATCAGAAGATTTCTAGCAATATAGCAGCATGAGGGATCTTAGATGCTAACTGTACCCCTTGTCACCACAAACACGTAGCGACCCAGGATGAAATATAATAATAACAAAAAAATAATAATAATACATGGCAAGTTTGAAAGCGATGAAAGGAAATCTCCAGATTCCAAAAGTGAAGAAGAATATCAAAGTGGAAATCACCATGGACATGGATATTTCAGAGATGGGTACCATGTCTTTGAACTAGGACTTTGCTACTTAACATAGCAACAGGAAAATGAACAGATAGATGGACTAATCGCCCCTGCGTAAATAGCCTAGAGGTTCAAATAACTGATCATTTATTTTTTAAAAATGGGTAGATAGAACTCTAATCACATCCCAGGAAAGCAGCAAAGAGGTTTGCCTCTGACCTGAGAATTGGGGCAGAAAAAAAAATTATCTGGGAGAAACAAAAGCCCTAGACAGGAACCGTGCACAGGGATGAAGCCTGGACTTATACTACCTGACCTGCATTTTGGGGACTTCCCACAGTATATCAGTCAGGATAGGCTAGTTAATGCTGCAGTAACAATTCCCAAATCTCAACAGCACTTATCACAACCACTGTTTATTTCTTGCTTAAGTTGCTTGCCCAGTGCAGCTTGGCAAGAGGTCCTGCCTGTCATAGCCACCCAGGGTCCCCATGCTGATGGAAGCCCCATCTCAACATGTCACAGAAGCAGGATAAAGGGAGCATAACAAATCTTGGCTCTTAAAGCTTCTGCAAGAAGTGATGCTTTGGTTAAAAGAAGCCACAGATCCATGCTTACCTCCAAAGGGGACAAGGAAGTGCAATCCAACAATGGACCTGGAATATTTGTGAACAATACTAGAGACAATCACACCAAGCCTATACATTAACCTAAAAGTAATCAGGATCATTGAAATCCCTAGTCCAGAGTATTCAGCTGAAGAGAGAAATAGTCAACCAGAATATAAATATGAGGAAATCTCACAATCTGAGGAGAGAAAACATGAAAGACCAACTTAGAGACAGGATCAAGCAACCAGGGCCACCTATGTCTGAGAGGAATTCTGGAAGATAAGGCTAGAAAAAAATTGGGGAAAGACAATAGTGGATGAGAGAATAGATGAGAATTTTTCTAGAATTGAAGACAAACCTGAGACTTAAGATTGAAAAATAACACAAAATTCCAAGCAAGAAACATACACACACACACACACACACACACACACACACACACAGGCCCACTTTGGAGAAACTGCAAAACATCAAAGATCAAAAGAAAATTTTAAAAGCAGCTGGAGAGAAATGACAGGTTACTTACAAAGAAAAGAAAACTTAATACCAGCATGCTTTTATAAGCCAAGAAGTCAGAAAGCAAGAGTAATAGCTTCAAAATCCAAGGGAAAGAAGTTACCATCAACCAATATATATATATATATATATTTTTATCCAGCAAAATTCTTTATTTGAGAGTGAGGGCAAAAAGAGCCTACTTTAAGATAAACAAGATTAGGAGTATTTACCATTCACAGACTCACTGAAAGTACTATTACCATATGTATTTCACACAAAAATCCTTAATACATTATAAGCAAATCAGATTCATCAAGGTGTAAAAGCAATAATACATCACAACCAAGCGAGGTTTATTCCAGGTATGCACGGCTGGTTCAATATTTGAAAATTTATAAAGTAATCCACCATATGAACAGGCTGAAGAAGGAGAATCATATGATCATGTTAATTGACAGTTAAAAATATTTGATAAAATCTAACAACAATTCATGATTAAAAAAACACAAAACTCCCAGCAAACTAGGAATAGAGGTGAACTTTCTCACTTCATAAAGAGCATCTACCAGAAACCTACAGCCAACATCATACTTTCCCTCTAAGATAGGGAACAGCCAGGAGTGTCTGATCTTACCACTCTTAACATAATTCTGGACATGGTAGCCACTGCAATAGGCAGGAAAAAGAAATAAAAGGCATGTAGTTTGGGAAGTAAGAAATAAAACTGTCTCTGTTTGCAGATGACATTATCTACATAGGAAATCCAATGAATGCACCAAAACAACTCTCCTAGAAGTAATGAGTGAGTTCAAGATCAACATACAAAATCTATTGCATTTCTATATACTAAGAATGAGCAAATGGAAGCCAAAATAAAAAACACAGTACCATTTACAGTTGCTCCAGAGAACATGAAATACTTAGGTATACATAAAACAAAACATGTATATGATCTGTATGTTGAAAATTACAATATGCTGTTGAAAGAAGTCAAAGACCTAATAACTGAAGAGACTATTTTCATAGATAGGAAGATTCAGCCAAATGAAGATGTCACTGCTCTCCCAAAAGATCTATAGGTTTAAAAATATTCCTATAAAAACCACAGCAAGTTTTTTTTGTAAACATAAACAAGCTTGTTCTAAAATTTATATAAAAAGGCAAACGAGTGGTCAGGCGCAGTGACTCACGCCTGTAATCCCAGCACTTTGGGAGGCCAAGGCGGGCGGATCACGAGGTCAGGAGGTCGAGACCATCCTGGCTAACACGGTGAAACCCTGTCTCTACTAAAAAATACACAAAAAATTAGCCGGGCGTATTGGTGGGCGCCTGTAGTCCCAACTACTCAGGAGGCTGAGGCAGTAGAATGGCGTGAACCCGGGAGGCGGAGCTTGCAGTGAGCCGAGATCGCGCCACTGCACTCCAGCCTGGGTGACAAGGCAAGACTCCCTCTCAAAAAAACAAAAAACAAAACAAAAAAAAAAAAAAGGCAAAGGAGTTTGAATAGCTAAAACTATTTTGACAAAGAAAAATGAAGTGGGAGGAATTATTCCACCAGATTTTTAGGCTGCTTATAGAGCTACAACAATCAGGACTTTGTAGTATTGGCAGACACATAGGTCAATGAAACAGAATAAAGAACCCAAAATAGAACCACCCAAATACGCCCACTTGGTCTTTTACAAAATTTAAGAGTTCTTTATATATTCTAGATACTGGTCCTTCATCAAATGTGGTTTACAAATATTTCCTTTCAGTCTGTAGCTTGTCTTTTCATCCTCTGAAGGAGATCCAGTCTGGGCACGATGGCTCATGCCTGTAATCCCAGCACTTTGGGAGGCTGATGTGGGAGGATCACTTGAGGTCAGGAGTTGGAGACCAGCCTGGCCAAGTGAAAAAGCAATTCAATGGAGGAACAATAGCTTTTTTAGCATATGGTACTGAAGAAATGGGATCTCCCCTCAAAAACTTCAACCTGAGTCTCACACTTAATACAAAAAAAACTCAAAATAGATCATAAACTTGAATGTAAAATGGAAAACCATACAACTTTTAGATAAAAAGCAGAAGGTATTATTCAGGAACTGTAGCATTGTGAAGATTTCTTAGACGTGACAGCAGAAACATGTTCCATAAAAGGAAAAGTTGATAATTGGATCTTATTTTATTCTATTTATTTATTATTATTATTATTTTGTTTTGACACAAAGTTTTGCTCTTGTTGCCCAGGCTGGAGTGCAATGGTGCAATCTCAGCTCACTGCAACCTCTGCCACCCGGGTTCGAGCAATTCTTCTGCCTCAGCCTCCTGAATAGCTGGGATTACAGACATGTGCCACCACACCTTGCTAATTTTTGTATTTTTAGTAGAGACGGGGTTTCACCATCTTGGCCAGGCTGTTCTCGAACTCCTGACCTCAAGTGATCCTCCCGCCTCAGCCTCCCAAAGTGCTGGGATTACAGGCATGAGCCATCTTGCCCAGCCTGGATCTCCTTAACAGGATGGAAAGACAAGCTACAGACTGAGAGGAAATATTTGTAAACCACATCTGATGAAGGACCAGTATCTAGAATATATAAAGAACTCTTAAAACTCAATAGTGAAAAATCAAGCAATCCAATTAGAAATTGGATGAACTACAGAAAGAGACATTTCACTAAAGAGGAGGTACAGATGGTAAATAAGCACATGAAAAGATGTTCAACATCATTAGCCTTTAGAAAAATGCAAATTAAAACCACAGTGAGGTAGCACTACCCATGCATCAGTATAGTTCAAATAAAAAAAATAGAGATAACACCCAATGCGGGCAGAGATTCAGAGAAACTGGATCACTTATACATTGCTGGTGGAAATGTAAAATGGAATAGCCACGCTAGAAAGTAGTTTTGCAGTTCCTTTTATTCATTTTTTATTTTTTGAGACAGGGTCTCCCTCTGTTGCCCAGGTTGGAGTACAGCGGCGTAATCACAGTTCCACCATAGCCCCCATCTCCCAGGCTCAGGTGATCCTCCCACCTCAACTTCCTGACTAGCTGGGACTAAAGGAGCACGCCACCATGCCCAGCTAATTTTTTGTATTTATTTTAGACACAGGGTTTCACCATGCTACGCAGGCTGGTCTCGAACTCTGGGGTCAAGCGAGGAGCCTCCCGCTTTGGCCTCCCAAAGTGCTGAGATTAAGGCATGAGCCACTGAGCCCACCCCTACAGTTCCTTTTAAAACTAAAAGTGGGCCGGGTGCGGTGGCTTATGCCTGTAATCTCAGCACTCTGGGAGGCCAAGGTGGGCACATCACAAGGTCGGGAGATGGAGACCCTCCTGGCCAACATGGTGAAACCCTGTCTCTACTAAAAATACAAAAATCAGCCAGGCATGGTGGTGTGTGCCTATAATCCCAGCTACTCGGGAGGCTGAGACAGGAGAATCTCTTGAACCCGGGAGGCAGAGGTTGCAGTGAGCTGAGATCACACCACTGCACTCCAGGGTGGGCAACAGAATGAGACTCTGTCTCAAAAAAAAAAAAAAAAAAAAAAAAAAACTGAAAATGGACTTGCCATGGGACCCAGCAACTGCAGTCTTTTGCATTTATCTCAGACAAATGAAAACTGTTTTCACCCAGAAACTTGTACATGAATATTACTAGCAGCTTTGTTTGTAAGAGCCAAAAGCTAGAAACTACCCACATGTCTGTCCTTCAGTGGGTGAATAGTTCAACTACGATACATGCATACCATGGAATACTACTCTGCAACAAGGGACAAACTGTCGATACACAATGACTTGGATTTATGCTCAGTGAGGAAAAAAGAAAAAAGCCAGTCTCTAAAGTTTACATACTGTACCATTCCACTGATACAAAACATTGTTGAGATAAAATTATAGAGATGCAGAACGGATTAGTAGATGCCAGGGACTGGGGATGTAGGTGGGAGAGAGGAGTTTGAATACAGAGGGGTAGCACTTGGGGGCCTAGTTATGATGGTACAATTATCTTAATTGTGTTAGTAGTTACACACAGCTATACATGTGATAAAATCGTATAGAGCAACATAAAATTAATAACAAATACATACACACATACAAATACATGTGTATGTGTATCAACCTGAATAAGCTCTGTGGGTTGCAGCAATGCCAGTGACCCAGTTTTGTTATTGCCCTATAGTTATATAATTGGGGGAGGGAGGGCAAAGAGTGCCTGCGACCTCCCTGTACATTTCTTTGCAACTTTCTTATTATAATTTTTTTCAAAATAAAAATACATATACTTCTCTAAGAAGGATAATAAACCTAGAAGGAAAAACTGAAATGTGAGAAGTAATGGTGAGAAAATAAATTAGTAAACATGTTTTTGGAAAACCTAAATGAGCATAAATCCTAATAAATCATGTAAGGGGGTTAAAAGTAAGGCAAAATAAAAATACCTGGCAGAAACAATAAAAGACCAGAGAGAGTGATCAGAATGAAAGCATCCTAAAAGTCCTCCTATTTTCTAGAAGGAGACTGATAGCCATATACTTGAAATATTTTTATGATTAAAAGGCAGAATGGTATCTAAACCTACGATGCTATTTTGATATGAGGTGTCATTTACTGAGCATCTGCCCTGTGTCTGGAAACCTGCTAACATCACAGTCTCTATTATAATTCTGAAAGGAAGTAGCTTTTTCCTCTTTTTATTGAAGAGAAACAAATGCCAAACAGGGGGTGAATAAAGTACAAGTTAGAGCGGTAAGTGGTAAAGTCAATATTTGAACCCAGGGCTCTCTATCTCCTAAGCATATGTGCTTTTAACCTCCCTGTCCCCTCTTGAGCATAATGAATATGGAAATAATGCATTTTCTAAAAGGAATGCTGCAGTGTTTTGAAGGTGAAGTAGTCTTACATTTTATAGAATGAAATATGAAATCATCTCCAAACTATGGGCACAACAGAAAGCTTTCCTATCTTCCCTTTTTATTTGATTTCATTGACCAAAGTGTGGACAAAACTGATTACAAAATAGAAGGCTTTCACATCTTCCCTTTCCTTTCATATCAGCTCCAAACAGTCATTGTGAAGCCATGTGTCCCAGGAACCCATCATTCAATGAGTTGTGCTACTTGGAAGAATGACGAGCAACAATTCACATTCAGATTTGGTGTTTTCTTCATCAAGCTATAAGCATAGAAATGAAATTTTTGACATTGTCCCATATGGATGAGAAAAGAAAAAGTGGTATTTTGAAGATCAAAGAAAACCACAAATCTATGGATGTCCTATATGTAAATCTTGTTTCTGTTTCTCCTGATGCTAAAATGTTGAATTCTAAATATGCAAAGGTACATTCACACACAAACACACACACACACACACACACACACACCATACAGGATGAACACACACATTGCTAATGGGTCCTAGAAAAAGGTGCTAGGGCTTAGTTGCACATGTTTGTTGACAGGTTAAAATAAAAGAAACCTGAACACGCCCCTCTGGGTCTATCAGTCTTTTTCTCCTTTTAGCTAAAGCTCTCCAGTTTATACAATTGAAAAGAGGGAGTACTTTTATCTTACCTGAAACATTATGCAGCCAAAGCTTCTATTTACTGACTCATAAAGGATTTTATGCCTCATCTGTTGTACTTAAGATGACTATAGAGAATATACCAGAAAAAAGATTTGAAATGTGTTGCCTTCTGAAGTTAGAATTATAATCAGGTGTATTATTGAACAATCCTACTTTCCTTAATGTGTACAGATTTCAGCATTGGCAGGAAGTATTGAAGTAAACCCAAACACAGCATTAAGCAAAATGTAGCCTCAAACTCTAAAAACATGTACAATTGCCACTCCTCTGTGTGAAGACTTCAGAATGATTTTGCCCAACTCTTTCATAATAGTTTCATCTGATGAAACAACAAAAGCACCTGTCACTGGGTGAGCGCAGAGCCTTCTATAAAAACATCAGGAACATTCTGATCCCAGAACTACCATCGCAGCTCTGTCATGGAATAAGCCAGAGAGACCCTGGGCAGATCTCTTCTCCTTTCTAGACCTTAATTTTCTCCATCTATAAAATCCTGACACATTTCCCAAGAAGTCTGAGAGGAAGATTGGCTTTATAGAAATGGTTCTGAACAGCAGGATGTCTCGTAGCAATGTTTAATCGTTGGTGATGATAACATGGGAGACTATTTACTTTGTGTCCTTGATGAAGATACGTGTGTGTGTGTGTGTGTGTGTGTGTGTGCGTGCGTGTGCGTGCGCGTGCGCATGTGATGAAGTCTCACTCTGTTGCCCCGGCTGGAGTATAATAGTACCATCATAGCTCACTGAAGCTTCAAAATCCTGGGTTCAAGCAATCCTCCTGCCTCAGCCTCCCAAGTAGCTGGGACCAGAGATTCACACCATCAAGCTCAACTGATTTTTTCATTTCTATTTTTATTTTTTGTAGAGATGGGTTCTGATTTTGTTGCCCAGGCTGGTTTCAAACTCCTGGCCTCAAGTGATCCCCCCACCTCAGCCTCCTAAAATCTTAGAATGATAGGGTGTGAGCCCCCACGCCCAGCCAATAGCTATTCTTTCACCAAGATAAAACCAAAGGCAAAGTATCAGAAAGAAGAAACTCATCAAAACGAAGGCAGACATGGCCATAATATTCTAAAATGTTCATGTCCCATTCCATTTTAGAGTTAGTGTTTTCGAAAGCGTGACCTTGATGGCAGTCCTTAACTGCCATTCCTATGGCCATGGTCATGAAGAGTGGCCTGGTAGCCCCACCTTATCCAGGCGGACCCGTGAAAAGCGTCCACTTGTATATTGGTTTGTCGTGTTCTTAACAAAAAAATAAAGAGGTTTCTGAATTTTTTGGTTTAAGACCCTAAGTTTTACATGAATGGCCAATATAACATATTTCTCAATTTTGTTATTGGTCTAGGTTCATCTTGAGCAAAATATTATTTATATATTAATTTTGAGAGGTCATATAGCATGTGGTTAACAGCATAGACTCTAAAGCCAGACAGCCTGGGATCATGTCCCAGCTCCATCATCTGCCATTGTGTGATGCTGGTCAAATCATCCAACTACTCTTTGCTCCAGTTTCCTCATCAGTAAATGGATATAAAAATAGGACCTACTTCATAGTATTGCTGTGAGGATTACATTAGTTAATTGTGCAGTATAGTGCCTGAACCATAACAAACACTTCATAAGTTGGGGGTATTTTTGTTTTTAAGCATTTCATAAAACCAATGTGGGAAAATAAATCATGAGCTATCAACCCACCCTCCGAATGTATATAGATCCTGACCACTTCTTACATCCCCTACTCCTAATCCACCACCACCTCTTGCTGGGACTTGTGCAGTAGCCACCTAACTGGTTCCCCTCTTATCACGAGCAGTCTCCACAGGGCAACCCAAGTAGTTGTTCCAACTCCTGAGTCACATCACACCTTTCCTCTATTCAATATACTGCGTGGCCCATCATTTCATTCAGAATAAAAGAGTACAAGCCTTGGCTCATCCCCTGCCACCCTCCTCTCACCTCTCTGCTCCAATTCCTGGCATCTTGGCAGCTTCTTTAATAACCTAGTTTATTGGCAACAACCTCAAGGCCTTTGTACTTTCTGTTCTTTTTTGCCTGATATGTTCTTCTCCTAGATGTCTGTGGGAGAGTGGCTTCTCCCTCATCAATCTTTATTCAAACACCATCTTATCTGAAGAAGGGCTCTCTGGCCACAATCTCTGAAATATCCTTTCCTTCCCTGTTAAATTTATCTCTAACCTGCCTTATTTCCCTATAGAGGACTAATAGCCACCTGATATAGTATACGCTCATTCTTAAACTGACATATGACCTGTCTCTTGCTAACCAGCATCGGTGGTCCATGACAGCAACTATCTTGTTTTGTTCACTGCTGTTTTACAAGCTCCTAGTATGGTGCCTGCACATAGTAGATGCTCAATAAATATGTGTTGCATTAGTTAATGAACTGGCGTGGATGATACAGTAGTTTATATTGGACTTTCGAAGCACTTTTACATACACAGTCTTATTTGATCCTTGGAAATAAGAATCACAGGGGGACAGATTTTTTTTCTTGCCCCTACACCTACAAAGATTGGCTCAGATCCCAAAGGGGCTTCCATTTTTTCCAAAACCAAGTACCCTGACACCACTTTACTTTTGTACTTATGTCAAATATTACTATTTTATTTGACTGAGTTTAAGTTGCATCATTTAATGTACTCTTGAGATAAGCAACAGCATGGATGTATCTCAAGATAATGATGCAGAATGAAAGAAGCCAGACCAAAAGAGTATATACTGTCTGATTTCATTTCTTCAAAATTCTAGGGAATGCAAATTAATTTATAGTGACAGAAAGCAGATCAGTAATTGCTCAGGGGCTGGAGGAAGGGATTACAAATGGCCCAAAGGAACATTTTAGGGTGATGCAGATAGTCATTATCTTCATTTTGGTGATCGTTTCATAAGTATATCCATATATCAAAACTTACCAAATTGTACACTTTAGATGTGTGCAGTTTTTTAAAATTTTTTATTTCCATAGGTTTCTGGGGAACAGGTAGTATTTGGTTACATGAGTAAGTTCTTTAATGGTGACTTGTGAGATTTTCGTGCACCCATCACCTGAGCCATTTCACTGAACCCAATTTGCAGTCTTTTATTCCCTCACCCCTCTCCCACCCTTTCCCCTGAGTCCCCAGAGTCCACTCTATCATTCTTATGCCTTTAAGTCCTCATAGCTCAGCTCCCATTTATGAGTGAGAGCATACGATGTTTGGTTTTCCATTCCTGAGTTACTTCACTTAGAATAATAGTATCCAGTGCCATCCAGGTTGCTGCAAATGCCATTAATTTCTTCCTTTTTATGTGATATTCCATCATATATATATCACAATTTCTTTTCTTTTCTTTTCTTTTTCTTTTTTCTTTTTTTTTTTTTTTTTGAGACAGGGTCTCATTCTGTCGCCCAGGCTGAAGTACAGTGGTGTGATCTTGACTCACTGTAACCTCCGCCTCCCGGGTTCAAGCGATTCTCCTGCCTCAGCCTCCTGAGTAGCTGCAATTACAGGCACCCGCCACCACGCCCAGCTAATTTTGTATTTTTAGTAGAGACAGGGTTTCACCATGTTGGCCAGGCTGGTCTCGAACTCCCAACCTCAGGCAATCCGCCCGCCTTGGCCTCCCAAAGTGCTGGGATTACAGGTGTGAGTCACCATGCCTGGCCTATACCACAGTTTCTTTATCCATTCATTGATTGATGGGCATTTATGTAATTTATTGTACATTATTTTGCCTAATAAAACTGTTTTGAAAACAGAGAGATACCTTGCCCAAGGTCACACACATTTTTCTGCAAATCTTGACTGCAGTCCATGTCTGTGGATTCCTGGTATGTCCTTCTGCTTCCTGTGTTGCTTACCAGGTGGGTAATGAGGCTCAGGGTTTTAACAGTAATGATACCCATTTACAATAACATTTATTTATGTATTGCTCTGTGCTGAAAGGAGAACTTTGATTTTACACTTTGAAGGTGTTCTCTATCACTTTTCTAAGGCTCTATCTCTTAAATTTAGTGAAAATCAAGTAGCCAACATTGATTGGATAGTATTTGAGGAACTGCAGGTTAATAGCACTTTTATATGAACAAATTGAGAGAATTTAAATGATTTGACCGAGGTCATCAAGAACAGCAGCTTTGGCACAGGAATTAGAAACTGGATTGCCCTTGCATTTTGTTTTTCAGCATAAAAGCTACATTTCTGTTCTCTCCATTCTTTATGGGCAAATTGTAACTCTTTTTCCCCCCAAAGTACCTAAAATAATCTGTTTCTCACAGTCCTTCGTGCGTGTCTTCTTTTTCTCGCTTGTGAATAAGGTGTACTAAATGCCTCCCAGCACACACAGGACTCAGTGTTATGTTCTTTTTTTCCTCTCAATTCACCGTGTAAGAGAGGCACCACCTATTAAAAACAATATCCACAGACCTGAAGTCAGCAAAGATATCAGAATGTACTGTGCATGTCAGATTAGGGCTGAAATTCCAACTATAGTGTTTAAATGGGGACTCATTTTAATTAATAAATTTGGTCCTGACATGCAATTGCTCTTCACTTGATCAATATTTTGCTATTCAGTTGGACAGGTTTTTTTTTAATTTACTGCTGTGTGTGACTGAGTTCCTACTTAATATTCATTGACACAAAAGGATTCAAAGAGAAGTCAGCCTAACTCTCAAGTAAACAGAATAGAACAGATATACATGTGTTTTGCAATTGCAAGGAAGGTATACTAATTTTGAGATACTTGAGATTTGGGGCTTTAAAAATAATTAATGGATCTTTATAGTTCAGCTTTACATTTATTGGTTTATCCCTTTTATTGTACTTACATTCCCAAGACCCTTGGTTGATTATTTTACAATTGTGATTTTAAATGCATTTTGATACTAACTGCTACTTACAGGATATACTTGGTGAATTCTTTCACATATTAACATTACTCTCTGGTTTATCTATTATGAGAAAGTGTGTGTTTGTGTATGCATGTGTGTGTGTACATATACACACAGATATATAAATTTTCTTAAATTGAGACATCCTTTTCTATTATATTTGCAAGTATCACTAAAGAATCTGAGTCACACCTATTCTGGCAGAGAGAAAGAAAACAACGGAAAATTAAAGCTCCAACATGACTTTTTTTTTTCATTCGTGTCATGGCTCTCATCTAATTGAACACTAGTATGTTTCCTTGGGTCTTGCTGTAAACATTGAAAACTTTTAGTTTTCTTTGGATTTTGGAGACTAGATACGATCAGTAGGAAATCGCTAATGGGAATTGATGCTTTTGATTCCAGCCAAGCATACCACCGAGGTCACAGAGGTAACATCCAACTCGTACACAAAACATGCCTTATAAAACTAGAGCATCGCCGAGGGTGGGTTAGTAACATCTGCAGAGGAACAGCCCTACCTGTGCTGCCAGAATCATCAGTGTAACCAAAAGTTGTTGTGTTTGCAGAATTCTAAAAGAAAGATCCCGTGTGATTTTTATGTTTGTTATAATTTTCCATTAAGATTGTGAGAATATCACAAAAATGTTTGGTCCAAAAAAAAAAAAGAGAAGAAATCTGAATCTTCTAAAAATATTTCTATTATTACTGGTGGCATTCGAGCCATGTCTCATCTGACTTGCTTGTCAGTCTTCAGCAATCATTTGGGACTATTTCGAGATTGGATGACCTCATGTTTCAGCTTTAATGCCACATTCCCCCTCAAGCTACTGGCCTATGTTGACAAAATGACTAGATGACTAGAAAGGGATTATCTAAAAGCACTGTTTCCAGTTCTTCTCCTGTCATTTCTCTTGGACCCATCCATTGATGCCTTCAATCCCTCCACTCCACAGAACTCGGGTCCAGGTCACAGATGATTCCATGGGTTAACCAGTGCTTGCTTCTCTTGACTGCCAACACATCACATGGTAGACCATGTCCCATCCTTAAGACACACCCGTCTCTTGGCTTCCTGGACATCTCTTCCATCTCACAAGCTTCCTTATGACCTCACTGGCTGGTCCTCCTGGGTCTCCTTTGTTGGTTGCATCTCATTTTCTCATCCATAGACACTGGCTTCTGCCCTAGACCTCATTGCTTCTCTATATTCATGCCATCGGTGTGAATGGATCCTGCCGCATGGTGCCAAATATCAGCTATAGGATGATGACCGCTGTAGCCTGGATGTGTCCTCTGAAATACAGATTAATAGTTCAGATCATCTACTTGACATCTCAACCTCAACAAGTCCAAAAAATGAACTTCTTATTTCCTCCAATAAAACTATCTCCTCCCACAGTTTTCCCCATCTCAATAAATTGTAACCCTGTTATGCTAGTTGCTCTCAACAAAACCCTTTGCATCTTTACTCATCTTTCGATCTCATTTCATATCTAATCTGATGAGAAATCTCATTCACTCTTCTTCCAAAATATATGCACAAATCCAGCCACTTCTCACCATCTCTATCTAACCCTGCACTCAGGTCCAACCCACCATAATCACTTTCCTGGATTATTGCCTTAACTCCTGGTGGTCTCTTGAGTTTAGTCCTTGTCCCTTGTAGTTAATTCTTTTTGAGATGGACTCTCGCTCTGTCACCCAGGCTGGAGTGCAGTGGCATGATCTCAGCTCACTGCAACCTCCACCTCCTGGGTTTAAGTGATTCTCCTGTCTCAGCCTCCCGAGTAGCTGGGACTACAGGCCCAGCTAATTTTTGTATTTTTAGTAGAGACAGGGTTTCACCATATTGGTCAGGCTGGTCTCCTACTCCTGACCTCAGGTGATCCACCTGCCTTGGCTTCCCAAAGTGCTAGGATTACAGGCATGAGCCACCACGCCCAGCCCCGTAGTTAATTTTTAACAGAGCAGCCCTAGCCATTGACCTCATCTTGTCACACCTCTGCTCATAATCCTCTGTTGCCTTGCAGCTCAATCAAGAGCACAAGGGCCTCCACCATGTGATCACCTACCACCTTTCTAACCTCTTCTCATTCCATTTCTCATCTCACTCATTTCCCTCCAAACACAGTAGCTCTCTGCTGTTTCTGGAGCACATCCAGCATACTTT
Source organism: Homo sapiens (assembly GCF_000001405.40). Taxonomy (NCBI): domain Eukaryota; kingdom Metazoa; phylum Chordata; class Mammalia; order Primates; family Hominidae; genus Homo; species Homo sapiens. The sequence continues at coordinate 24,413,696 of NC_000010.11, forward strand.
TGTCTCAAGAAAACTTGCTTTTCCCTTTGCCTCCTTCCCCCAGATATCTACAAGTCTCGCTTCCACACTTCTTCCAAATATCTTCACATCAGCAGGATGTGCAACTACTATGAATAAAATAGCAATCCGCCCACTTCCACCCCACTGCTCTCTAGTCCCCACACCCTGTTTTGTCTTTTTCCCTGTGTCTTGGCACACTCTACACTTACTTGTTTATGAGTTTAGTGTCTATCTACATCAATAGAAGCTATGATCTCTGAGCTTACCATCGTATCCCCTCCTTTTAGAAGACTGAGGTACATGGTGGTATTCAAAAAATATTTCTAGAGTAAATGAAATCCATCTTTTACCATACCCATTTTGTTTAAGTGTGAAGTTTAATGCAATACTGTTTCTCTGTAAATCTAAAACAGTCCTAAGTTTCATCAACAGTTCTCTATTCCTAAAGAATTTATTTAAGGATCAAGATAATAGTCCAGTCTGCTTTGCTTTAGTTGTTCCTCCTTGCATAAGTATGCCACATAGGTTGAATTATCTTGTCCTGTGGAAAGGGGACACAGACTATTATCCTCCCTTTTGTTATGCTTGTTATATAAGCATAATGTTTACATATGAGCTGAATTGCTACTATAGAAGGTAAAGCTGACAGAATGCACAGATGCTGGTAAGGGAAGCAGATTCCTTCCACCTGGGGTAGGTGCTCAACTTGTTTAATGCATGTTATGATTGGGGTAGCTCAGTATGATGACTTTGCTTGATAAGTTCCTCAGGTAACAAAGCAGATGGGAGGGGGTACTTATAGGGTTGATTGCTTTTTTCCCAGTGCCTTGAGTTGGAAAGCCAACAATTGTCGTTTTGATCATGAGGCATTTAGGGGGACTTCTACCTCTGTATGTAATGGGGAGAGAAAGGTGATTTATGGTGAATCTGGAAGCAGGAGTTGTATTTTACAGGTGGTGATGGGAAGATCTGGGGACATGGACCCATCGGAGGATGGGCACCTTGTCCTTGCGGACTCGCCCCACCCACCACTCTCAGAGCTGTTCAAATGGGGCCCTGCATGGTTTCGCCACCCTCAGACATTTGTTCTTTATTGTGTGATCTTGTGGTTGAGAACAGAAGTGACTCTTAAAAGGCAGCGCCAGAACTTCAAAAGGAAATGTCTAGGAGGAAGTAGCCATGTGTGATGCCTCTTAAATGCCTCTTTAGAAGGTATCAGAGGAGAACAAAAGATAAAGGTACAACCAAAAAGTCTTCTGGAGTTTTTTAAGGGCGGATTGGAAAGCTAGGTTTGTGAAGCCCAGCCTTGGAGATTTAAGTCATGGGAATGACTGTCCCCAAGATGGCTGCTCTTAAAGTCCCTGCATGGTTGGAGGCCCGGCAGTCTGGAGCAGCATGGTAGCCTGATCTCTCTCTTTTTTTTTTTTTTTTTTTTTGAGATAGAGTCTTTCTGTTGTCACCCAGGTTGGAGCACAGTGGAGTGATCTCGGCTCACTACAACCTCCACCTCCCAGGTTCAAGCGATTCTCCTGCCTCAGCCTCCTGAATAGCTGGGATTATAGGCACCTGCCACCATGCCCGGTTAATTTTTGTAGTTTTAGTAGAGACAGGATTTCACCTTGTTGGCCAGGCTGGTCTCGAACTCCTGACCTCAGGTAATCCACCCACCTTGGTCTCCCAAAGTGCTGGGATTACAGTCATGAGCCACCACACCCAGCCACTTGATATCTTGTTACCCTCCTTGCACCTGTACTTCCACTAGCAGTGACTCTTCTTTCCCACTTGCTCTTGGGGAAAAAAAAAAGCATATAAAGATACACTTTACAGACTTTACAAACATTAGATAAGCCTTACAAACACATTGTAAAAACCCCCTTCCCTACCAGAACACAAGCCACCAAATGACCTAGATCTGAACATGAGGCCAACAGATCGGTCTCAACCCCCTTCCGCCTTTGCTTGAGACTCACACACTCTTGCACACTCACACACAAGACTGTGATCTGAGCACTCATCCCCAGCCTTAGAGAATTGGGCCCTTTTCAGTGCCATCTCTCTGGACCCTCAAAAGCAGTAGCTCCCTCAGGAACCCCTTTATTGCTCTGGCCAGGGCTGAGAGAAGGACATTCCAGTTCTCCCACAGGGGCAGGGTGTGTAAAGGCAGAAGACACAGACAAGGCTGCCAGCAGATCCACACCCTGTGGCGTGGGCCTGAGGACGTGGGAGGAGCTGTGCTGGGAACAGCAGGGAGACCCAGGGAGGGGAGTGGGCAGAGAGCCAGGGACTAGCCTAGGAAGGGATGATCCGGCTGGCTGCTGGCTTCAGGCTGCAGTCAGGCTGGATTTGCCTGAGAGTGTCCCCAGGGCAGCTGTACCCTGTTACAAGGGAGGAAACTTTTCTAACAGCCCTAGGAAAGCCTATTGAAAGCTTTCAGTAGTGAACCAGAGACTGAACAAATAACGACGTAATTATTACATAACAGTAACAGGAAAACTTTAGAGCGTAAATGGTAACAAAAGTTGTTCCCCAATATATAAACTTTGGATACCCTAAAAGCAGCTCAGCGTGACTCAGTTTTTGCTACTAGCATAAAACCAAAAATAATCAGATCCCTGCAGAAGTAGAGGGTACTCAGGTATCCACCTCCATAGCACTACTTAAGAAATAAAAATAAAATAACCTGTTCATAGAGTGGACAGCACAACTTGAATGCCAAAAGGCAGAGAAGGTTCTGTTCCTGGCTTTGATGCTGACGCTTGGGAAACACCCCTTGTCTTTCTGCATCACACACAAGCCTGCCTGGGGCAAGAATCCAGAGGCTTGTATATGCCCATGTCTAAATATTTTTAAAGGTATAAATCAAGCTAACAAACTATTAGATAAAATGTGTTCTATCCTCATACTTTGACAAATTTACCTTCACGATGACCGAGGATGCCAGATTTGATTTTAGACTTCTCTGAGCCCTCACAGTTGTGGGCTGGATCATGTGATCAGGAAGGGTCCCCCCCACATCCCAGCCTGCAGCAAGCCATCTTCCCTCCTCTTCATCCTCCCTCCAGCTCCCTTCCGCTTTGCAAGGAGGCTCAGGCACACGTGAGTGATTTTCCTCAACTACACGGGCAGGTTCCCTCCATGTGCCCTGCAAACAGCATTCTTTGGTCACCCCTCAGTGTGAGGGGTGCATACACCAATGTCAGGCAAGGATTACGGGACAAGGACTCCCTTCCCAGACTCCTCCTCCATTCCACAGTTTGACCCTTATTCCTTCAGGACTTATACCCCTAATCCCTGTACTTCCATCAAGTCAGTCACAAGGATTTAGGGAAGCTGATCATTTCTATGAGAGCTGGCAATGGATGGATTAGGTTCCTTTATGTTTTCAGGTCACGTAAGAGATACAGCGAGTCTTTTGTTTTTTTTAAGAGCTCCAAGATGAAGGCCAGCGTGATATGAATTTCCTCAAACTGCCCACACAGTCTTTCTCCCCACCCTCTGGGGAAAAAAATCTGAGCCTCCCCCTCAGATACCTAAGAAGAAGCTGAGAAAAATCTGCCCAGAAGAGGAACAGCTGCTGAGAGCCTGCCTCACCCTCCCTGGCTGGCCGTATTTCCAACTTTGTTGCCTTCTTCAGTAGATCTGGGGAACAAAAAAGCAAGGCGTGAAATTTGAGTGTTCCCAAGTCTCTCTCCATAGCTGCCCGTGAGCAGTGTTACCTTTTGATTGAGGCACTCACGCTTGAGGGCCACATGAATAAATGCACGCCTAAGTGTGAGGGTGGCAAAGACCAATCATTCACAGACTGATGGGAATTGTTTCCCTAAAATATTCCCCTGAGCTGCTAGAAAGGGGGTGATTTCCACGAGAGCATAGACTGATGCGGACTAGAATTGCTAGGACAGGGAACCCCCGTGGACGGCTGGCCATTGAGACACAGTGGAGAGGAAGGAGACCATGGTGTGAAGTCTACGAATGAGAGTGAGGAAAAGGAAGAGGTGGGAAGAAGTGGTACCCAAGGATAAGGCTTTATGGAATCTAAGCATCCCACATTTACTGTTTTTAAAAATGAGCTTGAAAAATTAGGGTGTCCGTCCTGTGAAATGGAATCCCACAGCCACAGATCTGCTAACATTTGTTTATATTTGTTGTCAAAGAATAGCTTGATTTTTTTTTTTTTGGTTATTAACATAACTTAAGTGGAATAAAAGTATAAAGGAGCAAGCACCATGGTTTTCTGTCATCTCCTCTCCTCTTTTCTTTTTTCTTTTCTGAGACAGAGTGTTGCTCTGTCACCCAGGCTGGAGTGCAGTGGTACAATCATAGCTCACTGCAGCCTTGATCTCCTGGGCTCCCGGGTCCTCCTGCCTCAGCCTCCGTAGTAGCTGGGACTACAGGCATCTGCCACCACCAATAAAAAAAAAATGCTGCTTTTTTTTTATTTTTTGTAGAGATCATCTCATCATATTATTCAGGCCGGTCTTAAACTCCTAGCTTCAAACGATCCTCCTCCCTTCTTGTCCTCCCAAAGTGCTGGGAATACTGGTGTGAGCCATTGCGCCCAGCCAACACTGTTTCCTTTCCACTTGGAAAGTAGTTTATCCTGGAAATTCCTGGGATCCCGACTTTTGTTTACCAGAGTGGAAAAGCTAATCAAGTTGATACTTCCCCAGTATCTTTCTCCCCCAACTTGAGGACCAAACAGGTTGTGCCTTTTCAAAAAGAATAATTTTTTCCCAATAGTAGAAAATAAATCTTGAACAATAAAATTTATACACTTCACATTGATGCTTTTTAAATCTACACGCAAATTACATAAAAAATAGCACTTCATGCTGAAAACTTTCTAAAGATATATTCACTCCTCTGTAATAACTACTGGTTATCACTACGTAAAATACCAATACTTTAGCACACAAGAAAAATTTTAGATTAACTCAGGCAGTTTCTCACTAAAGTCCATAATCTCTGCGCCTAAATCTGCTAATCACTGTAATTGAAGAAAATGCAGGAAGTATAAATCTCCTAGGGGGCAGTGTTTGTAACCCTTTTTAAAAAGAAATTACACCCAGAGTCTTTTTGATAGTTTGAAAACATGCACTGGAAACTGTTGCATATCCCTAAAAGGCCAACTTTTTTTTTTTTCCTGGGGCCATGATTATTTAACTTTTACATTTTTGTTCTTATCTTTAAGAAAATCTCTGCTGGGTGCGGTGGCTCACGCCTGTAATCCCAGCAATTTGGGAGGCCGAGGCAGGCGGATTACCTAAGGTCAGGAGTTTGAGACCATCCTGGCCAACATGGTGAAACCCTGTCTCTACTAAAAATACAAAAATTAGCTGAGTGTGGTGGCAAGTGCCTGTAATCCCAGTTACTCGGGTAGCTGAGGTAAGAGAATCGCTTGAACCCAGGAGGCAGAGGTTGCAGTGATCACACCACTGCTCTCCAGGCTGGGTGGCAACAGAGCAAGACTCGTCTCCAAAAAAAAAAAAAAAAAAGAAAGAAAATCTCATTCTTTCTGACCTTTGCTCTTTGCTTTCTATAACCACTCATCAGAAGCTAAGGGCCATAACTACATCCAGATTTGGCCTCCTGAGTCAGATCTGAGTGCTCTGTGGGAGGGGAACTATTAAGACAGCTCTCTTTTGTCACTTTTAAAATGATTTTTCTTTAATTTTTTGAATGGAAAAAATACAGAAAACATAATATAGTAATACCATAAACAGATGTTAGTGTCTGTTTAATGTCTGAGAGGCAGAATGGTACAGTGGTGAAGACAATTAGCTAGGTAAGTCACACAACTTACTTCTCTCTGCCTCAGTGGTCCTCATCTGTGAGATGGGGATAATAGTAGTGACCTCATACAGAAGATTAAATGAATTAATATGTGGAAGAGTTTGGATCAGTGCCTGGCACATAGCAAATGCTATATAGGTTTTTGTCAGATTTTAAAGAGAAAAACATGTTTCCATAATTGCTTGAGCCCTCTTACACTTTTAAAGTAAAATATTGTAAAACCCCTGCACTTTCTTTCCCCATCCTTTGCCAGAGCTAACCACATGCTGGAGTTGGAGAGTGTAACTACCATGCACATTTTGGGCTTCCACTATGCTCACAATGTATATTATTGTTTTGTGTGTTATAAAGCTTTACTTAAATAGGATCATACTGCACGTATCCTTTTATAAGTTTCGGTGTTCACTCAGCATTATGTTTTTGAGATTCATCCATATTGACAGAGATGGTTCTAGTTCATAATTTGTTACCGCTGTTAACTGTTCCAATGTATCAATAACCCACTGAGAACAAGCAGATGACAAACGGTGCTACAATGAGCTCCATGGAACAAGTGTCCACATGTGAGATTTTCTCTGCGATGGTCAGCTTAAAAGACGTAGCTAGGTATGGGAGGCACCTCTTCAACTTCATGGATAGGGTTCAATAGTGATTATGCAAATTTACACTCTCACCAGCAGTAAATAACAGGCTGTATTTTCCCACATCCTCACCAGTACTTGAGGCTGTTATATTTTCTGACTTTTCTCTATGTGACGAGAATAAAATAGGATGTGACATTTTTCATTTTTATGTCCATAATTACTAATTTATTGGCCACTGGAGTTTCCCTCTCATTGAATTGCCTATTTATATCCATTTTTGGATATCCATTATTGTCTATTTTCTTATTGCTTTATAAATGTTCTTTAATTATTCTGAATGCAAATCCTTGGTAGAGCATGTGAGTTGTAAATATCTTCTCTCTGTGGTTTGTCTTCATTACTTTGTTTGTAATGTCTTTTGTAGTTCAAAATCCTCATTTCAATGCAGTTTAATTAGGTAATATTTTCCAGCATAGTTTATGATCTTTGTTTCTTTTTAAAGTCCTTCCCTGTACCAATACACTGGGAGACAACACCATGTGGTGTTTTTAGTTTTTTGTTTATGCGAAGTTTTAGAGTTGAGCTTCTCACATGTATGTCTTTGGTCCATCAGGAATTGCTTTTACTTATGGTGTAAGAAAGGGATGTATTTTTTACTTTTTCCATATGGAAAACCAATTTTCCCGACACTATTTATTGAATAGTCATTTCTCTATGGGTTTGTATGACCTCTTCTGTCATATATCAAGCTCTCACAAAGTCTGTGTCTTTGTCTAGGCTCTCTGTTTCATTGCGTAGTCTTGTTTGTCCTATCCGTGTGCCAAGCCACACTGGCTTAATAGTGCTGATACCTGGTGGAGCAAGTACCCCCTCTTATTATTATTCCTCAAAATTGCCAGATTGATGTTATAAGTGGTTTTGTTTGTTTGTTTGTTTGTTTGTTTTGTTTTGAGGTGGAGTCTTGCTCTGTCACCCAGGCTGGAGTGCAATGGTGTGATCTTGGCTCGTTGCCACCTCATGCCTCCTGGGTTTAAGCAATTCTCCTGCCTCAGCCTCCCAAGGAGCTGAGACTACAGGCCTATGCCACCACACCCAGCTAATTTTTGTGTTTTCAGTAGAGACAGGGTTTTACCATGTTGGTCAGGCTGGTCTCAAGCTACGGACCTCAGGTGATCCACCCACCTCAGCCTTCCAGAGTGCTGGGATTACAGACGTGAACCATCATGCCTGGCTGTAAGTGGTATATTTTTATTAAACTGTATTCTCTATTTTTTCTAGTATTTCAGGTTGCTGTCAATCCTATATATTGATCCTGTATCATTCAGTTATATTGAATAGTTATAATAGTGTATCTGCAGATTTCCTTACATTATTATATTGTCTATGAACAAGTACCATTTTGGCTATCTCTTTTTAATCCATATTGCCTTTATTTCTTTTTCTTATATTCACCATGCTAGTGAGTTCTTAGGATGCAGTGACAGCAAAAATTCCAAATTTTAAAACAATCCTTCTAACATTTCATCACTGAGCCTGATACTTGTTTGAGGTTTTTGCTAAACATAAGAACATTCTTTTTAATTTTTAAATTACTGGTTTTTAAAAAAGTTATGAATGTGTGTTGGATTTTTCTTAACATTTAGCTGACTCTGTTAAGATAAGTGTATAGTTTTTTTATTTATATTGCAGAAAATTTTAGGGCTGGACTGTCTAATGTGAAACCAGCCTTACATTCCTGAGATAAATTATTTTGGATCATGATGTGTTTGTTCATATATTGCTGTATTTGCTTTACTAATATTTTATTTAGGGCTTTGGATTTGAATGTAAAATCCCTTCTTATTCTATGTCTTCGTCTGTTCTCATGCTGCTAATAAAGACATACCTGAGACTGGGTAATTGATCAAGAAAAGAAGTTTAATGGACTCACAGTTCCACATGGCTGGGGAGGCCTCATAATCATGGCAGAAGGCAAATGAGGAGTAAAGTCACATCTTACATGGTGGCAGGCAAAGAGAGAGCTTGTGTAGGGGAACTCCCTTTTATAAAACCATCACCTCATGAGACTTATTCACTATCACAAGAACAGCATGGGAAAGACCCACCCCCATGATTCAGTTACCTCCCACCAGGTCCCTCCTATGATATGTGGGAATTATGGGAGCTACAATTCAAGATAAGATTTGGCTGGGGACATAGCCAAACCATATCATTCTCTCTTTCTAATATCAAGGTTTATACTAGCCTTATAACATTAATTGATATTATAATATTTGATTTAAACCACAGCTCATCTTAAGTGTTAGAATTCAGATACAGTTATAGCATATTCGTAATTAGAATAGTGTTCCTCACAGCATTTTCTTATAATATTTTCTCCCTTAATTGTTGAGTAACCTTTGAGATGAAAATGAGGACTCAACTGATGTTGCTACAAGTTCTGTTGTGACTTTACATTATAGCTTCTTCATGGACAAGTTTCTAAATATCCATGCAAAGGGACAAGAAGACCTATTTGGAAGGACCAGGAGGATCACAGCACTGGAAATCAGCATCTTTCACTCAGTCTGAATTCCAGAAATCATCAATTGATTCTTTCAGCCATTGTTTAGAGAAATGCCTTGGGATGCTCATTTCAATGATATTAACATTTTACTTGAATCCCAATTGCACCAATTTGTCTGAAACAAAACAAAGTTAAAGGGGTAAGCCCCAGGGCTTTCTGTGGAGAATGAGTGCCTCCAAGCAGAACTCTGCCCAGTGACTGCCCTCTGTCAGGTGGTTATGGGGGGCAAGACACTCTCTCATATTACTTCCTATAGATTTAACTTTTTTTTTTTTTTTTTTTTTGAGACAGAGTCTCGCTCTATTGCCCAGGCTGGAGTGCAGTGGCACCATCTTGGCTCACTGCAAGTTCTGCCTCCTGGGCTCACACCATTCTCCCACCTAAGCCTCCAGAGTAGTTGGGACTACAGGCACCCACCACCACACCCAGCTAATTTTGTTTTTGTATTTTTAGTAGAGATGGGAGAGATGGGGTTTCACTGTGTTAGTCAGGATGGTCTCGATCTCCTGACCTCGTGATCCACCTGCCGTGGCCTCCCAAGGTGCTGGGATTACAGGTGTGAGCCACTGCCCCTGGCCTAGATTTAACTTTTAACATGTTCTTTCAGGGTGCTAACATAGGTTTCCTCACACTTATGAGTCTTTAAAGCACTTTTTTTTTTTTTGAGTCAGAGACTCAGTTTGTCGCCCAGGCTGGAGTGCAGTGGCACAATCTCGGCTCATTGCAGCCACTGCCTTCTGAGTTCAAGTGATTCTCCTGCCTCAAATTCCCAGGTAGCTGGAATTACAGGCGCACACCACCACGCCCAGATAATTTTTGTTTTTTTGTTTTGTTTTTTTGAGAGGGAGTCTTGCTCTGTCGCCCAGGCTGAAGTGCAGTGGCACCATCTCGGCTCACTGCAACCTCTGCCTCCCAGGTTCACGTGATTCTCCTGCCTTAGCCTCCCAAGTAGCTGGGACTACAGGCATGCACCACCACACCCAGCTAATTTTTGTATTTTTAGTAGAGTCGAGGTTTCACCATGTTGGCCAGGATGGTCTCAATCTCTTGACCTAGTGATCTGCCCACCTCAGTTTTAGTAGAAATAGGGTTTCACCGTGTTGCCCAGGTTGGTCTCAAATTCCTAACCTCAAGTGATCCACCCACCTTGGCCTCCGAAAGTTCTGGGATTACAGGCATGAGCCACAGCACCCGGCCAAGGGCACATTCAAAATTGGAATTTAGCTTAAAATTATTATTGCCTGGAATTTCTCAGTCCTTCATAAAGATTCGTCTAGAGACTCTCAAAGTCTTACATTGTCCTCAAGTATCAGGTCACTAAGTGAAATAAAAAAATAATTGACAGATAGATCCTTCTTGAATACAGCAAAAATTTGGTATTTACCCAATTCAAGATAAAAACAGTGAAATCCAAGAGTAAAGTTATTCCAAATTTTTTTTTTTTTTAAATCCAGACTTTCTGCGGAGAATGAATTTTCTATTATCTTTTTCTTCTTTGCAAGGCAATTGTCATCATTCTGCTTTGTCACCTACTTTAAAAGCTATCCTATAGGAAGGGACTTAACAGCGGGAGAGTTCTCTCTGGGATTTGAGAAGTTACTGACATCAGAAGGTATCCTAGAGCCATTTGAGGAACACACACACCCTTGTTCAAATCGCTGCTGTGTTTGAAACAAAATGTCAGCTGGTGTTAGGTAAGAATTGCTAACTTCTAAAGAATAGTGTCATTTATAGAACCACTGCAGGGGTTAGAACACAGAGGATGACCAGAAAACACCTCCAAGAAGAAAGAGATTGAGTGAGACTTTTTTGATTGCTTTTGTACTCCCGAGTTCCTGGCACAGGCCTGGCACAAGATGGGAACTTGTCTAGTGAATTAATGAAGCCATTTCTACCGTTGCCTCTAGGGTACCTCTAAGTACGTTATATTCTTTGTGGGTGTTGTTTTTCTGTTCTGTTTTTTGTTTTTGTTTTTGCTTTTTTTGAGACGGAGTCTCACTCTGTCGCCAGGCTGGAGTGCAGTGGCATGATCTTGGCTCACTGCAACTCCGCCTCCCAGGTTCAAGCAATTCTCATGCCTCAGCCTCCCGAGTAGCTGGGATTAGAGGCACATGCCACCATGCCCAGCTAATTTTTGTATTTTTAGTAGAGACGGGGTTTCACCATGTTGCCCAGGATGATCTCGATCTCCTGACCTTGTGATCTGCCCACCTCGGCCTCCCACAGTGCTGGGATTATAGGTGTGAGCCACCGCGCCCGGCCTCTTTTTAGTTTTAAATCATAAGACTCTTGAATACAGTCTCTTAAAGATATGCTACTGTGTTAACTGTACTGGAATCTTTTGCTTACCTTAAATGTCAATGTCTTTCCCATTTCAGATGCCAGTGTACATTCTACCAACTCTACTGAAAGCTTTTATTTGAGCAGCCCTTGGCTTATTTCCTCTGGCTTCAAAAATTACCCAGTTAACTGAGTAGGATTCCTAACTGGCCAGTCCGTTTAGCGATTTTTTAGATGAAAGTTTTAGATTTTAGTGCAGAAGTTGTCTTTGAAGATTATCAAATCAAAACATCCTTATTTTAGAAAGATGATACAGAAAATCATAAGGAAATCTGAGTGAACTTACCACCCTTCACATTTTAGGGTATAGTCATCAGGTATTTCAGGAGACTTAACTTGAACCTAACGAAACCAAGTTTCAGGCCCCTCTAAATATAAATGTTCACTTTTATACCTAAGTTTCTGTTTCAAATGTTGTTATTCTTGTTCTTAAAGAGGCCACTCAAAATTGTGTAAGCTTCAGGGCTCACAAAATGTGGGGTCCATCACTGTCATCAAGGTGATTAATTGATTTGTATAAATCTAGTTCCTTTCTGTTTTATGATATGCTTTGTCATTTAATAAAATACAGTTTTTTCACATTGCCATATTCTCTTACAATTGCTTTTCATAACTGTTTAGTGTTCCAGTGAACAGATTTATTAAATGAACTACTTATTAAATCAATCCCCTATTGTTGGAGATTCTCCCTCACCTTATATTATTCCTACAGTTGATACTTCATTGAGTGTCTAGGTAAGGATGTCATTGTGCCTAAATGTGTAAAAGTTGAATTAGTGCTTCAAACCACATGTGTACTTTGGGGGCTTTTGATACATTGACAAATAACCCTTCAGAGAAATGGTATCAACTTACTTTCCCAACAGTGATATGTGGGAGTATCCATTTTCCCATCCCTTGTCAGCACTATTTATTGTATCAACCTTTGCCAATGTTGTAGGTGTAAAAACTTACCTTGCTATTTTAATTTTAATATTTTTCATAAGTTGAAAACTTATTTCCCATCAGAAAACGCAATAAGAATCCTTTATATATTTAAGGCATTAGCCATTTGCCACTGGTATTGCAGATGGTGATCTGCATAGTCCTAAAATGGATTTGGAGAAACTGAGGCATTTAGTTTATTTGGAATTGTCACCGTCAGCTGCCTGCAGAAGACGCCCTTCAGGGAAAATGGTATTGCTATTCCAAAAGGCAAGCATACATCATATTCACTTGGCCACATTACAGGAATAATTTAATGTGTTTCAACTAAAGGTATCTGAGCGTCTACTAGGTACCTAACTCTGTACTCTATCTTACCATCTGGTGAGGGAAACTGTATACAACAAACCATAATGCAGGATTAAAAGCCACGCTTGCAGCCAGGTGTGGTGGCTCCACCTGTAATCCTAGCACTGTGGGAGGTCAAGGTGGGTGAATCACCTGAGGTCAGGAGTTCGAGAACAGCCTGGCCAACATACCAAAACCCCGTCTCTACTAAAAAAATACAAAAATTAGCCGGACATGGGGGCATATACCTGTAGTCCCAGCTACTCAGGAGGCTGAAGCAAGAGAATCACTTGAACCCAGGAGGTGTGACGTTGCAGTGAGCCGAGATCGCACCATTGCACTCCAGCTTGGGCAACAGAGCGAGACTCTGTCTGAAAAAAAAAAGTCATGCTTGCAGTCTCAACAAAATACAATATGAGCACATCGGTGAGGTAAATTAATTCCTTCATTCCTGATGAGGAAATGATGGAGTAGTAATGGGGGAAGATTGTTCAGAGGACTTGATGTATATGTGAAGCAAAGAGGTGGTGAGAAGTGCGTGGCGCAGCGTGTGGGATGAATGTGCACCGTAAGAGGTCCAGTCCCACTGCGGTGCCCTAGCAAAGTGGGACGCTTCGGGAAAATAAGGCAGGAAGAGGAGTTGAGGTCACATGGTGAATATCCTTGGATACCATGTTGAGATAAAGATATTTTAGAAGATGTCCCACATTCTGGAACTGATTCTGAGACGCAAAAGATAATGAAGATGTGTGGGCACAAGTGTGACCTGCCAACTGCACCCTGCTTTTTGTAAAATGTGAGTAAGAGATCTTGGTTAAAATCCACATTCCTTTGCAAAGCCATGGAGGTGAAAGAACCCTTCAGTGTTCAGGCTTCTCAGGGGGACACTGAGCATTGCAAGGTTCATATCGACACTCACTCTGGCACAGGTTTCAGAGCTCGGCACCTCCCCCTCCCACCCCACACCCCCATCCAGCATGTGGATCCATTCTAACCCTGTGATGGCATTCCCTTCGGTTGAGGTAAAGACGGGAATCTTTTTTCTGAGCTGCACCCAGCACGCTTCAACATCTTCAAGCAGATGGTCAGCCTAAAAGTGTGAGGATAGCTCAGGTTGCCCTGAGAGGATGCTTGCAGGAGATGGACAGAGCTAAATGCAGGATTTCAGGAGAAGTATGCTTCAAGAAAGAGAGCATGGCATCTATGAATTTGGCAGAAGTGGACATATAGCTTCTGCCAAATGATGAGTTGTAACTTTTAGGCAAATTGCTTGGACTTTCTGAGCTTTTATTTCCTTATCTGTGAAATGGGGTCATAGTATCCATCTGACAAGAGATACTGTGCTGATGAGATGAAATACATACACATGGTTTCTGACATATGGCAGGCATCCTATAAATGCATTTCTCTCATCCTCATCCCTTCTTCATAAAAAGGGAGTTTGGGAGGCAGAGTCCCCTGGACAACCTCTGGGAATCTGGAGCAGCCAGCACTAACTTGGAGCGAGGAAGCCTGTGCCAAAGCATGCGGAATCTCTAGAAACCATGTGGGCTTTTGTTCATCATCATGCCAATAAAACGCCATCGGATATTAAGAGAATTCCTTCTGAGTCTAAGCATTTCTAAATACCTTTCCTGAATTGAGAAAGCAAACTGTGTAAAAGCCAAGCGTGAAAAGACTATTCTGTTTGCAAAGGCATTTTTCCCATCCTGCCTGGCTTGTCACGTTCTGTGACTGGACTCATGCACCCAGCTGGCAGCTGCACCAGCCAGACCCTGAGGTAACTATAGTTTAGGCCCATTTTTTTTCCTGCTCCAGAGACTACAAATTCTATTTCAAGCACACGCATGTACAGAATGCAGATGTGGGGATGAAAATCAGACCATCTTCTGGGAGCGAGGCTGTGATACTTAACTGTAGGGACGCCATTGGTGGCCTTTCTGCAGTGGCCTCGCCCAGGCATGGCTGGGGCATGGACCTCAAGAGCGGTTTTGGCCTTTTGATGTACCATAGCAATCACATGGGACAATCACCACACATCCCACGTGGGGCCAAGACATTGCGTGATCTGTGATCAGACAGGCTTAAAAGGTATTCTCCGCATTCTGAGGAATTTGTAACAGCATGGAGATTCTGGAAAACTAGTTCCCTGAAAAAGCTGAGGGTCAACACAGGGATGAGTGGAGAGGGGACATGGAGCCCTTATGCCTGACATGAAGGGACTGCTCTAGTCAAGGAAACAGCCACTTCAGAATGTGTCTCTACTGTGGATACAAACCAAGGGCGAGGTTACTAGGCTGGTTACATCATCTAGCAAAAGCTCTTATAGCTCAGATAGACCCACAAATGAGACATTCCTTTTCAATGACTAATAAATCATTCGTTTATTCATTCAACAAATATTTATTGAGAAACTACTATGTAACAGGTAGTCTCATAGGTACTAAGGATACAGTAGAAAACAACAACAAACTTAAAAAAAAAAAATCCCTTAGCCCCAGTTACTTGAGAAGATTGCTTGAAGCCAGTAGTTTGAGGCTGCAGTGAGCTATGATCATACCACTGCACTCCAGCCTGGGTGACAGAGCAAGACCCCATCTCTTTAAAGATAAAAAAAAAAAAAAAATCTCTGAGCTCATGAAACTTACATGTTAGCAAGAGAAACTGATCATAAGCAATATCACTAATTAAAATATGAATTATAACATAGAGTAGAAAATGCTAAGAAAACAGACATAAAGCAAGTATAAGAGTAAGAAATAGTATGGAGAATGGCTACTAAAATTCTAGCTGAGGAGGCTAGGGAGGGCTTCACTGAGAAACCAACTTTATAGAGACCTGATGGTTTGGATAGGTATAGACCTAGATTGAAAATATTTCCCTCCAGGTTTTCAAAGGCATTGCTCCATTATCTTTTGGTTTCTGAAGTTCCTGTTGAGAAAGCTATTGCCTTTCTGATACCTGATCCTTCCTATGTGACTTTTTACCTGTTCTGGGGGCTTTTAGGATTTTCTGTTTTCCCCATCTTCTGGAATGTCTCAGTGACAAACCTGTGTGTTGAGTATTTCATAAACTTTTACAATCTGCGATCTCATGTCCTTCAGTTTACAAGGAAAAAAGAACATTCTTATAATATTGTTTTGGAAAACTCTGTTTTTTCTGATCTCTTTTACCCAAATCTCCATTACTGGGGATCTGGGTACTCTGACATGATTCTATGTTTCATATTGCTCTTCTCTCTTTTCCCATCTCTCAGTCTCTTTTTTTCGGAGGGGAGGTGGCCTCCACTTTCTGAGATTGCGTCAACTTTTTCTTCTTCACTGAATTTTAAAATTCTGCTCTCATGGTTCCTAGAGACTGATCTTATCCTCCAAATGCTCCCCCTTTTTCTGGACTGTTTGTTCTCTTCCGAGTTTCTTTTTCCTGTTTCTTTGGGTGTTTTCATTTGTGTTAGAAGCTTCTATAAAAATGTTTGTGACATCTTGGGAGTCAGTTAATGTAAGAGGGAGGCACGGTTGTAATTTTGGGAAGTTTTATATGTGGGTCTGGCTGCTTCGCTATGGGGTGACCAGACAGAATCTGAATATGACCCTCAAAAATCTGTTTGTCAGGCCAGACATGGTAGCTCATGGCTGTCATCCCAGAACTTTGGGAGTCCGAGGTGGTCAGATCACTTGAGCTCAGGAGTTTAAAACCAGCCTAGGCAACATGGCAAAACCCCATCACTAAAAAAAATATACAAAAAATTAGCTGGGTGTAGTGGTTCTCTCCTATGGTCCCAGGTACTCAGGGGGCTGAGGTGGGAGGATAGCTTGAATTCATGAGGTTGGGGCTGCAGTGAGCCCTGATCATGTCACTGCACTCCAGCCTAGGCAACAGAGCAAGGCAAGACTCAGTCTCTCACATACACACAAAAGTTTGTCTCTTCTCATGGGTCATTCAGCATTCCTAGAGAGGACCCTCCAGTGTCCTGACTAAGGAGCTGGCCCCTTTGCCAGCATTCGGTCGAGGGCATATCAGCCCCTTCCCCTATGCTTGGTCAGCCAGAATCCAGTGTGTTTGATGTGGACTCTTCCATCTTCTGTGGATGTGATGGGTGGCTACCTGGCTGGGTGGGGTGGGAAGAGAGATGGACATTTGCTACATCAGTGGTCCCTAGCCTTTTTGGCACCAAGGACCGGTTTTGTGGAAGACAATTTTTCCATGGACAGGGTTAGGGGGAGATGGTTTTGGGATGATTCAAACGCATTACATTTAGCATGCACTTTATTTCTATTATTATTGCATTGCAATATATAATGAAATAATTATACAACGCACCATAATGTAGAATCAGTGGAAGCCCTGAGCTTGTTTTCCTGTAACTAGTCAGTCCCATCTGGAGGTGATGAGTGACAGTGACAGATCATCAGGCATGGGATTCTCTTAAGGCGCATGCAACCTAGATCCCTCACCATGCGCAGTTCACAGTAGGGTTCACGCTCCTATGAGAATCTTATGCTGCTGCTGATCTGACAGGAGGTGGAGCTCAGACAGTGATTCGAGCAATGGGGAGCAGCTGTAAATACAGATGAAGATTCCCTCGCTCAGCCATGGCTCACTTCCTGCTATGTGGCCCAGTTCCTAACAAGCCAAGGACTGGTACTGGTTTGTGGCCTGAAGGCTGGGGACCTTTGTGCTACACCATTTTAAAATCAAGTTCAGTCAGGCATCATGCATTCAACTCACTATGCATTTCTACCTTCAGAAGGGTTGGGAGCCTCATTTCCTGAGTTTCCCTGGCTCTGCCTGTTTTATGTTGAGTTATTCCCTTGAAGGTTTAGGTATCAGCTTGCTCTTGTCTACTGTTAGTTCCTCTCTCATTCCCTTACTTCTTTGATGTATGCTTTTGTATCCCTTATTGTCACTTTAATGGAATTTCTGGAGGAAGCAGAGACAAATGTATTACATGGGCTGCCATATTGAACCGGAATTCATTCTTTTCTCTTTTGAGTCTCCCTTTCCAAAGTTTACTCCAGTGGTAGTAGTTCACCCCCAGTAGATTCTCACAAAAAGCAAGACTCAAATTCAGTGTCAGGATTGTGGATATCCTGTTTCAGTTATCTGTTTCTGAATAACAAATCACCCTAAGCATAGTGACTTCACATGACAGTCATTTATTTGCTTATCATTCTGCAATTTGGACAGTGCTTGGAGGGGCCATCTCATTTCTGCTGGCATCAGCTGGGGTAGCTCACCTGGGGCTGGGGAGACCACTCCCAAGACGGCTCATCCACATAACCTCAGTGGTTCCAGCTGTAAAATGGGCGCTTAGATGGGGTGGTTCTTCAGCATGTGACCTCCCGTGTGGCTGGGTTGGACTCCTCAGAAGCTGAGTTCTGAAAGGAAACATCCCCAAACCAAGCTCACCAAGAGGACAAACTCCAGGGTGCAAACACATATCAAGCTTTCCTTTTGCATCACACTTGCTAATATCCCATTGGCCAAAGCAAGTCACACAGCCAAGCCCAGAATCAACGTGGAACAGAGCTGCTCTCCACAGATGGGTGAGTGCTAGGAGGCAGGGTGCACTGGGGCCCACATACCCCCTGGGAACTCTGGGATCCTGTGCTTTTTCCATTTTATTTCTGAAACATTGAGGTGCCAGATTCTAGCACGATATGAACATTCAATAAATATGTATTAGAACCACAGAAATCTTGTTGCATTTCCACTGAAAATGTTTCTGAATGGACTAGACAGATTTAAGCTATGTAGCTTACCCATGGCTATAATGATTGTGTTCCTAGTTAATGAAAGACATGAAAAAAAATCACTCTATGAGGTCAGATTTCTAAATATACCTTTCCAAGGAATTAAGTATCGTCCTTTTTTTTTTTTTTTTTTTTTTTAAGATGGAGTCTTACTCTATCGCCCAGGCTGGAGTGCAGTGGCGTGATCTCAGCTCACTGCAACCTCCCAGGTTCAAGCAACTCTCTTGCCTCAGCCTCCCGAGTAGCTGGGATTACAGGCATGTGCCACCACACCCAGCTAATTTTTGTATTTTTAGTAGAGATGGGGTTTCACCATGTTGGCCAGACTGGTCTGAAACTCTTGACCTTAAGTGATTCGCCTGCCTCAGCCTCCCAAAGTGCTGGGATTACAGGCGTGAGTTACCGAGCCTGGCCAAGTATTGTCTTTTGCTTTAGGCTACCAGAGGTTTGCTTCTTGCATGTTTGTTTTTGAGTCAGGGTCTCACTCTATTACTTAGGCTGGAGTGCAGTGGCGCAATCATAGCTCACTGCAGCCTGCAACTCTGAGGCTCAAGTGATCTTCCCACCACAGCCTCCTGAGTAGCTGAGACTACAGTCATGTGCCACCACACCCAGCTAATTTTTTTTTTTCCAAAGAGATGGGATCTTGCTACATTGCCCAGGTGGGTCTCGAACTCCTGGCCTCAAGCAATCCTCTTGCCATGGCCTCCCAAAGCACTGGGATTACAGGCATAAGCCATTGCACCCAGCCCTTGAATTTTTGAAAATTAGGCTCTTTAACACCTGCTTGGACTTCAAAGAACGAAGGTGAGTACTTACACAATAACCAAACAGTGCATTCCTTGGAAATTCCAAACCTAGATCTCTTGTTACATGCTTGCCAAGCTTGTCCTGAACGTTCCTAAGTGCAGCAGGAAAGAAGTGGCTCAGCTTGTGCTGTGTGTCCCCTGAGTCTTGACCTGTGACTAATAACTGTTTCCTTTGTGTGCAGGGGTTCTCTATCTCCAGTATGGAGATGAAACCAAGCAGCTCAGGATGCCGAATGAAATCACAAGTGCAGACACAATCCGTGCTCTCTTCGTAAGTGCCTTTCCACAGCAGCTCACCATGAAAATGCTGGAATCGCCCAGTGTCGCCATTTACATCAAAGATGAAAGCAGAAATGTCTATTATGAATTAAATGATGTAAGGTAAGTTGTGACATCATTTTTTGCCTGCCATTTTGCCTTAGAGTTTTTTTTGTTTTTTGTTTTTTTGTTTTTGAGGGGTTTTTTTTTACCCACTATATTGCATTTAGAGTGTTTTTTTGTTTTTTGTTTTTTGTTTTTTGTTTTTTGTTTGGTCCATCATATCCCTTTCATAGAGTTTATACCAAATTCTAATTTCTTTATATCCTAGTGAAGAAAGCAGATTCATTATCCTGATTGGTTGGGCTTATTTCACCCAGTCAGATGATTTCACTATCTGGTTTTCTACAATTCATTTACAGGGTATAGCTTATAAAAACGAGGACAAATTTCTCCGCCACAGATT
Organism: Homo sapiens; assembly: GCF_000001405.40. NCBI lineage: Eukaryota > Metazoa > Chordata > Mammalia > Primates > Hominidae > Homo > Homo sapiens. The sequence goes on from NC_000010.11 coordinate 24,433,537, forward strand.
TTTGAATGCTACATCTGAAAAGAACATTAGAAATGATTCAGTCCACCATTTTATCTAAGGGTTAGGGAAACTAAGGCCCAAAAAGGTAGCGGAGAGACCTGATCGAGGTCTTAAGAGTTGTAGGCAGTACTTCATTCATATTGGAACTTTCCCAATTCCCCCTCAAGTGTTCTTTCCTCCATAGAAAGACCCTGTGGACATTTTAGGTAATGATCCCACTGGGTCGTTATTTACACATAACAAGTTAGAATAAAAGCAGTGGGCTCTGTATTATTTTCCATAAGAAAAGAGACTGAGAAGCATCTTCACTTTCCATTCATTTCTTAAAGAGTTGTCCTTTACCCAAAGATCTTACTTTCCAGGTGGCCTTTCCCCAGGGCCCCCAGTTGAATATCCTCCAAAATTAAGCTAAATGGACTCCTGCTATTGATGGGATTGAGAGTCAGTTAGAAACAAAAGCATCTCTCTCTCCCTCTCTCTCTCTCTCTCTTTTTTTTTTTTTTTTTTTTTTTTTTTTTATGAGACAGTCTTGCTCTTTCGCCCAGGCTGGAGTACAATGGTGCGATCTCCGTTTACTGTAACCTCCGCCTCCTGGGTTCAAGCGATTCTCCTGCCTCAGCCTCCCAAGTAGCTGGGATTACAGGCGCCCACCACCAGGCCCAGCTAATTTTTTTCTATTTTTAGTAGGTACGGGGTTTTACCACGTGGGTCAGGCTGGTCTCAAACTCCTGACCTCAGGTCATCTACCTGCCTCGGCCTCCCAAAGTGCTAGGATTACAGGTGTGAGCCACCATGCCTGGCCTCATCTCTCTTTTTTTGAAGACAGGGTCTTGCTCTGTCACCCAGGCTGGACCTCAGTGGCATGATCATGTCTCAGTGCAGCCTCGACCTTCTGGGCTCAAATGATCCTCCCACCTCTGCCTTCCGAGTAGCTGGCACTACCGGCACATGCCACCATATCTGGCTAATTTTTAATCTTTTGTAGAGACAGAATCTCCCTATGTTACCCAGGCTGGTCTGAAACTCCTGAGGCAAGCAATCCTCTAGTCTCGGACTCCCAAATGGTTGGGATTATAGGCGTGGGCCACCACACCTGGCTCAAAAGCATCTTTATTGTCATTTTGGTGTCATGTATACAGTAGAAAGAACTCATTTGATCTGTTCCAACCAAACAACCTGGAAAACAGGACTTAGATCAACACAAGCAATCAGTTGCTAGTATGGTCTCTAAACATTTTAGAACTCCACAGATTATTTAGTGACTAATCCAGCCATTTCATTTTATGGAACCAGAAACTCAGACGCATAAAATTTGAGGGACTTATTCAAAAGCACACAGCCAGCTAAGTACCAAGCTCTGCCCCAAATATGGCTGTTCACACTTCTTGGTCAAGAACTTTTTGATTTCTTCGAATGTTCCCTCACCAAATCACTGGAGGCAGAACTTGGGGTTTCTGAGTCCACACCCTGGGGGGAATAGCAAGTTGCCCTGTTTCTTCATCATGGAATTAATGGGTACCACTTTTAAAAAATATGCCTCTAGTGCATAATAAATGTAAACTGATCTGTATCTACCAATGATCACAAATGACATATTTAGGCATGTGCCCAGGTGTATGAGTAATTTAGAACTTTCAAAGTTTGACACATGCCTCAAGGTATAGATACTACATCTGTTTCACAACCTTACAGCTTTTTAAAAATGTGTTTAAATATTCATGGGTACCCAAAAATTCATGTTTGTTTTTAAACTAAATTATTAATCAAGCTGTCACCAAAAGAAATTTTTTGCATTCACAAAGCGTAAACTTGAAACATGAAATAATCACATTATATTTAAAGACAATGTTTGTAGTAATATAATCCCACATACTGTTTTTACATGGAGCTGCCAGTTACAACAATCATCTTACATTTCTGCCTTTGCAATTAGAGGAATTGAAGGACACAGTAATAGCAAGTAAACATGCAACTTAGGGAAGCCACACTTGATTATGGAGCTCAAGGCTGATGAGGTTATTATGAGTAATTGGGCCTCACTGTCTTGCAGCCTGTGCAAGGATTTTTATATTACAATGAGTCACCATTTTCTAGAGCTTTTCTCAAGCTTCAAAGTATGGCTACTTTGCCTTCTTTTTTACATTGTTTGGGAAAGTCGAGAAGTAGTCACAAAATAAAAGAAATGAGAGGGAGGAAAAAGAAGAAAAGGTCATGATTCTCCTTAATGGAAATCTAGTTGATAACATAAATGAAACCATCAGTCAATATGTTGATATTTGTGAAAATGATGATCTTGTTGATCCGTAAGTTGTAGTATGGATAGCCTAACTTTTTTTTTTTTTGAGACAGAATTTCACTCGGTCGCCCAGGTTGGAGTGCAGTGGCATGATCTCAGTTCACTGCAGCCACCACCTCCTGGGTTCAAGTAATTCTCATGCCTCAGCCTCCCGAGTAGCTGGGACTACAGGTGTGCGCCACCACGCCAGGCTAATTTTTGTATTTTTAGTAGAGATGGGGTTTCACCATGTTGGCCAGGTTTGTCTCGAACTCCTGACCTCAAGTGATCTGCCCACCTCGGCCTCCCAAAGTGCTGGGATTATAAGCGTGACCCACTGCTCCCAGCTTGATAGCCTAAAGTTATTTTTAAAAAACTCTCATTTAAAATATTTAAGTGGAAAGATCACCGATTTATAAATTTGTCTGTAATTTTACTTTTCAGTTACTTTGATTTAAATAAAAAAAAGAACCTAAAAATGTTCAAATGTAGACAATGTTTTATTTGGTGATGACAGTAATGTTTATGCTATGTGAGCACATGCATGTCGCTTCCAAAGAATTATTCTATTTCTTGATTTTATGCATTAAATGCCTTGATTATATTTTATTTGAATGGTAGAAGAAATTTTCACCACCAGCATTATATAAGACAAAAAAAAAAAAGGCTGGGCGCTGTGGCTCACGCCTGTAATCCCAGCACTTTGGGAGGCCAAGGTGGGCGGATCACGAGGTCAGGAGATCGAGACCATCCTGGTTAACACAGTGAAAACCCGTCTCTACGGAAAATACAAAAAATTAGCCGGGCGTGGTGGCGGGCACCTGTAGTCCCAGCTGCTGGGGAGGCTAAGGCAGGAGAATGCTGTGAACCCGGGAAGCGGAACTCACAGTGAGCCGAGACGGTGCCACTGCACTCCAGCCTGGGCGACAGAGTGAGACTCCGTCTCAAAAAAAAAAAAAAAAAAAAAAAAAAAGACAAAAGAAAAGTATCATGTAGATTTCAACTGGAGACAGTGACTTTAATCTTCTAAGTTCAGAGACAAATTTCACTGCACTTCCTTCAGTGTTTCTGAAGCGTGAGCATATTTGCTAAACAGTTGCCTATCTCATCATTGTGTTAGGCTCCTCATATTTTCCTTAGGGAAATGCTATGGAGAGTTCAGGTCAGAATATTGTGTTGTAAATGTTGCCACAGTAAATGCAACCCCGGCCTTTACTGTTGGTTCATCTCAGATGAATATGTTTCTAAAGTCATGATAAACCAACCTCATGCATTTTAAATACCTCCAGAATCACAGTTAGTCTTTTTCATGGCTCCCGTGAGGTTTTCTAGTTTTTCACGTCCTCGCCTGTGACTCCTTCCTCTGGCCAAATGGGGAGCTCCTTTAGTGAAACCCCACATCCTTACCTCTGTGAGTCTCCCCTTCATATTCACCCAGCCCCCTTTAATAACAGGGCTGCTGGTTCCCCCTCAAGCCGACTTCTAACAAGCTACTGGAGCAACCGTGCAAGCTTGGGCTAGTCATTGCTTCAAAGCAATTACTGGCGGATATTTAAAGGAGAAAGAGAAGACTAGTCCAAGAATCCTCCACTTCAGTTAAAACAGAAACACAAGCCAGTAATCCCAGTGATTGGGTCAGCCCACTAAATGAGGCTGCACCTGGAAGAGAGGAATTCTTCCTCCTGCCCACATTTCTCTGAGCTAGCCCAGCCGGCATTGGAAGGGATCACAGTGTAGACAGAGCCAAAAGGGCCTTGGGTGGCCCTTCTGCTGATGAAAGCTGAACATGGAGGGAGAGAGACTTCATAGATATTCATGTGCTCTTCGATAATTTTAAGGTAGGCTCTGATCCTGTCTTTTGCTACGTTATGACACCTTGGCTCTAAGAGCCGGGTTCAGAGAAAAAAGAAGAATTTATCTGCTGCTATTTCTTCACATCCAGCAATTCGATTTGTATATAGAAAAACTAATTTTCTAACCCACTATGGAAGGAAAAAAGGCATGGTAAAGATATTAGATCTTTTTGGTACTGTTTTTTTTTTTTTTTCTGGACTCCAGATACCTTTTCTTTCAGTTGCCGAAAGTGTTTGAAGGCAAAAAAAAAAAAAAAAAAAGAAAAAGAAAAAAATCTTCTTTCATGTACATTCATTAGATAAGCAGCAAACCAGGTGTTTGGGAAAAGTAAACAATTAAATATTTAAATATCAACCAAATCTCTTTGAATGTATTGTAAATATTGGAACTTTATTTTTTTTTTTAAAGCCTTAGTTTCCATACTCGGAATCTTGAAAGAAAGTTCGTGCCACCCAACATTTATGGGTGGGGAACTATACTGGAGGAATAATACTTTCTTGGGGAACAAGAAAAGGAGAGAAAAGCTGAAGTCATTTTTCTTCTTCTTTTCCGTATTTATAATTGCCTATTTTATGGTCACATAGCTTTTGACTGGCGTACTGTAGATAGCCTTTGGATTGTCTGTTCATGTTTTTTACCTGATCTTTAAGGGCAGGCTAAGGAAATGGCCAAAGTCAGGCTTCTTTCATCTGCCATAGTTATCGATGTTTTTGATTCCAGGAACATTCAAGACAGATCACTCCTCAAAGTGTACAACAAGGATCCTGCACATGCGTTTAATCACACACCAAAAACTATGAATGGAGACATGAGGGTAAGTGTTTCTGTCATATTTTTACTTATCTTCAGTGGGTCAAAGCGTCCCTCCTCTTGCTTGTACTCCTGATGTAATCAGAACTCTACAACTGAGTTTTGGAGGGTTCTCCGCACTCATCTCACCTAGTGGATCATTATTTGTTCTTGGTAGAGAAGTAAGATTTCCTGGTTATTTAGGGCAAAGGGATTAAAATAAGGCTGGACACATCCTAATTTATCTTTAAGCAAGGAGTTATGTCCTTACTTTAAATGAATTCTGAAAATCTTCCTATAAAAGGGTCCCTGGTCCACAGTATATTAACTGACTCAGAAGATCTCTTGCATTTCTTTCTCCAATTAAAGCAAACCTAACATACAAAAAGGCAAACAGCAAGGTGCACAATTGCATGGAAAATCTATTCATACTCTTACATTAGCTCTTCCAAGTTCTAACATTCTAATTCAATTTCTCACCTTCTAATTCAGGAGCTACCCTGGAAGAATTTTGTTGTTGTACTGTCTTAAATATTACCATATCCTCTCTGAGCCATGCTGAGGTCATAATACAAAAATCCGCATGATTTGGGAACTAAAATTCTCTAGCTTTAGATTGTCTCAGGAGATTATCCAAACATTCAAAGCACACAGGGATGTTTTGAAGAAAAAAGAAGGAGAAACTGAAAAAGCAGATTTTAAGATCATATTAATGCAGGTCCACTAGAAAGGGATTGAGTTTCTAAAAATAAGGCTACATTCCTCTGTAGCAAAACTGGGAGGTAAAAAGAAGATTAGCTTCTCAGCTGTACACCCCCTACACACACACACACACATTTGGAAGACACTGTGCCATTTTTTCTCATCTTTTCTACAGATTAGCACTTGGCTGGATGCTCAAGTTTAGCTAGAAAAATAAATAAATAAATGATTACCTTTTATTGCCAAAGAAACCCAGGCACTGTTCTGTCTTGGAGCTGCAGTTTTGTTCCTGAGCGAGGCTGTCTCTGCTTCCTGATAGTACATATTAGTTTCCTGTTGCTGCTGTAATAAATTAGGACAAATTCAGTGACTTAAAACAACACAGATTTACTCTCTTAAATTTTAGAGTCTGTAGACTGAAAGTCTCTGGTCTGACATAAGGGGTCACCAGCAGGTATGCATTCTTTTCTGGAGGCCCTAGGGAGAATCTTTTCTTTTTTTTTTTTTTCCCCCAACTTCTAGAGGTCATCAACATTTCTTGGTTTGCTGTCCTCTTCCTCCATCTTCAAACCCAGCAAGATAGCTTCCCTTTGACCCTGCTTCCATGCTCACATCCCTAACCCTCCCATGTCCACTTTTAAGGACACTTTAAGGACATTGAGCCTCCCTGATCCTCCAGAAAAATCTCCCTATTTCAAGGTCAGCTGACTGGCAATCTTGACTCCCCCTTTTCCATGTAACCTGATGTAGTCACAGGTTGAGGGGACTAGGATGCAGACATCTTTCAGGGACCAGCATTCTGCTTTCCATATTGGGTAAGTTTAGAACCATAAAAGAAGCCAGCAGATCTAGCTGAAAGTGCTGGGAGAAGGTCTGTCCTTCTGGACTGGAATATGAATGACGACATTGTGGGATCAGAGCCTACACTTCTGGAGGGAAAGGCCTCTCACGTACTCAACTGCTGTTATTTTTGTGTCAGAAATGATGTGTGACTTGAATTGAAAGCTGTGTCGCTACTTCAGAAATTCTAGGATTTTCAGCCTTATTTTGCCAGTTATACTTTATGTGTAAACCAGAGCCACATGGAGACAGATTGAGTCATGCCAATCGTGAAGCATGGACTAAATATTACAGCACCATTTGCCTTTTATTACTCTGTTATTCTCTTTCTTGGAGACATTCATCAATGTCTTCGCTCCTTGAATATCTTTATTTTTTGCTATGTCTAGCCTTCACCCTGGAGTTCCATGGTGCTGAGAGTTCTGTTCCTATCACATAGAGCCATTTCCACACCGGTGCCCCAGAATCGCCTCTGAGAATCTTGTTTGTGGCTGGAAAGACACCTGTTTTAACCCTCCAGCAGCTCTGGTACCTACGTAAGGACCAGCAGTGAGGACTGAGAGTATCGAATATTGACCGTATGAACAAAGCTGATCAGGATATGCAGAACATGTGCTGTGGGTTTCTGCAGAGTGGTTCTGTTCTTACTTCAAGATGAAACCCTGCTGATCACTTTTTCTGGGTTACCCAGAGCCTACTTTAAGCCCTCATTTTGTGTGTGTGAGAAACTCAATCATTGTCCCCAAATGAAGGGACAGTAAATGTTCACCATCTAACCAGCAGAAAAGCTTTTGTGTTTCAATGCAGATTACTTAGAAATGAGAAATAGAAAGCGGTTTCAAAGCCAGCTAGGTGTGATCATGCCTGCAGTTTGCAACTTGGTTCCTGTTCACAGATTGCAGACGCTAAAAGGCATGGAATTCAGCTGCCCTCACCTTTTGGCTCTGCAGGTTGGAATTCTTTTTCCTTTCTTGATGAATGTGGCTGCATTGCCATTAAAGGGCAGGAAGCTTTGTTGAGCCCTGCCTCTGGAGCCCAGCTGCACAACCCACTGCCCATGGTGGAGAACAGAAACAGAGAACAGAGCAAGCATCAATTGTTGTAGACTAAACCACGCTGCAGCGTGGGGTTAGGGAACTCCGTCCTCCCTTATGTTTGCAATGTGAGCGTGGCCATGAAGGAATTCGATGCTAACTACTCACATGAGTCAGTCACTGCAGTCCTGCCCCTGATGTCATTAGACCTCACTCCCCAGCCTCCAGAGACAGCCTGGCACAGACCTCCCAGCTGCCTGCTTATGACCAATAAACATGCATGTCATGAAAAACATCAGTTGGAATAAGCAGAGGGGCAACAAAAGTCACACCAGAACTCCTCAGGGGCTCCTGAGACTTTCCTTAACCAATGAATGTAATATCTTGCCTTTGAAAGAAAAGAAAATGTAAAACTCTCCATCTAAAACAGTCTTCCCAGAGCGGTTTTATGATTGGAAATGTGTTACTCAGGAAGCGTGCTAGACTAGGCCTCAGAGTGTGCGTGGAATGCATGCTTGGTGGGGAAAACGTGTACTAAATTTTCATCTAGCATCTAGCTGAGCATTTTTGAGGCTAGTCTGTCTAAGGAGACTTGTGGTTCTCGGCTGGAACTCAGCATACCTGGCTCCTGTTTCTCTACCCACCACCCTGATCTAATTTAATTGCGTGGCTTTTGTTTCCTTACATCAGATAGGAGCTTTGATAATTCAGTTCCCAAGGGACTGAGCTCACCATATGGAACAGGCCCTTTTGCAAAATTTATATATGTACTCACAGGGTTTTAAATTCACAAATGTACAACTTGAAGATGGAACCATTCCATTTCATGACTCTCAAAAAGTACACGTTTTTCCATACCAGCAGTTTGTTGAAGGAACTGGACAATTCTGCTTTGAGGGTGACTTGCTAGTCACCAAACCTGGTGGCTTTTTCATAGTGTGGGGGCTTCTCCACCTTCTTGTGTGCTTTAAGACAACTTTCCAAGACTCTCTGCTCTCATCATTTAATACTCTCCCTCTTCTCTGCTTCCTTTAATTTCTCTTGCATGTCTTTGATTTTTACTTGTATATAGACAATTACCAGATTGGCCCTACCTCTTAAATTATTCCCCAATACCCAAGGTAACTGCTGCCTCCCACCCCTCTTCTACTGATCTTTGTATTTGACACCAGTGAATGGTCCCCTTATAAATCATTGGTCTCCATGGCACTTTTGTGTCTAAATACCTTGTCTGCATTCACAGACACCTCAGCTTCCTTCATTCCCTAACTCTTCTTCCTCTTGCCTGTGTTTAAGCAGGCTTCTCTAGTTTGGAGTTTATTTGTTTTGTTTTTTTAAATTTACTCTTTTTTATCTGAACCTTTGCACTTGTGATTTTTATCTTACCACTTGTTTGACTATTACATCAGTGTGGTTGACCCTTGAAGCCATATCCCTAACTCTGCCATCTCTAGAATTCAAGACCCAAATGTTCAGCTTCTAAGTGTCTTCATATGGAGATCATTTCCGTGGTTTCCAATGCATTCTGTTGAAGAAAAAATTCCTAATCTTTTTTCCACTCAAGTCTTTATCCTTCTTGATTACCTTTTGAAGAATGGAGGGGCTATGATAGGGTGTGTGTGTATGTGTGTGCACATGCATGTGTGCCTGTGTGTGTATGCATGCATATTTTGGGGAATGTGGGAGGAGGGATGTAAAACATTGAGTTACCAATGATTCTTCTCTTGCCTGACCTTTATTCTTCCATGCATCCAGCTGGTCACCAGAGTTCATCCACTCCACTTTGCAAGGCCTCTAACAGATGACCCTTCTGCCACTGCCTGTACCAGTATTCTTACAATAGCTAACTTATTTGAGCATTTATTAAGCACTTTTGTGGGATTTTTTTTTTTTTTTTTGAGAGGGAGTCTCACTGTGCCATCCAGGCTGGAGTGCAGTGTTGCAATCTCGGCTCATTGCAACCTCTGCCTCCCAGGTTCAAGCGATTCTCCCACCTCAGCCTACTGAGTAGCTGGGATTACAGGCATGCACCACTATACCTGGCTAATTTTTGTATTTTTAGAAGAAATGGGATTTTGCCATGTTGGCCAGGCTGGTCTCAAACTCCTGACCTCAGGTGATCCACCTGCCTCAGCCTCTCAAATTACAGGCGTGGGCTACTGCGCCTGGACAGTAATGTTAATTATTTAATCCTCAAGATAAACTTTTGAGCCAGGTCTTGGTATAAGCCCCCCTGTTTACAGATGATGAGACAGCTCCTTATGTTAAGAGATTTCCCCAAGGCCACACAGCCAGAGAGTAGCAGAACAGAGATTTAAACCCAGGCACCGTGGCTGCTGAAATTATAGCCTTCATTATCTCTCTACTGAATCACCTAACAGTTCTTACTTCCCACATCTCATTCTCCTGTTCTCTTTTTCCAAGTGTCTCAAATTCACTCTCCCTCTCTACATATCTGCCTTTCAAAATTCTACTCATCTAACATATTCCAGAACAATTGTCTAATTCCTTCAGCAAATTGCAGTCATGAAAAAAAAGTGGGGGAGGGAGCACAGTTAAGTTTCTCGGGGGTCTTCTGTACCATAATAACAAAATGTGGCCTGTGCACCATCTTCAGATTTTGAGAAGAACAAAGCAACTGTAAAAGACATCTTTAAAACTATTTGGGAAATTTGAACATGTGTTAGGAATCAGGAGATATTAAGGGATAGCTGGTAATTCTGTTAGGCATAATAATAGGTTAGTGGTTATGTTTTAAAAGATGGAACATACTAAAGTGTTTACAGGTTAAATGACATGAAAAATGGGACTTGCTTTAAAATACTGCAGCAAACCAAGAAAACAAAAAGGTGGAAGTAGATGAAACAAAATGGTAAAATGTTGAAAAATGTCAAAGCTGGATGATGGGGGTACCTTTTATTGTTTTCTCTACTTTTTTGTGTTTGAAAATTTTCATAATAAAATCTGTTTGTTTTCTTTTCTTTTCTTTTCTTTTTTCTGAGACAGAGTCTCACTCTGTCACCGGGCTGGAGTGCAGTGGTGCGATCTCAGCTCACTGCAACCTCTGCCTCCCGTGTTCAAGCAATTCTCCTCCCTTAGCCTCTTGAGTAGCCGGGACTACAGGTGCACACCACCACTCTTGGCACATTTTTGTATTTTTTACTAGAGACGGGGTTTCACCACGTTGACCAGGCTGGTCTCGAACTCCTGACCTCAGGTGATCCACCCGCCTCGGCCTCCTAAAGTGCTGGATTTACAGGCGTGAGCCACCATGCCCAGCCCATAATAAAATCTTTTACAAAATAATAAAAACTTGTTTTTAGAGCCCAAATAAAAGACTTCCTACCCCAGGAAGCTTTCGCTAATGCTCTGTCAGAATTCATCTTTCCCTTTTGGGGGCCTGTTGCACATTCGCATTGTGTTATAATCATTTAGCTGTGTGTTCATCTCATGCAAAAGACTGTACACTCTTCAAAGCCACAAGCCATATTATGTGATGATTCATCTTCACGTCCCTCCAAAAACCAGTCATGGCATCTTAACCCCTGGTGAGTGCAGAGTAAACACACTTGTTAAACAGGATGCGCTGAGTGTCCTACTGATGGTCCTACAAATGCCATATTATTCATTTTCTATCATTAATGAGGACCCACTGTAAAAATATCTCTCTGTTCTCATCACCAGAAATAGTTGTGCTTCTCCTGGTTTATTTTTATCATATGGACACTTTGAGTCTTGTAAGTGATCATTTTCCCTCTTTGTGTTGCTACTCTAAAGCTTAGAATTAAATTTGTGGCCCACCCACAGCAAGGGTACAGGCATTTGTGGCGTGTGTTTTGTGTGTTGGCTTCATTCCTGGACTCTCTTTTTAATTTTCCTACTTTCATCTTCCTTTGGTTGCACATTCTACTTTGACTTCTTTTTTCTGTAAAACTGTAAAAATGTATAGGAACTCTATTAATTTCTTGGTGCAATCTATCAGGATATAAATAGTATTCATTCTCTACCATCGTTGTTCTAGATAGAAGATAGCAAACCTTTTTGTGTCTGCAGAGTAGGCAGTGTGTTAAGTACTTTACATATTATTTAAATTAGTCAGTAACTCTGGCAAAGTGGGTATACTGACTTCGTTTTCACAGGTGATAAAACTGAAGCCAAAGAGGTCTTTCCCAAGCTCACACATCTGATCAATGTTGGACACTGGATTTGAACTTGTTTCTGCTTGTTTATACACAGCCCACAGCCTCCCTTCCTTGATATTTCCATTTAAGTTTTGCAATTTTGAAGTGATGTTCCTACTAAGACTTTAGAACAAACAAAATATGCTTTATTAAACATTTGTTTCATTTCTGTTTTTAATTATTATTATACTTTAAGTTTTAGGGTACATGTGCACAACGTGCAGGTTTGTTACATATGTATACATGTGCCATGTTGGTGTGCTGCACCCATTAACTCATCATTTAGCATTAGGTATATCCTAATGCTATCCCTCCCCCCTCCCCCCACCCCACAACAGTCCCTGGTGTGTGATGTTCCCCTTCCTGTGTCCATGTGTTCTCATTCTTCAATTCCCACCTATAAGTGAGAACATGCGGTCTTTGGTTTTTTGTCCTTGCGATAGTTTGCTGAGAATGATGGTTTCCAGCTTCATCCATGTCCCTACAAAGGACATGAACTCATCATTTTTTATGGCTGCATAGTATTCCATGGTGTATATGTGCCACATTTTCTTAATCCAGTCTATCCTTGTTGGACATTTGGGTTGGTTCCAAGTCTTTGCTATTGTGAATAGTGCCGCAATAAACATACCTGTGCATGTGTCTTTATAGCAGCGTGATTTATAATCCTTTGGGTATATACCCAGTAATGGGATGGCTGGGTCAAATGGTATTTCTAGTTCTAGATCCCTGAGGAATCGCCACACCAACTTCCACAATGGTTGAACTAGTTTACAGTCCCACCAATAGTGTAAAAGTGTTCCTATTTCTCCACATCCTCTCCAGCACCTGTTGTTTCCTGACTTTTTAATGATCGCCATTCTAACTGGCGTGAGATGGTATCTGATTGTGGTTTTGATTTGCATTTCTCTGATGGCCAGTGATGATGAGCATTTTTTCATGTGTTTTTTGGCTGCATAAATGTCTTCTTTTGAGAAGTGTCTGTTCATATCCTTCACCCACTTGTTGATGGGGTTGTTTGTTTTTTTCTTGTAAATTTGTTTGAGTTCATTGTAGATTCTGGATATTAGCACTTTGTCAGATGAGTAGGTTGCTTAATTTCATTATACATCTCTTTCATGGTATCTTTTTATATTTAATTTTGCTTCATTCTCTTCTTTTCTGAGCACACTAAAAATATATCCATTAAAAAAAGAAAAGAAAAGAAAAGAAAAAGAGTGAGTTGCCCATTTAGTATGTGTGTCTGCAGTGGCCACTGAACTCAGAGCACTTTTTCTCACAGGGCAGTGTTCTTGTTGAGAAGAGGGGTTTGGGATTCAGGGAGTATCAAGTCATCCCGTAGTAACAAAAGAATCCCACAGAAATGGAAGTTTCAGAAAACACTCCTAGCTGATAATCTATTTAGAGATCGTTTTTGACCCACCTGTAATATCCCCTTCACTCATGCAATGACAACGGTATCAATAACTAACATTCCTGACGTGCTTACTCTGTGCCAGTCACCATACTGAGCAATTTGCTTGTATTTACTGCCATTTGATTTTCACACCTATACAATGTGAGAGAAGTTCTTATTATTCTCCTGTTTCAGAAGTGGAAGCTGAGGCTTAAGAGAGGTCAGTGTGCTTGCTCAAAGCTACCCAGCTAAAGAGAAGTGGAGCTGAATTTAGAGCCAGGCAGGCCAACTCTAGAACTGGCCTTTGTAATCATGCCTGTGGTCACTACCGTCCGTCCTTTCCCACCACTGTCTTCATCAGTGTGTCGATGAGTCATCGCCACATGTCCATGGGCCTCTCATTTCTGAAGACCTAACCCAGAAGCCACTCTCTTCATCAAGCCTCTCTCACTTCTTTCCAAACCTCACCACTCACTGTCCCTTCTCGAAACTTCCATAGAACTTCACCTCCCTGCCCCGCTCTCTTTGTGCACTCCCCTTTTCCTGACTGCACTGAGTTATTGATGCACGCTTCTTTTTCTTTTCCTTTCACCATTTTATTCTTTTTTTAATGAATGATTTATATATTTATTTATTTATTTATCTATTTATTTTATACTTTAAGTTCTGGGGTACATGTGCACAATGTGTTATATATGTATACATGTGCCATGTTGGTGTGCTGCACCCATTAACTCGTCATTACATTAGGTATATCTCCTAATGCTATGCCTCCCCACTCCTCCCACCCCACAACAGGCCCCGGTGTGTGATGTTCCCCACCCTGTGTCCAAGTGTTCTCATTGTTCAATTCCCACCTATGAGTGAGAACATGTGGTGTTTGGTTTTCTGTCCACACGTCTTAAGTGTCTTTCAGCTCTAAGCTTCTCAGGGACAGGGTCTCCATTTCATTCATCTTCACGCTCCCTGTGGCTCTCTCGGACAATGCCCTGCCCTGAGTAGATTCTCATTAAATACCTGGATAGAAAAAGATACTTACTTCAGCCCTTTTCTATCACCAACTTTCAGTTAATTAGTGCCTTATCTACTAAGAGCGATACAGTGATTTGTAAAGGTACGTGTTTGAGGCTTATAGCACATTACCTAATGTATCCCGCTATTGGCCACTGACCCAAATGAGAAATAAGAATGTCTGCCTTTCCTCAGTCTATCAGTATAATTTGATAGAAGTTAATTACCCTGGGCTGAGCGCGGTGGCTCACACCTGTAATCCCAGCACTTTGGGAGGCTGAGGCGGGCAGATCACGAGGTCAAGAGATCAAGACCATCCTGGCCAAGATGGTGAAACCCTATCTCTACTAAAAATACAAAAATTAGCTGGGTGTGGTGGCGCGTGCCTATAGTCCCAGCTACTCAGGAGGCTGAGGCAGGAGAATCACTTGAACCCCGGAGGCAGAGATTGCAGTGAGCCAAGATCACACCACTGTACTCCAGCCTGGTGACAGAGTGAGTCTCCACCTCAAAAAAAAAGAAGTTAATAACCCTGAAGTTTAAGAATAACAATAAAGAAAAAATCTGCTTTGTCAGATTAAAATAAGTGTTCATCAGAAATACACAGTTATCTAACCTTTTTTTGCGTGGGGGGGGCTGGAGTTTTCAGGAGTTGAATTCACCTGTGGTAGAACGTAAACTAAATCCCTAGACAACAAATCTAAATAAGATAGATCTGATTTTGCTGTGTTTATAATTCACTAGGAGAAATCTTGCTTTTATTTTGCTTTATTTTTATTTTATTTTGAAGGCAGGGTCTTGCTCTGTCACCCAGTTTGGAATGCAGTGGCACAATCATGGCTCACTGCAGCCTCAGCCTCCCTGGCTCAAGTGATCCTCTGCCCCAGCCTCCTGATTAGCTGGAACTACTGGCACACACCACAATACTTGGCTAATTTTCTGAATTCTTTGTAGAGACACAGTCTCCCTATGTTGCCCAGGCTGGCTTTGAACTCCTAGGCTCCAGGGATCCTCCCTCCATGCCTTCCAAAGTGCTGGGATTACAGGCATGAGCCACTGTGCCTGGCCCCTTGCTTTTAGATTGAGTCGATAGTCAGTATTTCAAATATCTCTAAACTTACACCGTAAGGGTGATGATTTTTGAACAGTTAACCTAACTTCATTACTGTAAGCGTTTACTGATTCACTCAATCAGCCATAGTGAGTCAGATCCTTCCTCTGGTCTCAGCTCTCATGCAAGATCCTGAAGATATATTGGCAAAAAGCAATAATGATACAGACAATAATCAATTAACTCAATAATCAATAATGATACAGACATCTATAATTTTTCACATAAGTTCAGGCTCATGAAATCCTTGCCTGTGTTCTATAATTTGCTGGAGTTAACACTATGGAACTCATTTATGAGTGATATACATAATGATATCTTTTTTATATTGTGCTTTTCTGGGAGGCAAAAAGATGTTTCTGTTATGATTGATAAGGAAGGACTCTTACAGAAATGATTAGCTAGGCAAACACATTTGAATACAGTGGCTGTCCAGAACATGGGAGATATTTTCTTGTTCCTTCTCTGCTTCCAGTTATAAAGTCTTATTTTTTAGAAGCAAGAAAAGGTAATATATGCACATCTGATATGCAACTTCCAAGTGATACAAATCTCATCTTTCCTGCTGCGTGGCTGCTTGCTTTTCCTTGTACTATTTTTTTTTTTATTTTTTGTCATTGAGAGGTTATGACAACATGAGCCATATTGTATTTATAAACATCACGTGTTTCCTTGATATGGCTTGCAGTTTCTGCCAGACAGAACACATGGAAGAAACATTTCTCGTTAGTTCAGCATTGGTTTTAGTTATGCTGATTTCCGGGACAGGAAAAATGCCTTCCTACTCAGAATTAACTTTCATAGAGTAGAAACAAAACCTCTGAATGTCCGTGAAATAGTTTTAACAAGAGTGGATACTGCTCCTTTAAACCACATATTTTGACTAAAAGCTTCCTTCTGTAAAAAACCCAAGGCTTGCATTTAGTCACCATGAAGACAGGCAAAGCTGAAAGCATTGGAGAGAGGGGTGGTTTCGAGGTCTCTGCAAGTCTAGAAAGTTTCTTCTAGAAAAGAAAGGCTCACGGAAAATGTAAGGTAAGAACTGTGCCTTTATGATAGGATATTATCTTTAGAATCTTTTTTCATGCTCTGGCACGTTTATCTTTCATTAACTTGTCTTCTGTATTCAAGTTCAATGCAATAGGCGATTGCAATTTTAGGTTTTATTTTAACTTCTTGCACACTGCCTAGAAGAAAACCTCTCTTTGTTATTGACATTATTCTGTTTTTTTGAAATCCACTTAAATTAAACTGGGCTGGTCTTCAATCTATAAATCTTGTGGTCTAGTTTCTGGCTAACCTTATAATTTGGAATGGGATTTAAAGTGCCAACACAGTTTGCTTTTACAGGTCTTGTTGATTTATGTGCTCTGTGACAATTTTCAGTGTTTTCATGAAGTTGTTGACATACATTCAGTGTCTGAGGCAAAGTCGATAATTTGAAGGCATGGTACAAGCAAGGAGGGAAATTCATATGTGTCCTTTAACATTCCAGGGAAAAATTATTTGGTGTTTTGTTCTTGTGAAAATCACTTTAAATTTAAAAATAAAAATAACCTTTATCCTGGTCTTGAAAAAATTTTAAAGAAATAGCAGTTTAATCTGTATGAAATCACATTAAAAACTTCTACAGTTTTAAATGACAAGCTTGATATAACAAATCTCTTATAGCAGGTTTAGTGATTGCCTGAAAAAGTCTTTGACAGAAATCTTGTTTACTTGAGATAACTATTCTGTCAACTCTTGCAGTAATTCACTCACAATATTTTTGCATTGATTTCCTTTAAAGGAATTTAATAAGAGCAATGTCCTTTTAAATCAGTCTGTTTCCTTTCAAAAGTACATGTGTTCATGAATTTGCTTGTTCATATTTCTGTGGATATCTTTATCCCAGTTTATAGATGAGTTAATATACCTGAGAAGTTGTTATCCAATGTGGTTTACGTAATATCTATTATTCTATTTAGTCATCATGATAACCCTATGGAATAGGTACTATTACACCCATTTTAAGTTTGGAAAACCAAGGCTCAGAGAGGAACAAGATCAAGATCACACACTTGTAAGTAACAGAGCTGGGATTTAAATCCAGGCTGACTGTCTTCCTTGTTTTTAAGTCCTGGACAGCACAGCCTCAATAGTAGCTGAGAGCTTCAGGTCTGTAATCAAATATAGATGACTTATCTTGAAAATAATAATAATATATAATGTTTACGTGGCTTCAGGATAAACTATTTTTTACTTTTCTGGAATTTTATTTTATTTTAGATCTGTAGCATCCAAAACCTAGTATCACACTGGTTGTTTATCCAGGGACCTGGTTACAACTTACTCAGAGCATAATGAAAACAGTGAACATCAGAGAGTGTAGAGATAGAGAAAAGCACTTTGGATAAACGACTCTTCCTTCTTTACTACACAGACCTTTCCTGCTCTCTTCTTTGCTTCATGTGCCGTGTTGCTCATAAAAAAATGTTTCCATAGGACAGAGCAGGAAGCTTGTTTGTGAGCTTGATTTGGGAGCAAGAAAGTATCTTTGAATGGAGACTGGCTAACTGTGCCTGCCCACTGCCCTTCAGGCTGCTGGCAGAGCTCTCAGGAGGGGGACAGGAAGAATGTTAAGGCTGAAGGTGGAGGGTTCTGAAGTTAGGGCAGCTGGCTCAGCTGCCTGAGAGCCCGAACTTCACCTTCAACAGTGCTCTTCCCACCTCCTCCTGAAGATTGAGACATCAACACAGCAGCAAAAATATCCTGGTGATTTGTAATGCAAAGTAATTACTGCTAACAGCATCAACAGGGGATGCAGCTGCTCACAACACAGGCTTCAGGATCAAGGCTTCCAGCCCCAGTTCAGCATAAAATCCAGGATTGGCTACACAACCAACACAACTCAAAGTTGATTGGAGCAGAACCTTCCTTCTCCCCAACAGGTCCTAGGGTTAGCTCCCGAAGAGTTCTGAGCCGTGGCTGGCTGGAGTGCACATGAGAGGTTTTTGCCACATCCCTCTGCCCTTTGATATCCAAACCACATCCCTTTTCTTTGCTCTTATAAGTATAGGTGTTGGCGGAGATTGCTTTTGACTGGGGACATATGTCCTTTCATTTTCAAGTTGCATCCCTTGTACCTGCATGTTGTTCACTTGCTGAGGTCTTGCTTTTCTGTGTTCTTTGTGGGTGCCCAGCAAGGCATCCCAGACCATACTAGGCTGTTGTCTACCACATCAGCCTAGGCGCCCCGAGTCCCAGACCCTACTCTATAGAGGGCTTCCAGGGGACCATTTTTCTCTTGATGCTGTTTCTAACATTTCTCAAATGAGCATGTGTTACTTTTATATAAATTTGGGGGTAGGGAGAGAACACGTTAATCTTTTAAAAAGAAAAAAGTGTTTTTAAGATACATTTTGCCTACTGGTAACACATTTTCTTCTGTCCTAGTTTTTCTTGTGGAGCAGGTGATCTCTGCTTGCATGTGGTTTGCAGAAGTCATAGATACTCTGTCCGCTTTTGAGGAACTAGAGCTGGCTACTGCAGACTTGTAATTGAGAAGACAAACCTGACCTGCACCACCGGTGCTCCCTCAAGAAACAGCACTGAAACTAATAATAATTTTTTAAAAGACGGTTAATGGTACAGAAAAATCATTTAGCAGGAATGAATGAGACGGCCGGGCACGGTGGTTCACGCCTGTATTTCCAGCACTTTGGGAGGCCGAGGCGGGCGGATCATGAGGTCAGGAGATCAAGACCATCCTGGCTAACACAGTGAAACCCCGTCTCTACTTAAAATACAAAAAAAAAAAAAAATTAGCTGGGCGTGGTGGCGGGCGCCTGTAGTCCCAGCTACTCGGGAGGCTGAGGCAGGAGAATGGGGTGAACCCGGGAGTTTGAGCTTGCAGTGAGCCGAGATCGCACCACTGCACTCCAGCCTGAGTGACAAAGCAAGACTGTCTCAAAAAAAAAAAAAAAAAAAATAGAATGAATGAGACCTAGTATTTGCTAGCACAACAGAATGCCTATAGTCAAAAATAATTTAATTGTACTTTTAAAAATAACTAAAAGAGTATAGCTGAAATGTTGTAACACAAAGGATAAATGCTTGAGGTGACAGACACCCCATTTACCCTGATGCGATTATTACACATTGCATGCTGTATCAAAATATCTCATGTAACCCATAAATATATACACCTACTCTGTTGGCACAAAAATTAAAAATGAAAAAAAGAAAGAAAGAGGCCTGACTTATTTGGAGTCGTAGGATTTTTGAAATAGAAAGAAGGTCTTAGACATCATCTTTTGTAACCCATTGCCCTGTAACCTGAGACCCAGGAGTTCCAGAGTGGTTGGAGTGAGATGGTCAAGATCACAAAATAAAGAAGTGACAAAAATAGGGCTGGATCTCAAGTCACCGTTCCCAAGACCAGACCCTTGTCTCTATGCAGTGCCATTTCAGCCTGTTCTCTGCTTTTGTTCTCACCCCTCTGGATCTTATGAGGTTTGTCTTCTTGATTGATTTAGAAAAACACTATCTATTTGACTATCTATTTGACTTCTCTTAGCCATCTTTTGTGGTACCTGAGTCCAGCCAGCTTTCGCTAATCCTCTAGAAAGCAGGACAACTCTCTTTTCTGGATTATCTTACTAAAAGAGAACCAGAAATCCTGTAGTTAGGCCAGAGCTGATTAATTGGAAATGCATGAGCCTGGACTAAAAATAAATGGATTTTAAACTAACCAGATTTAGATTATCCAGTATTTTTTATGGAAGGAGAATAGGCCATCATGTCAACTGAAAAATAGCAGCTGTTTCAAATTATGAGATACTTTGAATAGAGCAATATTGGCTCAGCAAGATTGTACAGTGTTATGGCATTATTTTAAAAAACAGCCTCTTTGCTGTGGCAAATAGCTCCTGCAGTTATGCTGTTTGAAATGTTAATGTATGACTCCTCACATTACTTTCAGAGTTGTTCATTGCTTGGAACCAGTGATTTTAGGTGGCAACTAGAAAAGCAGTTTGTAAATGGTAATAATTATATGATGTTGTTTTGAATGAATGTTGGAAAGACTGGTAGCACAAAGAACTTGAGAGTTACTTTTCATTAACTCCTTAAGTCACAACTATAATTCTTAGTCACGACTAAGGAGAGAAAAAGTCAATTTAAAACTGACTTAAAGAAAATTATTAAATGAGTACTAGGACAGCTGATACAAAGATATAGCCAAAGTGGTGATAGTATCTTGTTAATGTATGAAGTATAAAAACCAAGGCTTTAAGATGAAGCCCAAATTGAGGGTTCAAGGAAGGAACAGGGTAAAACTTGATTTAAAAGCATACAATTGGCAAAAAAAAAGAAAAACGAAAAAAAACCATTTTGATGTCCAAATGAATTCTAATTCCTCTCTAAGAGTTCTCAAGACGATCAGCATCGTACTATTTGGCAGAAAAGACAAACTACTCATTAAATAGTTTTTTGAGCAGATTTATTTATTTAAGGTCTCTCCAGATAAAAGGTGTGACTACCTAGCTTTTCATTTAAGCTAGAGGACCTCTTTCCATTGTGCAGGCAGCACTAACTCACTCCATATTCCTGAAACAGAAAATATGTTTGACTCAGTTGATCGACACATGTATTTGATTTCTTTCCTTTTCTTCTTTTCTTGTGACATCAAAGGTCGTGCTTTGCCTTGTTCTGATTTCACTCTTTGAAACTGTTCCTTTTCACGCACCCTTGATAGAGTAGGAAGAGTTACCAAAGAAAAACACAAACAACAATAAGGAATCATACCAATGCCAATGATGGGGCAATTCAGAAATAGCAGGGGCCTGATCTGTAGGGTGCTTAAACTTCCATGCATGATTTTCATGAAATGCAGCACCTCTAAAGCATAGGACTGGTGGTCAGGGTCTGATAGCTTCGTCTAGAATGAGCATCTAGTGCCAGTCCTTGCAGTCACTTACAAGGAAGGAGGGCACGGAATAGAACATGTTGTAGATGGTTGACCCCTTGCAGTAGGGACTGAGGGATCATGACGGATACATCATGGATGGAAATCCACAAAGTGGAAACCGTTTTTGCTTGCCTTTAAAAGCAAATCTAAAAATATGTTTTCTAGCAGCTGTGTAACTGCAAGGAAAAAAAAAA
Organism: Homo sapiens; assembly: GCF_000001405.40. NCBI lineage: Eukaryota > Metazoa > Chordata > Mammalia > Primates > Hominidae > Homo > Homo sapiens. The sequence continues at coordinate 24,454,874 of NC_000010.11, forward strand.
AAATCTGCTCCACTGCAACACAACTCGCTCACCAGATATCTGCAGGGTTCAGATCTTAATGCTTCAGAAATTTGTTGCAGATTTTACTGTATATATTTAGACCAAGGAGCCTATTAGCTTGCAATCTGAGAGAACCTCTGCATTTTCATGAAAATGAGAAATGTGGCACTGTTGGCAACCTCGGGCTATAATTATGTTAATCTGACCATTTTAAGACTGAAATATGTTGTTTTAAAATGTTTCTGTATTTTTATTATTCGTAACAATGATCTGAAGAAATTTACTGAAATGCTAATAAGTTTCTATTCAGTATCACTTTGAGACTAGAGCACAAAAAATGAGTCAGATGTGGAATTTTGATATTTTTAATTTTGGCACAGAATTTTTATCGACAGATATGTACTCATATACATAGAGTATCTTAATATAAAAACTACCCAAATATAATTTTATATTTTAAATATAGATACAGTGAGTATATGTGCAAAGCTGTCTTGGCAGATATGTGCAATAACAAAACATCTCTACATTTGCATTAAATTCCCAATCTTTGCTCTGCCAAAAATTAATTTTGCGCATTATTACAAGATAAATGTTTTTCTATCAAGAACCATGCTAAAGCACCCAGTTCCCTGTTTTTGATATAAATGTAGGACAGGACTAGAATGGATAATGTAGTTGAAATTCTGAGAGCCTCTAAACACATATCTTGAGCTAATTAGTTCGGCTTCCTCTTCAGCAGCCAAAGCTTGCATTCTGGCCACAGACAAGTAATGACACGGGTGCTCTTTTCATTCACAAAAGAGATGTTCTCCCAGGTGGTAAGATGGGAAGGAAAAGAGAATGATCCAATGCCAAGATGTGGGTAATCACCCATCTCACAGTGATTATAGATAATTGCAATTTGAGTCTATTTGTTGTTGTAACACTACGAAATGAATTGGGAGTCTTTTACATATAGCCTGATCTGGGTTCAGAATGATCAATTAATTTGGGAATAGGAATGAGGAAAAGTACTTTTTGTTTTTTTCTGAGACACGAGTCTCCCTCTGTTGCCCAGGCTGGAGTGCAGTGGTGCAGTGGTTCACTGCAACCTCCGCCTCCCGGGCTCAAGAGATCCTCCCACCTTAGTCCCCCAAGTTGCTGGGACTAAAGGCGTATGCCACCCCACCAGGCTAATTTTTCTATTTTTTGTAGAGGTAGGGTTTCACCATGTTGCCCAGGCTTGTTGCAAACTCCCGAGCTCAAGTGATCCACCAGCCTCGGCCTCCCAAAGTGCTGGGACTACAGGCGTGAGCCACCATGTCCAGCCTGGACCATTTTCTCAAATATGATATCTTTGAAATATAATACAGTATGATGTTCTTACATTGGCTGCATCCAGAGTCCTCATTTTTTGCCAGTTCTTGTATCTCCAAAACGAATGTGTCATTCGTTTCATCCTTCTGTGAATACATTCAAGTGAGTATTTTCCGTTTTATTCATTTTCTTCTGCCTCACAGCTCACTGAGTGGGCCCGTGAATGTTTGCTGATGATATTAATAATCATGCGTGCTCAGTGACACAACAATGATGGAACTCATTAGGTATTCACAGCACCAGAAGAGAAAGTGCAAGAAGGTTTTACTGAAGCAAGTAAGCAGCTGAATCAGGGGCTCAGAGTTCAGTGTCAGGACTACAGTCACAGTTATGAGACCACAGCCAAGAAGAGATTCCCAGCAGGGAAAAACCAAGCCCTTTGAGTCATAATCCAGTGCTCGATCCACCACACCCCACTGCCTTCCTTGAGATGATGGTGTGGAGGAGTACTGATTGATGAGGAGGATTAAACCTTTTTTTTTTTTTTTGAGACAGAGTCTCGCTCTGTCCCCCAGGCTGGAGTGCAATGGTGTGATCTCAGCTCACTGCAACCTCCGCCTCCCAGGTTCAAGTGATTCTCCTGCCTCAGCCTCCCGAGTAGCTGGGATTACAGGCACCTGCCACCAAACCCGGCTAATTTTTGTGTTTTTAGTAGAGTCAGGTTTCACCACGTTGGCCAGGCTGCTCTCGAATTCCTAACCTCAAATGATCCACCTGCCTGGGCCTCCCGAAGTGCTGGGATTACAGGTGTGAGCCACTGTGCCCGGCCAATTAAACCCTTTTTAATTAAAAAAAAAAATTGGAAACTAATTTGTGTACTTCAGTGTGTTGGAGGAAACGTCATCGAAATGGCACCAGTGTCTTGCTGCCTTAATTTTAAGAAATCCCCTTTATTTATTGTCACTTATCTTCTGTCCTCTCTGGGAGAAGTGTTGCTCTAACGTTGCTTTTCTGAAAAGTAAAGATAATGCAAAGATAAAAAGAGTTGGGGAGGTTGGGTTGGGCATTGAGGGAAGATAAGCTACCTTTGGTTCAGCCTGCAGCTTGATTCTTTTTGAAGTGACTTGAAAGCTCTTGGTGCTAATCAAGAACTTTTTGTTTGTTTTTTGTTTTGTGTGTGTGTGTGTGTGTATGTGTGTGTGGGTGGCGGGGTTTGGGGGGAACAGGATCGTATTCTGTCACCCAGGCTGGAGTGCAGTGGTATAATCATAGCTGGAGTGCAGTGGTATAATCATAGCTCACTGCAGCCTTGAACTCCTGGGCTCAAGCCATCCTTCACCTCGGCCTTCAAGTAGCCAGGGTACAGGCATGCACCACCATGCCTGGCTAATTTTTTAAATTTTAATTTTGCAGAGACAGGGCCTTGCTATGTTGCCCAGGCTGGTCTCAAACTCCTGGCTTCTAGCCATCCTCCCGCCTTGGCCTCCCAAAGTGCTAGGTTTATAGGTGTGAGAGCCACTGTGCTCAGCCCTAATCATGAACTTTGAAAAGTGCTCCATAGATTACAAAGCATTTTCTTCACTTGCCTTACATCCTGTGTGGGAAGGAAGTCTTTCCTTCCTGGAGGCAACGGGTAAGAAGAGCAACTAGACAGTGTGTAGCTCCTTACTCTCGGTAGGCATTTCGTCATATGGAGCATGACTTATTGACTTGCTTCTGTTCTTTCTCATGAGCTACTCAGTGTCAGGAGTACAGGGCTTGACTTAAACATAGGGATACTCAAAGGCCCACCTGGCAGTTTGTTGTTGGGACACAGGGAAGCAGATTGTGTCTCTGAAGAGGAGGCTTCTGTCGGTGTCAGAGCCTGGTGGGGAAGAAGGGATTGGTCAATATTTGGCTAAACTCCTTCAGCTGTTGGTGCAGCAAAAGGCATGGCAGGGCGTGGGCAGAGATGCCTGCCAAGCCCGGCCTCAGGGCATGTACAGCTCCCAAACTGGTTGTCTTTGAGGCTGTTATTTATCCAAATAAGGAGAAGCAGTAGTTTTGCTGACCATCTCAGATTTCCAAGCCATGCTCCCTGGCTGGCTGACTGACTTGCTATTTGAACTGAAAACACGAAGGTATTCCTTTGAAATGGAGCAGTCTTGTGGGGCTCGTGAGTACCCTAGAGTCATTACTTGGAAGAAGATTTTTTTTGCTCCCCACATTTGTAGATAACATGAACATGGCTTGGTCTATTTGACCCTTCTCTTGTGACTCTGGCAACACTCAATACAGATGGACCTGATCTGGGACAGAAATAGTACTCATTTTCAGAGGTTCTTGAACCACTGCCCTCCTTTGAAGAGGATTCAAAGGTCAGACCTCCACACTGATTTCTTAACACTAGAATGCAAGATTATTCTAGCACTTCATAGATCCTGGCCCTGTTATCTGACTTCAGGTAAGATATTTGAAGTCTCTGAGCCCCAGTTTGTTCATCTGTGAAATGGGAATTATAATGTATCTAATGGGAATGAGATGAGAATTAAATGAGGTAATTTTGGAAAGCATTGGTAAATAGGAAGTCACCCAAAATATTCATTTTCTTCCCTATTTCCATCTTCTCTTGGCAGATTTAATTGACAATATTTATAATAGAGAAATTCTAGATAATTATGATTGCTGTCCAAAGGATTTAACCAAGCTCACAGTAGAATGGAGATTGTGATGTGAACGTTCAGTGACCCTGCATTACTATGTCCCTCTACTCACTAAAGCAGTGGTTCTCAAAGAGTATTCCCTGAACCAGCAGGTCAGTATCACCTGGGGACTTGTTAGAAATACAGATTCCTCGGCACCACCCGAGACCTACTGAATCAGACACAGTGGATGTTAGACCCAGTAATCTGATTTACTAAACTCTCCAGGTGATTCTGAAGCCCACCATCTGAGAGTTGGAGAACCACTGTCCGAGAGTAACTCACTGGTTGGGTCGGTAGTCTAGCCATTCCCCCAGGGCACCTGGACTTTCCTATCCCTTGTCCTTGACCATGCCTTAGTTCCTGCCTGGAATACCTAAGAAAGGGACCTCTTTCTTACCTGCTGAAATTCTATTCATCATTCATGAACCCACTCTCACCTCTTCAGAAAAGTGTTCCTCAGTCATCCCCACCATAAGAACCTCATTATTCTATGAACTACCAGAGTATTTGTCTGTTGCACTCATTTGACACTTAGCAAAGTTATTCTTGCTTTCTCATATTTTAATGTTCACGTACATGCCTTATTTTTCCTACTAGAATGTAAGTTCTTCAGAGGTAGAAATCATGTCTTACAGATCCCTTTTCCCTCATCAGCCTTAACCCTGGGCTTTGTATATAGGTAGCTACTCTGTAAATATATGGACCCACAGAATCTCATCATTGGAATGGGCCTTAGAGAAAGTCTACATGAGATTTCTTATTTACAGATAAAGAAAGGGATGTTGACCAGGCGTGATGGTTGACGCTTGTAATCCTAGCACTCTGGGAGGCCTAGGCAGGAAGATTTCTTGAGGCAAGGAGTTTGAGGCCAGCCTGGGCAATGTAGTGAGCTCTTAGCTCTACAAAAAAAAAAAATGTTTTTTAATTAGCTGGGGATGGTAGTGTGCACCTATAATCCTACCTATTCAGGAGGCTGAGGTGGGAGGATCACTTGAACCAAGGAATTCAAGGCTTCAGTGAGCTATGATCACACCACTGCACTACAACCTGAGCAACAGAATGAGACCCTGTCTCTTTAAAACTAAAAAAAGTGAAAAGAAAGAAAACAATGTTAACACCTGGACCAAAATGCTAGTTCCGGGACTCCCCATTTGGTGTTCTTCCCCCATCACCCTGCTGTGCCGACTGCGGAGAAACATACCTGGGGGCTTTCAGAGCCACTGGCCTGGCCCCAAAACTAGCAGGTGTTCTCATGTTCTCTGCCACAGACTTCAACTAAACCCAAGGAAAGCAGATGGGTTTTCAAAGCTATACTCATTTAATTTATAAACCTGGAACCTCTTACATTTTTTCATAACTAATGAAAACTGGGAAAGTACAAAATTTTCATTCATAAGCCTATAAAATTGTATAACAAATGGCATCAATTCCTAGCCTTACACGTGAGAATTTCCCCAGCTCACACACTCCGTATACTTAGGATACCCATGGAACTTCTTTTATTTTTGAATAAAAGTTCACAGTGAAGATCATTCACAGTGGAGCAGGCGGCTCTTCTGAACCCAGGAAGAATGGGCATGAGGGCTTTTTTAATCTAGGTCCCCATCATTGTTTTTTTCATGTTTATTTTGAGGAAAAATTGAACCTGGCAGATCTGTGAATTACTGTCTTTCGGTGTTACCCTCTGGGACTATTCCCTCAGACAATCCTTTCTTCTCTTGACACATGGGCTGATGTTGTTTGGCTGAGGATCAAAATAATGGCACAACTAAAACACCTTTCATCAGAAGTCATCCATAACATACCCTTTAAAATTTGCTCCACAGACACAGCTCACTTTATGCTGTATGTTTTTTCTTTTGCTTGGTAATAGAACCTACACATATCCTACTGAGATCAATATGAACACAGCAGAATGCAGGCAATGGAATGTGTTTCCTGTAGACGGGCTAAGACGGTAACCCAGGTCCACAGAGTTGGTTTCAGAAAAGCTATAATCAAAGAAGGAGGAACAGTGAAGGTAGACATGAGACAGGCCTGAAGGGGTTAAACCTACTAGGGAGCAATTGGTAGTAAGAAGCTGAGACCACATGAGGCTGTGAGAAAGGAGTTATTACAGAAACAGACATCCTGGGATTTGAGTAGCTCCATTGTGAGAAGACATTGACAGACCACGAATAAATGGCCATATGGTTTCCAAGTTGACATCTGCCATTCCCCAATGTGTTTACCACCATTTTCTCTCACGGGCTCTGAAAACCATCTATCCTTTACACTGCAATTGTATAGTGTGAAATTCTACATAGATCAACATCAATTCATTGTTTCAGTTTAGGTATATCATATCATCAAACTAAAATATATATACATTTTAATTTTCATGCTGTAATCATCCTAAAGTTATATAACACTCCATCTAGCTGTTTTCATATCTGTCCTTTAAACTGCAATTGTAGAGCATAACATTCTTTTTTTGTTTTTGTTTTTGTTTTGTTTTGTTTTGTTTTGGTGGTGGGGAGACAGAGTCTTGCTCTGTTGCCCAGGCTGGAGTACAGCTGCATAATCTTGGCTCACTGCAGCCTCCATCTCCCAGGTTCCAGCAATTCTCCTGCCTCAGCCTCCCAAGTAGCTGGGATTACAGGTGTGTGCTACCATGACTGGCTAGTTTTTTGTACTTTTAGTAGAGATGGGGTTTCACCATGTTGTCCAGGCTGGTCTCAAACTCCTGGCCTCAGGTGATCCGCCCACCTTGGCCTCCCACAGTGCTGGGATTACAGGTGTGAGCTACTGCACCCGGCTGTATAGCATAAAATTCTACACAGATCAACATCACCTCATTGTGTAAATTTAGGTATGTTATATCATCAAACTAAAATACATATATACATTTTAATTCTCACGTTGTTGTAATCATCCTAAAGTTATATAATGCTCTACCTAGCTATTTTTGTTCACGATATAATCAATTTGGTCAGTTTCTCCAGTGAAAAGAAAGAAGAGCATAGAGTGCAGCGATGGAGACCCTGTGCCTCTGTGGGTGGTGCATGCATCTCTGAGGGGCATGGTCCTGAGAATGTCACCCCATAATGGAATTAGGGTTGTAATGGTAAGGGATTTTAATCAGCTAAGGCTCAGATATTTTATTTCATAAGTAATCCGGTGCCTGTGACTGATGATGACTTTGTGCATGCTTCTGTGTGTACATATATGTATATGTATACATATGTATAACTTGTGATATGGTGATATCCATATAGTACTGAGTGATGTATAATATCGATAGGTATATATAAGTATAATATATATAAGCATATATACTGATATATCTATTAAATATAACTAATATATAACTAATTATATAACTTACTCATTTTGAGGCAAGTAGATAAAACCTAATTGTAAGTCAAGAGAGGCTCTAAATCATTCGAGCCGAAGCCCAGTGAGATGCCCCAGTGATTCTTTTCCTTTGCTGTGAAAATCTGGACCTGTGAATGGAGTGAGGTACTTCTCAACAGACTTGTTCATGTTTCACACCATGGCCAGAAATCGAATAAGGAATCCATCAGTGATCACGCGTGGGCAGGCATGAGGAACATCGTTCTTTGCAGAATAGCTTGCAGTGTCCTGAAGTGCACAGCAGGTCACACGCAAACAACCGAGGAAGCTGGGGTTCTTGCTGCCTCACTGCTTAGCAGCTATGGGAAGCTGGGTGAGGTTCTTAACTCCCTGCACTTCTGTTTCCCAACTATTCAAAAAGACATAAGACACCTGTTCTATGTCTTTCACTGAGTTCTGGAGCCCATGAAATGTCACAATTGAGAGCCCTTTGTAAACTGCAAACTGCTATGTGATTATTGGAGTGTTTGTGGGTGGGGTATGGTGAGCACGGGGATTTAAAATCTCTTGTTAGAATATGAAGTGTCACAAGCAAATAAAGCAGTATATCCTATATGGCAACATGTGGTTGACAAGTTACATAGTAGTTTCAAGAACTGTCATAAAGAGAAAAATAAAGTCTAAGGCGCTAAAAAGTTGTAGTTGGGTGCCGCAGATAACTTACTAGCATCCAATCTAGAAAACATTAAAAGGGAGCTGTGCATAAAAGAACAAGGTTCGTCCAGGAAATGGGTGGATGTGCAGAGATGGAGATAAGAGAAGGAATTATTTGTACCATCTGTTGCAAGTGGCATAAAAAAGATATCATTTTACAAACTGTAACTATTTTTGGTACAAAAGGAGGTTGTCCTTGGCCTGGGGAACATGGGAGTAGCCCAGCAGAAGATTGAGTGTCAGTGAGAAGGACATTTTTCTTTTATCCATCCTACAGCACTGCACAATTATTGATTGTGGCTTGGAAGCGAAATGATTTATTTAACATTACTTCTCTATTCTGCTCCAGATTGAGATCTTTAATCACTGTTGGACCCAGGACTGGTCAGCCAGGTCTGGCCACTGGAGGGCTCAGTAGAGTTCCTCTGTCAAAAGATTTATAGAAATAACGCTCATCTTAAATATAGCCATAAGCTAACCGCTGACTGGACCATCTCTTTCCTGGGAATTAAATAATTTTGGCAGCAGTCTGTCTGTCTGTCTGTCTCATGTCTGGGAGACATTCCGTTTACAATCAAATGAAACAATAGGCTAACTAAAACCTTACAAATGGCAATCTTCCCAATTTTACCAATGCAAACAAGATGAATTTGAAATTTTTTCAACGTAATAATCCCTTCCCTTCCTAATATCATCTTCATATCTATAGGCACAGTTCAGATTTTCTTTGAGCAAATGTAATTTTTTTAAAGCCAATGAAGAAATGAATATGAAAGGGAAAATAGGAATGAATATGTGTCACAATACTATTGGCCTTGCCAGAGCATAAAAATTACTTCCTGTTGAGGTAATCCTGAATATTTCCTAGCACGTCCATTCTTAACACTGACTCAGAAAGAATACATTGCTTCCACTTTGCTTTTAGGCCTAGTCAATGAAAGGAAGAGGGAAAATGAAGAGTGGGACACTTTATACACTGCTGGGAAGAGGAACGTAGTAATGGCTGTAATGTCCCAAGGTAGAGAAGGCAGAGAAGGATCTGGTGATGTAATCAAACCAAAGCGTGGGGGTGTTAGTGGTTGCACACACTCATACTGAACCAAACTTTATGGTGAGTTAGCCTGAAAGAGCCCTTCTCTGGAGAATGTGCCTTCCACTGAGATAAAGCCACTGGGTCCTAGATGGCACCAGGATATTGTTTAGGAAATTGGCTTGTCTGGTTCATTAGCAGGTACTCTGGGGCCTTTGGAGATTGAACTCCACCTCTCTTGGGTGAGCTTGGCGCTTGCTAAAGAGCATTTAACTCATCCTGATTCACCGCAGGATTGGGCTGGCTTTCAAACTCCTGACAGTGAATTACTGCTCTTGTAATGACGAATCCATGCATGCATGCTACAGACAGTGCCCTGGAGCATTTTGAAAGTGAAAGGAAATTGCTGTGAACCTGGCAGGAAGGAAGAGAAGGGAGAGGTAAACTAGACTTCTTCTCGCATTGAACCGACCGACTCTCATTGTAACAGGGTCAACAGAAGCCACCTCTCTCTAGCGTAATGGACATGGTTTCTTGTGGTTTTACCCTTTGTTGCTTTTTTTTGGAGCCAGGGTCTCACTCTGTCACCCAGGCTGGAGCGCAATGGTGTGATCTTGGCTCACTGTAGCCTCTCAACCTCTCAGGCTCAAGTGATCCTCCCACCTCAGCCTCCCAAGTAGCTGGGAACACAGGCATGCACCAGCATGCCCAGCTAAGTTTTTACTTTTTGTATAGGCTGGGCCTCCCTATGTTGCCCAAGCTGGTCTCAAACTCCTGGGCTCAGGGGATCCTCCTGCTTCCACATCCCAAAGTGCTAGGATTACAGGCGTGAGCCACATAGCACCTAGCCCATAGCAGATATGGGATAACATGTCGAACATGGCATGACTTGCTTAGCCAAGCAGCAGAGAGACAGAGAGTTCACTGTTTGTTTCCTGGGGGACAGCCTGGCCCCAGACCCTTCACATACAGTCACTGGGACAAGCAACCCTGCCCATAATAAGCAGGTAAAGAAGAATTATAAGAGCCATGTCTGTTAGCACACCTCACGCCATAAGACAGGGTCTTTGGAGGATGTGATAGGGGCGGCATCGTGGCCTAATCAGACAAGGGGGACCACTCCTCCATCCCCCTTCCTGGAAAGTACGTGCTTGACTGAAGACACAAAACAAAACCTGCCTAATGTATACCAGATTCATCAGAAGCTGATAGTGTGTGCCTCCCATACTCTGGTGAGAAATAACAAACCCTTGCTGATTAGATTAAAAGTCAAGAGCTTCCACATTCCTTCTACTGTTTTCCGACCTCTTAGGTGGCATCTGTTACAACCACTTCATCCAAATATTTTTCCTAGTGAGACATCTTAGGAGGGTGGCAATGTCACGTGCTCCATTTGCCCCCTTCTTTAATAACCACAAAGTGATTTGATGGCAGTAAACAGTTTTTTTAGAAAGCCTGCAAAGGACTGGATTTGAACTTGAAAGACGTCATGGAATTCTTTTGGTCAGCAAGAACAACCTCTAAAAGCCTTAAAATGTTTTAAAAATGCACAGGCTGCCCAGAGCGTGGTAGTTGGGTGTGGCGTGAAGCCAGTGGGGCTTCCAGCCCAGTGAGTGGAGTTCCTTGTCACCGTATTCCCACTTGGATAGCTTTCGGTTCCACCCAGTCCCCAAGGGCTCAGAAAACATGATGGTAATCAGAGCCTGCCTGGGAGCGCAGGAGATGCTTCCTTTCTCCCCCACCTTTTGCTAGCAATGCATTAATGCCAGTCCTCCGCTGAGAGCTGCACAAGTCACTTCGTGTTGTGGACACGCACCTTCTTGTACCTGTTCCCCTGGAAGATACCAGCTGTGCTGACAGCGGTTGTAGCCAGAGGTCTCTGGGGATCGCCTACCTTCTCGTCCTTCATCTTGTTTAGGGTGGGGCAGAAGGGCTCTGGTTTCCTTTCCAGAATCCCCTCTGCACAGCCCTGGTTTGCCCTCTCTATCTTTCCTTCTCGTTTCAGATGTATTTTCCAGGGTGATTGCAGTTCCTTGCCCGGCGCTATGTAGGACTGATTAATGGCTGCTACCCAAAGTTCAGCGTGGTAAAACAGGGCTGGTTAATTAATAGACAGCCTCCTTATCTCCCTCATGTTTTCCCTCTGGTGTTAAACCAGGAGAAGAGGCTTACGTTTCCTTCAGCTGCCAATTCCCAGACTTCAAAAGTCTGGCAGCAAAGTGGGTATTGGGTGCTGGTCTAGGTTTTTGCAGTAGCACCTTTAAGTCAACAGAAAACTGATCTGAAAGTTGGCTCCTCTGGATTGAGTATGTTGGGTTTTTTGACAGTTTCATTTCTCGGTGGCTGGTTGTTTGCCCTTTCTAATGATCCTGTTTGCCTTCAGCGAAATATATTTTGTAATATTTCCTTTGCTGTTAACCCATTTACCTAGGCCGTTTAAAGTTCCTTCATTGGTGTTTTCCCTGTAAGCAGTTGTTGAAGGACTGAGTCACCCGTGAGGTAGCCTGTGGTTGGATGTGGGCTGAGGTTATTCAGTGACTAATTTCCAAGGGGAGGAGAAATTGACTTATCACGGGGAAGGTTACTTTTTATCCATGCCAGTGTCAGCTTCTCTCCGAAAACTGGGTAATACGAAATGGTCTTTATTGGTTGTGAACACTCGAGCTGAGAAACATTTTAGGATCTTTGTGTCTTTTGTGATGATTTTGTTTCTGAAGAGGAAGCTGTCTAAAATATTCAAGTGTGCAACCAAGGATTTAGATGAAGCCAGCAAACAAAGGAATCATGTAATCAGGACCTGAGCGAATGTGCTTACTCACGGCGTTAGTTACACAGGTGATTTCCTTAAGAAAAAGTAAGTGGCTTTAATTCTTTGAGGGTGAAAGAGTGTCTTAAGATTCCATTTCAGTTTTCTCTGCTTACTTCATTGTGTGGTCTGATTGAGTGGTATGTTTACAAATTCTAGACTTGGAAGGGTGGGGTTTGAAATACAACAAACTGTACATAATATTCCTTTTCCACAAGCAATATATATATATATAAATGCTCCACAGACATGATTACATGAGGCAGTTTCCCAAGATGATTTTAAACAAATATTTTTTATACTAGGTTTTTTTTTTCTGGAAACAATTTTAATATGTTGTTTCTTATCTTACGTTCAAGAAACTTCTGAATGAGTGATATTCGATTTGACTTATGGTTCTTTTGGGAAATAATATATAGCTACATGTAAGAATTTCTAACTCAGACTTCAGATCTTAATTTGAAATGGCCCCAGATATTTTCTGGTGTTTCAGAAGTATGGTGTAAACAGCATTTTGATCCGTGTGCAGTCTGTGGGCAGGGACACCTGCCTGTCAGCCTGCTATTATGATGAGGCTCTTGAAGAAACTACCCTCTTTCTAAGAACTGGAAGAACTCAAATAATGAAGAGACAATAGAGGTTTGGGCAGTAATGGAAAGAAGAAAAGACAGTGCCTAGCCAAGCAGATGAATGAGGTAGAACAGTCTTGTTCATACATTGCCATTATATCTAGTGCAGTTGAATGAACATTTTCTGTGTCTGGGCTTAGGTGCAGGCAAATAGTTATCTGTGTTGTATTCAGATAAGGGGTTAGAAGAATCTTTATTTTTCTGTGTCGGTCATCTCTTTCTTGCTGTAAAATGAAATTGTTTAAAGCTTACATTATGACATTAGTGTTGAAATTCTGTGGGGAAAAAGTGTCAATGGTACAACATAGCTAGTTACTTAAACTCACTAAGGGAAAAGAGATGATAAGATTAGTAGCATCAGAGAGATCAGTGGCAGAATAAGGGACTGGGATATATTAATGTGAATGGCAACTCGTATGTGTGTATGTGTATGTGTGTGTGTATGTGTGTGTGTGTGTGTGTGTGTGTTGCTTATTTATTTTCTTTGTAAGTTTAGTATAATTTTCTCCCACAAGGTCTGACTTTGAGTACCAGCGCAGGAAAAACCCAGTATGTATTTAATGCCATGTCTTTACTCATTAGCCAAATAACAGTTAAAAACCAAAACAAAATAAATCTGTGTTGGTGACAGATTCTAGGAAGATCTCTCCTTAGTAAGAATACCCGCAGCAAAGGCTGGGTTTGTTTTAAACTGTGAATTATACAATCTTAACCATCATGCTGCTTCCATCTATCAGATTCTGGAGTCTCTAAATTCTACTTTTTATTGCAAGTGTGACCTTGGAAATCACATTGAAGACTTGAAAACATCCCTCCAGTGATGTCCCCTTACCTTCCCCCACATCCTAAGAGCGAGTTGCCTTAGGTTGGTCCCTGTCTTTTATGGTAGGATTCCCAAGTTGTCTGATCGTAAGGGTTCATTCTAGTTGTGGTTTTAAAACAAATGTTTCCCACTCTATATTGGGATCATTGTGTCATTTTTCTTCTTGGGCTCTGTTTAGAGCCAAGGATGAAATACATGATCCTGGTTCTTTTTAAAACTCCGTCTTAGAAAGTCAGTCACAGCTTGGCAAACCAACATAAGAATTCTGCCAAGACTTCCAACATCTAAGTCACCTGTGTTGATAGAGACATTCAACCTCAGATTACCAATTCTGTCACAACCGAATGTTTGTATTCAGCGCCACTGTGGATAACTCAGATTGATGGTGACTCTTTCGGTGACCCTTTTGGATGATGGCAAGATTATTTTGAAGTGGACAGGGCAGGGAAGACACACAGGATTAGCTCCAGATCCGGGCTGCTGACTGTTCATGGCAAGCAGCCGTCCTCATTGGCTGAGGTCCCATTCTGGTTGGTTGGTGTCCATGCCATACTGGATATTAGCTGTAAAATATTTCGACTATCACTGGTGTTTCCCACATGAATGCCCAATACAATGTATCAGAATTACTTTTAGTTAATTGTTATATTTCTTTCTAATCTCATCTATACATACCACTAGTAAATCTATTGAGATATTCTAGTTAGATCTTTAAATGTTTCATTTTAAAGGTTATTTATATATCTCCTAACCATTTTTTGCATGTCACCAAGCATGTTTTTAAAATACCTATGTAAATACCTTTGCTGTTTTCAAAGAAATGTACTCAACTTTTTATGAATTTAAATAAATTTTACATTTTCTTTTTACTAATATTATTTATCCTTCTGGACAGTTCTATACTCTCTAGAATATTTTATTTTATTTTATTTTACTTTATTTTATTGGAGACAGAGAGTCTTGCTGTGTCGCCCAGGTTGGAGTACTGTGGTGTATTCTTGGCTCACTGCAACCTCCGCCTCCCAGGCTCAAGCAATTCGTGTGCCTCAGCCTCCTGAGTAGCTGGATTACAGGCGCATGCACTGCGCCTGGCTAATTTTTGTATTTTTTTATAGAGACAGGGTTTTGCCATGTTGCCCAAGCTGGTCTCAAACTCCTGGCCTCAAGTGATCCGCCCACCTCAGCCTCCCAAAATGTTGGGATTATAGGCGTGAACCACTGCACCGAGACCCTAGAATCTTAATGTCCCTTTTTACACTCCTGCCAAAAAGAGGAAAGCTTCTGCTGGTTAATTGGGATCGTAGTCCCCCAGATAAAGATGTACTCTGAAGGTGGCTAAGGAAGGAAAAGAGAACAGGGAATAGTGACTGACCTAGTTAGGACTGTTGTTCATACCAAGAGGGTTCTAGATATTATATTGATTGATTGATTGATTGAGACAGAGTCTCACTTTGTCACCCAGGCTGGAGTGCAGTGGTATTATCTCGGCTCACTGCAACCTCCACCTCCCGGGTTCAAGCAATTCTCCTGCCTCAGCCTCCCGAGTAGCTAGGACTACAGGTGCATGCCACCATGCCCAGCTAATTTTTGTATTATTAGTAGAGAGGGGGTTTTGCCACGTTGGCCAGGCTGGTCTCGAACTCCTGACCTCAAGTGATCCGCCTGCCTCGGCCTCCCAAAGTGCTGGGATTACAGGCCTGAGCCACTGTGCCCAGGCAGTTCTACATATTTTAAATATTTTTCTGGAATTAATAACAATAATGACAACAGTACCTACCATTTGTTGTATGTGATTTGCCTTGGACACTGTGTAATGCTTTATAAACAGTGGCATATTTGAGTCGATGTGATGAATTTATCTCGATGTTTGTTTTGGTTGGTTATTGCATTGTGTAATCTGATTATGTGGAGAATTTGCCCACATATCCGCTGCTCGCTGAGCCAGTCCCTCCTGTATTTTATGACCTGTGAAGCCCTGTGCTGCTTCCTGCTGAGCCATACTTTGCTTTTTATTGAGCCCTGAATTGTGAAGGCAGAGTGAGAGAGGTATTTATAGAGGATCCGTGTCGCTCTCCTGCAAAACCTGTGTCACGCGGTTGCCCAGCCTCCCTGGAATGAGCATCAGTCAGGTGTATTATCATGCAATGACCTTGGGACTGTTCCTTCTGGTCTAAAGCACTGAGCACCTGAGTCATGAGGGTGTCCAATGAGCAGGGAGGTCCTCATGGGCTGGAGCATCAGGGCAGGGGCCATGCAGAGCAGACGCACCTGGAGCCTGACCTCGAACCTTCATATGGATCCCCAAGAACTAGCACATGGGGAGAGAGACCCTGGAGTGAGGACAGCATCAGGATATCACAAGTTAGGTTTAGAGAAGGGAGAACAGATTAGCCTATCATAATGGGAGCTCTGTGTGTGTTTTGGGAGGGGAGTAGAGAGGAAGTGGAGATAAAATTGTAATTGTGAGGGAGGAGCCTGCATACTCCAGGGGGCCCAGAAATAGCCCCTATAGGAGCCAAGAGGCCAATTCCGTGGTGCCCAGGTCATGTATTCAAAAAGGGCTCCCTTTTGTTGCTACATATTAGCACCTTATTTGCACTTCTCATTGGTCACTTTCATTATGAAATCCACTTGTCTATGTAAAACTTGCAGGGCAGGGATTCTACACCGCTGGATCCTTCCAGGAGCAAGATAAGGAAGCCATGGGAGTCCCACTGGTTGTTCCTGCATTCTTATCTACGAAGTTTAAGAAAGAAGGTGCCCTCTCCATGGCGCTTGGGAGTTTCCATGGAACTTGGGGGCTTCTTTAGAACTGTATCCTAGAATAACCCCAGGCACTTACCAAGTGCTTGGTAAATACTCTTTACTACATGCAGTGAATTTTTGTGATAAAGAAGCAGTTAGTTTGTATCCTGTGCATTAGGCTCTGTTTCATTTTCAACCTTCTCCTGGTGCCTCTACTATCCCTACTGTCTTCCACATCATCCACATCATGGGGTCTCTTGGCTGCTCATCTTGGTTCTTGCCATTCAAGCCCCCACCTCTTTCCTCGGGTCCCTCCCTCATCCACCCTCCAACCATTTATACCCTTCTTCTCTGTCACATCTCCTGGAAGTCAGGATAGGGACTGTGGGCTCCTGTGACCTCACCAATAGAACTTGAAGAATGGATGGAGCCTGTCTCTCCTTCCCTCAGTTATTTGGAGAATCTCAGTGGTCATTTCCCCACTGCACCTTGACCAAAGCAAAAATATATGAAATCATCATATCCTGAGTTATTTTTTTTTTTATTCTACTCCCTTGCTAAACACAGTAACATAGTTGCAAATTACAGTTGACCATTGAACAAGGTGGGAGTTAGGGATGCTAAGTCCCCCACACACAGTAAAAAAAAAAATCAGTGTAGAGGCCAGGTGCAGTGGCTCATGCCTATAATCCCAGCACTGTGGGAGGCCGAGGCAGGCAGATCACCTGAGGTCAGGAGTTCAAGACTAGCCGGGCCAACATGGAGAAACCCCGTCTCTACTAAAAATGCAAAAATTAGCTGGGTGTGGTGGCACATGCCTGTAATCCCAGCTATTTGGGAGGCTGAGGTAGGAGAATCACTTGAACCCAGGAGGTGGAGATTGCAGTGACTGAGCTGAGATTGCGCCACTGCACTCCAGCCTGGGAGACAGAGCAAGACTCCATCTCAAAAAAAAAAAAAAAAAAAAAAAATCTGTGTAGAACTTTTACCTCCCCGCAAACTTAACTACTCACAGCCTACTGTTGACCAGAACACTTACAGATGACTTGAATGGTCGATTAACGCATAGCTTGAATGTTATATATATTATATACTGTATTCACATAATCAAGTAAGCTAGAGAAAAGCAAATGTTCTTAAGTAAACCATAAGGAAGAAAAAAATGTGTTTCCTTTCTATTAAGTGGAAGTGGATCATCATAAAGGTCTTCATCCTCGTCAACTTCATGTTGAATAGGTGAGAAGGAGGAAGAGAAGGGCTTGGCCTTGCTCTCTCAGGAGTGGCAGGGGAGGGAGGATATCTGTGTATCAGTCAACCTGCACAGTTCAAAGCTGTGTTCTTCAAGGGTCCACTGCCATTGTACTCTTATTGCTTAATTATTTCCTTCCAGCCTCTCCATGCTGATTTCTCATAGGCTCAAATGAAGAGTTGGTGAATGAATGAAACTTCCCTTCCAGGTTTTCCCCCATGCATCTCCTTTCCCCCTGCTCATCTCCCTAGATTGTATCCACTTTGAAAGATGGGAAACATGGTTACTATTTCCCAGGGCTAACAGTAGAAAAACGTGCTCAGGACAAGTTTTAGAAGACTCAGCGTGAGCACTATTGATACACTAGACCTGCATTTATTAAGCAGCATCTCTAAGAAGCTGTGACATTAAAATTTAAGCCACCACACTATTTTTTCCTGAAATCCCACAAAATTGCACTCTCCATCAGGTGTATTCATTTCTTGTGGTTGCTGTAACAAATTACCATAAATTTAGTGGCTTAAAACGTCATGATTTTTTTAAACACCATAGGTGTATCATTTTACTTTTATGGAGATCAGAAGTCCTTAATGGATTTTGCACATCAATATCAATGTGTCGGCAGGGTCATCCTCCCTCTGGAGGCTCCAGAGTGGGATCCATTTCCTCACCTTTTCCAGCTTCTAGCAGCTGCCCACATTCCTTGGCTCATGGCCCCTTCTCATAGCACCTTCCAAACTCTTCTAACCCTACTTCCATCAGCATAGATCTCCCCTGGAGCTGATTTCCCTGCCTCCTTCCTCCGCATATAAAGACCCTTGTGATTGCCTTGAGTTCACCAGGATAAAGATCTCCCATCTCACCATCCTCAACTTCACCCCATCTGCAAAGTCTCTTTTGCCATGTAAGGAAACATATTCACAGATTCCAGGATGAGGGTGTATACATCTTGCAGGGGAAGTCACACGGTTACACACTGAGACTTCTCTTGAAACACGAATATCAAAGTCAACTTTCTGATCCCTTGTTTTCTTTTCAGATGCAGAGAGAACTTGTTTATGCAAGAGGAGATGGCCCTGGGGCCCCTCGCCCCGGATCTACTGCTCATCCACCCCATGCGATTCCAAATTCCCCACCGTCTACTCCAGTGCCCCATTCCATGCCCCCCTCCCCGTCCAGAATTCCTTATGGGGGCACCCGCTCCATGGTTGTTCCTGGCAATGCCACCATCCCCAGGGACAGAATCTCCAGCCTGCCAGTCTCCAGACCCATCTCTCCAAGCCCAAGCGCCATTTTAGAAAGAAGAGATGTCAAGCCTGATGAAGACATGAGTGGCAAAAACATTGCAATGTACAGAAATGAGGGTTTCTATGCTGATCCTTACCTTTATCACGAGGGACGGATGAGCATAGCCTCATCCCATGGTGGACACCCACTGGATGTCCCCGACCACATCATTGCATATCACCGCACCGCCATCCGGTCAGCGAGTGCTTATTGTAACCCCTCAATGCAAGCGGAAATGCATATGGAACAATCACTGTACAGACAGAAATCAAGGAAATATCCGGATAGCCATTTGCCTACACTGGGCTCCAAAACACCCCCTGCCTCTCCTCACAGAGTCAGTGACCTGAGGATGATAGACATGCACGCTCACTATAATGCCCACGGCCCCCCTCACACCATGCAGCCAGACCGGGCCTCTCCGAGCCGCCAGGCCTTTAAAAAGGAGCCAGGCACCTTGGTGTATATAGAAAAGCCACGGAGCGCTGCAGGATTATCCAGCCTTGTAGACCTCGGCCCTCCTCTAATGGAGAAGCAAGTTTTTGCCTACAGCACGGCGACAATACCCAAAGACAGAGAGACCAGGTAAGGTGCAGTGAGGGTGACCGAGGGTGGTACCTGGGCCCATGTGTCACTGTGGGCAGCTCTACAGGGGTCAAACCGACAGAATAAATGTCTGAGCACCCATCTCTGCAGCATGTCCTGTGGATGCTGCAGGAGTCACAGAGTGGTGTCAAAGCCACCATTGTCTGCAAATAGTTTCTAAATTGGCAGGGGTTACAGTCATTAAGCCATGTTCAAGAAGACAGGTGCAGCAACAATAGTAATCAGTCCCTTGTGCCTCTGGAGCATGGATCTAAGAGCATTATCATTTGTATAAATCTGAATAATTTGGAAGAAAATTGTCATTAGCAGAAGACAGATGAAAAGATCAAAAGGTCATAATAATTGATCTGCTACTGCTGAAAATAAGGAGTGAGTGTTTTCAGTTTTAACTGTTGGAAATGGCAGTTTGTGTTTTTCCTTGTGGAATACAATTTTGTTTTCTCATCTGGTTGTGGGAAGTGGAAATAATGTGTCTGTTTTCTAGGAGGATAAACATCTGAATTTGCATGAAAATAGAATGGCTTAGATTTAATATTTATCTAGGAGTGGTGCTGAAATCAGCAAAATTTTTCCAGGGAAAGACTCTCTGGGGACTTGAATTTCTTTTTAAATAGACATATTTTATAATTTACCAATTCAGAAGCTTCCTACTCTATCTTGAAAACCTTCCAAAGTTCATATAGTAATAGAAAAGCTAATTTTGATAAAGGGAATTTCTCTAGCCTGAATTGGTTGAAACAAGTCAACATAATAATCATAAAAATCTAGCCAAAGAAATTGAGTCCAAAGAAGGTTTAAGCATGCTGCTACCTATTGTTATATATGAATCAAGGGGTATGAAAAATAAGATGTCCAGGCCAAGTGCAGTGGCTTACGCCTGTAATCCCAGCACTTTGGGAGGCTGAGGCAGGTGGATCACCTGAGCTCAGGAGTTCTAGACAAGCCTGGCCAACATGGTGAAAATCCATCTCTATTAAAAATACAAAAATTAGTCGGGTGTGGTGGCAGGTGCCTGTAATCTCAGCTACTCGGGAGGCTGAGGCAGGAGAATCACTTGAACCTGGGAGGTGGAGGTTGCAGTGAGCCAAGATCGCACCATCACACTCCAGCCTGGGGGACAAGAGCAAGACTTCATCTCAAAAGAAAAAAGAAAAATAAGGTGTCTAGATATTCAGTTATTCAATACCTTATTAGAACCACTGCTTCTCACTAAAAAATGTTAATATCACTTACTATTATATACCATGTAAAAAGAAGGCCAAAATTGTGAATGGAATGTGACCTGTCTACCTTACTGTTTTCACACACAAGTCAGAAAGCCCTGAAGTCCTCTTTAGCACAGTTTTATTATGAAAGGGCAATCCCTTCTTACTTGTTCAGTTACAGGGAATATCATAGCAGAAAGATTCCAGGAGACAGAAAGAGAAAGAACATGAAAGTTCTGGGATCATTAATGAAACAAAAGTTCTAACTCTCTCATGTAGCTAGAATAACAACAACAGTGAATGGCTTGATGATGCAGGACTAAGAAAAAATAAGGATTGGAAAATAGTATTCATTCTCTCCTTTCCAAAGTCCTCATGAAGTGAAATTCTAAGCATCAAAGAAAGGGACTCTTCCCGTCACTGCAGACAGCTAAGGGGTATAGGATAAACACTCATAGTGGTTCATGGGAACAGACCAATGTGACATCTGGAGAGGAATCTACCAAGATGTGCGATAAGTCTTGGAAGCCTGTGTTGCATACTTCACAGAAAGGATAACACACCTGTCCCCTTTGGCAGGCTTTGAGGTGCTGGTTGGGAAATGGTATGTTGCTGAGGGGATGGAACTTACGGGAGCAAGAATTTAGACCAGAAAACAATAAAGATAATTTGTCTCCTGCATATAATGTTGAGAGCCAGAATCCTACCTCCCACACTGACCTATCCTAGATAAAAGAGCATCAGGAGCTTGATTTTGCCATGACCATATTGAACTGTTTCCACCCCGGTTCTTGGATGATAAAAACCTGAATTTGCATGAAAACAGATTAGTTTAGATGTAATATTCTTTTGGGAATAGTGCTGAAATTATCAAAATTTTTGGCCAACCAAAGATGGTGTCTGCCTTCTTTCCAGAACCTAGCTCAGTGTCATCTGTGTGATTACCACGCACACACAACTTAATGTACATCCTTGAGCCTCACTTTTCAAGACGTTTAGTTATGGAGAGAATAAAACAAACCCTCTGCTGACCTGTGGAGTCATCTCTGTATGGGATCAAAATCTTGAAAGATTTTAGCTTTTGGTACTATGGGTATTCTTTGAGAGCCTCCACTCCCTTTTTTAAAAAAGATCTGCCAACCCTAGAGACTTCCATTTTGTAAAATTTCAGAAAATTCTATGGACTTCAGTTTTACATGTTAGAAAACCTTTTTAGAAAATCCAAATTATTCTATTTCCAGATTAACAATATAAGAAAAACTGACAAAACAGATGAATATTCACCTAAAATACAGTCATTATCACCAGTGTATTCTGACATATGATTGTAATTATGAATGTAATTTTACATGTTCACATTTTTCATTCCCCATAATGTAAAATAGCACAGGAAAAATTTTATCTCATACATCTTGCCAAGGTGACTCCCCACCTGTAATCAGCTTATCTCCAGAGGGTGGAATTGGAATGCTTGGGTATATGTGGGCCGGTTAGATTCTCTTTTCCTAGAGACCTGCACATAGACACACAGACACACAGAGACACACACATACCACATGGACACACAAAGACACAGACACACACAGACACACGACACACACACAAGACAGACACACCTACACATTCTCTCTACATTTAGACTCACTATTGCTGAAAGACCTAAACACTCCCCGCTAACTCCCCTCAGTCACATGTCAAAGGTGAAGAATAATTCTCTGGTCAAAAGAACTTGAGTCTGGAACTTTTGCCCTCAGCACTCCTACATGCTTCCCCCATTGTTTCTTACATGGGACAAAGTGACAAGGGTGAAGCTCATGCCATACTTCCTCCTCCAAGGACAGCTCAGAATCTGGCCCTGAACTCTTTTAGATATCTTGGTAACTAGGCTGACATGTAGCATTCCTGGGGAATGTATAGGAAGGAGGTGAATGGCACCTATCATTTATTGAGAGCCTTTTATGAGCCAAGCACTATGTGAAGTGGTTTCTATACATTATATGATGTAATCATCATGACAACCCAGTGAGATATGTACTATCATCATCTCCTTTTTACAGATGGAGAAACTGAGGCTCAGAGAGGTTAAGTAACTTGCCCGAGGCCACAAAGCCAGTAGGTGGCATAAAATGTCCAGGACTATTAAAGAATTCTACATATTCCATGCTGTTTACCACTGTGCAGTATTCTGCCTTGCAAATGAGAACTATAAGCCCCACCTCCACACAACAGAGAAGTTAATTCAGGAGTGAATTCTAAACATTTCAACCAGAATTCTTCAAAAATTGTTTCAGGACTAGATGCTAAGTAACTGCTCCTAAAGGATATTTACAATCATAAACACAGTAGAATTTGCATAATTATGCTGCTAAATATACACATGCCATTTTAAATATAACTGCCCTAGCTAGTATATTAGCACAATTATGCAGAAATAGGGGAAGAAAGAGGACAGCATTCTTGGTAGACTTCATTTTTTTAAATGCATCTGAGTACTATGTCAAAGAAAAATGTTAAAAACAGGAACATCAGAAACAATTACCGAAGCACAAAATTATAATCCATTGTCTCATCTATACCATGATGTTATTTAGAAATGCTTAATCTGTGTAAGTATTGTTAAAGAATTTTCAACCCCTTAAAGCTTAACTTCATGAGCACAGGGTCGTATAAAGAACCAATCCAATTTCTGTTGCAATTTCATAATATTAAAAAGCAAATAAATATGAGAGTGTTTTTCATATGAGAGTCTCAAGTGACATTTTACATCGAAGATGTGAAGCTGCAAAAACACCAGTGGGAGGCTGAGAAATCGGTGGCTGTGCTTTCTGTTGGCACTGCTGGGTTCTTATGCTGTTCTGAAGAGCACTTCAATATAGTAGCCCAAATAACTGTGGGATGTTAGAAATCAGAGGGAAAAATTCTTCCTTCCACATGCATACTTTGAAGACATCCAGTGGTAGCTTTTTTGAAGGAACATGATTTGGTAACAGCTCTGTTGACTTGAAAATAGCTCACTCAAGACTAAGTAATTGAGTCTTCAGTCTTATATTTAGTCACATACCTTGTGCTAATGAATTTGGCATTTCTTTCTTTCTAAAGATGCTTCAATGAGCATCTAGTAATAATAAATTGCATCTAGAATATCTGAAGAACACAGTGTCTATGGTATAACATTCTTGTGATGGTAGGGGTCTCCTACCAGGGACTTTGGGGTACAGTGACAGATCATAGCTGCTTTGACTTTCAGAACAGCCATTCTAGTGTCTGAGCTTCTAGAAAAGAAAGCAATCTTGAGTGATGAAGTGGTTTTATCCAAGTGACTTCCATTCAGCTAGGACTCCAAGTAGAGAATAGTCCTAGTGACCAGGAGAGACTGCCCAAGGAGACCATGTGTGACAAATGGCTTAGTGCCTGAGGCTCTGTCTTCTCTAGGTTGTAAAATTACTTCATTAAACAGCATCATTATTTCTATTCATGGCACATAAAACAGCCCTTAAGAATTGTAAAATTCTGGGACATTTATGTTTTGCTATTTTCTATTTGTAGTTTGGATCATATACTGTAATGTAAAATACCTTTAGTGAAATAACACTCAAAATTCAAGAGTGCTTATCGCAAAGTGACTACCTTGCCTTCGAAATATGTAACAGATTCCTCCAAATTGATTTTTCAGGACCCAGTAAACTTGAACTGAGATTGTATTTTTACACTATTCTATACCTAGAGCAGCTACATTCGACAAATTAGCATAGAGTTACACTAGGAAGAAAAATTTTGCCCATTCCGAGCACCTATAACTACAGAAAAGCAAACAACTTGAGTTTCTATTATGATTTTTGAGGCATGGTAGACTTAGCAGAACCTTCTGTGTACAGGAGGAAGCCCACATGGCAACTGGCAGCTTGTGTCTGCTGTTAATCATTTCACATCACTTTCTCATTTTATGAGGATTCAATGTTACTATGTTGGTAACTTTTAGGGGTGAGATGGATCCTTGGTTAAACAGTTGATCAAATGAAAGTCTAAATTCAGATTTATGTCATTGAAAAATGTTCACTGCGACTGGAAGACCTTTGAAGATTTCCTAAACCATGATTTATCCTCCTAGAGGACAGTCAGTTTGAATGATGGGAAAAGAAGGATTACTTGCTTTCCTTTCTTGCTGGTATAGTAAAAAGTGAGCCACATCAGCGATATCCTAAGTAGTTACAGTTAGCATCTCGGTAAAGCAGAGTTTCTTAACCTCTGTACTGTTGTCAGTTTGGGCCTGATAATTTGCTGTAGGGGGCTGTCCTGTGCATTGTAGGATGTTGTCTTAGTCCATTCTGTGTTGCTATAAAAAATACCTGAGACTGGGTACTTTGTAAAGAGAAGAGGTTTATTTAGCTCATGGTTCTAGAGGCTGAGAAGTTCTAGGGCATGGCCCTAGCTTCTGGCAAGGCCTTTTGTGCTGCATCATAGCATGGCAGAGAAGGTCAAGGGAGAAGTGAACCCAGGCAAAGAGGGAGAAATCTGAGGGGGGTCTGGTTTCCTAACAACTCACTCTCATGGGAACAAATTCATTACTGATAGAATGAATCCAATCTCTTAAAAGCGAGAGCAAGAAATCACTCACTACATTGAGAACAGCATGAGGCCCTTCATGAGGGATCTGCCCCCATAACCCAAACACCTTCCACTAGGCCCCACCTCCCAGCACTGCCACGTGGGGGATCACATTTCAACATGAGTTTTAGTGGGGACAAACCATATCCAAACCGTAGCAGATGTTTAGCAGCATCTCTGGCCTCTACCCACTGGAAGCCAGTAGCAAATACCAACTACCAATCCTGACCTAGCCAGGATAATCAAAGACATCTCTAGATATTGTAATGCCCTGCCCAGGGGGGCAAAATGCCCCAGCTTAGAAACGTTGCTCTAAAGGAAATTTGAACTTTTTCTACTTTTAATAAAATAGAGAAATGAAAGAATACCCCATGTTCAAGCAATGTAAATTGTGACATTCGTAAGGCAAGGACCAGGACAGTTATTACCTCCATTCTGCCCTCCTCCTCGTGATAAAGCAACTCATTATTGATAGAGCTTGCTATGACTACCTTCAGGTCAGTCAATCTGCTCATCAACCAGTTGTTCAGAGGCAGTAACTTGTAATGGACTTCCAAGCCAGAGTGCCTGGGTTCAAATCCCAGTTCTAACACTTGCCAGCAGATGGGACCTTTGACAAAGTACCGAATCTTGCTCTGCCTCCATTTGCTCAACTGTGACATAGAGATAATAATAGTATCTACCCCACAGGATGCAACAACTCATTACAGTTCAGTGTGTTATGGCAGCCTGGGATATACTAAGTGGCTGAGAGTTTCTAGTTTGAGCAAAGCACTCTACTAAGTGCTACTAAAGAGGAATGTAAATACACAGAGTTGGCAAGGATGAGGAACTCCCCGAAGAAGCAGGGAGAGACATTTCTGAATATAATATCAGAAAACACGTAAGGTGAGCAAGGGTGAGAGAATTAAACTAAATGTGAACACAGAATAGAATGAGCTGGGCTTACAGATCCAAATTAGAATGTTTAGAGTATCAAAACTGCTTCGAAGTTCATTTCAGGAAAGTAGCCAGGGTTGCACATCTGCTTGGGTCCAGGGGCAAAAAGACAAGCTAGGTTCAGGGCATCCTTTTAAAACTGCATCTGAGCTATAAGACTGAAGATAAGACAGCTAAGCCAGGTATGCGTGAAATCATTAGGTTATCTGTTTTGATGCCTAATAGTGCTTGACTGATTCAGCTCTTGTCTGAATTGCTTTTTCATGTAGCTGTAATTATGGATCAATAAATGTTTATTGAGCTGCTCTTATGTGCTTAGCTGTGGACTGGAGGATTTGCTGCATACAAAGAAACTGAGATATGGTTCCCATACACCAGGAACATAAACCATGAAGACAGTCATAAAATATTAAAAGCTTAATATAAACATATAAGCTTTGTCACGGTTTAAGTACAGGAAGCTTCGGAGTTACAAATGCCTACTGAATACCTGTTTTTGAGAAACAACCACAATCATTGAATTTCACACGTGATATTTCTTTTGGCTTTGGTGATGCCCAGGGATGCTCTTCTTGTCATTCCTGAGAGTGACAATGTCTCCTTGTGAGTCAGAGAGGAGAGAAGGGGACATGCCAAGTCACATGGCACCCCCAGAGGCTTGAGCTCCAGAGAAAGATCTCTTCCCAGCTTCCCAAAGTCCAGCTTGGAAGTCAGGACACGTTTTCCTTGAAAACAATGAGGAACGACGACAGGACTAATAATACATTGTAGGTTAAAGAGGCTTCCATGGGCCAGCTGGAAATCCAACCACCATTTATTCCAAGTTCTAAACAATGAAAGTACAAGTAAACTTTTCAATGACAAGCCTGCCATAATTTGGGGTCTGCTTGTACATAATTAATTCCAAAGAAGTGATACAGACGGTAATTGCTATGAATTCAGAAAAGGGAACATTTTCCCAAAGTTATGTGGGTCTCAGAGCCTTCTTGAGAACATTGAGATGGTCTAGAATTGAGGGCATGTACGTAATGAAAAGATGTCATTTGGGAAAGACCAACTAGTCTCTATCCAAAATTTGCTATACTTTTACCATCATGGTACCTATAAAAATGACATCTCGATATGATGTTTTGCCAGTCTCAGAAATCAAGTGCTGACCAACTGAATTGTTATTTCGTTCACAGGAGTGGAATTTCATGGTTAAGTCATATTTGCTAGTTATTCCTTAGACTCCTGAGTTCAGGCATCAGATACTTGATAAACATACTAGACCAACTAACAGATTTATGCAGCTAGCTCTATTCTTACACCAGGGATACTCTGTCAGAAATGCCAATGGAATAGCAGCCACAAGGTCTGTGTGCTACTTTAAACAAATCAATATCTCAAAAGGAAAAGGCGTCGTCTGTCACTAATTAGATCAAATTAAAATGTGCTGCTGTATCTCCTTTGAATATTCATGAGGTGCTCTCAATCAGAAGCCCTAAGTCTGAGACCAGAAACTTAAGCCAGAAAAAACTAAATACTGTGAGATTCAGATAACTCGGTCCTTTGCCAACTAGAACTTCAAAGAGAAGAGGAATAGCTTAGGTGCAGAGTAAGCCTCCTGAAAAGATGACAAAATCAGCTTAATGCAGAATCGTGGGGTTCCCACCCAACCTAAAGATGGATCGTCAAAATAGCCCAGGAGCTGATAATCCTAGACTCTGTTGACACACAGGACACATAGTTTAGCCTCTCTTGTGATTTACTTGTCCTTCTGTCTGGCGGAAACCATGGAGATTACACTTGTCCTTATTTGAATTCTGGACTTCATTTTTCATGAATGAAGTGATTCAAAAAATACAGCTGGGTCTAAGCATGAATTCTAACTTTCAAAAATCACAGATCTTAAAAAGTCTGTATTGAACTGGGTGCAGTAACTCATGCCTGTAATTCCAGCATGTTAGGAGGCTGAGGCAGGAGGGCCACTTGAGCCCTGGAGTTCAAGACCAGCCTGGGCAACAGAGTGAGATCCCATCTCTACAAAAGACTTTTTGAAAAATTAGGTGTGGTGGCACATGCTTGTAGCCCTAGGTGCTCAGGAGGCTAAGGTGGAAGGATCACTTGAGCCCAGGAGTTGGAGGCTGCAGTGAGCTATGATTGCACTACTGCACTCCAGCCTGGGCAACAGAGCAAGATCCTGTCTCAAAAAAAAAAAAAAAAAAAGTCTGTATATACTCATGCAGGGCCAACTTGTATCACCAGTAAATACTTCCTCTGTCTCCTTGTCCATCCTCAAAGCTAAAGAGACCTTGGAGAATACTGGGTCCTAATAGCTGACTTTACAGCAGGAGAAACAGCAAGGAGACTTCCTAAAGGTCCAAGGATGGGAGCTACTCTAGTTAAATGACATTTCGCTATCCTGCTGCCTTAAGGGTGGCTCCAGCCATTGCTCTTGACCTCACAGCCACCCACTGGGCCACTCCACCTCCATCTCTCACCTGACTTGCTACAGTGGTCTCCCAAAAGGTCTCCCCACTCAGTCCCTGCCCACCTTCCGCCTGTTCTCATTGGGGAGGCCAGAGTGACCCCGTTAAAACGTGAGACCTTTCATGTCGAGCCTCAGCTCAGGACTCGCCGTGGCCCCCCTCACATTTTGTCTTTGCAAGCACAAGTAACTAAGACAAAACAAAAAGGAAATGCACTAGAGAGACCAAATATAGCAAATGTTTTTTTCTTTTCCCTAAGAGTCATTATTTTATTTCTTTTGAGTCCGCCCTAAGATTTACAGCTCTAAAGCAGGCGAGAGTGGGGAGTTCATTTCCACAGTCACCATGAGGTCCACTCAAGAGACCATCTCTCCTGACACCGTCTCTCATTTGAAGGTAAATTAGCTGGCCGTGTTCAGCTGGCCCATAACATGAAGCAACTGCTATTCCTACCTGTTTGTACCTGTGCAAAAAATGAGATGTCAATTCCAGAACACAAATGTTCCAGATTAGCCTCAGGGAAGAGAAAGAAAATGCAAAACAGGTGATTTCATAAAGCAGGGTGTAGGCTTGCCCTGGGGAGTGGCGGCTCTAGGCACCCAGCAGAGAGCCAACAGGAAGTGAAGTGCCTCACCCTAGATGTGAGTCACTAAGGGAGGCAGCTCAGTGCCACAGAGAGCCCTGGATCCGAGAAAGCCTGCAAGCTAATTGATCTGTTTCCCTAAGAAAAGCCCTGCCTGGCTAAGCCTCAGTGTCTTTTGTCCTAATAAGGGGATGATAATCTACTCAAGAGTTCTGTGCAATTTTTATTTTTATTTTTATTATATTTATGTGTATATATATGTATATATGTATATGTGTGTGTATATATATATAGATATACATATATATTGATATACATATATATAGATAGATAGATATACATATATATATATATATATTTTTTTTTTTTTTTTTTTTTTTGAAACAGTCTCGCTCTGTTGCCCAGGCTGGAGTGCAGTGGCATGATCTCGGCTCACTGCAACCTCCGCCTCCCGGGTTCAAACAATTCTCCTGCCTCAGCCTCCCAAGTAGCTGGTATTACAGAAGCCCACCACAGTAGCCCAGCTAATTTTTTGTATTTTTAGTAGAGACAAGGTTTCACCATGTTGGCCAGGCTGGTTTTGAACTCCTGACTTCAAGGGATCCGCCCACCTCGGCCTCCCAAAGTGCTGGGATTACAGGTGTGAGCCACCGTGTATGGCCTATTTTTATTTTTCAATGTATTATTATTTTAGAGATGTGGTCTTGCTCTGTCACCCAGGCTGGAACGCAGTGGTGCAATCATAGCTCACTGCAGCCTCGAACTCCTGGGCTTAAGCAAGCCTCCCCCACCTCAGCCTCCCAAAATTTGGGGATTACAAGTGTGAGCCACTGTGCCTGGCAGAGGGACAAGTTCTGTGCAATTTAAATGAAAATAGCTATTAGATCACTTTGTGTACTGGACAGTTTTCTATGAATAAATTTTTCATTGACATAAAACCATGAAGCCATAGAGTTGTGCCAGCCCTTCGGATCTGAGGGGGGTTGTGTCCTTATTCCTGACTTGGGGCTGTTTCCTGGTCCCATCCAGAACAGCCTACACAGAAAGTGAATTGTGAAATAGATTAAAGGCTGCCTGGAGCCTTCCCTAAGTGCATTTGCTGTGCTGGGCAGAGCACTGCTAGAACCTGGGAAGCCAATTGTGCATGCGGGGAACACCAGGCCTGGGTGGGACTGAGCTTGGACCTCCTGGTTGGACCTGCCCGCTTTTTTTTTTTTTTTTTAATAGCTTCATTCAAGATCACAGACCCAGAATGGGAAGAGCTATGGGATTTATGTAAATCCCTTCCAACCAGAAACTTATGTAATTCCAGGATTCTAAGTGAGGCTGGATTTCTGTGGGTAGTGGGTGTGAGAGAATGGGTACCCCTGTTTAACAAGGGGTAGGGGCCTTCTGAGACTGTTTCCTCTACAGAGTAAGGGTTCGTTCAGCCTTTTCCGTGGCCTGCCAAGAACTCAACTCCATGTTCCCTCACTTCCTGTAATTGACCTTGTCCAGGACTTTCTGACCTTGGAGAATTCACCTTTGCTCTTTCTGCTGCTTCGTGCATTCTTCCACCAAATGTCTAACTGACTGGCTCCTCTCCAAACTCAAGGCTTTGCCAAATGCCACCAGCTCAGGGAGGCCTTTCCTGGCCATGACACTTGAAGTTGCAACACTCCCCCGCAGTCTCCCGTGCCCCAGATGTAAGTTCCATGAGGGCAAGCCCTGTGCTTTTACCACCATATCCCCAGCATCTTGAGCTGTGCCTGGCCCAAGAAATATTTGTTGAATGAATGAATTTAAAGGGATATCATGAAGGCTTACACATCCTCAATGGTTTACAGGTTATAATGTGCTTCGCTACACATTTTTCTCATTTGCCCTCATTTTGATGTCTCTGTAGGGTGACAGCCTTTGGGACAGGTAAGGCAGTTGTTTTCCCAATTCGATGGTTAAGGAGCGGAGACCCAGAGACGTTAAGTGACTTCTGAGTGGAGATTTGTATCTCCCCGTGGATGTCTGTTAATGAACTTGAATGCAGCATGCCCAAAAATAAAGTCCTATCTTCCCCACATCAGGTAACAACAGCTTCATTCATCTAGTCACTCAGGCCAAAAGTCTTGGTGTCATCTTGATTGCTGTCTCCCCAACCCTGCGTTTGGACACCCAGACCCAGAGAACAGTAAGATCTGTACTCAGAGGTTTCCTGGCTCCAGCCATTGCTCTCGACCTCACAGCTACCCATTGGGCCAAGCCACCTCCAGCTCTCACCTGACTTGCTGCAGTGGTCTCCCAAGAGGTCTCTCCACTCAGTCCCTGCCACCTTCAGCCTGTTCTCAGTGGAGGGGGCCAGAGTGACCCTGTTAAAACATGAGACCTTTCACGTCCAACCTCAGCTCAGACTTCCCCATGGTTCCTATCACACTCAGGGTCAAAGTGAGAGTCCCTAAGATGACACACAAGTAGGGAGAATGCCCTTCTCGGCTGGACTGGGACAGCTCCAGGGTATCCCTATTGTCCTTGTACAATACTTGCAATGACCAATGGCTCCCCTGTCCACTTTCTGAAGTATCCTGGTGTGGAGAATAAATGATTTGATTCCCCTCGCCACAAGCCCTGGACAGGTCAACCGTCTGCCCCTCTGACATCATTTCAATCACCCTCCCCTTCCTTCCTTCACTGCAGGCACACTGGCCTCCCCAGCTCTCCTCAGTACTGCCAGGCATGCTCCTGCCTTGGGCAGAGTGTATATGTGTGAGTGCACCTGCCCTTCCCACAGCCTAGAACGTTCCTCCTCCAGACAGCACACATGGCCTGCTCTCTCACTTCCTTAAGGTCTTTATTCAAAAGTGACTTTCTCAGTGAAGCCCTGTCTGCTCACCCTGCGTAAAATTTCAGCTCTTCTTTCTATCTCTCTTCCCAGATTTTTTTTTCTCCTTCATGTTCGTTGGTGTCTAAGGTTTATCATCTATTTCGCTAATGGTCAGTAGAATGTAACCTCCACGTAAGCAAGGAGTTTTGTCTGTTTTGTTCATGTCTATGTCCTTAGTGCCTGGAGCATTCCCTAGTATGCAGTAGGTGCTCAATAAATGTCAGTTGGATTAATGGCTGAAAGAAAGGTCACCGCTGTAAGGATGGAGTCAGAGAACAAACACAGTTAATTCCTGGTCCACTGTTTTTGCTTCCACTAAATTGTATTTGGTCTACGGCTTCTCCGCTTGCCCTGGAACCCTGCTCAGAACACTGCTCCCTTCTCCTTCTTCTTCTCCCTCCGGATAAATTCTGCCATTCTTTTCAGCATCATTCACATCTCACCTATTATAAGAACTTGTTCTTCCGCAGCCTATTGCTCCGTCTCCACCATCCAGGAGTACCTTATTGATAGCACTGAGCACAGAGGAACCCCACAGAATTCTGGCTGGGCTGTAGCCACCATGCCCACCCAAGCCAAGTCATCCGAAGCCTAGGATCAGGAAGAAAGGCATCAGCATCACTGACTCTCAGCGCCCGTCATGGTGCTCACGCACAAAGTGATGGTGGAAGTGAACTGAAATTGACATGATAATCAATCGTCTCCCGAGGCCATGAAGAAAATAAACAGCATCCCTAGGAGTATGTGAAGAACTATTTATTAGAGAGAATACCATCATCGCCACAGCATTCCCTTTCCACATCTCATTGCCAGTTTTCATTCTGTCAACACCTCAGTGAATTTATGAAGAAAGATTAGAAATAGCTTTTTCCTCTAGATCCTTGTAAATGGAGCTTCATTTTTGCCTGTTTTTTTTACAGGTATCCTTAAATGTGTCTGTCTTCCTGCACTGTAAGTGAAATGCAGAACATTTTAGATGAGCCCCTTTGTTAGGTTACAGACTCTTTCCTGACTTGGGAAAAGTGCCTAATGAGAAGGTTTCCCCCAACTCTGTCTCCTTGAAGATTACCAGAAGGAGAGGACATAGGAAGAAATAGAAGGGGCACAAGGGGCCTTTTCTTCTCATTTATTACCCTCCTCTGTCATTCAGAAAGCAACGTCAGTATAGCATGGGAACAGCAAGGCTGAAAAATAGCCCAGATGCAATGGGGTTCAGTTGGGATAATGTTGAAAGTATTCAGGGTCCAACCTGGGTAAGAGGCAGGAGAAATGACCAGAGACTGTTCAGACAGTATCGAAGGTGGAGAAAGCAAGGCCAGGCTACAGATAAAGAAATAGTTTGTATGAATAAGAGAAATGAAGACAACAAAAAATCGCCATACTTAGAGGGGGTCTTGGAGTTTCAGATCTAGACAGTAACACCATTCTGAGTTAGAACTCAAGGTCAGAGGATGGCTGTAAAGATTTTGAGGCTGTATAGTGCCAAATTTCTGTAGGGGTTGTAAGTATGGATGTTGAAGCTACAAAGGATGGCAGCTGGGGTATGGTGGATGGGAGCACCAGGGATGGGAGGGGATTTCCTGGGTAGTGGTAGGGAACTTAGGGATGAGATAGTCAAGAATTCCAAAGCAGGGGAGATACTGAGACATTAGACGAAACAAAATATTGAAGTGCTTTTTAGGGGAGACAGAACGTAGCCAGTCTTCTTGCTCATGCCATAAGCACAGGGCCCGGGGAGAAGAAATGGCAGCCCTGACTGCCCACTACACCAGTGTCTCCCAAATAGATCTAAATGTGTCAATGAGAAGTTAAATGTATTGGGAGTTTGGGGAACAATGTCTTTAGTTACACAGCTTTTCCACCAATAGGTTAACTTCTGGCAGAAATAGAAAGGTCATTGCTTAGAGTCACATTTGAAGCTTTACCACAAATTCAGACAATTTAAATTCCTTTGTTTTGTTGAACTCGTCTGAAAACAGTCTTTAATTACTTTGGGTTTTTTTTTCCTCATACCAGAGTCAGGGCATGAACAAACAAGGGCATAGCCTCGCTTTAAACCTGTTCACTATTGCATCCTGGAAAAATGCCTTCGGCACTGCCAAGATCAAAGAGTTTTAGTTCAGGTAGATTGCTCCTAGAAAAAAGGAAATTGACATTGTCAAAGAAAGGCATGCCTGGGAAAGGGGATGCAGTGCCTCTGCTGTGTCCACGGCAGCTAGCATGTTACCTAGCACGTATTAAGGGCTCAAAAATATTTGTTGATTGACTCTTTGGCCATGTAACACTTTCTGGGGTGGGGAGAGAGATGACAGGGAATGAGCAGGAATACAAAGAAAAAAATTGCAAAATTTAGAACTAGAAGCAAATGGCGGAACCACCTAGTAGGGACTCTCAGAAGGCCAGAATACTGCAGTTGTTACTGACTACAGTGGGTTGAGGCTGCAGTGAGCTATGATCATTCGTGCTGTACTCCAGCCTGGGAACAGAGTGAGACCTTGTCTCAAAAAAAAAAAAAGTTCTATAAATGGAGTCACTGGCTAAAAATCATCCCCTAACTGGTTAGGAAGGTTAATGCTTCAGATTAGGGACTAATCACATCAGCTCGGCTAGCTGGTTTCAGCCATCTTCTGTAATATGTCTTCTGGAAACTTAAGAACAAATCCTTTGGGATTCTTAATAGGGGAATCGCCAGCTTCATATGCTACTGACTTGTTTCTTAATAGCCATTCATTTACTTAGATATATAATAAGGACTTAATTCAGGCTTAGTGACACTTTGGTCAGTACAAAGTCTCTAGTCAAAAAAAAAAAAATCAAGGTGAAACTTGAATCAAAAAGTTATATAAGTGGGCCAGGCATGGTGGCTTATGCCTGTAATTCCAACACTTTGGGAGGCCGATCTCGCTTGAGTCCAGGAGATCAAGACCAGCCTGGGCAACATGGTGAAACCCCATCTCTACTAAAAATACAAAAGAATTAGCCAGGCGTGGTGGTGCATGCCTGTGGTGCCAGCTACTTGGGGGGCTGAGGTGAAAGGATCTCTTGAGCTCGGTGAGTTGAGGCTGCAGTGAGCTATGATCATGCCACTGTATTCCAGCCTGGGAACAGAGTGAGAACCTGTCAAAAAAAAAAAAAAAAAAAAAAAAAGGTTCTATAAATGGAGTCATTGGCTAAAAATCATCCCCTAAACACAGATTCTTTTTTTTCCTTTTCTGTGTTCCAAAGGCAGAACAGACCACCAGCGGTATGAATTTTGCTTCGTCTTCACAGACAGACATGGAGCTTGCAGGAAAGTTGTTTAGAGTAATCGGACTTTTAACACTGGAAACAGCACTTCCCTGAATTTGACTTGAGTTTTTTTATTAATATTATGTTTGGATCATGAGAAGACTCATTCAGACAGGCTGACTTAAGACATTAAATGACTAGTTAACCATATACACTAATCACATAAATATGGTTTGTGGAATGATATAAAATGGTTTACGAAATCATTTTTAAGCCATCTTTTCAACAGTAATTGTATCAGTCCTGTCATATTTTAAACCAAGCGATATTGGCAAGAATGAGCCTAAATGTCTTTAATATTCTGATGATGAGCATGAAAAATTGCCACTGCAATAAAATGACAGGGTTGTGTTCATTTCTCTTCTTCCATGGCACTTTGCTTTCTTCCCTTTCAACTTTAAAACACACTTCCTAACATTTCATCATGGGAGAAGGCTGCATAAGTTTCCAGTTGCTGTAATTTACTTAAACCATAAAATTGTTTCCAGATTACCAACCATAAAATGGAAAGACAATCTTATTTATTAATGTATAAATCAGATAATGTCCCCAATATGAATCCTGAAACCAGACACACTTTGACGATTAAATAGGAGGGAAAATGTTTTCTCATTACCATATGTCAAAAGAATGGTATTTTTGTGAAGTGGCTTTGGTCAAGAGAGTAGAGCATACACTTGTATTCGGTGCTCTGTGTGCTCCCACCCAGGAGAGAATGGCTTCCCCTCTACTGTCAAGCATCTGAACTCTCCAGGGGGGATGTCAGATGAGAAGCCACCTGACTCAGTATCTCTGATGCAGCGTGTCTCTTTCCTGGTGGCCTTGCAGGTGACATGCCCTGAACGAGGCCATCCAGGGAGCCTTCACTCCCTTCCTCACAGATACAAAAAGGCAAGCCAAGCATGTGGGTACCTGGAGTGCATATAGCCCTTTTGTTCTAAAAGCACCCAGACTCTTATCCCAGACCGTTCTGCAACTCTGTCAATGTCAGCCTTAAAGAAGAATAGGATGTTGTTTGGGAGTTGTCTCTCTCTGCACCCTAAAACTATTACCTGGTGGGAGCTCAGGGTAGAAGCTGAGTACTCACTGAGCCAAGGAACATGCCGAAGGTGTGTCTGCAGCTCCCCAGACTTCCATGTGTAGATGACGTGGTCTGTGTTGTGACATTCTATAGTTCTAACCTCGAGGATGAATCAGTAGAGGAGCAGCAATGTTGTTTATCCAGAATGATTCAGGTGCTTTGTTTCTTTTTTTTTTTCCTTTTTTTTTTTTTTTTTTTTTGAGACAGAGTCTCGCTCTGTCTCCCAGGCTGGAGTGCAGTGGTGCAATCTCTGCTCACTGCAACTTCTGCCTCCTGGGTTCAAGTGATTCTCCTGCCTCAGCCTCCCGAGTAGCTGGGATTACAGTCATGTGCCACCACACCCAGCTAATTTTTGTATTTTTAGTAGAGACGGGATTTCACCATGTTGGCCAGGCTGGTCTCGAACTCTTGACCTCAAGTGATCCACCTGCCTTGGCCTCCCAAAGCACTGGGATTACAGATGTGAGCCACTGCGCCCAGCCTGTTTTGAATTTTAATGCTGATGCTCTCCTTTGTTGGACGATGTAATGAAACCTGTTGACCAGACTGGAAGCAGAAAGAAGGCTGGTCTAGCCCTAACCAGCATTGTTCTTGTGGCCAGCGATGGAATCCCAGGACTCCCCTCTGCCATTTCCCTCTTAGCAGAGTCTCATTTAGTCTCTACATAAATGAGACCTACCTATTTCTTGCATTTCTTAATATTACTGTCTTCTGCATGTACTAAGGTTGTCATCATGCCTTCCTATCCCACACTCCAGCTGTACAGAACCCTTTAAGCAACTTCCTTACCAAAGCTGTCTAGACTCTAAAAATGCCACGTTACCTTTTTTTTTTTCTTAAAGGAATATCCTTTGCATTTGCCTAGGATTGAAGAAAAGCAGTAAAGTGGTACATCTCAAGGTAGCCCTGAATGCACCTCTGCTCTTACTGTCATTCATTTTACTCCAGCACCACTGCGGATAGAGTCCCTGTGGGACGAATGAGGACACTGGGCAACTTTCACCTGGGGCTGAGCATTCTTCCGAGGAAGTCATTCATTTCCCAAGAGTGTGTGCAAGTCTGTGCCCCCCATGTGGCAGGAAGAGTGACCAACCACCACTCCCATTTTTTCTGAGATGCTACTGTGACTTGGGTCAATAAGCTTGACATTGCTGATGGATGTTCACTAACCTGCTTTCCTTATTTGAATTTCTTACCATTGTTTCTCTTTGATATGTGGACTATTTTATGGCAAAGAGGGTTGCCAAGGTATGACTGAAATGCTATATGGCTGAGAGGTTTAGCATCGGCTGGTGTACCTGGAAACATTTGCAAATCACTCCGTGGAGATATATTTCCACACTCACCGTTTGAGATTTCTTATTTCCATTCTATTACAGCAGAGAGACCATACTATTAATACTTAAAATTGCTTGGTGTTTTTTTTCCTCCTTGGTGGATTTGCAACCTTTAACTATCCAGACTGCATGACTTATATGCAAGAAACTCAGTATTGTGACAGACCTTCAATTTTAAACTAAAGAAAATGCATGGAGTTCTGATATCAGAAGCTTCCAATTACAAAATTAAGATCAGTGTTACATATGGCACTGAGAGTTACATTCCAAAGGCAAAACTCAAGGCCGCAATGCTTGAGTTGGACAAAATTACCCTTGAATATCATCTTGATTGTCACAAAATTCAGGATGCAGATGCACCAGCTTAATCAGTTGGCTTTTTCTAGTGGAAGAACAGGCCATCATTACTTTTTTTTTTTTTGAGACAGTCTTGCACTGTCACCCAGGATGGAGTGCAGTGGCGCGATCTCAGCTCACTGTAGCCTCCACCTCCCAGGTTCCCGTGATTCTCCTGCCTCAGCCTCCCGAGTAGCTGGGATTACAGGCATGCACAACCACACCCAACTAATTTTTGTATTTATAGTAGAGACGGGGTTTCACCATGTTGGCCAGGCTGGTCTCGAAGTTCTGACCTCAGGTGATCCGCCCACCTGGGCCTCCCAAAGTGCTGGAATTACAGGCAGGAGCCACCGTGCCCGGCCAGACCATCATTACTTTTTCCACTGACAATCAGATAAATTAGCCAGCATGTATTTAATAGTGTAAGAATATACTGTTTGCAGCATGGGAATCCCCACCACTCACAAACCCAGAGGCCTGTGGGACTGAGATCCGCAGTGAGGAGTGAGGTCCCCTCTCTTATCTCAGGCTCATGCAAGGACACTCACTCATGGGAGATAACAGCACAGGCAATGCCCATGCCATATACATTGTTCTCCTCTCTCTCCTTTTCCTGTTTTGAACTAACAAATATGCATAACTGAATTCACATGAGGTGACATGTGAAGCCTCTATTCACTTACTCGTATTGTTGTTTTTAACAATGTGTTGAAAACATGGCAATAGTTCTGCGAAACGTCCATTGTCTGAGGTCTAGAAATGTGAGTCTATTTCAAATGCCAGCTAAACTGTAATGAAACATCAAAGAGCCCTGGAGAGAGAGGAACAGTATCTGTATATGGAAATCATTGGGAAATTTTTCATTAACATCTTGAGATGGCCAAGCTGTTAGGGATATTCGTGTTCCTGCGTGATTCTATAAAAACCTCCAGGCTAAAGTTCCTATGACATTAGATCTAACATCATCTACCTTCAAATAAATGGGTTGTTTTGTTTTGTTTTGAGACAGAGTCTCACTCTTTTGCCCAGTCTGTAGTTCACTGGTGCAATCTTGGTAGCAGAGACAGGGTTTCACCATGTTGGCCAAGCTGGTCTCAAACTCCTGACCTCAGGTGATCTGCCCACCTCGGCTTCCCAAAGTGCTGGGATTACAGGTGTGAGCCACCGCGCCCGGCCGGGTTTCAGTCATATTTCTCCATGGTCTAAAGAAGAGACATGTTTGTGTTGCCCCTAAGCTGTGACACAAGTGTTACTACCCACACAGCAAACAGCTCCATCATTTACACCAAAACCACTCCGCAGCCTCCCAGCTGAGGTGTACGGCATAGAAATGTGTGCAGCTAGGTGAGATCTGGCCTGGGACACTGCGAATGCTAGGGAACAGCCCTTTTGTGCAAGGTGAAAGAAAGAAAGCAGGGCAGAAAGACTCAAAAACATAGGATGTGCAAACAGGAGTGTTTCCGAGGGAGATGTCTTTGAGTTGGTCCGTGCTGTGTCTTTTTTTAGCCAGTCAGGTCACTGGCTTGATACTGAACACTGATCACGAATCTTGACCTGAGCTAAGGATGTGCGGCTCTTCATGTTCCTGAGCCAGGTTGGGTGAACTTCCACGGCCTTCTAGGTGGTACCTTTTATAACCCTCAGGTGGTGCATTCACCCGGACAAACTGGTTTGAAAGTCCATAAAGCTTTAACAAACAATTCTCTTGTTTTACAGAGAGAGGATGCAAGCCATGGAGAAACAGATTGCCAGTTTAACTGGCCTTGTTCAGTCTGCGCTTTTTAAAGGGCCCATTACAAGTTATAGCAAAGATGCGTCTAGGTAAAAAAGAAGAAAGCCAATGAAAAAAATAATTCAATCTGTTTCTCTTTTAATCATTAAGATAATTCATTCATTCAAATCTGTTTTCTTGTAATCATTTCAAGGCTGAAAATATTCACATCTCTATGGATCATGGGCGTTATTTTTTTGTTTTGGGGGGTTTGGTTGCTTTTTTTCTTTCCTCCTTCTGGTAATTCTTGGTCGAAAGTAACACTTTGGCCCAAGAAGGTAAATGGGCTTCCCAGTGCATGTGGCTTCATGGACCACTCACCGTGCAGTGCCTGCAACCACCACCCTTGCGTGTCCACGTCGCCATCATCTGAAAGTCACAAGTGAGCCTGGCTGCATTCCACCCCCAGTGTCAGGTGCACACCTGGGAAGCCTTTTCCATCCTGGCCAATTGTGATGCTGATGCTAAAATACCTTCATTGCTTAATCCCATCACTGCCAATTGCTTCAAATAGTGGATGGAATGGGCTTTAAAAAAAAAAAAAAAGGCATTTTGGAAACTGCATAGCTGACTCTCTTTTTCTTTTATT
This sequence comes from Homo sapiens, assembly GCF_000001405.40. Lineage (NCBI taxonomy): Eukaryota > Metazoa > Chordata > Mammalia > Primates > Hominidae > Homo > Homo sapiens. The sequence goes on from NC_000010.11 coordinate 24,495,144, forward strand.
CAGCGAGAAAATGATGAAAACCACAGCCAACAGGAACCACACAGATAGTGCAGGTAAGTAAGTGTTTTTGGAGCTGTAGGAGGCCTGTGGGCTGCCTGGGATGAGCCCTGGCTGGTCTCAGAAATGTTTAACATTTCCCTAAGTCACGTATTTGGTATGATGTCAGGGGATTCCTAGATATTCCTGCCAATACTGAAATTCCAGATTTATTCATTAATTCGGGGGCAAAGCACTGTATTCTCCCTTCGGTTTTCATTCATTCGCTCATTCATTTGTTCATTGATATGGCCACACGGTGGTCATCTTGCAGACACGGGGCTGCCTGCCTAGAACTTAGAATTCAGTGGGGAAGATGGAAATGGGACAAGTAATTTTATGTGTGTCAAGTGTTTAAAAGTGCAGGATAAATGTTTCACCAATAGGACTAGCCTATACCAAGGGCAGTCCCCAGACAAAGTGACATAAACTAAGCCCAGAAAGATGAAGAGGACTTAGGGGGAAGAAGGGTTGTCCAGTCAAGGGAATTTAAAATTGTTCTAAGTGCAAAGTGAAGCCATCGGAAGGTTGTACACTGGGGAAGGACATCAGCCCAGCTGCAATATGGGGATGGATGAGAAGGGACAGTAGCCAATAAGGAATGACCAGTGTCCAGATGGGAGAAAAAGGAGTACTTGGACTAGGGCCTACTTTTTATTTTATCTTTTTAATCTCATGACAGATGACAAGGCCTGCTTTTTAAATGCCAGCATTCCCCAGAAAGACAGCCCAGTTCTGTTAGTAGTGGCGTTCACTAGTATCCAGGTCTTTGCAATGAATGTCTCATCCAGCAGTCTCAAGCCAGGCCTCTGCAAGAAGATGAGGTCTTCCCTCTCATCGGGTTAGAAATAGAAATCCTTAGCAGGAACACATTCAGATACTAAATTACACAGAAAGCATATGGCAAGTTGGGTGAAACCCCAAATTTAGGGAAGCCACGTGTACTAGTTTTGTGCAGCACGGTAGAGTAGACAGAATTGGGGACTTCAGTTTAGGGCTCTGTTGGTCGTGGTTCTTCTCTGGCTGAGCACAATTTAGCTACAAAGCCAACAGGGCCACTCTGCCATCATTCCTGATCCTGACGGGATTTGTTGTTTTGCTTAGAAATCAATCAGTGGCCTTGGCCGAAGCCAGAGAATTATTTCACGGAAATTGCTAAACTTGTCTTCAGAGCAATTGCCAGTTTGTTTCGGAGATACTTAATTCATTCATTTTTTAAAATGGATTGTAAACTTAGGGAGAAGAAAGGAAACTACTAAATACTAAAAGCTCCCATCCTTCTATAATCCATTCTAGAAATGATTCATATCTGAAAGCACTGCTCTAAGCAATATGTACGTGCTGTTTTGTATTCTCCTTTTATTTCTTTTTGCTTTATAGAGAAGAAGAAGAAGAATAAATATGTAGTGAGTGCTTCCTATGCACTTTTCATGCATTCACTCATGAACTCCTTACCGCAGCATCTAGGGAGAGGTACAGTTTTTATTCTCATGTTCCAGAGAAGAAAACTGAATGCACATCCACACACGTGACACACATCATCATAGTCCAAATGCCTCCCATTTGAACTCCTTTTATGTTAAGATGCCTCAGTCCCTTTAAAGATATATAGGTTGTTTCATTTCTTTGTTCTAAAAACTCTTGTCAATTTCTTTTCAAATGTGGGGAAAGGAGCCAGTGTCATTTCCTCAGATATATTTCCCAAAGTGGAATCGGTGGGTCCAAAGGGACAGTTCAGTGCCACTGGTGACATGCTGTTAGTTTTCTCTTCTGAATGGCTGAGCTGATTTGCAACGCCACTGGCAATGAGCACGTGGACTCACTCCCCACGTCTCTGCTAGGTTTGGACTTTCTCACTCTAACGTATCAGGGCGAGATATCGTCCACAGGGGCTTCGTTGCCATAGCAGCCTTGTATAGTGCACAAAATATAATAATTCTTCCAGAATGCTAGGAAGTCAGCTACAAGACAAGTATTATCCCTGTTCTGTAGACAAGTAAACGGAATTATATAGAAGTCAAGGAACTCATCTGGCCAAGAGTAAAGGAAAACCCAGACTTCCTGGCTACTTATGGAATGTGTAGTTTACTGTGGAAAGAGAACAGATGGAACCTCCCATCTCAAAGGTTTTTATACTGAGCATTAGATCATTTAACACACAAAACCCTATAAGGAAGATGTCATTACCCATATTTTACATGAAAAGAAACAGAAGCTCAGGGAGGTTAGGTTAGTTTTCCAAAGCGACACAGCTATTAAGAGTGACAGCCAGGCTGGGCATGGTGGCTCATGCCTGTAATCTCAGGACCTTGGAAGGCTGAAGTGGGAGGACTGCTTGAGGCTAGGAGTTTGAGACCAGCCTGGGCAATATTGCAAGACCCTGTCTCCACAAAAAATGAGCGTGGTGGTACATGTTTGTAGTCCCACATACTTGGGAGGCTGAGGTGGGAAGACTGCTTGAGCCCGAGAGGTCAAGGCTGCAGTAAGCCGAGATCAAGCCACTGCACTTCAGCCTGAGTGACAGAGCAAGACCTTGTCTCAAAAAAAAAAAAAAAAAGTGACAGCCTGACTGGCTGATAATTGAGTAGATAGTGGTGCCACTGGCTACAATTAGGCCCGTATTATAATGGACATTGGAGACTCAGAAGTGGGCAGGGTGGGAGGGGATGAGGGATAAAAAAAACTACGAATTGGGTACAAAGTACACTACTCAGGTGATGGGTGTACTAAAATCTCCGACTTCTCCACTATACAATTCATCCATGTATCCAAAAACTACTTGTTCCTCAAAAGTTATTGAAATTATATATATAATACAATTAGGCCCACAGAGACAGAAAGAGCTTTGTGGAAGACGAGTGGAAATAATGAATTTGACTTGTTTATGGAAAAGTTCAGTAGTGGCGTGAAGGCGTTAGTATGTGGATCTGAAGATGATTGTGTGCTGCTGACGAGGGTGCGGGAGACCTTGGTGGGTGGTGGTAGCAGAAGTGGCCTCCCTAGAAAGTATGTCCAGCAAGAAGAGAAGTGGACCCAGGGACACAACATATCAGGATTTAAAAGGTTGGCAGAGGAAGGAGTTAGAAAAGAGATTGACCAAGACGGAGCAGCAGAAAGGGAAGAAGATCATGGAAAGTTTCAAAGTGACTAAAAGGAAAAGAAGTGGCTGACAAAGCTTAGTGTCACATTGAAGCAAAGGAGAGAGTCCACAGGGGTGACAACTAGAAGATCGCTGAAATGAACATAAAGAGCCATTTCAGAGAATGAAGGAGCTATGACATGTACCAAATATAGGAGATTAAGAGGTTATAGATGAAGATTTTTTTAAGTGAGTATAGATTCCATTAAGAAATTTGGTTGTGGCTTGGCATGGTGACCCACGCCTATAATCCCAGCACTTTGGCCGAGGCAGGAGGATCGCTTGAGGCCAGGAGTTCAAGACCACCCTGGGCAACATGGCAAAACCCCGTCTCTACAAAAAATACAAAAATATTAGCCAGATGTGGTGGCACATACCCATAGTCCCAGCTTTGGAAGGCTGATGTGGGAGGATCACCTGAGACCAGGAAGGTTGAGGCTCGGGGAATTGCACCGCTGCACTCAAGCCTGAGTGACAGAGCGAAACCATGTTAAAACAAAAAAATTGCGCTGTGAAAGTTATCTTCTTAAACCAGTTATCAGCATTCAACTGTAACAACTAGTACCTAGTCTTCAGCCTTTTCCTCCATGGAATAAAAGATCGAGGGGAGGGAGGTACCTTGGTGGCCTCAGAATGTGTAAGGAGAAAGAGGTATAGAAAGAATGTGTGATTTCCTTTGGCTGAGGAATTAGCAGAATGGTTCTTAGTAGCAAACAGAAGGTAGCACAGTGTCATCTTTGTTGGAGAAATACCTTGTTATCAGAAATGATATGGCATGTTGTGAGTGTGTGTGCGCCTATCCCTCAAAGAGTGCCTATCCCTCTCTGTCTGGGGAATGATGATAAAGTAATTTGACTGATTCTGTAAGGAAAACTTCCAATGGATTGTGGTCAGAATCACTGACATTGGAAGGCACTGTTAACTCTAACATGCAGCTGTCATTGGAAATGTTATCAGATATGTTTTACTTGGTACTTTCATAGTTGGAGAATATCCTTTTGAACAACAGCAGAGATGACAAATCTTGCTCTTTCGAGGATGATTTTGATTTGAGGGGTGGAGGAACCACCAGAAATTGGTCAGAGCCATGACTGGTGATGTGAGTGACCATTTAGGCTTAGAAACATAACGTGGCTGGGCGCGGTGGCCCACGCCTGTAATCCCAGCACTTTGGGAGGCCGAGGCAGGTGGATCACCTGAGGTCAGGAGTCCGAGACTAGCCTGGATAACATGGTGAAACCTCGTCTCTACTAAAAATACAAAATTAACTGGGTGTTGTGGTGTGCACCTGTAGTCCCAGCTACTCGGGAGGCTGAGACAGGAAAATCGCTTGCACCCAGGAGGCAGAGGCTGCAGTGAGCCAAGATCATGCCACTGCACTCCAGCCTGGACAAGACAGAGCGAGACTCTGTCTCAAAAAAAAGAAAGAAAGAAACATAACAAAAAGCTCGCTATCGGGTCTCCTGGAGCTCCATTGTCAGTTCTTTAAAATGCCTTCTGGCCTGCTCCCCTGCTGCCTCCCCAAGAGGGCCATTAGAGGGGCTGGGAGACTGGCCCTATTTGGATGGTCACTCATGGATGAAGACCATGGGGCGCCAGCAGCATCAGCATCGCCAAGGCCAAGCAAGAAAGAGGATAGTTTCAGGGAGCTCCCTGGCTCATGAGCCACTTTGAGCTCCACTGGGGCCTGGCTGAGTTGTGTGTGCTGGAGCGGGAAAGGTTCCCGAAATGACTGAGCCAGGATGGAAAGACAGGGTACCACCACACTATAGCCACTCCAGGGTCTGCAAGTGGCCAGCAGTGCTCTGTCCTGCAAGGCCAGCCTGGCCTGTGACAAAGCTTTACAGGAAAGAGAACTGAACAGAAGTGTGTGTGTGTGTGTGTGTGTGTGTGTGTGTGTCTTTATTAGTAACATGGATCCAGCCTCTACTCCAGAAGAGTGTGTGTGCGTGTGTGTGTGTGTCTTTATTAGTAACATGGATCCAGCCTTTACTCCAGAACAGTGTGTGCATGCGTGTGTGTGTGTGCGTGTCTTTATTAGTAATATGGATCCAGCCTCTACTCCAGAAGAGTGTGTGCGTGTGTGTGTGTGTGTGTGTGTGTCTTTATTAGTAACATGGATCCAGCCTCTACTCCAGGTACCTGTATCAATAGAATTGCATTGTCCTTTTTAGAGTCCCCTCCTGAAGAATTTTTGCATCTTGCCTTATTTTCTTACTAAAGGAGTTGTGTGCAGATGCCCTCTTTCTTTTCATTTTGGAAATCTGAAGGGATTCAGGACAGTACCCAGTTCTTACTAATCTCCCCTTGGCGATTGGCTGAATCTCTGCCCAGAAATAAGTTGCATGTCCTTAGGTTACATTTGCTGTGCAGAAAATAGGCACATAAGCACTCTATATTAGGTCTCAGAATTTTAAAATTAGTTTTCTCTATTATAAAATTGCAGATATTCAGTATGCAGATTTTAGAAATACAAAAAATTGGCCAAGTGCGGTGGTTCACGCCTGTAATCCTAGCTCTTAGGGAGGCAGAGGCAGGAGGATAGCTTGAGCCCAGGTGTTCGAGACCTGCCTGGGCAATACGGTGAGACCCTGTTCTCAAAAATAAAAAATAGTAAACAAACAAACAAAAAACCTTATATTGGAAAAGCACAGCTGGAGATACCGTTAACACTTTGTTTTATACACTTCTAAGCTTTTCTCTATGCAAACCTGTGTGTTTAAAAAAGCTCTACTTCCAGGGGTTAAGAAAAGAAAAAAAAATTAAAATAAAAAAAAAATAAACAAAATTGATCAATTGATAGAACAATCAGTGGATAGATAGATAGGAGCATAGGCAGCTCTGTGGCCTGTCTTCCTATGGCACTTTCTTACTAAACTTCTAGAATGTGATCATTGCACACTGCATACCATAACACTGTGTGATTCATATATATGCATATTTTTTGTAATGAGAGAATTAGGCCTTTTTAGAATTACCAGTCATCTGCATTGGGATGGGATGCATAGCTTAGACTTTCCTTTGTGGCCTTCTGAGTTCTCTGATGCACTTTTCTCATAGGAACGCCCCATGTGTCTGGTGGGAAGATGCTCAGTGCTCTGGAGTCCACGGTGCCTCCCAGCCAGCCTCCACCTGTGGGCACCTCAGCCATCCACATGAGCCTGCTTGAGATGAGGCGGAGCGTGGCGGAACTCAGGCTCCAGCTCCAGCAGATGCGGCAGCTCCAGGTATTCCTCATGCACGGCGGCCTCTGTCTCGGTTGCCCTGAGCTCTTCCTACCTTCCTTTTCCTAGGGGCTCCGTGAAGACCTAGAGAATGTAGAACCATAGAAACAGCATGGCTTCCTCTCTCACACACACAATCCAAGTCTAGAGCCTTCCACTGCAACTATAGTCAATCTATAACCACTTCTTTTTTTTTTTTTTTTTTTTTTTTTTTTTTTTTTTTTGAGACGTAGTCTCGCTTTGTCCCCCAGGCTGGAGTGCAGTGGCGCGATCTCGGCTCACTGCAAGCTCCGTCTCCCGGGTTCACGCCATTCTCCTGCCTCAGCCTCCCGAGTAGCTGGAACTACAGGCGCCCGCCACCACGCCCGGCTAATTTTTTCTATGTTTTAGTAGAGACGGGGTTTCACCGTGTTAGCCAGGATGGTCTCGATCTCCTGACCTCGTGATCCACCTGCCTCGGCCTCCCAAAGTGCTGGGATTACAGTCTTGAGCCACCGCGTCTGGCCTACAACCACTTCTTTAAGCTGTGCGTACTTTTACGCAGGAAGAGACTCTAGGGCATTTGTTTTTGGAGAAGAGCCGAAAGGAGAGGGGCCACGGGGAGCATGCCGACAGCCAGTGAAGGCTGACTTCTGACAGCTTGGAGGCTCCATCCTCCTCCACACTGAACGGGGACAAAGGTGGATAGTCAGCCAAGCTTTTTTTTTTTTTTTTTTTTTCATTTTTTTTGCAAGGATCTGTGATGTATTTAGAACTATGAGTTTAGAATAGAAGATGAATTCATAAGGAAAAAAAGCCATCATGGTGATTTGTTACGAAAAACATCTGCATTTCATTCAGATACTGTGATCCATCCGTTCCTTGCTCTTTTCCATTGTTAAGGAATATATAAACTCTACGGGAATCAGGATAAGTGACCCTTCAGGTCACGAATCTTGGTCAACAAATCCCGTAAATCTGCCAAAGCAGAATAAGCTGTCTCCTGGGTAATAAGGAGGTAGAGATGTGCATCTCTGCATGAGACCACATATTTGCTCTGTGCACCTTCTCCCACCTCCCTGCCCTGGCTGGTAGGTTGGTCGTTGAGGATACAGTGCTGGCCTAGGCTCTATACAGATATCCTCCCTGACTTCCAGAAGCTCATAATCCAAATAGTGCTAGAAGATAGGGCCAGGTGTCATGGCTCATGCCTGTAATCCCAGCACTTTGGGAGGACGAGGCAGGTGGATGACGAGGTCAGGACTTCAAGACCAGCCTGGCCAATGTGGTGAAACCCCATTTATACTGAAAAAAAATTAGCCAGGCATGGTGGGGTGTGCCTCTAGTCCCAGCTACTAGGGAGGCTGAGACTTGAGAATCACTTGAATGTGGAAGGCAGAGGTTGCATGAGCCAGGATAGCACCATTGCACTCCAGCCTGGGCAATAGACCAAGACTATGTCTCAAAAAAAACAAGATAAATGTATCCAGGATCCTGGAGCAGCCATGGGGATGCAACCTCCTGAGCCCTTTCCTCTAATAGGAAAAAGGCTTCCAATCGGTTCTGCTTCTTCAGCACAGCGACAGCACAAGCCCTAAGTTGTTTAACCACCTAATGAAAGCTAAGAAAACAATTTCCCCTTGCCCTCTGCCTACCAGAAAACACACAGAAAGGCAGCTGGTTTGAGAGACCTGCCCCAAGGCCCCAGCATGGATCATGACGGTTGCTAGAAGAGTGAGGGCTCTGATCTCCAAAGGCTACTCTGTCTCTTAGGCAACATCCCAGATACCTTGAACATCTGATGCAAATTCATTTAAATCTCCTAGTGAATCTCATCGTCTGTGATGGCCCCATCCTTTGCATTAGCTTCCTCTCGCTTTGCAATTTTAAAGACACATTGCAATGAAATGAAGTGTACGGGTTGGGCTGGGTTGTGTCAGGGGGTGACAAAGTCACATGTCTTCAGTGTCCGGGCAGTAACAGCAAGTGAAATGGAGGAGAGACCACAGTAAATTGGCCCCTTTAAAGGATAGTAGCCACTCAGTTCCAACTGGCTCTTAACCTGATAGAATAAGTATCCAGTGTTTCTAGATGTTTCAATATTTCAAGCAAATCTGGAGACACAGGTTTTATATGAATTACCGCCATTTAAAAATGTTGGAAAGTAATTGAAAACTAATTACTGAGTACTCTGCAGGCCAAAGGACACAATTGCAGTTCAGAGGGGGCCTATCGGCTCCCAAGTTCGTTCTTACCTGGGGCTCCTGGAGGTCAAGCCCTTCCCTTCACTGCTCCTGCCTTTTGGCACCATCTGCTGGCCATTTCGAAATTGTTACCTCCTCATTGCGCCCTTTAAGAAAAACATACATATCATTTGTATGGAAGTACCTAACTGCTCTCAAAAGTGAGCATTTGTTGGTTTGGGGACAGGGATGGAATTGCTTTAGCATAAATGCCGCACTTCCCCTGGGAATTTCACAGGCGTTAGAGGTGAATTTGATACCAAGGCTCTCTTGATGTCTGTAGCTACAGCGTCACCCCATCAGTGGCTGGCGTAGTTTGGTCCTCTGGCCGGCTGGGAGGGATCTCTCACACTTGTCTCGCCTTGCAACCCTTGAACTGTGCAGCTTTGTGAAAAAGAGCAGTTTTCTTAAACAAAGAAGGTCTTTGGTCAAGGTCTAGGAATGCTGTGTTAACCACACAAGTTTCTTTATTGCTCCAGAACTACTCAACTTTTCTGGCTTTCTGGGAATAAAGAACAGTGAGCAAATGTGCTTTTGAGCCTGGGAAGTTGGGCAGTTCTAAAGCGCAGACTCGCAGGGAAAAATAAGCATGGTGTTTCCTAACCTGGCTGTTACTGTTTCTACCTCTGCATTTGTATTCCCTGGGTCCCATTCAGCTTTCCTCCCCATCAAACTTCTGTCTTTTCAATCGAGGGAGTCTACTTAAGACAAAAACAGCTTAGAATAATTAAGCTATCTCGGCACCAATTCTCCTTCAACATGTGCGGTATTATATACCAAAAATGAACTGCAGCCGCACAGTGGCTCTAAGTCCAATAATGGAGCTATCATTAGAGATATACGAAACACTAGACTAGTCTCAAAAGAACAAAAATTGAATTAGAAATTCAAATATTCTTTGAACTGTGTTATAAAATAGTGAAACTGAATAAAACCATTTGTGCTTGGCAGCCAGCTCCAGTAATTAGATAATTAAATCATTGGAAAATCCTAGACTGTAGAGCATATCCTATTTGAGCATTTCATTTTCAAAACTGATGGATTATTCTCAGGAATAGAAATTTGTTGCAGACACAATGGGGTGGGTAGATTTCAATGGGACAAGGGGAACCTAAGCAGAAGATCAAGGAAACCACTAAAAGCTTGTTCATGTTATCTTCTGCTCTCCAATTTCACAGGAGTTATCGGTCTAAGAGTGGTTCTCAATCCTGGCTACTCATTAGAATTATTTGAAACCCTTAGCAAAAATACCAGTGCTCAGGCACGATGGCCAGAGTCTGACTTCACTGGCACGGACTGGAGGCTAGGCACTGGTGACTCTAGAACATTCCAGGGTAAAAACTACTGTTTTTACCTCTTGGCTACAGGTAATATGAATGCTTAGTCCATGAAGACACCTCCTGGAAATGTTGAGATAGCCAGCTATTACCAATGACTTAAAGCCTTGACTTCAAACAATGCACCTCATTCCCAGTGGCTAATCTAGTATGTTCTCTGCTAGCTACATTTGGTATGAGAGCTATATGGAACCTTTATAGTGTGATATTCCCATTCCCAAATAACGGTTGGGTCTGTAATTAGCTAGCAACAATGGGAAAGGGTTTTGTCAAGGTTTTGTGCCTAACAGATGTTCTCCTCCAATGATGATTATGTTTGCCTGTTACCTTTCCTGATATCATTTTGAAAAAAAGCCCACTTTTTCTAAATAATGAACATCTTTTTCCCAAAATGCCACAGTACTTGGATTTTACCAAAGTCATCCCATATCTACAGAAGTGACTGCACTTCTTCCCCTCCTTGTGGGTGGCTGAGGAGAGAGAGAGAAGCTTCTGGAAGAGATGGTACAGGTTCTGTGGAGGCCAGATAGGCTTGGCATAAAGAGAGGATGGCGACCTCCTACTTCTTTCATCCCCAATCTCTTTATTCTGCTTCCTGATAAATAAAAAATTGGGTTGTTCATTACATTTGTAGGACTCCTGAGAATTTACTGTCCCTTCCCAAGAGAAGGAGGAGGTAAAATATCAACATAAAAAATAAACACAGTAGTGCATAGAGCCCTATGTATTTGAAATGATACAATTCAATACAATTTCCTTAATGTGTCTTTTTATGAGATGGCGCCTCGTGGAAATGTGCCAGGGTCTCATTTATCTTCTGACATGCATAACAATGGTCACGGGAATGCGGATCCCTGAGAACAGCATATTGGAGTTTCCCATGTGCAACAGACCCGTGTCCCCTGCCAAGCAGAAATAATAAACGGAACTAGTACAGGGCTTGACGATTAGGCTGCTTACAATGTGCCAAGGTCTAGTCAGATCTTCAGACAACAAGAAGCTTTCTAAGATGGGGAGACAGCACCCCAATAACATGGGTTATATAGCTGTGACCAGGCATCCCTTGTCTTGTTCCCTGAAGCCTGCAGGAACAGATCCAGGTGGGATCAGGAGTCGTTCTGAGGTCTGGCTTTCCTCCTGAATCTTTCTGATTTGTGGTATAACCACTGTTCCATGTCACTGCTAGACAGCAAAATCAGTCCAATTACATTATCCATTGTTGGCAAGACTGATAGTCTTAGATTTTACCTAAGAAATCAAAATTGAGTATGTGAGATATAGGTCCATTTTCAGGTTGGGGGAATTAGGTTTAGGCATTTGCTAGTTTCTCCATGAAGTGATTTGGATAACTTATTTGGTCCAATTAAAATTTTAATGGACAAGAGCATTATTTCTGTCTCTTATTTTACAAGAGTGCTTATAAAAATGGCAAAGCATTTTCAATAAATTATCTTTCTAGCTATGAGGAATAACTGCAACTCTACTTGCCCTCCCACTGTGGGCAACTAGAAAACTGAAAAATAAGCAAATGTATGAAACAAATGTTTTCAGAAATTAAACAACACAGGACCGTAATCCTTAGGAGAATGGGGGGAAAAAACCTACAGTTGACCCAGCTTTCTGTCTGGAGGCACTTTTCAGATCTTGGTGCAGGAAGGAAAAACCCAAGCATGGCACTGACAGTGAGTTGAGGAGATAAGACCAAAGTTTAGAGAGAGCTGAAACAGCTAGAACTGGTGGACTGGAGAACCAAACACAAGAAAGCTCTGCAGAGAAAGAAGTACATCAATAAATGGGTCTGTTATTAAATATTAAGCCAAGCATGTACAGTGTGAAAGCAACCGCTAAGCCAGGCAGAAACTAAGTCGGGGGCTGTAAGCCAAAAAGTTCCCGAAGTTCACACAGGCCTGGGAGATGTTCACGTTTTGAAAAGCAAAAAGCGAAGAGGCCTTGTTGAGCACCTGGGCATTTTGTAGAGATCGGAGAAGGACTGTGCCTCAGTCTTAGGACTAAACTAGCCCCAGAGGAAAGACTACCCTTGATTTAACCTAACTGCTTAAAAATAAGCCTTTAAAGGACAAAGCTGATCCACAAGTAACTGGACTGTCTGCCAGAGAAAGTCCAAAATCTGTAAAGGAAAACAACAAAATTCAGAGCTCCATGCCCAATATCCACTCAAAAATTACTAGACATGTGATGATGCTGACAAATGTGACCTATAACATTAAGAAAAATTTGTCAAGAGAAACCAACCAGACATGGCAGGGATAATGAAATCAGCAGCAAGGACTTCAAAACAGCTATTATAATTATTCTCAAGGATTTAAAGGAAGACATGAACATAATGAGGAAAGAAATGGAAGATATAAAAAATATCCAAGTGGAGCTTTCAAGAGCTGAAAAACAATATCCAAATGTGCTTAACAGAAGATTAATCACTGCCCAAAATGTCAGTCACCCTAAAAACAGCAATGGAAACTGTTCAAACTGAAGTATAGAGAGACAAGAGACTAAAGAAAATGAATTAAAATGTAGTGACCAGTGAGACAATATTAATAAAAGATGAAGTGGAAAGAGAAAAATATTCAAAAAGGTAATGACTGAATTTTTTCCAAATTTGATGAAAGCTGTAAATCCACAGACCAAAAAAGCTCAGTGAACCCCTAGAATGGTAAGCACAATGGAAATTGCACCAAAGCACATGGTAGTCAAATTGCTAAAAACCAGAGATAAATGGAAAAATCTTCAAAGCAGCTGGGGGTGGAGAGAAAACCCATTACATACAGGAATCACAATTAAGAATTAATGCCAACTTCTCATCAGAAACAAAAGGCAAGTCAGGACACAGTGGAATGACGTCTTTAAAGTATTGAAAGGAAGAAAAGTCTTTCAGAAAACAGAGAATACTTCCTAACTCATTTTATGAAGCCTGCATTACCCTAAGAGCAAAACCAGACAAAAATATTATAAGGGAAGAAAACCACAAACCAATATCCCTCACGAAAATATATGTAACAAATCCTTAACAAAACGTTAGTAACTGAATCCAGCAATATATAAAAAGAATAATACATTATCCTGGGGTTTTATTCCAGGAATGCAAGATTGTTTTAATACGAAAAAAATCAACGTATTTGACCTTATTAACAGAAAAATCGTATTTCAATAAATGCAGAAAAAGCATGTAACAAAATTTAGCATCAATGATAAAAACAGCGCTCTAGAAGTAGAAGGAAGCTTCCTTACCTTGATAAACAATGTTTGTGAATGACCTACAGAAAACATAGTTAATGGTGAAACACTAAACACATTCCCCATAAAATCAGGAGCAAGGCCAAGAAACCTACTCTGACATCTGTTTAACACTGTACTGAAGATTGTAGCAAGTTCAGTATGGCTAGAGAAAGAAATAGAGTCACACAAATCGAAATGTAAAATGTCTAATTGGCTTTACTCACAAATGACATGATTATATATGTGTAACATTAAATGGAATCTACAAAACATGCTACTAGAAATAAGTGACTTGAGCAAGATCACAAGAATCAAGTCAATGTACACAAATATTAAAATTTTGTTATATCCATTTGTACAATGAAATGCCACTTAGCAATAAAAGAATGAATCACTGAAAAACTCAGCAACAGGGCTGGATCTCAGAAAAACATATTCTGAACAAAATAAGCTGGACACAAAGGAGCACATGTTATATAATTCCATTTTTATAACGTTCTAGAACACAAAGAACTCATCTATAATGACAGAAAGCAGAGTGGTGGTTTCTTTGGGCTGGGGCTTGGGGATTGATTGTAAAAGGTCTCAAAGGAATTTTTTAGGATGATAAAATATATAGCTGTCTTTCAGCAGTGGTTACATCAGTGTATACATTTGTCAAAATTCATCGAACGGTGCACTTAAGATGGATATGTTTTATTGTCTGTAAACTTTGTGCCTCAAGACAGTTGATTTTAACTATTGAAATGTAGGTATCACCTCTTAAGCAAAAACCAACTTAACAATTTGAGCTTCCAAAAAGTAATTTACTTGAAGCATTTAGAGAAAGATGGTGATCCACATCATATCTTTAGCACTTTTTTACACTGTGCTCAGATAAGCAGGAACTGTCCTGCAGCCTGGAGACAGTGGCAAGAACACCAGACAGGGAGGGCAGGGGGACTGGGAAAGCAGACAGAGAACCTATGTAGACCTTGTTCATTCATGATTCACTCCTCATTGCCCACGTGCCAGCCGGTGAGCTATGACAGCTTCCCTCTTTAGTACCCTCAGCAGGATCCTGTAAGGCCCCGCTTTCTAGACAGGAGGATAATAAAGCCTAGGATTGAAACAGAGCCTCTCCCTCTCCTCCTCTTCTAGTGGAGTAAGTCTAGTTGTGTTTAAACATTATGCCCCGTTGTATTTTCCAATATTTCTTATCCTTCTCAGAAACGTTATATTGCGATTCATTCATAGAGCAAATACAGTTGCCCCTTGAACAACATGGGGGTTGGGGTGCTGACCCCTCATGCAGTAAGAAATCCATAACTTTTGGCTCCCCCAAACTTAACTACTAATAGCCTACTGTTGAGTGGAAGCCTTACCAATAATATAAACAGTTGATTAACACATATTTTGTATGTTGTACATATTATATACTATATTTGTTTTTTTCACATGCCTGCTGTGTCAAATATATACTGTATTCTGACAATAAAGTAAGTTGAAGAAAAGAAAATGTTATTAAGAAAATCATAAGAAAGGGAAAATCATAATATTCATTAAGTGGAAGTGGATCATTATAAAGGTCTTCATCCTCATTGTCTTCTCATTGAATAGATTGAGGAAGAGAAGGGGTTGGTCTTGCTGTCTCAGGGGTGGCAGAAGAGGAAGGAAATCTACATATAAGTGGACCCATGCATGCAGTTCTAACCTGTGTTGTTCAAGTGTCAACTGTATATGTTGGGTACCTACCATGTGCCACACGCTGCTTGTAGCTGTGAACAAAATGGCATGCTCCCTGCCTTGATAGAAGAACAACTTGGGGTGGTGGGGAAATTGATGAGTTGAATTCAGAAGACCTGGTTCTAATCCTAACTGTGCTCTCTAATTGCCGAGCACACCCTGAGCATGTCCTTTGACTTCTCAGGGCCTCACTTTTCCCACCTTTCAATTTTATGAATTTTAAATATTCCACCAATAATTTCTAGCATGATATCCATTGTTAATATCCACTATCTAACCAGACCCCAGATTTACGTAAGCTTGTTTTAAAATTTGGGCAGGAGGGTTAGGTGCCCTGCTGTGCCCCATAGCTCATGGCACAGTGACATCATCTGTCTATTCAAAAGCCCTTTTCTTAGTCCATGAAATCATCCTTGGTGGCAAATCGAATCATATGAGGAGTTTTAGAAATTCCCAACAACCAGACGGTACCTCAGACCAGTAAAATGAGAATCTCTCAGTTGGGACCCAGGCATTGGTCACTCTTAGACCCATTTAATTATCTACTCATTTTCCCCTCACAACCCTGTCATCACTCATTCCCGCCCCCTTCAAAGGCAGGAGCTCTGTGGGATTGGACACAGGGACTGAAGTTGAGCAAATCATCTTGATAGCACGTGGCTTTGCTGTGTGTGGTTAATCAACCGATATGAACAGTGCTGACCTGTAGCCCTGCCACATCCCCGCAGTGAGAGCAAGACAAGGCACAGGAGAGCTGATCCCAACACATATCTAAGCCCATGGGTCACAGCAGGTTTCAACCATTTAGAGAAGAATTTTGGATTCTTCATTGTTGCCTGTTCTTATCAATGTTACTGATTCATTCAGTTCATTCATTCAACAGATGTATTTTCAGTTTTCTGCTAATATGCCAGACACAGTGTACCAGAGACTCTGTGGAGGGCAGAAATTAACCAGGTGGAGGGAAGAGCATTCTGGGAGATGGGAATAGCAGGTGCAAAGGCCTGGCAAATAGGAGTCTGGCGGAGGTTGCAGTGAGCTGCGATCACACCACTGCACTCCACCCTGGGCAACAGAGTGAGACTCTGTCTCAAAAAAAAAAAAAAAAAAAAAGGAGCCTGGCCCCTATGAAGAACTGAAATGATGTATGGCTTGAGCAGAGTGCCAGGTGCATGGAGGGAGGGAGATTAGCCACAAGGGAAGCGACCAGATTGCCCAGCGCCTGGAGAATGGGCTGCAGCCAGAGAGAGCATAGGAGGATGTTGTTCTCTGTACACTGTCTCTAAAAATGGTGCTTTTTGGCTGGGCACGGTGGCTCATGCCTGTAATCCCAGCACTTTGGAAGGCTGCGGCGGGCAGATCACTTGCGGTCAGGAGTTCGAGACCTGCCTGATGATCATGGAGAAACCCCATCTCTACTAAAAATTCAAAATTAGCCGGGTGTGGTGGTGTGGTGGGCACCTGTAATCCCAGCTACTTGGGAGGCTGAGGCAGAAGAATCGTTTGAACCCGGGAGGCAGAGGTTGCAGTGAACTGAGATCGTGCCATTGCACTCCAGCCTGGGCAACAAGAGTGAAACTCCATCTCAAAAAAAACAAACAAGCAAAAAAATGATGCCTTTTAGCAAAATAGTGACTGACTGGCTTTTAATACCACAATAAAAAGACATTAGCAAAAGTGGTGTGAGAGCATGATCATGAGTCCTGTAGAGAAAGTAACCAAAAGTGATACATTTCTATGTGGTTCCCTCCCAGACAAAATGCCAGGCTCCACCCACTAGTTCACCCTCCCTGTTAGCAATGGCTGGTACGTGTTCAGGTTTAGATTGGTGCCAGACACTTTATTTTATTGTCTCACCGAGTCTCCATGACCAACCTACGAGCTATGAGATATTACTACCCCTTTTTTGGATAGACACAGAGGTGAATAGCTTGCCCATGGACACACATCTACTAAGTGGTAAAACTGGAAATCGAACCCAGGCAGTCTTTCCCCAGAGGCCAGTTCATCACCATGCAGTGCTGATGTTGGGACCTAATGGTGGTTCTGCTTGTGGCCTGTGTTGAAATGTTTTATCTTTATTCAGAGAAAACAGAAGGCATGATGTGGCTTTAAGCAGGTGGTGACATGGTCAGATTGCATTTCCCCTCAATTTACATGGATAATGGACAGTTGACAAAGACATCATCACCCCCATGAGATGATAAACCAGTCCATGAAACCGGAAAACAGGAAACCATTGAAATTTGTTAAATGATATTTCAGTGGAACTTTGGGGATAATATACTAGGCATAATATCATTATTGTGATGGAGGCTGATTGAGTGAATTCACTCGATGGAGCTGCTGTTAGAAAATTGTCCTGCTCCAGGGACTCAAGTGCTCAACCAGACTCCTGCGAAGCCTGAATAAAGCTCCCACCTCCTATATTCTCTGGGATGAGAAACAAGAATGTTCTCGGAACTGTTTGGAAATTGTGAGTTCTGTATACAGGTAGCCTACCTCCAATCTAGAGAAATTCATAAATTGCCAAAAGCCCTGGACTCATCCAGAATCATTATCATTGCCAACATTAAAGTCCTATGTTTTAAGCATCTGTGATTTCATGGTACTTGGTACATGGAACCATGTGAACGAAAAGGACACAGATCCTCTTTGAACTGATACTGACGTATTTCATAGCCAAATCACCACGTGTTGAGTTCCCATTCTACACCATGCGGTATTTCATGTAACCCTCAAGAATGGCCAAGGAAAGTGGATTCCCCATCATTAGAGGTAAGGAAATGAAGACCAAGGGAGTCTAAATAATGGGCCCAAAGTCTCACAGTGGGCTAGAGAGAGAGTATGGGATTAGACCCAAAGTCTTCTTGGCTCCAAAGCAGGTGCCCTGTGCTGCTCCCTCTAAAGATACATCAGTGAGAGTTTACGCCTGTTGTCCATGATGCATTGACCAGAGTAGAAAAAGGATCCTTTGTCTTGCAGGCAGTCTGGTTGCCAGTTGGCTGCCAAAATTCAGATGTTGGTGGAAGAAGCCACATTATGTACAGTCTTTGCTCCCTTTCCTTTCTCATTGAAATAAGTAAAGATTCAGCCGCAGGGCTGTCTACCCAAAGTGCTCCGAAGACTTCAAGGCATTCACTCGCCTCCATTTCAGGCAGGCAGAGCCCACTGAGGTTGATTTTTTTGTGTTCACAGCTGCAGAACCAGGAGTTGCTGAGGGCAATGATGAAGAAGGCCGAGCTGGAAATCAGTGGCAAAGTGATGGAAACAATGAAGAGACTGGAGGATCCCGTGCAGCGACAGCGCGTCCTAGTGGAGCAAGAGAGACAAAAATATCTTCATGAGGAAGAGAAGATCGTCAAGAAGTTGTGGTGAGTGCCAGTCACTTGCATGTTGAGCTGTTTCACCTGCAAAGGAAAATTATCATTACTAAGAAGGAGGTCCTTCCCAGTTGGTGGTCTTGCCCTCTCTTTATTGAGCACCTACTGTGTAAAAGTTAGAGTTCTGCTGATGCTGGTATATGTGGACACTTCAGCACCTGTCCATGGAGGCCCAGGAAATTCAGTGGCCCTCAGGTGACTGAATTTCTTTAAAAGTTGCGGCATTGCTGGGCATGGTAGTTCACACCTGTAGTCCCAGTTACTCATGAGGCTGAGGCGGGAGGATTGCTTGAGTCCAGGAGTTCGAGACCAGCCTGGGTAACACAGGGAGATCCTGTCTCTTAAAAAAAAAAAAAAAACAGAGAGAGTTGCAGCTTCATACTCTCCTCCAGGGCTCAGCAACACACAAAATTAAAAGGAGTAAATGGCAAAACCCAATGGCAAATAGGAAGCCTATATTTCATCTCAATAAATTAAAACTAATGGCCAAAATAACACAGCTCTAAAATTATCTTCCTATTATTCAACTGTAGTTAAAATTGCAAAAGAAGAATTTAAATGTAAAATGTATCTGATCCAGAATGAAAAATGCTTCCTTAGCTGTTATGAATGTTATTTAAGGTTCTTATTGAAAGCATCTATCAAGTCCTACTATTGAAATGAGCAGAATTTTATTACTCCCCCGTCACCAGGCAGGCACATCTTTTATGGTAATTGTATGTTTTGGTATGCAATGAAGATTTATCATAGAACTATCTCACCTTTTAGTATAATGAATAGTAATTTTGAGGGGTTTCTCCAGTGTTGATAATTCTCTTGTTTCTTGGAAAACTTAAATCTTTCAAATGGGGATTGTAAGGGAGCAGTTTGCAAACTCTTCTCATGGCCATAATGAGAAAAGATTTCCATGATGGAAAGCATTGTGCTCAGTCACCTATCTCCTATTGGAGCTGTGGCTCGTGTCGCCCTGGATGCCAACCTAATGTGTTTGATTAAAATTAGAGTGTCCCTCTCAGCAGTCTAGAGGGAAAAAAACATCAATTTGAGTTATTCTTTTCCTAATAAATTAAATTAGGCTGCTGTTCATCCATATCTCAAAATAGCTTCCAAAATTCTACTTAGTTCACACATTTATAGACAGAGTTAATCACCCACCATGAGTTGGTAAGGCTGTTATTTGTCTGAAATGTCTTTGTGACAGCCCAATTATCTAAAACTAGGTCTCCAGTTTCTTCTTTAAAACTTCTTTTAAAATGCATATCCTGGCTGGGCACGGAGGCTCATACCTGTAATCCCAGCACTTTGGGAGGCCGAGGCAGCCAGATCACCTGAGGTCAGGAGTTCGAGACCAGCCTGGCCAACATGGCAAAACCCCGTCTCTACTAAAAATACAAAAAAAATAGCTGGCCATTGTGGTGTGTGCCTGTAGTCCCAGCTACTCAGGAGGCTGAGGCAAGAGAATTGCTTGAACCCGGGAGGGGAAGGTTGTGGTGAGCCGAGATTGCACCACTGCACTCCAGCCTGGGCAACAGAGCACAACTCCGTCTCAAAAAATAATAGTAAAAATAAAAATAAAAATATATATCCTTTTAAAAACATTTATATAAATTTTCCAATAAAATTATGAAAAAAAATTTTTTTGAGTTGGAGTCTTGCTCTGTTGCCCAGGCTGGAGTGCAGTGGCATGATCTCGGCTCACTGCAACCTCCAACTCCTGGGTTCAAGCCTATTCTCCTATGTCAGCCTCCCGAGTAGCTGGGATTACAGGTGCACACCATGATGCCCAGCTAATTTTTGTATTTTTAGTAAAGACGGCGTTTCACCATATTGGTCAGGCTGGTCTCAAACTCCTGACCTCAGGTGATCCACCTGCCTCAGCCTCCCAAAGTGTTGGGATTACAGGCATGAGCCACCACGCCCGGCCAGTAAATTTCTTCTTTTTAAAAATTGTGTTTATTGGTTAGCTGAGATAATTCTCACTTCTGGCCTAGAAAAGCCATCTTTAATCTCAATAATACTCTGAGATTACAGCCTAGCATAGGAATGAGACAGAAAAGGTAGTGGAACGAACATATCATAAGAGGGCTTTATCTGGTTGGATTTGTGGGAAGGCCACAGATGAGTAAAAGAGGCAAAGAGCCCTTGAGGATCTTCAGTCTAGCAAAGGCAACCTGATAAATAGGAGTATAGCCCCGAACAGGGGATTTACAGGTACCAGTTGTACCCACACAAAAGAGAGACTAACCCAGGGATCAGGAAGACTTAACCTGAATGAAGTCATTCTTTGTATGACCCACAGGCCACAAACAGTATCTTGCACATAGTAGTTTCAGAAATGGTTTGTTAGGCTGGGCACAATGGTTCATGCCTATAGTCCCAGCAGTTTGGGAGGCTGAGGTGGGAGAATCACTTGGGACCAGGAATTCAAGAACAGGCTGGGCAATATAGCAGGACCCTGTCTCTACTAAAAATAAAAAATTAGCCAGCTGTGGTGGCATGCCTCTGTAGTCTCAGCTACTCAGGAGGCTGAAGCAGGAGGATCGTTTGAGCCCAGGAGTTCAAAGCTG
Source organism: Homo sapiens (assembly GCF_000001405.40). NCBI lineage: Eukaryota > Metazoa > Chordata > Mammalia > Primates > Hominidae > Homo > Homo sapiens. The sequence continues at coordinate 24,516,011 of NC_000010.11, forward strand.
CAGTGAGCTATGACTGCACCTCTGCATTCCAGCATGGATATCAGAGCAAGACTCAATCTCTAAAACAAGAAAGAAGAAAGAAAGAAATGGTTTGTTAAACTCAACTGAGGTGGCCTTGAAGATGGGGAGATTGCATCAGCAGAGGCTAGAGATGGAAGGACTTCCAGGCAGTAGAACCCTGCAAACCAACAAGTTTCTGGCCTGGAAAATGCAAGATGTCTTTAGAGAACTGGGGAGCAGTCCAGTTAGGCAGCAGAGTTGGGTGCAAGATACTAATAACATCCCATATTTGGGGAGTGTCATTCCCATTTGCACACTGACTTCCTGTATCTTAGACCATACTCAGGCCTCACATACCTGCTTGATGCCTGTCTGGGCTGTGCCTACAGAGATTGGAAGATTCTGTAAGAGAAACCTGGATTTCTGGCTTTTCTTGAAAGTTCCGGGGTTCAACCCCAGATTCACAATTTCTGTGGATGGGGCTTAGGAATCTGCAGTTTACAAACAAAGCCGGTGATTCTGAAGCACTTTCACATTTGAGAGTTACTGCCTAGAATGATGAGGAAGACACTGAGTGTTTGGGTTTGTTTGGTTTTTGTTTTTGATCAAGGAAGTAGCAAAGCTAGAGCTGTATTGGAGAGAGGTCCCTCTGGTGATCATGTGCCGGACTGATTAAGAGGAAAATAGATCAGTGACTAGGAGACCATATGGGAAGCTACTGTATCCGTCAGGCAAAAGGCAGTGAGGCCTGAACCACATAGTAGAAGTAAGAAAGAAGTCAAATGCAAAACGTCCTATGGTATTCACCGTCTAAGACTAGCTCTCAAAATTCTTCTTTAAAACACCTTTTGAAATATATATCCTTTTGGCTGGGTGCAGTGGCTCATGCCTGTAACCCCAGCACTTTGGGAGGCTGAGGTGGGAAGATCGCTTGAGCCCAGGAATTCAAGACCAGCCTGGGCAACGCAGGAACACAGGGACACCCAATGTCTACAAAATAAAAATTAAAATTAAAAATAAACCCTAGCCGATCATGGTGGCACACACCTGTGGTCCCAGCTACTCAGGAAGCTGAGGTAGGAGCATGGCTTGAGCCTGGCGGGTCAAGGCTGCACGATCACACCACTGCACCCCAGCCTGGGTAACAGAGCAAAACCCTGTTAAAAAAAAAAAAAAAACTAAAAATATCTATATACATATATATCCTTTTAATAATGGTAGTGTAAATTTTCCTTCCATAAGGTATAAAGTAGGTTAACTGATTGGATGGCTAGATCTGAATGGCAAGACAGCAGGTTATAAAAGACAGCTGGAAATAGCTAGAAGAGAAGAACTAGAATGTTTCTAGCATGAAGAAAAGACAAATATTTAAGGTGACGGATATCCCAAGTACACTGATTTGATCTGTACAAATTATATGTACTAAATTATCACATGTACCCCAAAACTCACATCTATTATGCGTCGATTTTTAAAAAGAGCTTATTTTTTAAAAGCCAGAAATTTCAACTCTGGAATATCAGAACAGTGATATCCCTCTTTCCTTCCCCTCTCCCTCCTCGTTCTCCTTTTTGTTCTTCTCCTTCTTCTTCTTCCAAGTACTAGAATATAAGTCTCCTTGTGGAGCATGTTAGGTTGAATTACTGGTGAGCCATTCAGAAGGCAGAGAGAAGAAACTTGGGCCTAAAACTGTGAAGAGATGGGCTGGGCACAGTGATTCACACCTATAATCCCAGCACTTTGGGAGGCCAAGGTGGGTAGATCACTTGAGGTCAGGAGTTAGAGACCAGTCTGGCCAACATGGCGAATCCCTATCTCTACTGAAAATACAAAAATTAGCTGGGCATGGTGGCGGGCACCTGTAATCCCAGCTACTCAGCAGGCTGAGGCAAGAGAATCACTTGAACCCGGGAGACGGAGGTTGCAGTAAGCTAAGATCAGGCCACTGCACTCCAGCCTGGGTGACAGAGAGAGACTGTCTAAAAATAAAAAAATAAAACTATGAAAAGAAATTGGGTCTAGATAATTTCTACATGAAAATAATAATTGGTCTTCTAATAACAGTCAAGTGAAATACATTCCAACAAACTGCATGCTTCTTTTTAACAAAGCTAGGATGAAAAGCCACTTAAACAAATAGAATGCTGTAAACTGTGACGTCTATGAATATCTGACATTCTGTGGAGCAAAGCTGATATTTTAAAAGTCATATTGATTACCATGTCAAAAATTTATTTCCAGCATTCATTTTAGCCCCATGTCTCTGTTACATTTTTGAATGAACAAATTTGATTTTTAATGTTTTATCTAAAGTAGGTATCATAAACGTTTGCATAGAAGTGATATTGTTGTGTACAATTGTATCAATATACATTTCTGTATATTCCATAAAGCTGTGAAGTTTAAGCGTCTCCGTATGCAAGGTTGTGAAATCCAAGAGGCATATTGTATAGAAGAGATCAAAACAGAATTCTAGGCAGACTGACTTTGAGTCAGATGACAGCTCCTTGAAGTATTAATTACGCACTGACAGACATGTTGGTTGTTCACGGAACCAGGAAAATATTTGGTCCTTAGCTCTTCCAGCAAAGCTTTGCAGGACTGGACCCTGTGTCCAGTCAATACAGGGAAGTCATTCTGTTTGGTTGTGCAATAGAAAAGAACTTTTCCACACGAAGTTACCATATTTATTTAGAGCCCTTCAGTGAGGTGGCACAATCTCTTCGTGTCAAGAATCCAATAGCTGTAGGAAGTTTCCCGTGGGTGTGTTCACAGAACACTGGGCCCCTTTCCATAGTTCACAGACGTGGACAATGAGCAGATGAGGCTTTCTCCCTCTGGTCCTGAAGTAGCATCATTTCATCTGAAATGGCCACAAGCAATTTTGGTTTATTTTTCATAACAGAATCAAAGACATCACCAAAAACTCCATCCCACTTCTTGCAGGGGAGGAATTTGTTATTTTCCCTTGGATCCTGTTGAACACATGTGGCATCCTGCCTGAACCCCTCCCGCAGCTGCCATGCGATCCAGAGCTCCATCCACTTGCCCACCTAAGTGGAAAGGGCCTTCGAGGGCCATCAGTTTGCAGACGACACTGTGCATTCCTTTTTCTCTTTCGGACGCTGGCTCCACAATCCGGGCTCCAGGAGGTGGAATCGCTGTTCACTTACTGCCCCCTAGTGGTCCGCATTTCTGAAAGTTCTTTATCCCTGTTTCCTTTGAGATTTTTCTCCGTAGATTTATAGGTGTTTAGGATGGGGTTAGTAATGTGGCCAAGGAGGTGGTTGTTTTCTCAAGGGTGAGACCTCGTCTCCGATCTCCGTCTCTTGGAGCTAGCATTCCCCTCTATCCACAGACACCACGTCTGTCGTCATTTTTATTTTCTGCAATCATTTCTTCTCTTGGTAGCTTGGAGAAGAGTTCATCCTTGTTGATGAGACAATCAGTATAAACCAGAGGTTCTCATTTAGGGGCAATTTTGCTCCCCCTTCCCCAGGGACATTGGACAATGTCTGGGTCTGGAGACATTCTGGTTTGTCACAAGCTGGGGTAGGCAAGGTTTCTACTGGCATCCAGTAGATGAAGGCCAGGGGCGCTGCTAAACATCGTACCGTGCAGTTTCCCCACACCACAGCGAAGAATTACACAGCCCAAAATGTCAAATGCTGAAGTTGAAAAGCCTGATATTAACCACTGTGGGCTTCTTGTTTTACTGCACCGCAGGTCGGTCTCCCTCTCTCTCTCTTTCTCTCTTTCTCCCTCTCTCTCCTACCCCACCCTCCCACCTATCCCTCCTTCTGTCCCTCTGTTGGCATCAGCACCACTGAATAAAAAGACTCGGTCCTCTGTTAGCCAGGCACAATCGTCCCTTTGGCCAATGTAGAACATTCCCTGGAAAACCCTCCTTGTACCTGCCTCACACCACTGCAAAATGTTCCCAGCCACTGTTAAAAGATGAGCGACCCCCCTCCACCACCACCACACGAAAGGCAGGGGGGAGGAGCTGGGGCTCTACACAAAATCAGAGGCTGAGACGGGCACTCGGCCCCTCCTCTTCCTCTGTGAGGCCTCGTGTTCAGCTCTATGTGCTGGTGTCCTTGCTCCCGCAGCGAGTTGGAAGACTTTGTTGAAGACTTGAAGAAGGACTCCACGGCAGCCAGCCGATTGGTTACTCTGAAAGACGTGGAAGACGGGGCTTTCCTCCTGCGTCAAGTGGGAGAGGCTGTAGCTACCCTGAAAGGTAAACTTTCTGCTGGGTCGGGGGAGGAGTCTGAGCTGTCTTTCCTGCGGTGTTTAAAAATCTGCCACATAGAGGATTCATTCATGTATGCAAGTATTTATTAAACGTCTACATGTGCCAGGCATTGTTCTGGACACTTGGGATACCCCACAGCACAAAGTAGGTGCACATCCCCCTCTTCTTGGAGCTGGTATTAGAGTGGGTGCTGTAAGATTTCACACTAAATGATTCCAGTAACACTTTCTATTTGCTAGGCTCTTACAGTGCACCGGGATGCATGTGCCAAACCCGTTAAAAACACAAGGTGGGAGGATCACTTGATCCCAGGAGTTCAAGACCAGCCTGGGCAATATAGAGAGACTCACATCTCTACCAAAAAAAAAAAAAAAAAAAAAAAAATATATATATATATATATATATATACACACACACACAAAAAAAAATTAGCCAGGTGTGGTGGTGCATGCCTGTGGTACCAGCTACTTAGGAGGCTGAGGTGGTAGGATCTCTTGAGCCTGTGAGGTCAAGGCTATGGTGAGCCACCATTGCACCACTGCACTCCAGCCTGGCAGCCTGGGTGGCAGAGTGAGACCCTGTCTCCAAAAAATAAAAATAAAAAACAAAAAATAAAAAATTAAATTAAATTAAAAACCTGTAACCAGGCACGGTGGCTCACGCCTGCAATCCTAGCACTTTGGGAGGCCAAGGCAGGAAAATCGCCTGAGGCCAGGAGTTCAAGACCAGCCTAGGAAACATAACAAAACCCCATCTCTAAAAAAAAAAAAAAAGTTTTTTTTTTTTTTTTTTTCTGGCCAGGCGTAGTGGCTCATGCCACTTTGGGAGGCTGAGGCGGGCAGATCACTTGAGGTCAGGAGTTCGAAACCAGCCTAGCCAACAGAGTAAAACCCTGTCTGTACTAAAAATACAAAAATTAGCTGGGCATGGTGGCACAAACCTGTAGTCCCAGCTACTCAGCTGAGGCAGGAGAATTACTTGAACCCAGGAGGCGGAGGTTACAGTAAGCCAAGATCATGCCACTGCACTCCAGCCTGGGTGACAGAGGGAGACTCCATCTCAAAAAAAGAAAAAAAAAGTTGAATTAGCTGGGCATGGTGGTGTGCAGCACCTAAATAGTCCCAGCTATCCAGGAAGCTGAGGCAGGAGGATCGCTTGAGCCCAGGTGTTTGAGGCTCCAGTGAGCTCTGATCATGCCACTGCACTCCAGCCTGGATGACAGAGTGAGACCCTGTCAGCCAGTCAAATTAAAAAGTAATAATAATAACCCTAATGGTCAATTGGCTTTATCCCAAATACACAGACAGGAAACAGGCCTAGAGGAGCTTTACCCTTGCCCAAGGTGAGTTTCTCCAATGCTCCTCTGTGCTCTTAACCCACTGCCACCTGAAGATGTGTGAGCCACCCTGTGGCTTGTGAACTCTGCACTTCTCTGTCCAGTATCGGAGTGCGGGATGAGGGTTGTCGTTCTGGCTTTTTCTCCTCCAATTCACCTGCTGGTTTGGGCCTGCAGGAGAATTTCCAACCTTACAAAACAAGATGCGAGCCATCCTGCGCATAGAAGTGGAGGCCGTGCGGTTTCTGAAGGAGGAGCCACACAAGCTGGACAGTCTCCTGAAGCGTGTGCGCAGCATGACAGACGTCCTGACCATGCTGCGGAGGTGACCGGGCCCTCATCGTGCTGGGGGTGGCCTGCGGAGGGGTGCACTGGGAAACCGAGAGTGGACGTTTGGGACTTCAGCCTTCCACCATGCTCCCAGGACACATCCAGTGTCCTGAGGAAAAGCCCCAAGTCCTTCTCACCCTTGAACTTTTATTGCAATATGGCTTGAGGTTCTAATTCTTCAACACAGGATTGCTAGGTGGAGCCCATCCTAGGGTTTAAAATTAATAGACACAGTAAACATTGTTTTAAAATCATCTGAAAGGCCAGGTGTGGTGGCCACTCAGGAGGTACAGGCAGAAGGATCCCTTGAGCCCAGGAGTATGAGGCTGCAGTGAGCTATGACTGAGCCACTGCACTCCAGCCTGGGCAACAGAGAAAGACTCCATTTCTTTTAAAAAAATCATCGGAAGGTGGGTTTTTTAAAATAACATTTTGAAGTTGAAAAATTGATTGAAATAGTTTATTAGCCTCCTTCACTTCAGGGGCATAGATGAATTCAGTTCAAAGAAATGTAATAGAAGTAAACAAAGTCTTTCTTAAATGACCTCCTGAAGGAGTATCTGTGAGACTGTTGGTCCCACCTAGAAAAGAGGAACAAAGCATTTTGAGTGGCCTGGGCCAGGCTTCCTTACCAAAGGTAAACCTGCTCACCGAAGAGGTCACAGTGGAGTAAAGACCAAAAGACATTCAGGAATTTCACTGCAAAGAAAATTCCAGGACTCCACACTCACTGAAAACACATATGCATGCAAAATTTGTGTTGCCAGAAGTACCTTCACTGGCCAGGCACAGTGGCTCACACCTGTCATCCCCGCACTTTGGGAGCTGAGGTGGGTGGATCACTTGAGGTCAGGAGTTGGAGACTAGCCTGGCCAACATAGTGAATTCCCATAGGTATTACAGGCGGTGGCGTGCCTGTAATCCCAGCTACTTGGGAGGCTGAGGGAGGAGAATTACTTGAACCCAGGAGGTGGAGGCTACAGTGAGCCGAGGTTGTGCCACTGCACTCCAGCCTGGGAGACAGAGCATGAAGTCAGCTTCATGGAGATGATTATTGAAAATGGGAAAGATCACTGGGTGCAGTGGCACGTGCTCGTAATCCCAGCTACTCAGGAGGCTGAGATGGGAGGATCACTTAGGCCAGGAGTTCAAGGCTGCAGTGAGCTATGATCACACCACTGCACTCCAGCCTGGGTGACAGAGCAAGACCCCATCTCTACAAAAAATTATTTTAAAAATTAGCCAGGAAGGGTGGTATACACCTGTAGTCCCAGCTACTTAGGAGGCTGAGGCAGGAAGATCTCTTGAACGTAAGAGTTTGAGGCTGCAGTGGGCTAGGATTGAGCCACTGCACTCCAGCCTGGGCAACAGAGCGAGGCCCTGTTTCTTAAAAGAAAAGAAAATGGAAGAGATGGTTGAGGCAGAATGATAGGGAAAGGAGAGAACAAATCCTTGGGGATCTCTAAGAATCTAAGGGATTGGGGTAAAAAAAGAAACAGCAAAAGAAAGAGCACTGAGTAGCAGAAGAGTTATAGAATGCAATGTCTTTTTTCAAATAAAAAAAAGTAACATAATAAAAAGGGGATGAGGGACTAACTAAAAATTAGAGGTCAAGTACCATGTTTGACATTGCCTCACACATAACTTTACAATGTTAATGTTAGTCCTAACGACAGGTCCTGAGGAAGTCATTATCATCACCATCGTCATCCCCATCTTCATCACTCCATTTTATGCAAAAGCACCTGAGGCTTAAAGAGGCGAAGTTCTCAACGTTATATAAAGCATGAACTAACTGCTATTCAAACACAGATCTGACACCAGACACTCTGTCTTTTCCACTACATCATGGGTGGGGAGGGACATATAGCTTCAAATGACTCCAAACACCAGAGGAAGTTGAGGAATAAACACGACCGTTAGATTTCGAGTCACTGTGTACCTTGTGGCAAGACTTCGTTGAATCCAGGTGGGGAAGCCAGTGAGCAACAGGTTGAGATACAGAAGAGCAAACAGAAGGAATTAGAATGTGGGCGGCCCACCCAAGATGCTTGGCAGTGAAAGGAGGAGGGAATAAGCAAACTTTTGGCTTAGAACTAAGCATATTTGAGGGCTGCATAGGCCAGAATCAGGCGGAGGAGTTAGAGAGGCTGCTGTTAGACTCATGATTCATTTTCTTCTACCCACCCCCCAAACAATGATGGAGTTGCAAGGGTCTGAGCACAACTGCACCAGCAGAAAGGGATATGTCTATACATGTCCCTAAGCGGCTACTCTGAGCTTTGGGATGTGTGACTCTCACCTGGCTTTGGGATGACATAGCCTGCAAGTATACCACCATGAGAAAGTGACATGAGGGTTAATGCCGCTGTGCATGGTTTCTCCTAGACATGTCACTGATGGGCTCCTGAAAGGCACGGACGCAGCCCAAGCCGCACAGTACATGGCTATGGAAAAGGCCACAGCCGCAGAAGTCCTGAAGAGTCAGGAGGAGGCAGCCCACACCTCCGGCCAGCCCTTCCACAGCACAGGTGCCCCTGGCGATGCGAAGTCGGAAGTGGTGCCTTTGTCCGGCATGATGGTTCGCCACGCGCAGAGCTCCCCTGTGGTCATCCAGCCCTCCCAGCACTCCGTGGCCCTGCTGAACCCTGCTCAGAACTTGCCTCACGTGGCCAGCTCCCCAGCCGTCCCCCAGGAAGCAACCTCCACTCTGCAGATGTCGCAGGCTCCGCAGTCCCCACAGATACCCATGAATGGGTCTGCCATGCAGAGCTTGTTCATTGAAGAAATCCACAGTGTGAGTGCCAAGAACAGGGCAGTGTCTATCGAGGTAGAGTCCTATTTCTGTTTCTCATAACCCCATAAAGGAGTCTGATACATGGACCTTTCCCTTAAAGCATTTATAGGTCAGATGATGACATGATTGTGTATGGATCAGAGACAGGGTTTTGGAAGTGGAAGTGGGATTCAGTGGCCAGGTTAAGAGATAGGTCATGTGGTTTCAGAGAAGGGTGAGACACCTGGCCTGTAGGAAGGTGAGACACCTGGCCTGTAGGAAGGTGAGACACCTGGCCTGTAGGAAGGTGAGACAGCAGTGTGCTGGTAAATGTTTAACAACCAGCTCTCTGGTAGCGGTTGTGGCGGCGGGGTGGGGGGGCAGAGTGGGTGCGTGCAGATCTGTGTGTGGCATTTGCCAATTTCCATGGTGTAAATATCGCAACCATGGCTGATTTCAAGTTATGACATGACACCACTACTGCTGAAGTTGGGAGAAATGTAACAATCAGCTCTCCTGGGCCAGGACAAGCCGGCTTCAAGCACTCCACTGAGGTGAAGGCAGCCTGGGGAGGGTCTGCCACACATCTAGATGATAAGTGGAACCTGGTTAGCATGGGAGGGTGGTGAGGGCATCCTAGGATACTAAAATGCTGGATCAAAGTCTGGGACCATGACTAAGCCTGTCTAAGTGGAACAAGAACGAGGACCTAAGACTGGGGAAATGGGCTGGAAACTGACTTGAGTGCTTGAAAAACAGTCCATGATGTTTGGAGTTTATTTGGAAGGTATCAGAGAAATGCTGCAGCTCTAATCCGTGATTTTTTTTAAATGGCATCTTCTGGAAATTAATCTAGAAACAACGTACAGAATTGATTGAGGTGGTGGGTCTAGAATTAAGAGAGCTGGATGAGAAATTACTATAGTCATCTAAGAATGAACGGTAGAGCAGTCAGAATGAAAAGAGAAAACTAGGTCTTAAGACCAAATGACATGAGGCCATGTGTGGTGGCTCACACCTGTAATACCAGCACTTTGGGAGGCCGAGGCGGGTCGATCACTGGAACATGAGTGCAAGACTAGCCTGGGCAACATGACAAAGTCCCAACTCTACCAAAAAAAATACAAAAATTAGCTGGGCATGGTGGCGCGTGCCTGTAGCCCCAGCTACTCAGGGGGTTGAGGTGGGTGGATCACCCAGGCCCAGGGAGGTCAAGGCTTCAGTGAGCCAAGATCACGCCACTGCACTCTAGCCTGGGCGACAGAGTGAGACCCTGTCTTAAAAATCATAAGATCAAATGACATATTATGTTTTTAAATATTCTTTTTATCAAGGGCTGGTACCAGTGCTCCGATAACACATTTGTCTTTTCTACTTCTTTTTTCTTCTTGCCTCGTAACTTTTCCTCCACTCATTTGCTTTATCACCCAACAACCTTGTCGTAACCCTCCTGCCTCTACTGAAAGTCACCAGTGGAGAGGTCAGGTTGGGTATATCGAGACGACCTGGCAAAACTGCCACAGCCACGGTCGCAGCCTCGGGGCCTCTGAACACTAGGTGGTTTCTCTGTGTCGCAAGGGCCCTGGCTTGCCTCTAATCAGAGCCAGCTATTTTAAAAACGCATATCACAAGGGTACAGAAATGTGATTGACAGAGTGTGATTCTATTCCCAGTACCTAGTAGGGCAGGGGAGGGAAAGACATTTCCTCCTAAGAATTGGCAGATCCGTCACTTAAGACGTCTTGCCACTTTAAACATCTCAACATTTAAAGGATGTCAGTATGATGGCACTCTTATTTAACAAATCTCTGTTGAGAACCTAGTGGGCATAGTTATCATTGTGATGTGTGTATTTTACGCTTTGAGAGGAGACACGAGTCATCTCTGAAAATGCCCTGATCCACAGGTATGGAGGCCTGGGTTTTTCTGCCAGCTCTGCCACTGACAAATGGGGTGAGCTTTATTCATTCAACAGAGATTACTGAGCCTGTTATGTACCAGGCCCTCGTAGGCTCGGGGGAAAGCCAGTGAACAGAAGAGACAAAGTCTCTGCCCTCAAGACACTTACCTACTTGTAGGAAGAGACAGAAAAAAAGTATATGCCAGGTGGTAATAAATGCTAGGAAGAAAAAATAAAGGAGGGTTAGAATGGTGAAGGTGGTGGCTATTATTTATATGTAATGAAACTTGGGCAAATTCTCCATCTCGCTGGACCTCAAAGTTCCCATATGTTGATTCAATGATCTTTGCCAATTCTTAGGTTATAAGGTTCCACTAATCTTGGTGTGAATTTCCACTCTGCCCCCTTAGAATTATTAATGTGCTGGTTCAAAAGTCACAGAAAACATTCTTTTAAAAAGTATGCAGATGTTTTAAAATGCATTTTATGTATAACTCTCTGTTGTGGAACTTAAAGGAGTTTACAGGTCATCTAAATAATACCTCCTCCCTCATTTTATAAGTAGGACAATGTGACCCAGAGGGCATATAGCAATTCTTTGATAGAAGTGGTACTAAGACACAGGATTTTTGTTCTTAGTGTTGTGGGTTTTGTTTGTTTGCTTGGACATCTCTTCTACAATGAAAACTCAATTTAAAAAAATTTTAGGCTGGGCATGGTGGCTCATGCCTGTAATCCCAGCACTTTGGATTATAGGCATGAGCCACCATGCCCAGCCTAATTTTTTTTTTAATTGAGTGAGACTCATGTCTCACTCAGGGCAGAAGGATTCCTTGAGGCAGGTTGTTTAAGACCAGCCTGGGCAACGTAACAGAACCCATTGCTACTTAAAAAAAAAAAAAATTAGCCATGTGTGGTGGCTGAACATGTGTAATCCTAGTTACTCAGGAGGCTGAGGCAGGAGGATTGCTTAAGCCCAGATGTTGGAGGCTGCAGTGAGCTATAATGACACCACTGCACTGCAGCTTGGATGACAGATTGAGACCCTGCCTCTAAAAAAATACATCTTGGTAGTAGAAAAAATACTTTTAAAAGCATCTTTTTTAAAGTTCAGGGGTACAATTGCAGGTTTGTTGCATAAGTAAACATGTCATATGGGTTTGTTGTGCAGATTATTTCATCACCCAGGTCTTAAGCCCAGTACCCATTAGTTATTTTTCCTGATCCTCTCCTTCCTCCCACCCTCCACCCTCTGAGAGGTCCCAGTGTCCGTTGTTCTCCTCTATGTGTCCACGTAACTTCCTTTACGTGCTATATTCCTCCAGAAAGCAGAAAAGAAATGGGAGGAAAAAAGGCAAAATCTGGATCACTATAATGGGAAAGAGTTTGAGAAGCTCCTAGAAGAAGCTCAGGCCAATATCATGAAGTCAATACCAAATCTGGAGATGCCGCCAGCCACAGGCCCACTGCCAAGGGGAGATGCCCCAGTGGACAAGGTGGAACTTTCAGGTAAGTTCCGGTCCCACAGCAGGAATATATGGAGGTACATGGCTTTGGGCAAATACAGTGCCATCCACGACAGCACATACTCATCAACAGAACCAATGTCTCAGTTCTTACAAATCTTACAAAATGTAAAACCTGGAAGAGCAAATCCTCTGGTGTTCCTTAGATCTTTACTACTATCTCTCTCTTTTTGTTTTTTTTTTTTGTTTTTTTTTTTGTTTTTGAAATGGGGTCTTGCTCTGCCACCCAGGCTGGAGTGTAGTGGTATGATCTTAGCTCACTATAACTTCCAACTACTGGGCTCAAGCAATCCTCCCACCTCAGCCTCCCAAGAAGTAGCTAGGGCTGTAGATGTGTACACCACTGCACATGTCTAATTTTTTTTTATTTTTTTAGAGACAGGTTTCTTCCTCTGTTGCCTTGGCTGGTCTCGAACTTCTGGCCTCAAGCAATCCTCCCACCTTAGCTTCCAGAGTAGCTAGAATTACAGGCTTGAGCCACACTTGATTTCACTACTACTGTTTTATGCTAACCACAGTAGAGAAGCTGAGTTCTGTGTTAGGATTCTAGAATAATGGCCAATAAAGGAAAATTTAAATTCATAGTGTTTGCGTTTTCTATGCATTTGTGATACTTCACAGCAAGAGCTGGGAAAATATTAGGCCTGCATTTAAGACAAGAGCTTTTGCAGAAAGAAAATGGTAGCTTTTATGAGCTCTCGGGGGATATTAGATCATAAGGCAAAATTGCATTTTTTAATCAAAATTATTAGAATATGTATTTAACCAACTCAACTATGGAAGTTAAATGCCAACATGTGAATAATAATATAACTTCTAAGAATCTCAACCTATTAAATATCCTATCAGTTACAAGCCACGCGTCTTATTCTGATCTTAAAATTATGGACCCGGATGTTATTTTACTTGCAGTCTAATGTCTCTGCAGTGTCACATTCCACAGTGCCTTATCCAGCAACTAAAATTAATTTGGAAAGGAATCCCCATCTTGACTTGCATGTTGAGAAACATTAAAGTGTATTCCATTTATAACCACCGTACAGTCATCCCTTGGTATCCATGGGAGATTAGTTCCAGGACTCCCATTGGATACCAAAATCTGAGGACGTTCCAGTTCCTGGTATAAAATGGCATGGTATTTGCATGTAACCTACTCACATCCTCCCATATACTTTACGGGCCAGAACACTTCAGCAGTGTGATTCTGCTGCCTGCCTCCATATACTTTAAATCATCTCTACATTACTTATGATACCTAATACAATGCCTACACATTACTTCATTTGTGTGGATTCAACATAGTACTTGGCACAAGGCAAATTCAAGTTTTATTTTTTGGAATGTGGAGGGAATTTATATATATATATATATTTTTCCATCTGCAGTTGGTTGAATCCACAGATGTGGAACCCATGGATGCAGAGGACCAACTGCACTTGTCTCCTCCCCAGTTTTCATCCATTTCATCCCCTAAAGTTCCACTCACTGCATCCCTCCCCCTCAGTCTGTGCTAAGAGGCTTTTCTTACACCTTTCCCCACCATCCAGCTGTGTCAGGTCTGTCTAGGGTCCTGGGCGGGGCGGCTCTTCTCACACAAAGTGACTTTCCTCTCACAGTCCCCGTGGAGAATTTCTGATGGAGAAAATGCCCTAGCTCATCACATTTTTTTTTTTTTTTTTGAGACTGAGTCTCACTCTGTCACCCAGGCTGGAGTTTAGTGGCATGATCTTGGCTCCCTGCAACCTCCGCCTCCTGGGTTCAAGCAATTCTTCTCCCTCAGCCTCCCAAATAGCTAGCATTACAGGCACCCACCACCACGCCTAGCTAATTTTTGTATTTTTAGTAGAGATGGGTTTCACCGTGTTGGCCAGGCTGATCTCGAACTCCTGACCTCAGGTGATCCACCTGCCTCGGTCTCCCATAGTGCTGGGATTTCAGGCCTGAGTCACCGGCCAGCTCATCACATTTTTATCTTGTGTAATTCTGTTCTCTCTGCCCCATTATTAATTTTGTCATAGAGTCCTTTGATGTTTTATATAGGTCTCATAACTGTTCCTTCTCATGATTGAACAACAAAAACATATTACATTTTGTTCACTTACCTCATTTTGGCTCTTGATTCTATCTGATTTTTTAAATTTGCCTAAATCACTTTTAAATTACTCCCCAAGGTATTTTGACTTAGTTAAAATGCTCTTGTTTTTTCTTTTTTAATGCATCTCTGACCTGGTCTCAGAAACAGTACAGTGATGGACAGGCTACCAGAGATGTGTAAAGGTAGCATCCGTGACCTGTAAACATTAGTTTCTGTCATTTTAATTTATTTGTCATGGAGTTATCATTTTTAATGTATTTTTGTTTATTAAGGAGGCAAATTTCTAAGTGTAGAGTTTTAAATACCATTTGTATTTCCCCTTGTGTGAATTTTCTGACTACTTGGATAATGGAGGAATATGGGTAGTGATCAAAAATTGATAAAGGCTGGCGTGGTGGCTCATGCCTATAATCCCAGTGCTTTTGGAGGCCAACACAGGAGGAATCACTTGAAGCCAGGACTTCAAGAGCAGCCTGGGCAGCATAGTGAGACCCCCCTCTTTACAAAAATTAAAAAATCCGCTGGGCATGGTGGCACACACCTGCAGTTCCAGCTACTCTGGGCTGGGGCAGGAAGATTGCTTGAGCCCAGGAGTTTGAGGCTGAGGTGAGCCGTGATGGCACCACTGCACTTCAGCCTGAGTGAAAGAGCAATACCCTGTCTCAAAAATAAAACAAAAAAGGCCTGGTGCAGTGGCTCACACCTGTAATCCCAGCACTTTGGGAGGCTGAGGCAGACAGATTGCTTGATCCCAGGAGTTCAAGACCAGCCTGTGCAACATGGCAGAAACCCCGCCTGTAAAAAAAAAAAGAAAAGAAAAGAAATTAGCCAGGTGTTGTGACACACACCTGTAATGCCAGCTACTAGGGAGGCTAAGGTGGGAGGATCACCTGAGCCCCGGAGGCTGAGGCCTCAGTGAGCCTTGATCACACCACTGCATTCCAGAGTGAGTGACAGTGAGACCCTATCTACAAAATAAAAAAAATTAAAAAATTTGTTTAATTAAAAAAATCAAATCCACTTCCTCTCCAACTTTGTTCTTTGTTCTCATTTGCATCCCATTTTTTCTCT
The DNA here is from genome assembly GCF_000001405.40 of Homo sapiens. Lineage (NCBI taxonomy): Eukaryota > Metazoa > Chordata > Mammalia > Primates > Hominidae > Homo > Homo sapiens. The sequence continues at coordinate 24,531,303 of NC_000010.11, forward strand.
GGCCCTCCCTAAGCCAGATTCTACTCTGACATTGACCTTCAGCAGAAACCCCTCTTGCTGATACTGTTTTTTCAGACTGAGGGATGAAGTATTTGGAGGCCAAGCCAGGGGCTATGGATTTGCCTTTGGGCTTCAATTTTTTTTTTTTATCTATCCAAGTAATACTCAGCTTTTTCCATAACAAGAATGTTATTTAATAATAGTAGGTAATACTTTACATAGCATTTACACTATGCCAAGCTCAGCGTATAAGTCATTCAATCCTTATGACACCCCAGAGGAAAGTATATTATACTACCCATTTAACAGATGAGAAAACTGAGACCGAGAGAGGTTTAGTAACTTGTGCAGGGTCTTTTTGGGATTTAAATCCAGTCACTCTTTAGGGTCTATACACTTAATCCTTGCTCTATGGAGAGAACAGAAAATTTTTAAATCAGATTGCATTGGGTTTGTAGCAATATACCAGACTTTCTGGATGTTTTCTTGAAAAAAGATTATTCTTGTAATGGTGCACTGTTTTCCAGAAGATTCTCCAAATTCGGAACAGGACTTGGAAAAGCTGGGGGGAAAGTCGCCCCCTCCTCCTCCGCCACCTCCTCGTCGAAGCTACCTGCCAGGATCGGGACTCACCACCACGAGGTCAGGCGATGTGGTCTACACCGGCAGAAAGGAGAACATCACCGCTAAGGTCTGATAGGCTAAGCCCTGGTAAACTGGCCTCTGGGTTCAGATGATACCCTTAGACAAGGTTCTCTCTGTTGGAACATAAAAAGTAGTGAGGCAGAGAAGTAGTAACTCGACCACACAAGATCCCCAGGAAGCACCACAGATGGAACAATGGCAGCCAGTATGATTGGACTAGACCCAGACCATGAGTTTTATCCTTATTTTACTTTTAGCTGCAACAATATGAAATGCAAATCACAAGCTATTTCCCATGTGGGCATCATAAGATTGAAAATGAGGGTAGGAGGGGGAAACGCAAGAAAGATTATCTTCCAAAGGTAACTGAGGTGAGCTGACACCGTTGTGGGAGTCTATACAGAAAGATGTTCAATGAGCTTTAAATTCCACTTAACTAACCAAGTGTTAGCTTTCATGTTAAATGTAAAACACAATTTCCAAAGAGATGCAGTATGGGAGGGCCTTTCATGAGGACTGTATTAGTCTGTTCTCAGGGTGCTGATAGAGACATGCCTGAGACTGGGTGATAAAGGGAAGAGATTTAATGGACTCACAGTTCCATGTGGCTGGGGAGGTCTCACAATTATGGCAGAAGATGAAGGAAGAGCAAAGGCACTTCTCACATGGTGGCAGGCAAGAAAGAGATTGTGCAGGGGAACTCCCATTTATAAAACGGTCCGATCTCGTGAGACTTATTCACCACCTCGAGAACAGCACGGGAAAGACCTGCCCCCATGAGTCAATTACCTCCCACCTGATCCCTCCAATGACACGTGGGAATTACGGGAGCTACAGTTCAAGATGAGATTTGGGTGGGGTCACAGCCAAACCATATCAAAGACACTGAATGTTGAGGAGTTCCAATTATATTATAATTATTTAATCCATTCACCAAAATGACAACTTATGCAAACACAAATACAAACTAAATGCAAAGGAATAAAATAGCCTTTCAGCTATTTTCTCAGCTAAGATCTAGGAAGCAAGTGTTCTAGACAGTGAGGGACCATACGATCTGTCCCTTTTTTGCTAGCACCTAGGAGATGTTAAACCACTATCTGTTGTTTCAATCTCCCACAGGCAAGCAGTGAAGATGCTGGACCAAGCCCACAGACCAGAGCTACAAAATATCCAGCAGAGGAGCCTGCTTCAGCCTGGACCCCATCCCCACCGCCTGTCACCACCTCCTCCTCAAAGGATGAGGAGGAAGAAGAAGAAGAAGGAGACAAAATAATGGCAGAACTCCAGGTATGTGGATGAGGTGACTGACATTGGCTCCTTGCCTCCCGCCTGGGTCTCTCCAGCCATGGCACTCACAGATTTGTTAGCGAGAAGGCCAGGGAAGCGCATGGACCGGGACCATAGAAGCTGTGTCTTCTGGCCTTAGCCTTTGCTTTCCCAAGATGGCGCTGAACAAGGCTCTCAGGATGCCTATAAGATGTGCAAGGAATGACCATTTCACAAAACAACTCACGCTTTCCTACCTCTGGCTGTAAAATTGACTTTCCTTTCTTTCCATCTTAAGAGATTCTGCTTCATTTCAAAAGCAAGTAAGATAAGGATTAGAAATACCAGCCATTGTCCTGTCTTGATAAGGACAGACTGAAGGACACGTTACGTGGGTTCCCGTTCCTTGGCTTTACCACTTAGAGCCACTGACCTTGGATCATGGACTCAAGGCCAATGACTGGCCTCCTGTGGTCCATAACCAGGTCCCTGTTCAATATCAATGTCATCTTTTCAGATATTCTGAAAAGCTGAATTATTTTGTTTTCCATTTTCCTTGGTCTATTTGAGAAATGATACTGTATCAGTTTTAGATATTTATTTTTTAACTATGACACAGTCCACTCATAGGATGAAGGATGGCGTGCCAAGGCTGTGCCCAAAACTGATCCCACATTCCCATCACGGATGTGATTCTACCCCAGGTCTATGTCCTGAGAACTTGTCTCATCAGAGACATATAAACAATTCCTAGAACAAACTTTGTGTAGAGTATTTCATTTGCCTCATGCTTCTTATAGGATTTTTCTGTCAATCAGATAGTTGGAACACCAGCACCTTGGGGCTCAAAAACATGTTAGCTTTTTACCGACGTACCAATGGCTTTGTGCCAACCCATAAATTTTCCTCTTTTCTTTGGAGTAGGGAGAATTTTCAATCTACATTGTTTTTACTGCACTTGTTCTACTCTGGTTTCCATGGTAATAACTGCCAAAATTGAGCTGCCTGGATTTTGCAGGGAAAACAGAACTGCTGGTTGATTTGTCACATACGTGAGCCCTTTCACACTTCACTAAAACTCACAGACTAGCCTGGGACATCCCCGCAACCAATCAGGCTATTTGCAGGTTTTTAGAAGGCTTGGATAATTGTTTTCATAGGAACTACAGATTTATAAAGCTGGTATCTTTCAGGCTTGTGGATAATTTTTTACACCTCTCTAAGAGAAATACTAAATTTGTTGCAGCCACTTACAGCCCACCACTGAGGGACACTCTTCTCCATTGAAGTCTAAATATTTGATGCCCTCTTTGACCACTGTACAGACATTGGCATATCTGGCTTCATGTCATATTCTTGGTGGTTACATAATAAAAGTGGTGGCCAGGCATGGTGGCTCATGTCTGTAATCCCAGCACTTTGGGAGGCTGAGGCGGGCAGATCACCTGAGGTCAGGAGTTCGAGACCAACCTGGCCAACATAACGAAACCCCATCTCTACTAAAAACTACAAAAATTAGCTGGGCATGGTGGTGGGTGCCTGTAATCCCAGCTACTCGGGAGGCTGAGACAGGAAAATCACTTGGACCCGGGAGGTGGAAGTTGCAGTGAGCCAGGATCACACCACTGCACTTCAGCCTGGGTGACAAGAGTGAAACTCTGTCTCAAAAAAAAAAAAAAAAAAAAAAGCGTGGTGAATGAAGTGCTCTAACCTTAACTTAACCAAACCCTGTTAGCCCTCTGGCTGGGATAGAAACCCAGCCTGCTAAATCCGCAACTCGATCAATGGCCAGTGGCCATAATGATTCTCTTGTTTCTGCACCTTCTCAAGGCAGGACAAGGAGCAGCTGTGGCCCCTTCTAAGGACAGTTGTGGAACCACTTTCTGTGCTCCACATCTCCAGGCATCAGAAGAAAACACAGGCTCTGAAATCGAGGGTCTAATAGCTCAAAGGAGATGGCAATTGGCATTTGTAAGCAGCTTTCTAAGTAAGCGGATAAACCAAACACATCCGGGGCAAGCTAGGACTGGTATGACTAAGGAACAGCAAGGAGACCAGGTACAGCAGAGACAGGGGAGCAAACAGTCATGGAAGAAAAGGCCAGAGAAAGTCCCTCATCAGCCACCTTCAGATTTTAGGACCAGTGTTGGAATGTTTACTGAGGGAGGACATACATTATTCTTTCTGCTGGCAGAGATATCTCCAAATGACAACATTTGACATAAAGAAAACACTAGGCAATTATTTAGGCTGATTCATTTAAATAAGTGGTCTTTCACCAGGCACAGTGGCTTATACCTGCAATCCCAGCACTTTGGGAGGCTGAGGTGGGCAGATTGCTTGAGGTCAGCAGTTTGAGACCAGCCTGGCCAACATGGTGAAACCCCATCTCTACTAAAACTACAAAAAAATCAGCCAGGCGTGGTGGCGGGTGCCTGTCATCCCAGCTACCTGGGAGGCTGAGGCAGGAGAATTGCTTGAACCCGGGAAGCAGAGGTTGCAGTGAGCTGAGATCTCACCACTGCACTCCAGCGTGGGCGACAGGGAGAGACTCTGCCTCAAATAAATAAACAAACAAACAAACAAATAAAAATAGTTTTTAATCCTAGCTGCACATTAGAATTACTTTGGGAGTTAAAAAAAAATCCTACAGCTCAGAGATTCTGATTTGTGTATTCTCTGAGTGGGGTCTCAAGAGTATTTGAGAACAACAGTATTTTTTTTTTAACCTGGGTGGTATATAGCCTGGTTGAGAACCACTGTTGTCCATAAACTTGGGTCCCTGAGTTACCAGTCTCTCCTTCTCTCATGATCATATTATCTGGGCATTGCCCACATGCCCGCTTCCTTTTTAGCCCTGTAGACACAGTCTATGTCTATACTTTCTCCCTTTGTCTGAGAACTGACCTTCCTGACTGAAGTTCACAAGAGCCAACAGTTGGCTCTTATAGTTTTCAGAGACAAATCTCCAGGGTTCAGGCAGCTCCTAGGCCACTCGGAATGACATCGTTGCTTAAAAGCATCACTTTACTCTAAATGAGCCTCAGAACACCTCGGAGCGCGGTAGTACCTGTTACTATTTCAGAGAAGGATTGCTAAGAGTACTTTTATTGTAAGACTTAAAGGTTTAAAACGTCTTGTGAGCTTTTGCTGTATAATTTCAATAAAACTCATAAAAAAAGAGGAATAAAAAAGAAAGATAGTTTTTTGTTTTAATTTATTTACATATTGAGCATTTTTTAAATGTCAAAGCAAGAAGCCCTCCTAAGTACCAATTTATGTTCACCCCAGACAGGCAGAAAAGGTAGTAATGTCTATTTTATCTTGGCATTCCCCAAGAAAGGAAGGCAGCCTTTGCCTCGGACTCTGCCTCCAAGCCAGCTTTGTCAACATGAGAGCACGTGAGGAGCAGGATTTCAGGGTGCTGCCTCCCTGGCCTAAACCTGCGTGCAGGACCCGGGTTGGGGTCCACAAGCGTCTGGTTGTTCCTGCCTGTTTCCCTCCATTCTCCTCAGTACCCTTGGATCCCTGTTAACCTCAGTATTTTAATTCCTTAGGCATTCCAGAAGTGTTCCTTTATGGATGTAAATTCAAACAGTCATGCTGAGCCATCCCGGGCTGACAGTCACGTTAAAGACACTAGGTCGGGCGCCACAGTGCCACCCAAGGAGAAGAAGGTAACGTGGCAACTGCACATTTGCCACACGGTTGGGAGTCCTTCCTTCCTTGCTCTGACACTAACACGGCTCTTATACTCGACCTTTGTCCCCTCTGTCTTTTTTCTCTCTCTTTTTTTTAACTAATGGAGACACAGGCATAGGTTAAAATCAGAGATATCTTGCTCAGGTTTTCAGAGCAAACACTGTGTTCCAGCCCACAGCATACAATAGTATATGCAGAATTTAGACACTATCTTCCCAAACTAAAGAGTGAACACCTTTCAGTACTTTCTAGAACAACTCTAGAAAGAAATATATAGAAACAGCAACCAAGTATTTAGCAGTTTTTCTAATTTGTAAGACCCTTTGGGAAAAAAAGAAAAACAACTATATATGTTAAGAAAAATAGGTAAAAATCGGCTGGGTGCAGTGGCTCACGCTTGTAATCCCACCACTTTGGGAGGCCGAGGCAGGTGGATCACCTGAGGTCAGGAGTTCGAGACCAGCCTGGCCAACATGGTGAAACCCCATCTCTACTTAAAATACAAAAAATTAGCTGGGTGTGGAGGTGGACACCTCTATTCTCAGCTACTCGGGAGGCTGAGGCAGGAGGATCGCTTGAACCCAGGAGGTGGAGGTTGCAGTGAGCCGAGATTGCGCCACTGCACTCCAGCCTGGGCAACAAGAGCAAAACTCTGTCTCAAAAAAAAAAAAAAAGTAAAAACCTTTGATTTGGGAAAGAAAATGCATGGTAGAAAGTATCTACCACCACACACTGGTGTAACCTCATGGAAACATACAAATGTGTATTTGCACAAACGTCCAAGGATGCCAAACAGAATTTTTGCTAAGTATTATCCATTTATAAAGTGTACCTTCCAAGATAGTAAGTTCAGTATAGTTTTAGTGTTAACATACATGTGTGATGTCAAAAAAAGAATCCAGGCTCTGAAACAAAGTCTGCTGTCATTGTATAAGTAAGCACTCTAGGGAAACGACCATAGCCTGAATGTTTGAAATGCAACTTTAAGTTGCACCTAGAGCATCTCTGATTTTCAGATATAAAGACATCTTACTTGAATTAAGCTTCCATCTAAACTTCAGGATAAAAAGCTTGCAAGGCCTAACATTTTTCTCCAGGGACTTATCTTTCAGAATTCAAAGATTCTAGCTTTCCTTAAACAAAATCAAACTAATCAGATGCAAGAGAGCCCAATAGCTACTACAGATGGGTACCTCAGTCCATGTACGACAGCTCAAGGAGGTAGATGTAGTATCACAAAACTGAAAGGCTATTCTAACACAACCATTCAAGAGACACAGTTTTGGGCTCCCAGCTCCCAGCCAAGAGGCCTTGCCAAGGAGGCCAGCTTGCTTCCCCCTGGCTCATAACCACCACGGCACCCTTGTGTAAACTCTCTGCCACATAAATTGACATGTGACACTGTTAATGGGGGAAGGGAATCTCGCTATATCCAAGGGGGGTTATTGTTGATAAATGTTTCTCATGAAGAAAACCTGGCCTGGCATGGTGGCTCACACCTGTAATCCCAGCATTTTAGGAGGCCAAGACGGAAGAATCACTTGAGGCCAGGAGTTCAAGACCAGCCTGGGCAACATAGTGAGATGAAAGAAAGAGAGAGAGATATGGAGGGAGAGAGGGTAGGAGGGATGGAGGGAGGGAGGGAGGGAGGAAGGAAGGAAGGAAGGAAGGAAGGAAGGAAGGAAGGAAAAAGAGAGGAAGGAAAAAGAGAGGAAGGAAAAAGAGAGGAAGGGAGGGAAAAGAAAGAAAACCTACTAATTTGAACTGAACCCATGAAACCATGTTGGAAATATATTGATTTTTATTGTTTTTGGTTTTTTTTTTTTTTTTTTGTGAGACCGAGTCTCACTCTGTCACCCAGGCTGGATTGCTGTGACGTGGTCTCGGCTCACTGCAACCTCCGCCTCCCGGGTTCAAGCAGTTCTCTGTTTCAGCCTCTCTAGTAGCTGGGATTACAGGCGCCTGCCACCATGCCTAGCTAATTTTTGTATTTTTAGTAGAGATGGGGTTTCACCATCTTGGCCAGGTTGGTCTTGAACTCCTGACCTCGTGATCCACCCGCCTCAGCCTCTCAAAATGCTGGGATTACAGGCGTGAGCCACCGCACCCAGCCGGAAATATATTGGTCTTTTCAGTATGTGGAATTTCCTTATGAGGGCTTATTAAAACTAACTCATGGAAGGCCTGGTATAGCATGTTATACTTAGGCTAATGTGACCATTTCTGTCTAGAACACTGACTGGGAATTTGGACTTTCTCAAAGATCCCTCTGGAGACCATTATTGTCTCATTGTAGAATTTTTCTTTTCTTTTCTTTTCTTTTTAATTGAAATGGAGTCTCGCTCTATCACCCAAGCTGGAGTGCAATGGCGCCATCTCAGCTCACTGCAACCTCCCCCTCCCCGGTTCAAGTGATTCTCGTGCCTCAGCCTCCCGAGTAGCTGGGACTACAGGCGTGCACCACCACACCCGGCTAATTTTTTTGTATTTTTATTAGAGATAGGGTTTCACCTTGTTGGCCAGGCTGGTCTTCAACTACTGACCTCAGGTGATCCACCCGCCTCAGACTCCCAAAGTGCTGGGATTACAAGCGTGAGCCACCGTGCATTTCTAATTGGCTAGAAAGTGGCATGAGATTTCTTGCCCCATAATTAGAAATCCATATCCCATTGGTCTCATTTATCTCAGTTGAGGATCCACTGGCTAATAAGCAGGTCTTTATTGAGTGCCCAACACTGAGTTTAGTCACAGGTGCTTATTCTGGATAATTAATCTCAGTAGATTAACCTTCTTCAGAATGACCATGTATATCAGACTTCTCTTATCCCCAATTCTGGGTCCTTATTAACCTCTTCCAGGGCTAAGTATTTACCCTTCCATAAATCGGATGTTTTCTTAAGCATTTTTTCTCCTGTCATCACTGAAACTCCAGCCTAGTTCTTCACTTGTATGCAATTTTCTTGTAACCCTGTCTCTCGTTTTGGTTTATTGTCCATATGCCTATTGAGTGCTTTTCCAGTTGTCTTCATAATCCAAATCCCAGGGCCTATAAATACATATTAAAGAGGCATAATTACCTTTCACCCAGAGTCTTGACCATCTAAGACTAAGAAATCACTGTGAGTTTGCATGACAATTATGACCAAGCTCCTGCACTTGCTTTGATACATTCATTCATTTTTTTCTAGCCCAGTGATAAAAAGTATAGGTCGTGTGAAAACCAAACTTCACATTTTTATCCTAGTGACTTTCCATTAGAGCATTTATGCTACTACTCAGTTTTAAAATACATATATTACAGGGGGGATTTTTGAAATTTATTTATTTATTTTTGAGACCGAGTCTCGCTCTCTCGCCCAGGCTGGAGTGCAGTGGTGCAATCTCAACTCACTGCAACCTCCGCCTCCTGAGTTCAAGCAATTCTCCTACCTCGGCCTCCTGAGTAGCTGGGATTATAGGTGTGTGCCACCACGCCTGGCTAATTTTTGTATTTTTAGTAGAGACAGGGTTTCACCATGTTGGTCAGGCTGGTCTCGAACTCCTGACCTCATGATCCACCCACCTCCACCTCCCAAAGTGCTGGGATTACAGGTGTGAGCCACCATGCCTGGCCTGAAACGTTTAATGATGGGAATGGCACAGGCCATGACCAACCAACAGACACCAGCCCTAACCTCCAGTAAATAGACCCCCAGAACATCTGCCACGTGTGTGTCTTTAGATCACATGCCAAATCCATCCACGATTCAGGGGGCAAATTCTCATTTGGGTCCTAGCATGATATGCTGACTCCATATTTGGAGTTGTAACCTTAGGCTGAAACCTTTTTTTTAAATTCATTTACATATATATATACATATATTTTGAGACAGAACCTTGCTCTGTCGCCCGGGAGGCTGGAGGGCAGTGGCACGATCTCAGCTCATTGCAACTTCTGCCTCCCAGGTTCAAGCGATTCTCCTGCCTCAGCCTCCCACGTAGCTGATATTACAGGCACCCGCCACCGTGCCCAGCTAATTTTTATATTTTCAGTAGAGATGGGATTTCACCGTGATGACCAGGTCGGTCTCAAATTTCTGACCTCAAGTGATCCACCCACCTTAGCCTCCCAAAGTTCTGGGATTACAGGCATGAGCCACTACACATAGCCTATTTTTATTTTTTATTTTTGCGTATATGTGATGGAGTCTTTGCCATGTTGCCCAGGCTGTTCTCGAACTCCTAGACTCAAGCAATCCTCCTGCCTCAGCCTCCCGAGTAGCTGGGATTACAGGAAGCTCAATTATTTTTCTTCTTTAAAACCTTTTACTTGACGTATTCATTGTTTCATATTTTAAATTTAAAATCCCACAAAAGAAGCCATGTGGCTCCGCTGCAGCAGCCGAATCATGGCACTTGTTTGGGGGCTTCCTGGGGAGCAAGCAGAAGTAAAACAGGAGGTATTTGGTGGCTCGTGTACCTTGTACTTTGCACAGTATTTGCGTGTGATTAATTCTGACTGCGTTGTTTGTGTGTCATTCCTCAGGCGTGTATGAACAGTCTTTCCATTCTTAAGTAAGGTCATAGGGGTTGCTCTGGGTTGACTTTGGCTGGGCCCGGGTGTTTGTGCTTTGTGTTGTCATTGCTTTAACCAAGCAGCCTTCATGGGAATTGTGCTCCATCCTGCTATAATCAATCACCTCAGCATGAAGAAAGGGCAGCAGTGCCTTGGAACCGACAAGGCATCACTAGTGTTAGTGTTATGTCAGGGCCTGAGGCTACTGATACACCTTGGGAAAGGCCAGGCCTCCAGGTGAAGCGCCTTGAATACCTGGGTCCTCACCACTGGATCCTTCACTCCTGAATCTTGGTGAGACCCTAAGACATGTATCTTCAGTCTACACTGGAAAATATAGAGAATGAAAGCTGAGTCGTGACGTCACCGTCACCAATGTAACCTCAAATATCTGCTTTGTGAATGTTTAGGTTCTATTGTAACAGCATGATGGATATGAACCAAGGTTCTATTGTAACAGCATGATGGATATGAATTGAGGTTATATTGTAACAGCATGATCACTCTGAATTTGGATTTGGTCATCGTGGCTATGAGGAGTGTGAAGGTTATTTTGGCACTTCGACACCTGCAGTACAAACTGCATTTCAATCTGTCATTTGATCAGGGGAAAATAATGTTTTTTCGTCCCCAAATGCCAAACCCAACCAAGGCAGATGTCTTTATAGGATAATCTCCATAACAGAAGCAGAGGGAGGACTGAAATAATGAGCTGTAAGGGGAACTAAAATTCCCCTGGGCTGGTTCCTAAGTTTATAGGCAAGAAAACTGAGGCCAAAGAAGTAAAGTGACTTATCTAAAGTAACACAGTTTAGTGGCAGATCTTGATTAGGATCAAAACTTTCTGTCAGCCCATACATTGTGCTTTTCACAATTCTTCAGGTTTTAAATTCTGCTAAGCTCACAATCTGATGTTGAAAAGAGGACATGTTAGTAATGACTCTGTCCCTTTATTTTCTTCACCACTCCCCTACAAAATTTTAAATTCTTGAAATCTTTTGCTAATTGAGATTTTCATCTTGTGCAAACACAGGGCATTTTTGGCAGTTGGAGAACAAAGCAATCCAAGGTAAACAGCTGTAGGCTTTGGATTGGTGTGTAAGAAATATGCGTGGCCCGCATGTCTTAGAAATGTAATTAAAGGAACGATTTAGTTATAGTCCACTTTTTTGGGGGGATGTGGTTTTGTGGAGTAACATGTCCTACACTATTCTACCAGAATTTGGAATTTTTCCATGAAGATGTACGGAAATCTGATGTTGAATATGAAAATGGCCCCCAAATGGAATTCCAAAAGGTGAGTTCACCAGATCTGGGTTCCGACCAATACCATGCACATTAAGTACCTGCCTCTGCAGATCCATTGCTGATTAACGTGTGTGGTTTCCCTCCTCCGTTCTCCCTCTCAGGTTACCACAGGGGCTGTAAGACCTAGTGACCCTCCTAAGTGGGAAAGAGGAATGGAGAATAGTATTTCTGATGCATCAAGAACATCAGAATATAAAACTGAGATCATAATGAAGGAAAATTCCATATCCAATATGAGTTTACTCAGAGACAGTAGAAACTATTCCCAGGAAACTGTGCCTAAGGCCAGTTTCGGTTTCTCTGGCATTAGTCCATTAGAAGATGAAATAAACAAAGGGTCTAAAATCTCAGGCCTGCAATACTCTATACCTGACACCGAGAACCAGACGCTGAATTACGGAAAGACAAAGGAGATGGAAAAGCAAAATACGGATAAGTGTCACGTTTCCTCTCACACTAGACTAACAGAATCAAGCGTGCATGATTTTAAAACAGAAGATCAAGAGGTTATCACGACAGATTTTGGCCAAGTTGTTCTAAGACCCAAGGAGGCAAGGCATGCTAACGTGAACCCTAATGAGGATGGAGAATCAAGTTCAAGTTCTCCCACTGAAGAAAATGCAGCCACTGACAATATTGCCTTCATGATTACCGAAACCACTGTCCAGGTTCTTTCCAGTGGGGAGGTGCATGATATTGTTAGCCAAAAGGGAGAAGACATACAGACGGTTAATATCGATGCCAGAAAAGAGATGACCCCCCGACAAGAAGGGACTGACAATGAGGATCCAGTCGTGTGCCTGGACAAGAAACCAGTGATCATCATTTTCGATGAGCCCATGGACATCCGGTCTGCCTATAAGAGACTTTCAACTATCTTTGAGGAATGTGATGAGGAATTAGAGAGAATGATGATGGAGGAAAAGATAGAGGAGGAGGAAGAGGAGGAAAATGGGGATTCTGTAGTCCAGAATAATAACACTTCCCAGATGTCTCATAAGAAGGTGGCCCCAGGCAATCTTAGAACCGGACAACAGGTGGAAACAAAGTCACAGCCACACTCCCTGGCCACAGAGACCAGAAACCCAGGAGGACAGGAAATGAACAGAACGGAGCTGAACAAGTTCAGCCACGTGGATTCTCCAAATTCGGAATGCAAGGGTGAGGACGCGACCGATGACCAGTTTGAAAGCCCCAAGAAAAAGTTTAAATTCAAATTCCCTAAGAAGCAACTCGCCGCTCTCACTCAAGCCATTCGCACCGGAACTAAAACAGGGAAGAAGACTTTGCAAGTGGTAGTCTATGAAGAAGAGGAAGAGGATGGCACCCTGAAACAGCACAAAGAAGCCAAGCGCTTCGAAATCGCTAGGTCTCAACCTGAAGACACCCCTGAAAACACAGTGAGGAGGCAAGAGCAGCCCAGCATCGAGAGTACATCTCCGATTTCAAGAACTGATGAAATTAGAAAAAACACCTACAGAACATTGGATAGCCTGGAGCAGACCATTAAACAGCTCGAAAATACAATCAGTGAAATGAGTCCCAAAGCCCTAGTTGATACCTCATGTTCTTCCAACAGAGATTCTGTTGCAAGTTCATCCCACATAGCCCAAGAGGCCTCTCCCCGACCCTTGCTAGTTCCGGATGAAGGTCCCACTGCCCTAGAGCCCCCTACGTCGATACCTTCAGCTTCACGTAAGGTATCTTGGTCTGCTGGAAAATGAAAAGACCCAGCTGCTTTCCTAAATCTGCCATAATCACCATTAGTGAAAGGTGTCTTGTAACTTAATTGCTTTCTTTCAGGTGGCTTTTTTTTTTTTGTCTGTTCGCCATGAAACCCTTCTTTCATACTTTCTCCCTCACCTTCCAAACAACAACAACTAGGTATCTAACAGCTAATCAGTTCTGTTTTTGCCTCTGTTGCTGACTGGTGTTGGGTAAACACGAGGCTGCTGGGTCAGCCATGTGCTGTTGAAATGGTTGCTCTGATACTCACATTAAAATCCGTTTGATCAGTAGTGAGCAGTTGATTCTGTTTGATTCTTCTGATTAACCCCAGTTGGTGTCTCCTAGATCTGTCCTGCATGTAGGGCTGTGGCTTCTCACCTTGAGCTTCTCTGCACATCGTGGGGCAGCCTCACAGATGACCTACTCATGCGCTTCTCCTTCTCTTCCCCCTCTCACTGGTCCTTCCCACAGGGCTCCAGCGGGGCCCCACAGACGAGCAGGATGCCTGTCCCCATGAGTGCCAAGAACAGACCCGGAACCCTGGACAAACCCGGCAAGCAGTCCAAACTGCAGGATCCCCGCCAATATCGTCAGGTAGTTTTACCTTAAACCCACTTTTGGATGGACGCTATTTCAGTTAAGCAAGTCACTGACTTAGTTTATACCAAATATTGTGCTTTCTTTGTAAGATAACGGTTTACATAGACATCCTGGATCTGGGGGCATGAAGAAAGTCTAAATAAACCTTTGTTACACTTTTTTACCACGCTTTTGCATGCTTGCAATAAAACATCTTTTACTTTGTGACTCCAAACTCCAAATTTTAACTGTTAACACACGGTGCCAGACCAGGTGGCTTTTCTTTGGTGAATGTAGTGTTTCATCTGAACACCTCGGGAAGCAGAGACAAACCAACCTGTGGTTGAACTGCCCTTAACGTCACCACTACTAACGTCTATGTTGACTGTATTGTGTTAGAAGCACATTAACACTCCGTCACAATGCCCGACCCCCACCCCAGTAATTATCCAGACGCATGGCCCACCTGGCACACAGGAAATGGTAGAGCTGGAATGATGGGACTCCTCTCACAAATGTATTCTTCCTTTCCTCCTTTCCCGTCCATCCTTTGCTATGTACATGGGGGGTTTCTACCAGGTCCAGTAGAGCACAACAAGACTTAGCTCAGGCCTTGAACTGTGTTTGGTTGGTTTTCTTTGATTGAATTATTCTCAGAAGGGCTGTGTTGCCAGGCCCTGTGGGTTGATCATGTGACCGCCTTTCTGACAAAATGTCTCCCGCCATCTTTATTTGCAGGCTAATGGAAGTGCTAAGAAATCTGGTGGGGACTTTAAGCCTACTTCCCCCTCCTTACCTGCTTCTAAGATTCCAGCCCTTTCTCCCAGCTCTGGGAAAAGCAGTTCTCTGCCCTCTTCTAGTGGTGACAGCTCTAACCTCCCTAATCCACCTGCTACTAAACCATCGATTGCTTCTAACCCTCTCAGCCCCCAAACAGGACCACCTGCTCACTCTGCCTCCCTCATCCCTTCTGTCTCTAATGGCTCTTTGAAGTTTCAGAGCCTCACTCATACAGGTAAAGGTCACCATCTTTCATTCTCACCGCAGAGTCAAAATGGCCGAGCACCCCCTCCTTTGTCATTTTCCTCCTCCCCTCCTTCTCCTGCCTCCTCCGTCTCACTGAATCAAGGTGCCAAGGGCACCAGGACCATCCATACTCCCAGCCTCACCAGCTACAAGGCACAGAATGGAAGTTCAAGCAAAGCCACCCCATCCACAGCAAAAGAAACCTCTTAAAGGTCAAATCCTATTAGGCACAAGTCGGAGTTACATTTAAAAAAAATTAACAGTCTACAACAACTGTTTTCACAAGAGAATGTAACATATTGCTGTATCGTTTGAGGCTTAATGCTAAATATGTGCTAAATACTGGATTAATAGATTTCAGTAAAGCTCGTTCGTTTTGTTTGGTTTTCTTTTTACCTAGTTGCTATAGTGTCTACAGTCTATACTCAATACCTATAAAATGCAGTAAGCATGTGTTACAGAAAGAGGTTCTGGTGGGAGAGAAAGGTGCGTGTGAGACAGGAGAATTGTCTTAAGCATATAAAACATGTATGATTCCAGAATTTTAGTATGTTTTGTATAAAACTATTTTTCATTACGGAGACTAGAAGTGAACAGAGAATTACACAAGTGTGACTATACAAATTGTAAAACAGATACTATAATATTTCCTTTTATTTTAGTGTTATTTAGCTTTATTACAGATTTCTATTTTTGTCAAAACTTCATGGTTCCTTTCAAGATCTTTTTTGCCAAAACATTTTGATACTATAGCATTGTACATTTGAAAGTAGTGTTCTAGACTATAAAACCAATGAACTTCTACATGAGCCCTACAGACAGGCATGTGTAGAAGGCAATTTATCAAACCTATTGCACTGCCATGAAAAGTGTGTATAATAATTTGCTAGCCCAAGCAAGCTAGTTTTCTTTGCTTGCTTCTTTTCTTTCTTTTTTCCTTCCTTTTTTTTTTTTTTTTCTTTTTTAACATGTTGAGATTCTCTAGTTGTTTTCTTTGGCGTATCTAACCCCTTCTTTTGTTTTCTGAGACCTGGTAACCCACGCTCTTGCATTGTGGATTTTAAAATGTATACTCTGTACGGTTCTGTAAACCGAAAAACTTTTGTAAATATATAAATATACATAGACATAAAAATACTGTATGTGACAGCACATAGAGTAGTTTTCCCACACCAAAGTTAATTTTTATGCATGCTTTAAAAGTATATATCGGGACCGGCAGAAATGGAAGTATCCATACATTTTTAAAAAGCAACAAGTTTGCACAGCTAGAGTGTTTTTGTAAATAAATGTATTTGTATAACACAGTCATGTAATATACAGAACTATAAGCAGAGACTTTGCAAAACTAAATAAAGGGCTGCATGCTTATTATTTTTTGTACCTTGTCACTATAACTACTTCCTAGTCAAAGAACGAAATGTAACTGTTACCGAGTTAAATGTTTTTCCGCTTTGAGGGATGTAACCACATCCACTCAGAGGACACTACTTTTCTGAAAGCTCTGGGGTGACTAATGATGAGTTCCTAATAAATTAATTGCAAGTGTGGTGCCTTGGATGTGGCCTGTTGGCTCGCTTTCTTCTCTGTGGCTTATCAAGGTGTAGATGACAGAAAGCAAACCTGGATACAGAGTTTCCACCCTCAGTTCCTGGAGGGGCTCTTATTATTTTCTCTCTTTTTAAAAAACTTCCAGTAGAAGTAAAGTGGAAATAAAATGTCTTTATCACTTGGCTTTTTTTCTTTTGAGTCCTCAACTTAAAAAATTATTGTTGGCCTAGAGGGAAATACGCTTACACCATATGTTTTCATTTGTTAAAATGGGAAGAAGCCAGGCACGGTGGCTTATGCTTTGTAATCTCAGCATTTTGGGAGGCTGAGGCAGGAGGATCACTTGAGGCCAGGAGTTCCAGACCAGCCTGCGCAATATAATGAGACCCCATCTCTACCAAAAATAAATAAATAAATTTAAGTTAGGTGGGCATGGTGGTGTGTGCCTGTAGTCCCAGCTACTCAGGAGGCTGAGGTAGGAGGATGGCTTGAGCCTGGGAGGTGGAGGCTGCAGTGAGCTATGATCACACCACTGCACTCCATCCCAGATGACAGAGCAAGACCCTGTCTCAAAAAAAAAAAAAAAAAAAAAAGGTGTGGGGGAAGAAAATTAGTGAAAACAATACCAGGATTATGAATTAACCACAGGAACAATCTCAGGAAACTACTTAGATTTTTCACCTCAGAATGTTTCATTTGGTGATTTCATGTAAAAAGCAAATATTTTTGGAACTCAGTTGTTCAGTGTTTCTGAGTTTCAGGCTTTCTTACTTCAGGATGCCTCCGCCAGAAATATTCATATCTCTGTTCATTATGTTAATGGCAGTCCCGTGTTTCAGGTGGCACTTAGGAAAGTATTTAGGGTCCAACATTTCAATCATGTCCCATAATCACCTTAATGACATTATATTCATTTATATATAAATATATCTCATAGCTAATTCATGCCAATTTATTTGCTTCTGTTTATGGACAAGCTGAAAATTCTTTATAAGCAGCAAAACAGCAGATGGTGGGCTCACTTTTTCAGTTTAGCTTCAGGCTTCCCAGAGAGCTCTGACAAGGTCACAGAGGTGATGGTAGTTTCAGCCAATGTCGTGAAGGATGGGACATGTTCACCCGGTAAGGGAAAACTCCACACAGTCCCATCCACTGCCCTGAGATCCGAGCCAGTGCTGCCTGCCTCTTCAGGAAACTGGAGGAGAAACTACCATGATTGGAGAAACCAGAGTCAGGTGTTGCAAAGACTTCCTATCACAGCACAGACCCAGGAGGTGCCTGTCTAAATTAGTGCAATATAGCTCCTGCCTTGGTACCCATTTTTAGGCCTGACCTAAGTATTTATTGAGACGGAGTCTTGCTCTGTCGCCCAGGCTGGAGTGCAGTGGCACGATCAAGGCTCACTGCAACCTCTGCCTCCTG
Organism: Homo sapiens; assembly: GCF_000001405.40. Taxonomy (NCBI): domain Eukaryota; kingdom Metazoa; phylum Chordata; class Mammalia; order Primates; family Hominidae; genus Homo; species Homo sapiens. The sequence goes on from NC_000010.11 coordinate 24,549,088, forward strand.
GGTTCAAGCAATTCTCCTGCCTCAGCCTCCTGAGTAGCTGGGATTACAGGCGCCCGCTACCACACCCGGCTAATTTTTTGTATTTTTAGTAGAGATGGGGTTTCACTGTGTCAGCCAGGATGGTCTCAATCTCCTGACCTCGTGATCCGCCTGCCGCGGCCTCCCAAAGTGCTAGGATTACAGGCATGAGCCACCGCACCCGGCCAACCTAGTTGTTTGAAACCTTGTACCCTGCCCTCTATGGCCTCATTAAAACTTCGCCTCCCAGTGTGGTGGTTTGAAAAATACAGCCCAGGCTCCTTCCTCATCCCACCAACCAAAAACCCAACATGCCCCACACCTGCGGGCCCGTGGTAAAACCTGATGATTAATACCAGAGTCGTGTCAATAAATTTCCCCTGCGCACGTGTTTTCTTGAAACTAACCAATCCACGACCCCCATGGGAAAGCCTAAGGGGTAACGCCCCTGGACCCTGATAGAAGCACAGCCCCTCAGGCTTGCTCACTCTCACTCTCTCCCCACCTCTTGGTTGAGCTCTGCTGTCACTGCCTCCAGACCTCTCATGAAGGCCCCGCCACCACCCTCCCTGGAATCTGTAAGTAAGATATTTCCTCTGTTTGGTGCATTTTTGGTTTCGCCTCCTCACTTGTGCCTTAGCTGACCAACACACCCAAACCTAACTGCACCCCACCCCATCAGGGCTTCCCTAAAGAGGGGCTATCTCGGCTTATGGCCACTCTCGACAGGGAAACCTCAAGACCAAGTTAGAAACTGTAACAATAAAAACTCACGATAGCACCTCGGTTCTTTGAATATCTACAGTGAATGATGTTGGGCAGGATGAGCTCAGCTCTTGGGTTTTCAGATTTTGCTAAACTACACTTAACAGACACTCAGTTAAGACAGTCTCTCTCTCTTTTTTTTTCTTTGAAGAGACAAGGTCTTGCTCTGTCCCCGCAAGCTGGAGTGCAGTGGTACAGTCATACCTCGCTGCAGCCTCAAACTTCGGGGCTCAAGTGATTCCCTTGCCTCGGCCTCTGGAGTAGCTGGGATTATAAGCATGCACCACCACACCTGCCTGTCTTTTAAGTTCACCATTCAGTTATTCACTGTATCTAAAAAGATTCTTAGAAATAAACCATGTGGCTTCTCAGGTTTATTCAACGATCAGTCCATCCAGCCCTCACTGAGCATCTTCTGCACGTAGCATGGGATGAGGAAGGCATCTGGCCCACGGCATCAGTGCTGCTTTCTGGTTGTGCCACCTTGGGTGTGTTTTGGCTTCTTCACCTGTTCATGGAGAATAATAGCACCTACTAAAAAGGATCATTGGGAGGATTAAATACGATGTATACAAAATTCTGAAGACAGAGTCAAACATACGGAGCACTCAAAAGTTAATGAGGGCCGGGCGCAGTGGCTCACGCCTATAATCCCAGCACTTTGGGAGGCCAAGGCGGGTGGATCACCTGAGGTCAGGAGTTCAAGACTAGCCTGGCCAACATGGTGAAACCCCTTCTCTATTAAAATACAAAAAAATTAACTGAGCTTGGTGGCACACATCTGTATTCCCAGCTATTCAGGAGGCTGAGGCAGGAGAATCGCTTGAACCCGGGAGGCTGAGGTTACAGTGAGCCGAGGTTGTGCCACTGCACTCCAGCCTCGGCAAGAAGTAAGACTTTGTCTAAAAAACAAAAAAAGTTAATGATGATGATTATTACTGCTGCGGTGACAGCTGGAACCAGTTCTGCCCTTGAGAGGCATCAGTCTAGTTGGGGAAAGCGTGGCACACATACCGGGGAGATCAAGTCACAGTTGATGCAGGTGGGGGAGTGCGAGCAGTCCTGGCAGTTGGCTACAGGAGTGCAGAGCAACGGGCTTGTCTGGTGCTTCACAGAAGTGGTGGCACCTGGCACTGACAGGTATAATACAGAACTTATAATAGCGTTACAGCATTTTTAAAGAAGCTGGTTTTCTTTTAATGCTACTTGTGACTGGATTTTTTTCCAAAGTAAAATAGACATTTACACAGATGGAGAAAAGCCAAGGCCCTGGGAATCATGGCTCAGAATTATGGTTCTTTTGTGAAGTCACATGTGCAGGCTTGGGAGAAGGTGCTCCCAGGTCACCCCAACCCATATTCCTCAGATGATGCTCATTCCTGGGCTTGAGTGCAAGGGGCCAGACCCATGGGGTAAGAGGGACACATCCACTGGGTGCTGAGAGCAGGTCTGGCCACTCCCCTCCCCGCAGGCCACATTTAAAACATAAACCTGGGCCTCTTCCTGAATGCCCCACCTTGTAATTCTAGCTAAGGTCCTCCCCACCTCCAAGGCTCAGTAAATGCAAAGGCATTTCAGAGCAAGCAGGAAATTTTTTGGAGGAAGTAGAGGAATGACAGCTGCTTCAACTGAAAATTCAAAAGGTAATTTTGCAAAAGAGGCCAGCTGACGTTGTCCAGGAAAACATAGCCCTGGCATCGGGCAACCACTCATTCTTTGATCTATGCTCCTAAGAAGGTAATGTCCGAAAGAATAACCCGAAAAGCACCTCTGAGAAGAGAGTCCCAGGCCCTCCCAAGGTGCATGTCCATCTAGCTCCAAGTCAGGTGCCCACCTTAGAAGCAAATGTTCGCCCTGATGGAACGAGGAAGGTTAAGTTATGCTCACCACTCTCTGCCAAGAAGGCAGGAGAGCTTACAGTGCATGCCTTCGATTTGCACAAAATGCTTAATATTTTAATTGCCCAACGTATTGGGTGGTCCTTAATCCTTGTGTCTGTGAACACATCAGCAATAACTGCCATCTGTTGCCTATTATGGGCCACGTAGAATGCTAAGGTGTTTTGCATCTATTGTCTTTTAATCCTCACAAACACTGAAAAAGTTCCTGTAATTTATCCCTCCCCCACTTCACTGCAGGACACTGAGAACAGGCAAGAGGTGACAAGTGCAGTATGCACCTCTGGGCACTCGCCATCCTGCTTGCGGTGGGGGCTGCTCAGGTTGCCCCTTTGAAAGAAGGTGGCTTTAAGGGGAGGTTTTTCATTCCTGGATCAGACGAATGAGCACAATGCAGAAAATTATCCATTTGTGGGATTATTAGATTGCAAATTTTGGTTGCCTCACCTTCAAAAGATGCGTAGGTAGAGACCCCTTCCACTTAAAAGGCTAATGTTCTCATCTAGTATTATTGTTGGAAAGGCGGTGAATCTGGATTGGAACCTGGGATAGGTACTCCTCTTCCCCTAAGCCCCAAGTGGTCAACTACAACTCTAGGGCCCTGAGCTGGGACTGCAGGGAAGGCTTCACCTGCCAGAAAGACCACACCCCAGACAAGCCAAGCCAAGCCCAGCCTAGGTCCTACCCGTACCAGGCCCCACCTCCTCCTGGCCTTGCCACGCCCCTCCAGGTACTGCCTCAACCTGCCTCAGCTAAGCCACGCCCCACCTTTCTGGTCACACCCCTCGAGGCCTCACCACACCCCTCGAGGCCTCACCGCGCCCCTCCTGCTGGTGCCTTCGGGAACTTCAGCTGCTGGAGACCAGGGTAAGCGGCCCCCAAGTGCCTCCTAAAAGGGTTTTCTCGAAGTTCGGCTTCTCGGCAGGGACTTGTGAGTAGGCACCTCAGCCTCTCAGAGTGATCCTTTGAAATTCAAGGATAAGTCTCAATTCCAATGGATCCAAGCCCCCTTTTAGTTACAAATGTTTTGTACGAGATGAAATTCCTTATGACATCTCCTACCTACTCGCCTTGTTTCAAAAATAAAATACAATGTCCTAGTGGCACTATAACAAAGGTATAATTATTACCGTGCCATGCACGCACCCATCAGCAGAATTCACATTCAGAGACGAGTCGTACCGGGGACTCGAACGCTGTGAATGGCTGGTAATGTGACTTTTCCCAAATAGCGAATGACTTGGTTGAAAGCTTTGAACAAAGCAGAATACGACTCTCCCTCACTTTACACGTTCCTGAAAAATTTTATTGCACATTTTGAGGCTGCAAAAGTGTTTAAATATAAAATAAAATTGGCCTCTACACTCGGATCATTATAAGCAGGGTTTTTCCTTACGCATATGTCCAGTGGGACGTGACCAGGTCGTGCTGGGGGTGGGGGACAGTTTTTCCTGGGCAGCTGACTGTAGGACATCCCGATTCAGCATCCCTGACCCCTACACACTAAATGCCAGTTTTGCCTCTAACATTGGGACAACCAGAAAACTCTCCACAAATACCCAAAACTGCCTTTCAAGGGCGGCATTGCTGTGACTCAGAACCACTGGCACAGAGTAATGAACAGGGGCCTCATTGTTGAGTCGGGACAAACCCTGAGGGCATAAGGACCCAACAGGGAATCTTCAAAGTACCCAGCCCAGTGACCCCTCCCTGTGTAAGAACAGCCCTTAGGTACACATGGAGAGCCGGGGGTGCCTCAGTGACCTGCCACTCCCGGGGGATTTTCAGGAAGCCCATACTGGTATTAGCATTTCTGTTCTTTTCCTTCATGCCTGGAAGACCAAATGGTTAACCAGGAAAGGGCCAGGCGAGGTGGCTCACGCTTGTAATCCCAGCACTTTGGGCGGCTGAGGCAGGTGGATCGCCTGAGGTCAGGAGTTCGAGACCAGGCTGCCCAACATGGCAAAGCCCCATCTCTACTGAAAATACAAAAATTATCTGGGTGCGGTGCTGCATTCCTGTAGTCCCAACTACTTGGGAGGCTGAGGTAGGAGACTCACTTGAACCAGGGAGGTGGGGGTTGCAGTGAGCCAAGATCATGCCACTGCATTACAGCCTGGGTGATAGAGTAAGACTCTGTCTCAATTAAAAACAAACAAAAAACAACATGAAAGGAATCCAATCTCTAAGCAATTGGCAGGAGGGAAAGAAGAGAACATCTTGGAACGATGAGTGGGAATGGATGTCTTAGGGTAGAGTGCTGGAGCCCTGGGCTTAGCAAGATGGAACTTGGTACCAGGAACTTAGAACCAGGGCCCTAGCCTGCCACAGACACCATCTCCTTTCTGACTTAAACGTGAAAACCTTGGGAACAGGTGATCAGTGGGGGACACCCCTGCAGGGGAGGAACCCAAGAAAGCTGGACCCTGTACTGGGGATAGGCTCGGCTGCTGTTCCAGCTTCTCAAACCCGTCTGCACAATGCAATCCTCGAAAAAGCTTTCAAAATGCTGCCGCCTGGGCCCTGCCCACAGATTCTCATTCAAGTGCTCAGAGGTGCTGCCTCAACAAACGGAGGCTTTTAAAATACCCCCAGGTGATTCTCATGGGAAGCCAAGGCTGAGAACCACAGTGTCAATCTAGAAAGGTGGAGGCCCAGGCGTAGTGAGAAGGTGCTGTTCCTTAAAAATAAAGGTGACTGTTACCAACCACAGGAGATCCGCGCCTGAAAAAGTACAGCTCAGCCACCACTTCTGGATTTTTTTGAAAACTTTCCAACTGTTTTTAAAATAAATAGTTGAAATGTATGGACTTAATTTTTGTCCTCTAGGTAGTGTCAGTTGGGGCATTTTAGAGTCTGGCTTTGCGTTTTGATACTTCCAAACTGCAGGGACCTTCCAGTGTTGGCTAAGTCTGGAGCTTGTTTTATTTGCCAGGAGCTAATGTGTATACGAGTGCCCTTGAACTGGGAGTAATTTAGGGATTAGATTTCAGGAAAGTACAGACATAGCCCTTTCCTTAGCCTCTGGAAATTCTAGTAGTCCCAAAAATGGTTCCTAATACTTGGCTGAATGAGACATTTCATGCACGTTTGTTACAGAGGTTCTATTAATAATGCATATCGTTTTAGTGATGTATTTCAAATGTTTCTCCAGGCTTCTATTGGACATAGTGTCAATAGGTAAAGCCAAAAATTAGAAGTGCAGAGCCATTCTTTGAAGGAGAGAGATTCCGGGAGGGTGGCTCATGCAGCTGTGATTTGGGATCTGAGGATAGGGCAGGAGAGTGAGGAAACGGATACTCGTGGTCCCAGCAGAGGAACCCTGGGCAGGAGAGAGCCCATCCCAGACTTCAGCCTTGCGAGGCAAGACCCCGGAGGGTGGCATGGAGGTTCCCTGCCCATCAGGTTAAAAACATAAGCAGCACCAGGCCCAAACCAACAGGTCCCCTCTCCTCTCCAATTGCCCTCAGTGTGTCCCTCACTGCTCAGAGGTTTTGCACTTTCAGTGAGACCCTCCCCAACACCACCAACATCCACCCCGCGCGTAATCCTGCCCATCAGCATGTAGACAGGTTGCTTCTGCTGCTTCACCACCCTCAGCCCTTCCTCAGTTTCTCTATGTTGTATGCATGCCTGGTCTTCACACCCTGCTTCTCCCACTTCTCCTGGTTCTTGAATCACCGTGAAACGATCACCTCTAGTGTTACCTACATCTCCGTATCTCCATACCTAGGACACACTTTTATTCTTTGTCTTTGGCTTTATTTAAAGCCTTTACCTACAAGTATTCTATTTGAAACAAATGAGATGAAAGCCCCTTTCTATGGATGAAGGACAGTAGGGACCAACCTTGTATCATTACCAGTCAACACCTCTGCCAGGCAACAGGAACACAGATGATCCCCAATGTTGGGAAGCGACAGTTGAGCCGTCCTGTCTGCAGAAGATATTAAGTCCTTCTCTGCAGCATGTTGATTGGATCACACTTTGTTTGAGCCGGCATTAAAAGTGGTATCCAGGACTGCTCCATAAAGAGATTGGATCTAAGATAGCACATTGGACCGATTTAGGATTGCAGATGGATTAGAGATTGTATTAGTCCATTCTGGAATTGCTAAAGAACTAACTACCTGAGACTGGGTAGTTTACAAAGAAAAGGTTTCACTGACTCGCAGTTCCACAGGCTGTACAGGAGGCATGGCTGGGGAGGCCTCAGGAAACTTACAATCATGGCAGAAGGCGAAGGGGAAGCAGGCACGTCATACGTGGCGGGAGCAGGAAGAAGAGAAAGCAAAGGGAGAAGTGCTACACACTTTTAAACAACCAAATCTTGTGAGAATTCTATCATGAGACAGCACTGGGGGGTGGCACTAAACGATTAGAAACCACCTCTGTGATCCAATCACCTCCCACAGGGCCCACTTCTGACATTGGGGATTACAATTCAACATGAGATTTGGGTGGGGACACAGAGCCAAACCATATCGGAGACCTAAGATTTCTTAGATCTGTAAGGAAGCCAGAATTTGTCTTTGACCTGTTTGGTCTCCTCCCTTGAGTGTTATCTCCTTTGTGGTTTTGAGCTCATCTGACCACACACACCAGGGTCTGAGTCTGGGGCCTCAGCCGCCTCCTTCCTCATATCCCTGGTGTCCTCTGGGCTGGAAAAGGAGGTCTCTACTCCTTTCTGAGAAGTGCTTTTTTTCACCTGACATCAACTCTAGGAAGCTAAGCCAAGAAGGCTTAGCTGAGCTGTTTGATTCTCAAACAGTTGGCTAACTTACTTGGAAATGGAGTCAGGGAAGAAGATGTTCAGGAATAACTAGATCATTGTACAGTGATTGCAGCTGCACATTCTTCAGTCTCACAAATGAATAGAATCCATTGCACAGCAGAAGTTGCCCTGCCAGGCCTAGCACACTTTCCCCCTCCTGCAAAAAGAATGTCCGCTCACTGAGTGACTCCAGAGAAAGGGGCCCTGACCTCTTCCTGCCCCTTCTGTCTAAAATCCCTCAAAGGAGACACTCCCAAGGTCAAGCGTGGCATCCCTGCCCCACGGAATCTGGCGTCTCCCTATCTTTCAGTGGGCGCCTCGCCCACCTACCCGCGGCTCCCTCTGGCCCAGCCACCCTGTTCTTTGGTCTGCTCCTCCTCAAGCCCCAGCCACAAGCTGCTTCCTGTGCCTGGAATGTTCACCCCACCACTTCCTCATCCTGATCTCAGCTCACACGCTGCTCACTCCAGGAAACCTGGATCTCACCCTCTATGAGTTCACCCTCCTTCACAGCACTTAGTGGAAACTAAAGCAGACAGTGGGGGTGAGTGGTGGTCAGTAAATTATCAAGTGCAGGAATCAATGTCTGTATTACACACAGAGGACCCCAAGGCAGGACCTGCCAAAAGTCAGGTAGGTTCATATTCTTCTGTGGGGTGCAGGCTGGGGGACGAGGTATGAGGGGCACGTAGTTCCTACTGTTCACACCATCCACATTTAACACTCTTTAAGACTTGAGATTGAAGACTCCTTTAAGAGGCTGCATCTCAGGAAAATACTGTTCACCTCCTGCCATCTGGTGGTCATCTGGAACTTGTGCACCTCGTTGAATTTCTCAACTTTATCTCAGTTTTTGCTGCAGCTGTATTATATAGTTTCAAATAGCTAGAAGGAGGATTTTTTTTTCCTGAGATGGAGTCTTGCTCTGTCGCCCAGGCTAGAGTGCGATGGCATGATCTCAGCTCACTGCAACCTATGCCGTCCGAGTTCAAGTGATTCTCCTGCCTCATCCTCCCGAATAGCTGGGATTACAGGCGCCCACCACCACGCCAGGCTAATTTTTGTATTTTTAGTAAAGAGGGTGTTTCACCATGTTGGCCAGGCTGGTCTGGAACTTCTGACCTCGTGATCCGCCCACCTCGGCCTCCCAAAGTGCTGGGACTACAGGCGTGAGCCACCGCGCCTGGCCAGAAGGAGGATATTGAACGTTCCTAACACAAACGAGAAATGTCGAAGATGATGGATATGTTAATCACCTGGATCTGATCATTATACCATATATATATATATATATATATGGTATACCATATACCATATATACACACATATATAATATGGTATACCATATATCATATATATACACACACATAGGGGTGGTTTATATATATATACATAGGGATGGTATACCATATACCATATATATACATATATATATATCAAACCATCCCTATGTACCCCTTGAGTATATATAATTATTTGCCAATTAAAAGTTTTTAAATGTAAATGTACCAGCCATATGCAGCTGTAGCCCCGAATGAAAACGTGAGGCAGTTGGCATTTGTCCTCAGCTTGGGGCTTCTTTTCAGAACTCCTCTGTGCCTTCCATCGTTTCTATCTTTGGGGGAAGTGATAAACTGAGATACCAGAAAACTGATGTTCCTTTCCAAGCATGTTAGGGCAATAGGAAGAGGGCAACAATTTAATCAAAGGATCAAGTGTCCGGTGGTGGAATGCCAAGTGTCAGAGGGCAGATCCAAAGTAGAATTTTCTGGGAATTCAAACTCCATGGGGCAGGAATGGGAATCCCCGGGAGGCGGTCTGCTGACCATGAGTTTGCTGTTCTTTCATTTCCACATTTTGGAATTTCTGGAGGAAGTCTTGCTGTCCACCGCAGGGCTGAAGGAGCTAGAAGCTGTAAGTGTGTGGATTAAAAAGTATGTGGATTAAAAAGCACTATTTGGGAGGCCAAGGCAGGAGGATCACTTGAGCACAGGAATACGAGGCCAGCCTGAACAACGTAGCGAGACATCGTCTCTATAAAAAAAAGAAAATGGTGGTGTGTGCCTGTAGTCCCAATTACTCAGGAGGCTGAGGCTGGAGGATCACTTGAGCCCAGAAAGTGGAGGCTGTGGTGAGCCCTGATCGCACCATTGCACACCAGCCTGGGCAACAGAGTGAGACCCTGTCTCTAAAGGAAAAAAATGTATGAACTGGGGAAGGTCCTTACTCAGGTAAGCTAACCAAAGCAATGGTTCAATTCAGAAAAGGTAGTTAGGAGTAGATGATGGTGTATTTTATCAAAATCTGAACAAACGTCGGCAGGCAGAACCTACTGGGCGTGTTCCATCTCTTAGCTTGCACGTTGTGTTTCTAGTTGAGCACCTATGACTGCATTAAATTCTGAGTAGCAGCTGCCGATGGTTCACTTGATAAAGGCTGTCATCAAAAGCCCCTGAGCCTCTTCCACCTGTGCAAAAGCTAAGCCATGTAGCCACTGTTCTATACTTGTGCAATTGCTATTTTGGACTCAGACAAATTTATATATATATCCCTGTCCCTGTCACATTTCCACCTGTTTGATTCAACCGACCATTCCATGTGCATTTAAATAAAATCCAAAATTTTTCTAGGGCCTGCAGGCTCTGTCAACATCTCCAACTTCACCTGCTATTCCACAATAACGTTTTGCCTGATGAATAAGCAAAGACATTACCTGTGGATCAGTAACTCTCAGCTTGTGGGTAACCCTTATTCTCTCCCAATGCCATAGGATGGTTGGGGGAGCTATGTAGAATTTTCTTTCGTCTCTTTTTTTTTTAGAGACAGGGTCTTGTTCTGTCACCCAGGCTGGAGTGCAGTAGAATGACCATAGCTTACTGCAACCTCAAACTCCTGGACTCAAGTGATCTTCTTTCCTCAGCCTCCCAAGTAGCTGGGACTATACAGGCACACTAAGTTTTATTATTATTATTTGTAGAGACAGGGTCTCACTATATTTCCCAGGCTTGTCTCGGATTCCTGGGGTCAAGCAGTCTTCCCTCCTCAGCCTCCCAAAGTGCTGGGATTACAGACATGAGCCACCTCATGCAGCCCTGGAATTTTCATCTCTAACAGAGAGTCACATGCTACCAAAGAAGGTAGCGCTGCTTGGGGGTCTGTTTGAATTTCTACTGTCAGTTCTTCCCAAGTCCAGGCTCTCAGACATTGGCACTATGTGAAGGCCTGGGCCTGGGGTGGTGGTATTTCGGATGGGCTCTGAGTTCTCTGTGGCCTCTGTTGATTTCCCCCGGCAGAACTGATGCCTTAAACTTCTGGAGACCACAGCTCTACCTTGGAGGTTCTTAACCTGATGTGATTTTGCACCCCCCACCACCCCCAGGGGACATTTTGACAGTGTCTGAGATGTTTTTGGTTCTCGCAGCTAGGGTGATGGTGTGCTACCAATATCTAGTCCGTAGAGCCCAGAGGTGCTGCAAGGCAGCCCCCACCCCCACAATAGGGAATGATCTGGCTCAATGTATCAGGTGTGCCCAGGCTGAGCAGCTCTGCCTTAATTCCACACCTTATTTGTTGGGTGTTTATATCTCTTTCACTCAGATCCCTGTGAGGACAGGGATGGGGTTTGACCACTTCTGTTCTTGGCCCATGGAAGATGCCAGTGAGTGAGTAGGTGGTGTCATGTTTTATACTCAAAAGCCATTCTCTTTTAAATAAGTCCTACACTGGCAGCTGACTCTGACATAGGGTGACCTCAGTTGGGGAAAAAGGAAATGGAGCATCCCATTCCTCATTTGCAAGTGGCCACCTTTCTCTCTTTTCCCTCCCTCTTTTCCTCCCTCTTTTCCCTCCCTCTTTTCTGCTCCCATGTTTCGCCTCTGCAAACTTTTGCCCTTCCATGTTTGCTTTAATATAAGTTGCCCTGTTACAAGCAGAGTCAGAATTTCAGCCATCACAGGGTGCAGAGTCCTGTCCTCACATCCCAGTACTCAGAATGGGAATAGGAGGCAAACCCATGGCTCTTCACTGTAGCCACTATGAGAATTAACTGTGGGCTTTAAAAGCTCATCGGCCCCCGGTTAGAAGTTGCCCAGGATTCTGAAGCTCAGCTGGGATGGGGAGCTGTTGGGGTGACAAGGGGCTGCTCTGCACAGCTCTGCCTGGCTTTGCTGTGGGACAACAGCATCAGGCTGGAGCAAGTGGCCCGAGGAAAGAGGTCTCAAACCTATCAGCATCATGGCCCCTTGGAGAATCAACTGAAAGCAATGGGCCCTCTCCTGAGGCCTGTTCACAGTTTTGACCATATTCCAGGTCCCTGAGCTAAGAATCCCTGATTTTTGTTTCTAAGTGGCCCCCCAGATTTGGGAGTAGATGGCATCAGGGGAGACAGTGGAGAGCCAGTAGCTTGCCTCCTCCTGCATCCCCAGAAGAGCTCCTGCCTGCTATGTGCTCATGTCTCTTCCTTCCCACCACCTATTAGTGTGCACTGACCTTGGAAGAAAATCAGGGCAGCCCTCAGCCTCCCCACTGGTTGCTTTATCTTAGCAGGATCATGATTACTAGTTCCAAGACGACCCAGATGATAAGTTACTGTGAAGACAGACTTCCATATGACTGACTTAGTTGTATTTTTTTATTTTTTTTAAATACTCCGTGGTTACTTTGATTAGAAGGAATATCTTCTGTGTATCCTAGGTCCCAAACATGCATAAGTCAGTTTTCTCTTGTGCAAATATATCTTTCAGGTTATTTACCTGTTTTTAAAGAATGACAGTTGCTGTGGACAAAATGTTTGTCTCCCTCAACTTCTTAGGTTGAAATCCAAACTCTCAATGTGATGGTATTAGGAGATGGGGCCTTTAGAGGTAATTAGGTCATGAGGGAGGAGCCCTCAGGTGTGGGATTAGCCTTTATGAACATGATAATGAGCATTCCCTTGCCCCCTCTACCATGTGAGGACACAGTGAGAAGACAGACATGTATGAACCAGGAAGTGGGCCCCACCAGACAAGAAATCTGCCAGCACAAGCCTCAGTGTCTTGATTCTGGATTTTTAGTTTCCAGAACGGTGAGAAATAAATCTTTCTGTTGTTTATGAGCCACCGAGGTATTATGTTACAGCAGCCCCAACAGACTAAGACAACAGTGCATGGATGCCAAGTGCTTTGTAAATTCCAGAATCCCACAAGGTACATTGTTGTTTTTAATTAACATGAATCAGTTCTGTAGTCCAGTTTCTATAAAGTATAACATACATAAAAGTACACAAACTAGAAGTTTACAACTCAGTTTTTACAAAGTATACATATCCGGTGTACCTCCCACATGACATCAAGAAATAGAAAGTTACCAAAACCCTCAGGCCTCCTCTGAGATGCTTCACAAAGTAACTGTGATTTCATTGTTACTGAGTCTATAACCATATATTAGTTTGACTTGTTTTCTACCATAATTAAGTGCATTCTTGTGTTTTGCTTATTTCACCTAATTACGATTCTGAGATCAACATCCAAGGTGTTGGTTGTATCGATAGTTTGTTACTTCTCATTGTTGTACAGCATTTCATTGTATGAAGATACCATCATTAATCTATTTTATTGCTAATAAGACCTGGGCTTGCTTCTAGTTTGGCACTATTACTAACTTCTTTGAACAGTATTGTATATATTTTTGGTGCACATATGGTTGCATTTTTGCTGGGCCTATCATTAGGAGAGGAATTGCCAGACCATAGAATTTCCCAAAAAAGCAGCACCAATTTTTACTCCAGTGTATGAGAGTTCAAATTGCTCCACTTCCAAGCATTCAGTATCATCAGTATTTAATTTTAGCTACTCGGGTAGCTGTGTGAGTACTACTCATTGTAGGTTTTTGGTTTGTTTGCTTCCTTGTTTACTTTTAAAAAAATTACATTGGTTGTCTGTTGCTGTGAAACAAATTACTGCTAACTTAGTGGCTTAAAACAACACAGTTTATGTGGGTTAGGAATCCAGATAAGTTTAGCAGGGTTATCTGCTTTAAAAATCTGCCAAAAAAGGTTTTAGTTGGGACTGGGGTCTCTCCTGGAATCTAGACTGGGGTACGATCTGCTTCCAAGCTCAAGTGGTTGATAGCAGGGGTTCTGTTCGTTGTAGGCTGTTGGCCAGAGACCATCTTCAGTTCCTTTCCCCATGGGCCTCCCCAATATAGCAATTGGCATCATCAAAGCCAGCAGGGCATAGAGTGAGCTAGCAAGAGGTAAGTTACAAACTTGGAACTGAGATCCCCTTAACATCAAGGTAGTGTGTTGATTAGAAACACGTTTCTCAAGAAGAGAGGGTTACTCGAGGCTGCCACTGCCAGTAGGCAGGATCACTGCAGGGGCATCTTAAACTTTGCTCCCTACATTGAATAAAATCAATATACAACAAACTGCACACATTTATAGGGTATGATTTCCTAAGTTTTGATACCCGCAAAAGTATCATGACAAGGTGGCAAACATATTCCTCACTCCCAAAATTTCTCTCATGTTCCTTTCTAATCCCTCCTCCCCACCCTTCTCCATCCCCTCTTTCCCAAACACTGATCTGCTTTTTGTAACTATGCGCCAGTTTGAGTGTACCAGAATTTTAAATAAATGGAATATTAGACCCTGTATTTATTTGTTGGCTTTTTTCGCTTTATTTTGAAATTCATCCGTGTTATATAAATAGTTCATTTCTTTTTGTGACTAAGTAGTAGTTCATTGCAGAGACATACCATAATTTGTCTATCCATTTACCTGTTGATAAACGTGGATTATTTCAGGGTTTTGGTTATGACAAAAGTACTATGAACATTCGTGGAGTAGTCTTTGCATGGACGTATGCTTTCATTCCTCTTGGGCAAATATTTAGGAATGACATGCCTGGATCATAAGGGAACTCTGTTTAGTATTTTGAGGAGCTACTGGATTACTTTCCAAAGTTGTTGTATTAAATACATTTTACATTCCCATCATCAGTCTGGGAGTTCCTATTTCTCTGCAACCTCATCAACACTTGATATGGTCAGTCTTCGAATCTTAGCCATTCTAGAGTGAGTGATTAGTGATTCAGTCTCACTTTGATTTTCATATTTCCTAAATTACTAGTGATTAGAGCCTCTCTCTGGTGCTTATTTGCCACCCGTATATTTTCCTTGGTAAGGTGTCTGTTAAAATCACTGATGTTCTTTTATTGAGTTTTTCATTTTATTATTGAGTTTTAAATTTTATCTATATATGTTCATTTATTTGTATCAGATATAAGCTTTGAAAATATTTTCTCCCAGTTTTCCATCGTTTTATTGTTATTATTATTTTTTAGACACAGTCTCACTCTGTTGCCCAGGCTGGAGTACAGTGGCACAATCTCAACTCACTGCAACCTTCACCTCCTGGGTTCAAGCAATTCTTGTGCCTCAGCCTCCTGAGTAGCTGGGACTACAGGCACGCACCACCACGCCCAGCTAATTTTTGTGTTTTTAGTAGAGACGGAGTTTCGCCATGTTGGCCAGGCTGGTCTTGAACTCCTGGCCTCAAATGATCCTCCTGCCTCAGCCTCCCAAAGTGCTGGGATTACAGGCATGAGTCACCATACCCAGCACTCCATTCTTTTAATATTGTCTTTTGAAGGATAGGAGTTCTAAATTTTAATCAAGTTCAATTTATCAATTCTTTTATACATTGTGTTTTTGATGTCAGAAGAAATGATTAATTCCTAATCAAAATTAATTATGCCTATATTTTCTTCTGTGAGATTTGTAGTTTTAGGTTTTACATTTATGTCTATGATCAATTCTGCATTTTTTTTTAATACGGTGTGAGGTATGAATGAAAGTCCATTTTTTGCACGTGGATATCCAATTGTTTCAGGATTGTTTGTTGAAAAGGCTGTCTTTTCTCCATAGAATTGCCTTTGGTCTTCGTCACATCAATTGAAGATAGATCTGTGGTTCTATCCTGGATTTCTTTCTGTCTCATTGCTCTATTTGTCTATCTTTACATCAGTGCCACACTCTTGTTTCCTGTAGCTTTGTAATAAAAGTTGTTTTGGCAATTCTAGGTCTTTTGAATCTCAATATGAATTTTTAGAATTTGTCAGTTTATCTGATAGTCTGCTGGGATTTTTATCAGGATTATGTTGAATCTATAGATGAGTTTGGGGTGAGTTGACATCTTAACCTCTTAGGTCTCTTGACTCATAAAAGAGATGTGTATCTCTCCATTTATTTAGATGCTCTTTAATTGCTCTTAGCAATGTTTTCCTAGTTTTTAGTGTACAAGACTTTCATAGTTTCCATCAGATTTATCCCTAAGTATTTAATATGTACTGATGCTGTTATAAATGATATTTCTAAAAGTTCAGCTAATTTTTAATTGTATTTAGAAATACAATCTATGGCCGGGCACAGTGGCTCACGCCTGTAATCCCAGCACTTTGGGAGGCCGAAGTGGGCAGACCATTTGAGGTCAGGAGTTCGAGACCAGCCTGGCAAACATGGTGAAACCCCGTCTCTACTAAAAATACAAAAATTAGCCAGGCGTGGTGGCGCCTGCCTGTAATCCTCGCTACTCGGGAGGCTGAGGCAGGAGAATAGGTTGAACCTGGGAGGCGGAGATTGCAGTGAGCCGAGATCGCACCACTGCACTCCAGCTTGGCGACAGAGCAAGACTCTGTCTCAAAATAAATAAAATAAAATAAATACAATCTATGTTTGTATATCAACTTTTTATCCTGCAACCGTGCTAATTACATTTATTAGTTCTAATAGCAAATTGTAGATCCGTTAGATTTTCTATATAGTCAAGTATGTTTTCAAATAAAGGCTCTTTTTACCTCTTCCTTTCCAACCCAGATGGTGTTTTTCCTCTTATCTCATTGCAATGACTAGAGCCCTAAACACATTGGAAAGTAGAAGTGGTACAAGTGAGCATTCCTCTCTTGTTCCTGATCTAAGGGAGAAGGTATTCAGTGTTTCATCATTAAATATGATGTTGGCTGTAAGTTTTTTCATAATGTTCTTTATCAGGTTGAAGATATTCCCTTATATTTCTAGTTTGCTGAAATATTTTACAGGAATGGATGCTGAATTCTTCCAAATAACTTTTTAATATCTCTTGAAATGATCATATGGTTTTTCTCTTCTAATTTAATATAGTTAATTATATATATATTTTTAATGTTAAACCAACCTTGCATTTTTGGGATAAACCTCACTTGAACATAGCATATAATTCTTTATATATATATTGCTTGATTCAATTTGCTATTATTTTGTTGGACACTTGGGGGTATAAGTTCATGAGGAATGGTCTATAGTTTTCTTATTATATTTTTTTTCTGGTTTTGGTATCATTTCAGGGTAATAGTGGCCTCTAGAATGCACTGGGAAGTATCCCTACTGTTTCCACTTTCTGGAAACTCTGGAAAGAATTTGGATCAAATGGTTTTATTATTTTCTTAAATGTTTGGTAGAATTCATCAGTGAAACTATCTGAACCTAGACTTTTGTTTGTGTAATGGTTTTAAACTACAGCTGCAATTTCTGTATAGATCCAGGGCTATTTAGATAATCCATTTCTTGAGTTATCTTTTTTTATTTTATGTTATTTTATTTTTTATTATTTTTTTTTTGAGATGGAGTCTCACTGTCTCTCCCAGGTTGGAGTGCAGTGGCGTGATCTCGGCTCACTACAACCTCTGCCTCCTGGGTTCAAGTAATCCTCCTGCCTCAGCCTCCCAGGTAGCTGGGATCGCAGGTGCCCACCACTGCGCCCAGCTAAATTTTGTATTTTTAGTATAGATGGGATTTCACCATGTTGGCCAGTCTGGTCTCCAACTCCTGACCTCAAGTGATCTACCTGCCTTGAGCTCCCAAAGTGCTGGGATTACAGGTGTGAGCCACCGTGCCTGGCCTCTTGAGTAATCTTTAGTTGATTGTTTTCCAAGGAATTTTTTCGTTTCCCTTAATTTGTCAAATTTATTGGCATAAAGTTGCTCATAATATTCCCTGATTTCCTTTTATACCTGTGGAATATGTAGCAATATCAACTCTCTCATTCCTGATATTGATAATTTGTATTTTCTCTCTTTTTTCCTAGGTAGAATTGGCATTAGCAGTTACTCCTTTTTTGTTCCTGCTCTCAGGGCTTTACAGCTTTCAATAGTTTTCAAGAATTTAGATTCTTCCAAATAACTTTTCAATAGATATCTCTTGAAATGATCTTATGGTTTATCTCTTTTTAATTTGTTAATACAGTAAATTATATATGTATATTTTAATGTTCAACCCATCTTGCAGTTTTAGGATAAACCTCACTAGATCCTGGCATATAATTACTTTTTTAATATATTGCTTAATTTAATTTGTATTATTTTGTTGGAAACTTGGGGGTATAAGTTCATGAGGAATGGTCTGTAGTTTTCTTACATCTTTTTCTGGTTTGGGTATCATTTCAGGTAATGGTGGTATTACCATTATCTTTATACTTAATTTATAGCATTAAGTATAAAGTTTGGTATAGATTCTATGGTAAAATAATCTTCATAAGATTATATTCTTTTATCAGATTATATTCTGTTCCCAATTTGCTCAGTTTTTTCTTCCACCTTATGAAGGAATATGCAATCTTATTAAATGCTTTTTCCACATCTATTGAGATGACCACCTGATTTTTTTCCCCTTTATTCTGTTAATGTGATTAATGACATTGATTAGGTATAGTTATTAATATGGTACACTGACAAAGCAGTATATATGATAGTGGTTAAGAACAGAGCTCCAGTGACAGGCTGCCTGGATATTAACACGGTTCACCACCTACCAGCTTCGAAGCTTGAGTACTGTCTTAAACTCTCTGTTCCTAAGTTCCCCCCTCTCTAGAAGGGATATAAATCATAGTCCATCTCATGAAATTGTTGTGAGAATAAATCGGGTCACATGTGCAAAGAGCTTAAAACATCTGCAACTTAGTGCTCAATAATGTTTGCTATTTTTCTTATTAGATCCTGGCCTAGATTATTGAAACCCGACAGCAAAAAGAACTGTCCTGAGATCTGAGCAAGAAGGACCCAGGCCTCTACTTTAGAGGGCTCCATGGTGGCCCTGCTCAGGTGACACTGTCCCTGCAGAGGAGGCATCTTCAGGGCCTGATGCCTGCAAGAGGGTCTCCACACTTGGAACATGGCCAGTGTAAGCAGACATGCTCCAAGTGCGAGGACAGACACCTGGTCCAGACACCTGTCCACTTACACTGGCCATGCTCCAAGTGCAGGGACCCTGGAACTCTGCCCAAATGCCCCAAGCCTGCCCTCTGGGACTCAAGAACTTCTACCCTAGGTCCAATGTCCAGATGGTAGAGAGCTTTGGGGTACAGACTTCTATGCTGGAGAGGTTTCCAAGAGATGGCTGTTTACGGTAGGATGTTGATGGAATTCATGAAAATAGGCTTACGCAGTCAGAAGCATAAAATAGATTTTATTTAGCAGTTCATCAGCTTGATGTATAACTTTTCTATATGTAGACGTATGGTATGTATACATCCAGTTGTACCATCGTCCTGAGCCTTGCCAATGTCGGGTTCTCAGCCACACTGGCATACCAGGTCATCTTAATTTGGAGAGGCAAACCTGCAGCCTTCTCTTGGCCTGGGAGTGTGAAGCACACGTGCTTATCTCCAGGCCAAAGCCCTGATGCCCCCAGATGTGTTGATTCATTGTTGAGGAAGCAGGAGGAGAGGGTTGAGAGTAGTTCTGGGAAAGGGGTCTTCCTGGAGACAGCTGTGAGGGCCCTTTGAAGAGCAGGGCTGCCAGGGAGACTTTGATTGGCTCTGCAACAGAGAAGAAGCCACTCTGCTGGCCAGAGATGCAGCCTGCAGCCCTCTTGCAGGCATGGGGGTCAGGGCATCAGCAGGAAGAAGACCTCACCCTCCGAGGATCAACATAGGCCAGATTAAGAAAAGGAGCGTTGGCAGGGTACGGTGGCTCACACCTGTAATCCCAGCACTTTGGGAAGCTGAGGTGGATGAATCACCTGAGGTCAGGAGTTCAAGACCAGCCTGGTTAACATGGCAAAACCCCATCTCTACTAAAAATACAAAAATTAGCCAGACATGGCGGTGGGCACCTGTAATCCCAGCTACTTGGAAGGCTAAGGCAGGAGAATCGCTTGAACCTGGGAGGCAGAGGTTGCAGTGGGCCAAGATTTGTCTCAAAAAAAAAAAAAAAAAAAAAACTAAAAAAAAAAAAAAAAACGATTAAAGGATTATCTTTAAGGAGTACAAGGCCCAAAGGGATCAGGGTAACAGCAACACGCAGATCCTCCATGGCCACCCTCACCAATTTGGGGCCTGTGGACCCACCCTTCTGAGTTCTGTATGGCTGAGGGCTGAGGGGCAGCTGACCTAAGAATACTCCCTCAGGCCGGGCACGGTGGCTCACGCCTGTAATCCCAGCACTTTGGGAGGCCGAGGCGGGCAGATCACGAGGTCAGGAGATCAAGACCATCCTGGCTAACACAGTGAAACCCCGTCCCTACTAAAAATACAAAAAAATTAGCCGGGCTTGGTAGCAGGCGCCTGTGGTCCCAGCTACTCGGGAAGCTGAGGCAGGAGAATGGCGTGAACCCGGGAGGCGGAGCTTGCAGTGAGCTTGCAGTGAGATCGCACCACTGCACTCCAGCCTGGGTGACAGTGAGACTCCGTCTCAAAAAAAAAAAAACGTCTCAGCAGAAGGGTAGAAGCTGAAAGCAGCATTGAGAAACGGGAGTGCAGGGAGTGCTTCTAATTTTATGCGGCCTCAGCATCCAGTTTTTAATATAAGTTTACCTTTCATATACCAGGAGCAGGGCTTAGTTCCCCTGATAGGGTTTCCAGTAAGTACCCCGCCCCACCCAAATTGCTCCAGCCGGTGGCCAGAGATAAGAACTTGGAAGTGCCTCTCCCGCCTAGCAGGCGGGACACCCTGCTTGTGAGGTGGCAGCGTGGCCTCCTGGGACACTTGCTTGCTTGCCTGAAACCCAACAAGTAAAGGTCCCTGTGGGAAACCGGTTTGGATAACGCCCGGGACCCAATAAAGGCCCTGCTCAGATAAGGGGGGCTCTTCTCTTTCCCTGTCTGCACCCCCCAACTTCCGTGTGTATGCATGTGCGTGTGTGTGTGTTTGCGTGTTCCTGCAACCTCCAGGTGTGCCAAGTACTCCCCCAGGGTCTGTAAGTACTAAAAACTCTTAAATTTTTGCATCGTGGTTGTGCCATTGTAGCCCTGCGGACAATTCAACCGCTAATGGTGAGGCTGCCCAAAAGGGACCCACACAGGTGGATCTCCAGCTGTGCTCTTCTGTCCTGGCCTCTGTTGGCTGCTGGGGACAGAGGCTGCCAGCTAAGTTGATAAACTCAGTTTCATTCAAACCTGGCAGTTAGGCCCCTAGTTGGCCTGGAGCCAGCTGCAGTTAGGAAGGGACCAGAAGGAAGGGAGAGGAAGAAGGCAGGTATGCCCAGAGAAGCTGAAGAACCCGGGGCTTAGGGGTTGGTGGGGCAGGAGAGAGGGAGAGAGAGACAGATATATCTGGCGCTGCTCCGTCTCTGGTAGCTTTGAGGCCCAGGGCCAGGTCTGAGGCACCCTCAGCTTTGTTCTCGAGAGAATCCAGGGCTCTTGCTTCTGAAAAGAACACGCCACATCCCAGTGCTCTAAGGGCCCCGTCGGAGATCTTTTCTCATGTGCTCATGACTTCTCAGAGATCCTGTTCCTGGAAAAGCAAGACAGTCACCTAGGAGGAGTGACATAGGGTCTTGAAATGACTCCTCTTCCAAGCAGAAAGGGCATGAGAAACGTTGGAACCTCGAGGTAGAGAAGCTGTGCTCTGGGCAGAAAGGAAAGCCTCCCAGAGGAGCTGTCACTGAGCAGAAGCTTGATGGGCAGGGAGAAGAGGAAAGGAGTGGGCAGGCAGAGGCTGGATGTCAGAGAAGGTTGCTGAGCCATCTGGTCACCAGGACTCTCGGGAGCTGCCAGTGGGGTGCAGGAGGAGCAGGCCCACCGTGTGGTGGAGGGGAGCTTTGCTAAAGGTTTGCTCCACCTCGACCAGGCCCTGGCCACTCTGGCCCTCTTCCCTGGAGAGGCGCTGGCCCTGCATGCCTTAGAGAGTGTGGTCTCCCCCACTGCTCTCCTGCCTTGAGGGCACAAAACCTGCAATGGCACCAGGTCTCCTGTGTGCCTCCTTAGCCAGCAATGTGGGTAACACTCCACCCCTGTCCTCAAGGATCTCAATATCCGGCAGGAAAGGCAGAAATGGACACACAGTCACGGTGCTGCCAGTGTGAAGGTTCAGGGTAGGTGCAAGTGTAGAGAAGAGAGGGCCCACTTTAAGGCAAGCCAAGGACACACGTCATCAGGCTGGAGGGCAGAGTGCCTTGGTGTAGGAGTACTTAGAACTAAAATAAGGGCTTCCCATGCTAGGCAACCAAGTTAGTCACTTGCTTTGTAGGCAAAAGCAAAGTATTTGTGGATTTTAAGCAGAAAAATGTGTTTTGAACGCAGTGAGGGGAATGATGAAAGGGAGTTGGAGGCTCAGAAAGAGCTGAGGGGGGCTGGGTGTAGTGGCTCACACCTGTAATTCCAGCACTTTGGGAGGCCCAGGCAGGAGGACTGCTGGAACCCAGGAGCTTGAGACCAGACTGGACAACATAGTGAGACCCTGTCTTTAAAAAAAAAATTAATGGCTAGGTGTGGTGGTGTGTACCTGTAGTTCCAGTTACTTGGGAGGCTGAGGTGGGAGGATCGCTTGAGACTGGGAGGTCGAGGCTGTAGTGGGAGGATCGCTTGAGACTGGGAGGTCGAGGCTGTAGTGAGCCATGATCATGCCACTGCACTCCAGCCTGGGAGACAGAGCAAGAACCTGTCTCTAAATAAAGAAGGAAAGAAAGTAGAAAAAAAAAGAGAAAAAGCTGAGGGAGGTCCTGAGTCTGATTTGTGGCTGTGCAGAAGCTCAGGGGACAGGTGGCAGAGGCTGACAAAGTGGGTGACCCCACCCGATGCCTGTCGAGCTGAGTGGGGTGACTTGCTTCCAGTTGGTCCGAGGCCGCACTTCTCCACCCCTTCCTTCCACCTCCACCTTCTGCAGCATTAAAGCGCACTGCTTGCCCATGGGTGACACTGGGGGGACATCTCTGGATTCCATCACGTCAGTCGCTGTCCAGGCAGTCGGGCACATTTCCCGTATTCTTTAGCTACGGCAATGTCAGGTGCTTCTGGCAAGGTGGAGGCGTTGAGAAAAATGAACAAGATCTTTACATTTTTGGTTTTTTAACTGGAGAACAAGGATTTGAAAAATTAGCTCAGTTGCTGTCTCAAGGTCAGTCACACCATAGTCTTAAGGGCTGACCTCCCAAAAAATGCTTCCCCAAAACACCCCCATCCTGTGTGCAGCCATACCATCTACCACCCCTGGGCTTTAACGGCTCCCTTTGCTGCCAGAGAAAATGCCACCCCACTTCTGGTACCCCCTGAGGTGGTGACAGCAGCTTGATCTGGGAAGAGCGCAGTCCCTCAGATGGACCTGAGTGGCACATGGCCCAGCTGAGAGAGTTCCACACTCGGGAGTCAGCTCCAGGTCTGCCTGAGGTTCTGGCTACCTTCCACACCTCAGTGCCAGCCTCTGGTGCCCCAGGAAAGAAAAATAGCTTTCTGCTAGGCAGTCTTCCTGCTGCAGAATTAGAAAAGACTCGAGCGTGGCTTTGAGGAAGTGAAGTCACCCAATCAGCTTCTTTCTCCCGAGACCTCTACTCATGGCTCCCCCAGTGGGAAACAGGGCTGGAAAACGGCACCTGATTGGAGGTAGCAATTGTTGCCTGGAACAAAGGACAGAAGGAGGGAGAGAAGATCATCAGGGATAGGAGAAGGTGGCTGAGGAGACAGTGACGTTGTGAGTGATGTGATGGTGACAAGTGTGGCTCTGAAGTCAGGGAGAGTGGCCACGATGTGTGAGCGGCTTCCAGAAGCCAAGAACCTTCAAAAAGGCACCAGAGGTTGAGTCAAGGAGGAATCCAGACAACGTCTGCAAAGCCATTGTTGTCAGTGGGAAAGCTCTGGGGGAACCAAATGAGGGCAGTCATCCTAGAATGTGGCAATGGAATCTTTGCAGACCTGATATATTTTGTTTTGCTTTTAAGAATTTATGTGCACAAAGCTGTTATTTGAATTTCAAGTAGGAATTGAGTGTGTAGTAGGTTCAGCTTGACTCATTGCAAATAAGTATTTTACCTGTCTCTGAAATGACTTTTGGTAGCAGAAAATGAAATTACTTCAAAGAAATCAAAGCATCTTTCCTTGAGGGAGTTTTATTTCTCACAGCTCTTACTCTGAGCTTCAATTTCCTGTGAAAAACTGAGATTGCTTATGAAAATGGCTGAGTTAGCAACTAAAAGCATGTTTAAATTACATATGTAAGAGAAATTAAATGCATTTAAACAAACTTCTGGGTTCTATGTGTTCTGTTTTTTATATACTTCGCCCAGTAAATTCTATTGTTTCAGAAAAGCCTTGTTTCTTGTTATAACTTTGGGGCATGGAAAAAAAGAAAAACCTTGTTTCTAAGTGGCATAAATAATACATCATCACCTAAAATCCTCAAGTGGGTCAGGTGGGATGGCTTATGCCTGTAATCCCAGCACTTTGGGAGGCTGAGGTGGGCGGATCACTTGAGGCCAGGAGTTTGAGACCAGCCTGGTCAACACAGTGAAACCCCATCTCTACTAAATGTAGAAAAAATTAGCCGGGCATGGTGGCACACACCTGTAATCCCAGCTACTCAGGAGGCTGAAGCATGAGAATCGCTTGAACCCAGGAGGCGGAGGTTGCAGTGAGCTGAGATCCCGCCACTGCACTCCAGTCTGGGTGACAGAGTGAGACTCTGTCTCAAAAACAAAGTAAAACCATCAGGTGGGCTAGATTTTATTCAAATACACAATACTAACCTGATGTTTCCATTCACTTTTGTGTTTTTAGTATATTGCAAAGGGGTAGAAATCTCTCAAATTTTTGTAAGTTCTGGAATTCTATGTTATCAAAATGAAAACTGGAACCACTGGAGTCAATCTGACAGATTAACACCATCACTAGCCATTAGAATATGTGGGGGATGGGGGCATCTGATCCTACACCATCACTAACCATTAGAACATGTGGGGGATGGGGAGGGATCTGATCCTACACCGTCACTAACCATCAGAACATTCAGGGGCGTGTGGGGATCTGATCCTACACCATCACTAACCGTTAGTACATCCTGGGGGTGGGGGGATCTGATCTAGGTGGAGATCTCAGATTTTCCTTTCCTAAAATTGTCCTGAGCTAACCTTGGACAAATGGCTGAATCTCTCTGTGCCTGAGTTTCTTCATCATAAGACAGGGATATTATACTTCTGTATCATCCAGGGCTAGGTTCAGCTGCACATGACAGAAAACCCGAAGTAATACTGGTTGAAACGAGAGAAGTTGATTTCTCATATCCAAGCAGCCCAGAGGTAGGCGGCCCACAGTGTCATCTATTTGGGATCCACTGTGCAAGGCTCTCGTTTAGAGATTCCTGCGTGTTTCAAGGGGATGTGGAAGCCGGGCTGTGTCCAGTCTGTGGTAAGAGGAAAGCATATAGAAGCCCATGCCCCCTGCGTGTGCACGCAGTGGCTAGAGTTTGCGTTAAACCACTTCATCTAGTCCCGTGGCCACACCTAGCTGTGAAGGAGGCTGAGAAGTGTGGTCTCTAAGAAGCAGTACTGGGAAATAACCGGGACTCTGCGTCACAATCTGTTTACTGCACAGTTGTGAGACCTGTGTATTGATGCATATCAAATACTTGGGACAGGACCTGGCACACAGTATGTGCTCAGTGAATGCTGGCTGTTATACACGAAGTGGTGGAGGCAGGGAATTTGGCAGTACGGAAATGCGTATGTCCAAAGGAGAACTGCTTCTCAATTGTCCTTTCCTATTCTTTCTTATCCCAGATGAATTGCTGGGATTGGGTAGAGACGTAGAGTCAGTTGGGTAGAATGTATTGGCACTGGCTGGAGAGGCCAAAGGGTTGTTGTATTTCTAATTCAAGGACATCTCATTCATGCCAGGAGTGAGGGTAGTAATTTGGGGTTTACAGCAGTGATTGCAGTACTGTTGTGCAGCGGGTCCAGGCAGGTAGGGGAGGCAGCCTGGTGGGGCTGAGAAAACTGGGGAGCACACATGCACTCTCTAAGGGGTGACTGCAACCTGCCACTACCCTGTAGGGGGACTAGCGCTGCTAGACCTTCCAGTTCTTAAAAAGTCTGGATTTTTATGTGATATCTTTTTGTTCGCCTTGAACACTGTCTTATTATGGCCACAGGCAAGCAATCAGTTCAGTAAGACCACATGAGATGAAAATAATTAGGTGAGGGACAGGCTGGAAAAAGCTATCAGGAGCTGCAGCTGGAGGGCATGATCATGACAAATTCTGGGACAAGGTTACATAAGAAAGGACATCAGGGGTGGAGCTTCAGTTTTCAGCCCCTTCTCAGCTGGGTAAGAAACCCAAGGAAGGAAGAAATGCTAAAGCTACAGTTTTATGACTTTTGTTTGCATGATTTCTGCTCAAATAGGCTGGAGGAATGGGATGATGACTATATTCTAACAATTAAAATGCTGTCAATACTAGAACTGTAATACCACACTCCTTTAAACAAGAAAAAGCCACATTTCTGTTTTTGTGGTTGACTACATGATTTAAGTTTTTGTTCTGTTTTCTCCAACCCCTCCATGAGAAATCTCCAAGCATAAGATTATTTTGCTCATTTCTTGAGGATAAATCTGTTTGAATGATGTTTTCTCAGGGCAGGGATGGGAAGTGTCTGCTAATCAATAATGAACCCCCGGGAACCAAGAGGGTCTGTCAACAAAGCTCTAGCTCCCCTCGTTACCCCACGGCTCAAGCATCCTGTGGGGCCACAGGTAGCTTTGCAGAAGAGGTCACGCCAATGGAAAGGGAATAATTGGATATTTCTCCTTCTAAGAATTCATGAGAAGGAAAAAATGTGGAATGTTGTAAGAAAGTCAACATGGCCTAAGGGAAACTTTAATAGGCTTTTCAAGTCAGTCACGTGAGCCAAAACGGAGAGAGAATGATAAAGATGCAAGGCTCTCTGGCTGCTCAAAACATGAAATAAAGGAGACTTTTTTTTGGCGGGGGGGTGTCCACAGTATAGTCTAAAAATGTCAAGGCTTATTGCGCAGGTTAACGGTTTTTGATTTCTTGGTATCTGAGGTTAGCCACAGGGGAGTGTATTATTATAAAGTCACCTGGCTTCACGGTGGCTCTTGGTGGTTTTACTTACCGATAGACTTTTATTCTCAGATTCTTAAGATAAGGAATCCTCTAAGAAAACCTTCCTGAGACTCCTGAGTCTGAGCTACTAGGAATCTTACGCTGTCTTCCAAAGTCACTGTGTAAATGTGCATTTATCAATATGGTTTATGATTTCTCCTGCCCATTAGTCTTTAAAAAGCACTCGTTGGGTATTCTCAAAGATTAAAAAAAAGATGAAGTATCATTTGGGTATACTGAACTATGTACACCATGACAAACATTTATTTTTCTGGCTCAAAGATAATGATAAAATAAGTTTGCTACCCTGATTTGTATAAACTGTGAACACATGCTTTACCATATGAGAAAGCAGATCACCATAGGCACGAGTCAGTAGAAATATCAAAGAATCAAACCTGCTAAAACTGAAGGTATGATAGCTATTGGATCCAGATATAAAATAACAGAAAACACAATAACCGAGACAAGGATTATTATTTCTCTCATTTTACATATGAGGAAAACTAATATGTAAGTTGGGTAGCCTGTCCAAACACATCCACTTTGTAAATGGTAAGGTCTAGATTTGAAGTCAGGCAGTTTGGTCCTATAATTCTTATAAGATTTGTTTTATATTTTACAGAAATAAAAGGGGATAAAATGTGATGCAAGCAAGAGAGATCTCAAAACTGACTAGGCTGTTTTAAAAACAGCTAAAGAGAACTTTCTGAACTGAGAGAAGTGAAATTTAAAACTCACTGAACCGATTAATTAGACATGGCTGAAAGCAAAATAATAAATTGGAATATAATTCTGAAGAACTTACCCAGAATGCAGCACAGAGAGAAAATGAGAAGTAAAATATAAACAATAAGGTAAAAAATACAGAGAATAGAGTAAGTTCATTCAACATACATTTAACAGGAGGAGTTCCTAAAGGAGATAACAGAGCAAAGGGGGAAGAGCCAATATTAAAAGTGACTGAGACATTTTACAGAATTGACAAAAGATACCAATCCTCAGTTTCAGCAAGCCAAACAAATCCTAAGCAGAATAATAAAAAGAAACCCACATCTAAACACATTGCGGCAAAGCCTCAGAACACCCAGGACAAAGAAACGATCTTAAAACAGTCTGAGAATAAAAATACACAGACCCAGACTGAAAACTGATTCATAGCAGCAACACCAGAAGCCAAGAAAAAGGGACTAATATCTCCAAAATGTTGAGGGAAAAGATTGCTGTGTACCTATTTGTGTATCCAGCATAATGATCTTTCAAGTGTGAAAGCAAAGTAATTACATTTAAAGATAAACCAAAGCTGAGAATGTTTATCCCTAATGACTCTCACTAAAACTTCTGAAAGACACAATTTAGGTAGAAGGAAAATTATCCTAGAAGGTAGGTCTGCAGTTCAAGAAGGAACAGTGATTATTGAAAATGGTAAAAATATAAGAATCTAACCATTGGCATTGATTGTATAAAACAACAATGACAGTATGTAAGTTGGGAGAGGATGACTGGACTTAAATTAGGCTTAGATTTTTGTGTTGTTTGTGAGAAATGTACAGCTACTGATTAAATGTTTCATATGCATATTAAATCTCCTCGGGTATGCACTAAAAGGATAGAGATTAGGGAGGAAATGAAAAGTGAAGGTAAAAATCCATCTACATGAAGAATGAAAAACATGTCACCAAAAAGCGGTCACATGAAAAAACCCCAAAACGCAATTCAACAGATGATGAAAACAGATCAGTAAGTACTATCAATGGAAAATGACTAACTGGGAAAATTAAATGGTACGGCTTGTAAGATTGATTTAAAAACAAGGGAAAGGAAAGGAAATGTAGCTATGTGGCATTTAATATATAAAGACAAAAGATATTAAAGATTAAAGACATATACTCAATAGTGTGTGTGCCTTTCAACTGGAGAGTACATGTCTTTTTCAAACACACCTACACCATTAGTTAGAACTGATTGAAATGGAATGGAAAAAATACACCAAGAATGAAAAACACACAAACCAAAACAAAGCTAGTGTAACTAAATTAATATATGGCAAAATACAAAATAGACTTTAACTAGAAATGAAAAGAATCACTAGAAAAATAATAAAAATTTATCATGTAATCACAAGTGAAGAAACAGGAAGTTATAGCCATTCTAAATGTGCAAAACAACAAATAATAACAAAAAGAAAAACCGACAAGGAGAAAGTGACAAATTCATTATCCACCCCAGGGGGCAGCCATGCTCAGTACTGATAGACCTCCCAAAATCACATGAATTTTGATCCGTCGGATCAGGTATGGATTTGAAATCACAATAGACATACACTCAATGATGTGTGCCTTTCAACTGGAGAGTACAGATCTTTCCCAAACGCACATACATTAGTTAGGACTGATTGTACAGTAGCCTCAACAAATTTCAAAGAACTGGGATCACACAGACCACATATTCTGCCACAACGCAGTTTAGAAAACTACAAAAACTAGAAAAATCCCATCTCTTTGGAAAATTTAAAACATATTTCTGAGCAACCCATGTGTCAAGACAAAATTGTAATAGGAAATACAAAAATACTTAGCATTAAATCTTGTTTGACACAGCGTATACTATTTACAAGGAAATGTATAATCTTAAATAACTGATACTCGGCCTGAGCATTCAACTTGAGAAATTAAAGAGAACAGAAGAATCTTCTCAATAAAAAGTAAAGACAACATCATATTGAGTTATAAAATAAATTCATGTGTAAGCTCATAGGACCCAGAATGGCCTAGATAAGAAGAAACAGGGAAGATTTCCTATCAAGATTTATAAGGTGTGTATTAGGACCAATGGACTAGAACTGGCCAATGGAACAGTGAGCCCCACACAGTCCAACACATATATGGGAAGTGACATGGCAGAGCTGGCATTGCACCCCAGAGGGGAAGCGGGGTACTTTCAGTACATGGTATTGGGACCACAGGATAAAAAACATAGATCCCCACTTCCCATCATACACAACAATCAATGCCACGTAGATCAAGGTCCTTTATTTTCAAGTGACCAGTGTTAGACAAATTGTACAATGGCCCTGCTCCTAACCATGTAATTGTTTTTCTCAGTCTAGGCTCTGAACAAAATCCCTCTTCATCCAACAAATATTTTCTGTGTGCCAGCTATCTTCCTGCCAATTGTTCTAGGCATGGAATACACCAGTAAACCAAAGACCTCTACCCTTGTGGGGCTTACAGTCTTGTGGATAATTGACATATAAGGCAGTAGTTATGTATCAGGCACTTTATTAGCCCTGACATACTCATTACATCCTTGATAGACACTACTGTCTCTAAGTGCCAGAGCTAGGATCTGAAGTAAGTTAGCCTGCCAACTCTCAGAATCCCAGCTAACTACTGTATTACATCTACTGCCTTCCTTATTGCCTTAGTGAAGAATGTGCCATGAAATGTTTTTGCTTAAACATGTATGTGATGATCCTAAGACATTGTTATGTGTAATGAATTGACTTTTTTTCTACGGATCTAACGTACTGGATAGGTACCATCCATCCTTGGAAGAATTTTGAGAATAGCTACTCAAATCACTTTCTGTGTTGTGTGGTCAGATGAGAAAGCCTGAGTGGGCAGAGATGGTACCACTGTGCTCTAGCTTGGGTGACAGAGTGAGACCCTGTCTCAAAAAAACAAAAAAGTAACAAAAAGTGAGGTACAGTGATTCCACCTTCTGGGGAAGTTTAACCATACCTTAAAATCTAATGCTGACTAGGTGAAATTCAGACAATGTCATACATGAGCACCTAGTTTTTTGCTTTGTTCTGTTGGTAGATTTTTACAACTGCCATCTTCATTCTACTCTCAGAAAGTAAAGGTTTCAAGACATGTTTTGTTTTGTGTCTGTAAGAAAGCATCTTCAGGACCCCATGGTCAACAAATTTGACAATCGATAAATCTTTATGTCCAATTCCCAATATTTTCCTTTTGTAACTGCTTCATTGGAAGGTTTGAGCATATATTATACTGTCTAAACCTTCTCCTTGGCTGGACAAAACTAAGCTTCCTTCTGCTTTGTATTTCCTTCTACTGTCCTAAGATGCTGTTCCAGCTCTCGTGGTATTTAGCTTTCATAGCAGGGATGCTGGGAGGTCTGTGTAACAGATGCTCTTCCCCTAGTACAACTCCCCTCCTTCCTTCCTTCCTGGGCAGCCAGCTGAGATGCCTGTTACAATTGGCTCCTACTGTTCTCTGTTGCACAAATCAGTCAGCTAAAGCAGCCCTGCTGGTGTCGTATGGTTTAACCTTGCTACAGTGAAATGGCAAGTAGGGACATTTGATTGTCTTGCATACGAATCCAGGGATCTGACATTTTGTAGCAAAAAGCTCATCAAAAACGACCAGAGGAAAAGATAATCCTGCCATTCTACCTAATATCAGTCACAAAATGAACTCCAGCACATGAAAACGAACTTTAAGCCTACTAGAAAACAAATATATACCATATGTCTGTGGATAGGGAAGTATTTTTTAGCGGTTCTCAAAATACACATATAAAAGCCAACAAATGGGGATAAATAAAATTTAAAACTATGCAAAGAAACACCTGAAACAAAGTTTAAAAACTATAGACTGAAAGAGGGGATTTGAAATTAAGATTAGTATCCAAATCTTGTAAAGATCTGTGAGGAAAAAAACAACAGAAATATGATCAAAGGTTCACATAGCTGGACGCAATGGCTCATGCCTGTAATCCCAGCACGTTGGGAGGCTGAGGCGGGAGGACTCCCTGAGCTCAGGAGTTCAAGACCAGCCTGTCCAACATGGTGAAACCCCGTCTCTACTAAAAATACAAAAAATTAGCCAGGTGTGATGGCGCGTGGCTGTAATCTCAGTTACGCGGAAGACTGAGGCAGGAGAATTGCTTGAATCTGGGAGGTGGAGGTTGCAGTGAGCTGAGATCACGCCACTTCACTCCAGCCTGGTGACAGAGCGAGACTGTGTCGTCACCAAAAAAAAAAAAAAAAAAAAAAAAAAAAAAAAAAAAACTTAGTTGGAAACCAGAATAGCCAATGAACATCTGAAACGTGGTCTCTGCCCTAGTAATGCAGGAAATGTAAACCAGTGAGAGATCTCACACCCATCAACTTTGTTTTAAAAACAAAATTTTTAAACACTGACAGTACCCTACTGTCCTTGAGGAAGTGAAGAGATGAGAATCCTCGTACACTGCCGGCGAACTCTGGAGATTAATTTGACAAAACCTAGTAAAGCTGCAATGTGCCAGGTCGGTGCAGTGGCTCACACCTGTAATCGCAGCACTTTGGGAGACCAAGACAGGCAAATCGCTTGAGCCCAGGCATTTGAGACCAGCCTGGGCAACATGATGAAACCTGGTCTCTACAAAAAAATACACAAAGTAGAATCCAATTTAAATTATATTCAGTTAAGTCAAGGATGTCCATGAAAAGAACATATAAATATGCTAATAGGAGGAAATGGTATAATAAAAATATTAATCCAAAAGAGGCAAGAAACAAGAGAAAAGGGTAGGTAAAATGCCCTGGTCATGGAGAAAATGAATGGTTCAGCTGTAGATGTGAATCCAAACACATAAATAATCATATTAAATGTAACTGGGTTACATATTCCAACTAAGAGACTATGTTTAAAGAAAATCTATATGCTGTTATGAGAAAAATACAAAAGGATTAATACGGATGGAAATGATGTATTATGCAAATACTAACCAAAAGTAACTAATATAGCTACATTAATATATAAAATAAGGTAATAAAGCTTTGGTTGAGACTCATTATGAAGGACATTTCATAATAGAAGGGTCAATCTACCACAAAGACGTAACAATTCTAAATTTATGTTCACTTAGTAAACTAACTTCAAAATAAAAGATTGACATAAAAGATATGCAAATCTACATTCATATCATAATATTCTATCACTTCTCAGGAACTGGTAAGAGCCAGGGAAGAAATCTATAATGATCTAGATCTGTAAAACATGATTAAATTTGACCTAATACACCAAATAAAAAGCATCCAGTAAGGATAGAAACATATTCTTTTCAAGTAGACGTGTTATTTCTCAAAATTGACCATATAGTGGGGTCAAAATGGATGTCTCAATTTCAAATGTATGTTTAATGATAATGTAACATTATGCTGGAGTCAACATAACCAGAAAGTTTTCAAATGTTTGGAAATTAAGCAATACATTGCTAAATAACTCACAGGTTAAAGAAAAAAATCAGAATGCAAACTAGAAAGCATTTTGAAATGAATGATAATAAAAATACAGCATATAGCCTTAAAATGAAGATATTAGAAAACAACTAAAAATCAATTTTCCAAGCAATCGTCTCAAGAAATTAAAAAGTCGAGCAAATTATAGCCAAAGAAAGGTTGGGCGTGGTGACTCATGCCGGTAATCCCAGTACTTTGGGAGGCCAAGGCGGGCGGATCGCTTTGAGCCTCGGAGTTTGAGATGAGCCTGGGCAACATGGAGAAAGCCCATCTCTACAAAAAATACAAAAAAAAAAAAGTTAGCTGGGCATGGTGGCATGTGCCTGTCAGTCGCAGCTCTGCAGTGAACTGTGATGATCGTACCACTGTACTCCAGCCTGGGCAATAGACTGATAGTGAGACTCTCTCTCAAAAGAAAAAAAAATATAGAAAAAATGAGGAGCAAGAACAAATAATATAAAACTATTTGAGCCTTGAAAGTAACTTTTAAAACATATAAGTAAAAAGTGTTTTTGACACTTTTAATAATACACTGCAAGAACTCCCCCTCATGTAAACTAAGGGAAGTGTGTGCTTTGTTTTGTTCAAAACTTTAAAAGCAGAGCATGACTCCTAGTAAAATCTCATCGCCAGCAGCAAACTATTCATGGTACCATCTCCATGTGTAGTTACCATTGTTAGTGACTCTATATACTGGAGCAAACATCTGACTATTCCATTATATTATTTTCATGATGTAGTTGTACCTGAGCATTTGCATATTGAAAAATTTATTTTATTATAAATCACTTTCATTTTTCTTTTATAATAGGGGATTATGGTCTATATCATAACATACTCAATGTAAAGTTATATTTAGATATATTATGAATTTCATGATGGTAAAGGGGAAATCTCAAAATACTTTTAAGAAAGTATCATGTTTGACAGTTGACAATCTCTGGATTTGATGACTGTTAAGGTCCTTCTCAGCCTTAACAGTCTGAGATTTTTTTGTAACCATTACTTCCAACAATAGCTTTGTTCTATTTTGAAACTAGTGTGTGGCAGGCACTGTAAGTGGAACAGTATCTCATTTAAATCTAATCACCCTTATAATAGGTAGTGTTACTGTAACTAACTGTTTATATGAGAAAACAAATTCAGAGAAGTTAAATAATGTGTTCAAGTTCACATACCTAGGTAGAGCTGGACTGACTCCAAACTCATGTTCGTTTCACTCACGAAAAGAACATTAACATAACATACATTACTTTACCTAGAAGAGTTAAACACTATCAGTCAACAAGTGAGGTTAGGCTAATGTAAGCATCTGTAAGAAAGAGTCTCTACCCACCACAGCAAGAAAGAGGAGAAGATGGAATGTATAAATATAGTAGGCACCTTTTTAAAGTCAGGACCAATTAATCATGTAAGGTAGTTATAAATGGATGACATCTAAAAATATATCAGAATAAGTTTCAAGCCATGCAAAATTCACCAAAACAATTTTTATTTCCAGTGTTTAATTGGGTATGCACACAGGCATGACACAGGTTTGGATTCATTAAGTCCTCATGCAGAATTATATTCTTCTCGATAAAGAAGCCAGTTCCATCCAGGATCCACTATCTACACACCTATGTTACAACATTATATCAAATCTGGTATCTGAAGAAAAGATACACATTTAATATGTTCATTTAAGTTACGTATTTTACAGAAAGATTAAAAATTCAAGTCACACAAAACTCAAAAACTGTATTAAAAGTTTGAATATAAAACTCAGATCCACCTGGAATGACTAAAGAATGGAAGTTCTGTATCCACCTGTGTTAAAACTGGTAAATGTAATGATATCTGTTACCAATAAAACGCATTCGTTTATTCAATGTAAGTAAGTTATCTAATTTTAACAATATGGCACCCTAAAAACCAACTGTATTTTTATGATGAGGCACTTTTGTTAGTGATGAAACCAAAAGAACAAATTTGCTGCACACTGATGCCAGCGATTTTCTTCAGTGATTTTGGGTATATGCTATGTAGTAAGTTGCAACAAATACCTTGCTCATTTGTATACAACTATCCGATATATTTTTAAATATATATATATATATATATGTTCTTCTGGCTGTAGTAATGCACTGTAAAGCTATTTCACAGTGCAAAATGATGAAACCAGCCCAAATGAAGGCTGCATAATAACAATTCTGATACAAGAAAATATTGACAGAGTTACTGGAACGTGTAACAGTAGTTTTTTTACTTGCTAGAGTGGACATACCCCCAGTTTAAAGACAGGGATGAAACTCTGCTTTACTGCCTGGGGTTTCAGACAGTTTATGAGGTTGGGCATTCGCTGCAGAACTAGCATTTTTGCTCACGTTCTGGAAGCTTTCTCCGTTTATTTGGTCAGGTGACTGTGGTGGTATGGAAAGAAGGGGCCTGTTTGTTGAAGCCAAGGTGCTGGAAGAACTGCCTGTGTTGCAATGAAGAGACAAAGGTGTGTCGGTCGTGGCTATTTCTCGTGTGCTTGGGTTCTCTGTCTGGGGATCTCCGATTTCTCCTCTGCTAAGGTCAGAGGTACTGGTGCGTAGGCGTTCCCTGGCCAGCCAGTCTGAGATGGAAAGGTCCTGGGCTGAGCATTTTGGTTTTAACCGGTTTACAGCTGAAAGTTCAGATTCTCTCTCCCCGCTCTGCTCATGCACTTTCCAAAAATTCAAAACGCTGATTTCGGTAGCATCTCTGTGCCCTCCTAGTGTATGTCTGCGCCGGATGCTTTTCCTTTTAGCAGTCTCGGCATTCACTTTGTGATTCCCTACTCCAAACATGTCATCCGCAGGGGCTCTGGGTCTCAGTTTTAACCGATCTGCTATTTTCGTTTTCCATGTGGGTTCCTGTTTTTCGGATTCGCCTCTGGTGGGTGTCAGTAAACTCCCAGTTGACTTTCCTTTTTTCATAACATCAAACACTTTAGTTAACGAAGGTGCTTCTTTCTCATTCTTGGCATCTCCTAGACTTCCACTATCTGACTTGAATCTAGCTGATTTTTTCCTGGAAAGAGTATCACATTCGATGAGTTTATGGGAACTGAAGAGCTGTCTCCGGCTATCTAAACTTGATGTTAAACTTCCCTCGGTGCAACTTAATTCACTTCCTTCAGAATTTCTCCGGCTGCTCTTAGTCACTTCTTGCAGTTTTCCTCGGAAAAGCCTCTCTGAAGTCAAGGCTGTGGGGAACACGGGAAACTCGCTCTCGCTGTCGGTTTCCACAGGCCGCCCTTCACTGATGAGTTCGCTTCTCTCGTCATCTGCCTCGTCCCCCTTGCTCTCTGCCACGGATTGCACCTCAGGGCTCAGTCGACTGGAGTCCAGGCTAGTCAAGTATGTAGCAGACGATGTGGTGGAATAATCTGAGGTGATGGTGCTGACGTTGGCCAAAAACTCGCTATGTTTCGTTTCTGGACTGGTTGATTTCTTCATGGAAAACCTTGCCAGGGAGGCCTGGGAAGACGTGCTGAGCAAAGTGCCAGAGTCAGAGCCTGTCTCTTCAAGGTGGGAGGACTTCTGTGCCAGAAGTGACCTGGGGCTCTCTTTCAGGATGGCAAAGCGACAGCTGAGAGTTGGTGACTTGTTGTGTTTTGAGTTGTGTGGTGGTGAGGGTTCTTCAGAAGGCGTGCTCTCTTTTCCTAGTGATATCTTTTCATCTTTTGTCGTGCTGGGGTCTTTCCTAGTGCTGTTTTCTTTGGCAATGATGATCTTCTGTTTTCTGCCCAGTGTCTCACTTTCTTTTTTGGACTCCTCTTTAGTATCATTGTGACACTGTTCCACATTTTCTTTCTTAAAAAATACATTGTCCAGTTCATCTTCTGAGCTGCTAGGCTGTGCTTTTTCTTTCGGCTTCTTCCTCTTGCGACTAGCAGCTGCAAAGATGGAGGACACAAGCAGTTCCCTGCTATACTGATCCTTTCCAGATCCCCAAGAACCCTGGGAAGCAAGAGAGAAGAAAGACTCTGAGCATAAGAATGCAGCTGAGTTCATTTTCTGACAAGCTTGTCTCCCAAATATTTCTTATCAAATTATATCTACTAAAGCTCTGGAAGCATTAACAGTGCAATTAGCTTTTTTTTTAATACCTCTTTTTACCTTGAACCAAAGTCAAATTTTTATTTAATGAGTCCAATTTCTTGCCTCGTGGTATTTAACTGCCAAGCCACAGCTCATACACATCTGCCTTTCAGGAAAATAGTCTGTGCTTAGTGCTGATTCCTATCAAAATCCCCCAAACACCTGACCTTCCCTCCTTCCACAGTGCCCAGGCATTCTTCACTTCCTTCATTTGGAATAGAGGCATGGGATAGGTAAAACAATATTGTGACACGGTCAAACATCATATTCTGATATAGGTTATTAAACATCACATTCTGATATAGGTTATTAAATGTTTATGACTGACTTTGATTTTTCTAATTACAGGTACCACATGATATAGATACTGTATCAGATAAGCTCATTGAGATAAGGGAACTCTGGTCTTCCATTAGTTCATTCAGGCAGGATCTTCAAGGATCTGCCTTAAGTAAATCAGGTTGGTAATGTCTTCATTTATCTCAAGGTAACAATGGAATTAGAATATTCAAAAAACAGGCCAGGTGTGGTGGCTCATGCCTGTAATCCCAGCACTTTGGGAGGCTGAGGCGGGCAGATTGCTCGAGCCCAGAAGTTCGAGATCAGCCTAGGGAACATGGTGAAGGCCTGTCTCTACAAAAAATTAAGTGGGCATGGTGGCACGCACCTGTGGTCCTGGCTACTTGGGAGGCCGAGGTCAGAGGATCACCTGAGCCTGGGGAAGTCAAGGCTGCAGTGAGCATGAGGGTACCATTGCACTCCAGCCTGGGTGACAGAGTGAGAACCCACCCCAGGAAGGTAGAAAGGAAAGATCAATTAACATAAGTACAATTAAATCCTTACCACAGAAACACTGTAGTGCAGTGTTATTGGGAAAGTTATTTGCTATGTATAATAGGTTCTTTTAAAAAAAATTTTTTAAGATGGAGTTTCACCATGTTGCCCAGGCTGGTCTAGAAGCCTTAGTCTCAAGCTATCCTCCCACCTCAGCCTCCCAAAGTGCCAGGATTTACAGGCATGAGCCACTGCATCTAGATATAATAGGTTCTTGATTGCAACTATTAGTTTCTTCCTAAATATCTGCTGGTTTACCACACACTTTTTAAGACAAGCAGGTAGGCAGGAGGTATGCTGAGTAATAGAAACAGACAGTATATTTCTCTATTGCCTGCAAATCTTAGACAAGTTAAAACTGCTCTATTTAAAGTCTTAAAGTAAAAATTTAGGCTGTTCTATCAAAGAATTTAGGCTGTTCTATCAAAAATTCGCTAAGATGAAATCACAGATGAACAGAACTTTGTTTTTACAAGTTATAAAGACTTTCATAATTATCCAGCACATTTCTAATGGTTATTTACATTTCCCCACATTGTGCTGAAGACTGTAGGGGATAATGGTTGTGACTGGGCTCTCAATTGGGAGACCTTGATGTCCATCCTCTCTAGCTTGCTGGGTACGAGCAAGGGATTCACTTTTAAACATCTCAGTTCCGTGGCGAGAAGCAATTAGATTATACTGTCTTTCAGATTTCCTTAAGGTTCTCTTTACAATTCTATGATCATATATGTGTTGAGGCAAATTACTCTACTTTTCTACAGAGACTGTTTGTTAGAAGTAGTTAATCATGTCATTGGGATATCCACTATATTACAGGCATAGCATAACACCACTATGGATAAGATGAAAAGGCTACTGTAATAACAGGTTAAGAAAAATGCATCTAGAGAAGGGAAAAGCAGGGATTTCAAACAGGTCTCTCTGGTTTAAAATCTCATCTGCTGGCAACAGAGTTAAGGAAACTGTTCTAGATTAAAGAAGTCTAAAGAGATTTGACAAAGAAATGCAAGGAATGATCCTTGACTGCATTCTGTATAAGGAAGTAAAGAATATTACTGGGACAATCTGTATAAAAACTGCACATTAGATAATAATGTGTTGTACTTACCTCAGTTTCCTGAGTATGAAAATTACACTGTAATTATATAGGAGAATGCCCCAGTTCTCTGGTGATACATGCTGAAGTATTTAGGAGTAGTGTTATCTCTACAAGTAACTATCAAATGATTCAGAACAAAAGTGTGAATTTACAATTGATGAATCTAGGGTAAAGGATTTGGGTGCTATTATTTTAGCAGCTTTAGGGTAAAGGATTTGGGTGCTATTATTTTAGCAGCTTTTCTGTAGGTTTAACATTTTTCAAGATAAAAAGCTGGGCAAAAAGATAAACATCACAAGTAATAGAGACATGATAAAGCATTTTTGTAAGAATTATAATTTAATCATATGGAGTCCTGTTATGATATTTAAACATGATATGTAAAATTCATGTCTCATTACAAAATATAACAATGTTTTAAGAAGTCTGACAATTCCAGTTGCTACTGCCTCAACAGTGCAAAATTTAGATCCACTGACTTGACAAAAAACTTTCTAAGAACTATAAATGTCCCACAAACTACTCAAAAAGTTGTGTAATTGAGGGAACACAGATTGTGTAAAAATATTATTTAAAAAATTAGTGATTTCACTGAAAAGGCAAGACTATACTGTCTGTAAAAATGCATAACAAAAAATTGGTATTTCTGAAATATTTACAGATGATATGATGCTTGGGATTTGTGTAAAGATGGTCCTAGAGGGAGGGAAGCAGGTGGCGTACAGAGCAAACGGAGTCGGCCGAGTGCTGATAATTACTGGAGATGAAGATGGGTGCAGGGAGGCTTCTCATTTTATTATTCACTTCTGTATATGTTAGGACCTAATTTTCACATTAAAGAATGGCCTAGTTCTTTGTATTATGCTAAAACTGCACAATGAGAAGAATATGAACTTTTGAGTTCTTATTCCAACTCAAAATCTAGTATTCTTCTTATCATATATTGTTTTAGGAATTAATTTTTTGATTATACTTTGTTGCTCTGTCTCATTAGACATAGAGAGGAATGCATTTGTGTATCAACCATAACAATCAGCCGAAAAACAATTCCCCCCTAAAATATTTCAAATTGTATGAAACAATTTACCTTAGATTTTGTTGAGTCACTAGTAGCTGAATCTGTGAAAAATTAAATAAAACATGGTCAGTATTAGCCAATCTTTACTGCTTTCCACAAACAATGCAAAACTTATGGAAAGACAGGCACAGAACAAAATGTGAAAGCAAAACTCAAAACAATAGAACACAGTGGATAGTCAGAGCTCACAAAGATGCAAGCTGCACCACAGAAAGCCACCGCCATGAAAGGATGCTGTGAATTGTAGGCAGAACCAGCTCAATGATAGAAATGGCAAAGGAGCCCTGTGCTAAACAAAAACAGAAACACTCGTGTTTATTAGACTTTCTAAATATTAAATCTAGCAATAAAGAAGCTTCAGGACAGTGTAATAATTTTCTTTTTTAATGTACCACATCCTGTATCTGAGACTGATACACAATGTAGAACTTTGAAGAGTGTTGGCCGCCCTAGCTACAATTGAGACACTCATACTGGCATGTTTATGTTGATTTTTGTCAGACTTAAATTTTCTGAGCATTATGCTGTATGCGTATGGATGCAAAAGAGGCATTAAGATAATCTTGCTTCCAGGTCACTTTGGTTTTACATTAAATAATGTTTATCTTTGTGCTTCAGACCCCAGTTCCATAGCAGTGCAGTTGAGGGATCCTTTTGACTAGTTTGGTTAAATTGCTACCAGTTTTGCAATTATCTATTAACAAATGCTGTTATGGAAATGGAAAAATGGAGACCATAATTTTACTGTCTGGCAAAAACTCAGATTATACAATTATAAAGAGGGTAGGAAGGGGCTAGCAATATTCAGGATAATACCAATTTTGAAGTTTCATCTTTCAACATTAGGGAA
Source organism: Homo sapiens (assembly GCF_000001405.40). Classification (NCBI taxonomy): domain Eukaryota; kingdom Metazoa; phylum Chordata; class Mammalia; order Primates; family Hominidae; genus Homo; species Homo sapiens. The sequence goes on from NC_000010.11 coordinate 24,590,112, forward strand.
ATTGGTTTTCAGAATTAATGAGCTGAGCCCCATGCCACGCCCCTTTTAACACATGGCTAAATGCTTTATGACTTTAAGAACTGGTAGACCATACCATGCTATTTCTCCTCAGGGTCTGCTTCAGAAATAACAAGAAACAGCAGAAAAACTTTTAAGAAAGTAGTATTGATCTGTTTACAATAATCTTATGAGAAACTTTACACCACAGATCAACTATGTTTGCATTTACAAGAATCGGGGATTTCTGCAGACAAGGCAGCTACAGTGTGGACAACAGTCCTCCTTCTTCCTACAGTTCCAGCTGTCCATCAGGGACATCACAGAATCCACTAGTGACATTACCGTGTGATAGACTCCTCCCACTTCGCCTGTTCAACATCAGTATAGATTTGCCTGTGTCAGTAAGAGCTGAAAAAACCCTTTAGGACTAAAACAAGAACTAGAGACAAAGGGAGAACATTGTGTAAAACAACATGCTAGATTAGTGCAACAGTTTGGCAGGAGAAAGTTTTCATCAAAAGAGCCTAGAAGAACTAATACTTAACCAAGCATTAGGGTGGCAACAGGAAACAGAAGAAAATAAATGTCAAATAGGCTGGCTTTTTACTGTGACAAATAATACACTGTATTTATGAAAATGTATTTATGAAAATGGTGCCCATTACCAGTTCAACAGATTTAACTTGCTGCTTTTAAACAGAACTCCTGGCTCAAGAATAAGAACTACTTATACAGCCCAGATCATACTTTCTGCCATCACAGCAACCACATACTCAGTAGCATATATCTGTTTTACCTTGTGATGACTATTACATGGAAACTGTGAATTAAAAAAAAAAAAAAAAAAAAGAACAAAACAGTGGTTTGCATGCTCATTTCCCTCATAGTTCCATTCTGACAAACATTACAACTGCATGCACTGCCAATGGCATTAGAGTCACTGGAAGATAATTCAGATCAATTGGAAAAGGAAGATTAAGGTTTTTTATTAGTAGAAAGGAAGAGAAAAAGAAAAAAATCATAAGTAACAATTCACTATGATTGATTTGCTCTTTCATATTGTAAGAATGTAGCTTTCAGCCTAGAGGTCAAGACTGCCCAGGCAAGAGTTACCTGATACATCTCCTGGGGAGACTCCTGTCCTTCCAATGTTGGTGAGTAAATGATCTATGTTTGGCACTGGCTGGGAGTCTACTGTGCTTTCCTCCTGCACTGTTGTCTATGGTTAATAAACAAAGATCTCTTCATCATCTCTTCAAAGATACTTTCTTTAAAATTTAAACAACATTTAGTAAAAGACACATTACTAAGTAAAGCACCTGTGCTTAATGTGTTTACATTGTTTACGCATAATTAACTGCAAAATAAGCACCGTACTTGTATATTCATTAGATCAGAAACTGAGCTAGAGACCTGCTTCCGGGGCGCAAAGCGGACAATAGCAAAGCAGGAAGTTGACATTGTTGGCGCGCCAGGATCTTGTGTCCCAAATGAAACTACTGAGTACAAATGCTGACAGACAATACTTACAAGAGGCTCTTCAGCACCTTCTTCTGTGAAAAACCAGTCATGCTAAAATTTAAAAAAGGTGAGAAGAGAAATTAAACAAGCCTTTAAATATACTGAGATCTTGGAGGATAGTATAGAAAAAGGGTAATTTTCTTAGGGAAAGATATTACAACCAACCTCTGTCTGACCAAATAGCGGCTGCCCGTGAAAATGAATTTTCTTGCAGAGATGAAGCATGAACTTACAGAGATGAAGCATGAACTTACGTGCTGGATGAGCGTTTCTACAATCTTGTACTGGTCAGGCATGTGGGTGACCATGTGGGTCATGTTGTCTTCTGATGTTCGAACAAGGGTGGGACCAAACACTATTGCTAGGTTTCTTGGTTCCATCTGAAAGAAAGGATGATACTGGGAAATACCAGAATTTTTCTTAAGGAAGTAGGCTGAAATTGCCATTGTAGGATTTTTGATGAAAAAGAATAAACAGAAAAATAGCTTTGATGTAGATTAAAAAAATAATGCTTTCTAGCAAGATTTTTTTTTTTTTTTTTTTTTTTTTCTGAGACAGGGTCTCACGTTCACCCAGGCTGCAGTGCAGTGGCATGATCACAGCTTACTGCACTCTCGATAGAATCTTATTATGTTGCCAAGGCAGGTCTCGAAATCGTGGACTCAAGCAGTTCTCCAGCCTCAAGTGTCAGCCACCACAAGTGGCCTAGTTAGGATTTTCAAAGCAAATGTGTACAAAACGTTTTTTCTGCATTAATGATAATGTGCAATGCATAATTAGCATTCATTTTTTTCCAAGAAGACTTTGATTGAAAACAACTGATTTGGTTCAAAACGAGGGTTACCAAAGCTGGATTAACTGATAAAAATGTTAAAATCAAAGGAAAAAAAAACTTGCAGAAGATTACAGGCACACCTGTAGTCCCAGCACTTTGGGGGACCGAGTCAGGTGGACTGCTTGAGCCCAGGAGTTCAAGACCTCATCTCTACTAAAAATAAATTAGTCAGGCACGATGGTGTGTGCATGCAGTCCCAGCTACTCCGGAGGCTGAGGTGGGAGGAGGTCGAGGTTGCAGCCTGGGCGACAGAGTAAGATCCTGTTTGAAGAAAAAAAGAAAAAAAAAACAAAAAACTCCCTCCCCTTCAGAAATGAAAAGTGGAAGAAGTGCTGAAAAATACATGAAAGGTTATAGATTTTTCCCTCTAGTACATCAAAATCACTAATGTGTAAACACCCAGTGTCTGGAAATATTATTTCTGACCAATTTTTACTTGAAACCAATCTTCTGAAGCTACATTAATTTCCATATTTGGTATTCCTTGTATAATAATTATCAGATTGTCAAAGGTATGGATCTTTTGTTTTCCTTCATTAAATCTTATAGTATCTGATATATTTTGAATTCAGTATTTGATTAAAATAACTTTAATCAACCCTAATAACATCCCAGGGGGGTAAAAACCACTGCCAAACTCAAAAAGCCAAAATGGAAAAAAAAGAAAAGCAACTGCTGCACACCTAACATGTTAACTAGTAGTGTAGCACACATACAACGACACCATCAGTGCAGAGGAAGAAGAAGAAATTGTGTTGAAGTCAGGATTCTTCTAGAGAGTTGGCTTGGTAGAAAGAAACTATGTGTGGGAAAGGTGTACTTAAAACTGGGCACCCAGAAATGTTTCTGGTCTCCCTCTAGAATATGTACTCATCCTCCTCTTAAATCTGTGCTGGTGCTGGTGGCTCAAAAAACAGAAGTCTACCATCTCAAATGCCTTATGTAAAATTTTTACTAGACTCTTGACTATGATTTATGTTTTTAGACTAATGATAACAAACATTAATATTTATATGTATACACCGTAATATTTTATCTGGGTAAACAGTTTCAGCTGGTTCCTACATAAAACTGGTAAAATAGTCTACAGCTTATTCATAAATTTAAAAATTGTATTTTTCTTGAAAGATATTCCATAAAATACCATACCCCATCTTCAAGATTCAGTGTAATTAAAGACACAAAAAATTCTTCAGTAAAGACCTATGCTAAAGATTAATTCAGTACTTTCTAAATTAACTAGACCAACAGTACTCCTAACATTCAGCAAAACTGATGAATGATGTAATAGATTTCAGAAAATACTGAAATTAATTAGAGACTATTTCAGCTATAATTATATTGAAAACTCTTTGGCTCCTACAGTATGAATTTCTGGCAACAGTCTAGGCTTTCACTTCCTTTCTCTCTTTTTTTTTTTCTAACCATTTTGTAGCCCTATCAATCACTATGGAGGAAATTGAGCACCTAAAGGAAGTAAGCTTCTTGATTTGCAGGTAATAGAGGTTGACACTCTTCTCATAATCAATCCTTACAACTTCCAGAACATGCACAGTCACTAAACTGATCTATCTTTCTTAAACTGATCTTTCTCTACCTTAAGGAAAAATCACTCAGAAAAGACTGTCAGCAATATTCCTGAGCTTGTGGTATTCTTTTATTTTCTTCTCCAGAAATTAAAACGACTGCTTCAGTACTTTAAGAAGTAATGCCCTTGAGTTAGAAAATCATCATTTTAAAATCTCTGATGATATAATGGATTTAGGCAATAATCATCAAAAAACTAAGTTAAGACTACAACCTGTCAACCAAATACCATGTGTAGACCTTGTTTGGATATTGACTTAAGCAAATAACCCTACAAAGACACTTTTACAATCAAGAAAAACTGAATGGGGCTGCGCATGGTGGCTCATGCCTATAATCCCAGCACTTTGGGAGGCAGGTGAATTGCTTGAGCCCAGAAGTTTGAGACTAGCCTGGGCAACATGGTGAGACCCTGTCTCTAATATAATTTAAAAAAAAGAAAAACTGAATGTGAACTGAATATTAGACAATATAAAGAATATATTTTGTTGTGTTTGACAAAGAAAATGTGGTGGTGTTAAAAGGAATGAAAATGACTTATCTGTTTATGTCTGTTTTCCCTGTATTCTATTTGGCCTTTTGACTGTTGTAGCGTATGCATATGTTACCTCTTCAAAATATTGATATACAGCTAAAAAATGAGAGAAGTAAAATTTCTGACTTTTTCATTTTTCTTACTGAATAACCATAAAAGAAATCTTTTAAAATATCCTTTTAAAATGGTGACAACTGGTATTTTGGGATCTTTTGCTTTTAAAAACAATTTTAAGAAGGACTTACCCAGTTTGATGTTGAATTACAAACCTTTTATTGACTATTTGGCATGAAGTAATGAAGCATATCTTTTAAACTAAAGCCACTAAAAGTACATTTCTTCAATAAGCATTTTACATACCTTATTTTTTTCTGAATTTTCTGCCACTGTCTTCAGATGAGCTGAAAGGAACTTAAGTGTTTCATAATGATGTTCAGGCAAATCGTGAATCTGAAACAGATTATTTTCACAATGGATTCAGAGGCTGAATTTTAGTTGTATCCCCCAAAATATAAAATAATACCTACTAGTCTTTTTAATGTTTTCAGACGATCTAGAGGATCTTCTTTACGATTGGCTTCAATAAAATCAGCATATTTATCTGACGACAAGAACAATAAAACAAATTTATCTTAAATTGCCTAGGTGAATTGTAATCTAGTTTCCCTTTAAGGATCAATTTTAAACCACAACATAGGAAAGAGTTCTAATAGTTTTGAAATGTAAATTTCTAAAATGTAAGTTCCCTGCAGGAACCATCCTATATTTACACAGCCTGTCCATTCCTCCCCCACCCTCCAACAACATCTAGTAAAGTGTCTTACATGGCACTTAAATACTTGGCTTGACTGAAAAAACATTTTTCTACTCATTGTACCTTATGATGTCAGAAGCCATTTGACTGGAAACAATAATATTAATTTGGCTGCAAACATGTATGAACAAGATAATACATATTTCACTGAACCTAAATAACTTTTATGTTTTTAATATATGAGGGAGAACTAAATAAAGCCTCCTGCTTCCTTTGACCAAGACATTTTGTCCTTGTTCAATTTAATATTCTATGGTTTTCCAATTGTAACTTGAACCATTTCATCTGGTATCTTTCACGGGAGTTAACTCACCATTTGTGAAGAGAGGCTCAGGGAGTTTTCTGAAGAAGGATTTTAGTAAACTGCTTATCACATTCAAATCTCGCCATTTCTAGGTGTACAAAATAGAAATATAGTATTTTCATATCCAGTTCCACCAAAGGGGGAAAAAAAAGGATCAGTTATTCAAATAAGCAAACTTACATCATCTTGTATATCAATATCAGCCATTCCCTTGTTGAGTTCTTCTTGCATACTTGAGATGGCTGCATTATTTCCAGGAACTCTATAAATACCTGTATATTCAAGACCTCTTTCTTCAACTAATTTGCAACATATGTCAACTATTAATGGAATATACTGCAAAACAAGAAATAAACATTTTATTTAATGCAGCACAAATGTTTAGTAGTTGTATATCACAGCTAAAATGCCCCTTTCATCCAAAAGGAAACATAAATTGCTGTTATGTAATATAAAGAATACAGACATTATAGATCTGGGAATAGATAAAACCTGCAAGAGATATTTGAGACAGTAAGAAGAGAACAAAGAGACTGAAAGAAAGAGAGGGACCCCCAGAGAGATAACATTCTAAAAAGGAAGTAACAACAGGTAAAGAGAATGTGGAAACCGTTCCGCTGAATAAAGAGTCAAGAAAAGAGGAGGAGAGAGTAATATCAATTCATGATACGAATCCTAGCATGGGTGTTTTAAATATATGCACATACATTTACATGTATTATACTTTCTTAATCAGGTCCTTGTTCTCATCCTTGTTTTAAAATGCTAAAAGCAGAAACACACGATTTGAAGACGAATTCTTACAGACCATTTCAGACAAATTCCTAATGGTTGAATAATTATTCAATTTCGGAGTCAATACATTAGAAAAAAAGCATTACAGGTCAGAAATACTTAGGGAAACTAAGGTCTGCTATGAAAAGGAAAACAGATTGACAGTCTCTGTTGTCTGAAAGGCTATATACTCAGATCCCATTATAATCAAAACTGAATTAATGACTTGAGGAAATCCGGTGGGCTGGTGTCTCCTACCCGATTAGTATGAGCTGGTGGGCAGTCATCTAGTCGGACGCCGAAAGTTCCTGTAGCAGTTGGCTTTTTCTCAAATGTCTTTCTCATGATACTTGGAATGCCTTTTCTCCATGTGCCTTTGTCTTTTGGGGGACTGGTATCATCTTTTGATTGCCAGTCAAAATAAAACAACATAATAAAATGGAAATGAGTGTCTAAATCATGACTTTAAAAACACTTTATCAATGTTTACATAAATCCAAGTCCTGTAATATAAATAATACATCCTATATTTAACAAAAATATGTTCTCTTCCATATAACTTTTACTTCATTCTTTTATAATGCGTGCTATAATTTTCTTTAAAACAGCAAAAAAAAAAACTACATAGAATCAGTGTGTCATCTTTATAGTGAGACTTCAACAAAGGGAAAAGTAATAGTTTTATTTCAAAATGATAGGACCTGAATCCTCGGAGTCATTTAAATTTGTAATGTCTCTGATTTAAGTATTGTTTGTATTTTCCCTCACTTTCGCTTTATAATGAAGCTGGTGTCTTGGGCCTCACAAAGGGAAAGGCCCAATGAGCCCAGACCAAGCCTACTATGAATTTTGAGCTAGTTGACATGGGGCCTGGTCAGTAGAAATGGTACAGAAAACATAAACGTACCTCAACGATGCCAATTTTAAATCATTATATTTATTTGTTAGAAAGCTAACATCAATACCTTTACTGAGAAGTTTCCTTTCCGACTCTTCCTTCGGAGAGTGTGGGCTTTGAGTCTTTGGCTCTGATTTAGCACCAAGCAAAGTTTGCCTGATGCTGAGACTCTGGCGAGGTGTTTTTGGCAACTGTTCTGCTTTGCTGTTGAAGGAAATGACATTTGTTAACAATTACAGTAATCCCCCTCTATCTATGGTTTCAGTTACCCGTGGTGAGCCATGGTCTGAAAATATTAACTGGAAAATTCTTGGAATAAACAATTCATAAGCTTTCAATTTTGTAGTCCTGCCCAGAATAAGAATCATCCTTTCATCCCGAGTAGCCACACTGTATACACTACCCGCCCATTACTATATGGGAAAAAATATAGCGTAGAGAGGATTTGGTACTATCTGCGGTTTCAAGCATCCACTGGGGGTCTTGGAATGTATCCTTGCAAATAAGGGGGATGACTGTACTGATTTTATATCCAAATTAACTGCAGGCAAGGTGGGATTCTCACCTCATCAGATTGTTGTATTCTTTTATTCTTCGACTAATTAGATCCCTGTTAGTGACTCCAGTGTCCTACAGAATAAAGTAAAATTAGAAAATCAATTCTAAACATAAATAAGTGATCCTTACTTTTTTGAGGCTTTCTATTGTACTGCTTTGCTTATTTAACACAAACACTACTATCATCTGTTCTCAGTGGAGCTGTTTCAAAGCTTCTATTCAACATCACTGTGTGAAAGATTTTCCAAGTGCCTCCCAACATTGCCAAAGGGTTTTGCTTCTTTTCTGTATCCATGCGATACCTAGGATAGTACCAGCAAGTAACATGTGTTCAATACTTATTGAATTGATCCGTCCATTTAAAATAAATGACTAGGAAGCAGCCAGTGTTTTCTCTAATACCAGAAAGAATGATCAGCATTTAAGAAATATACGTGTAAGTGATTTTTCTTCAAAAAGAAAAACAAATAATATAGGTGGATAAAAGATGAAAACAGACTGCCAGAATTTGTTAGTGACTGACTAATTTTTAAGGATAGTGAAACCAAGGATCAACTAGTATCACAAGCGGCAGTTACATTATCAGAAGATAAGAGAAAAGCTCAAAATTTGCATGATTTTTTTTTAACCTCTGTGAGTTACCTTGTATGAAATGCTATATGGTAAACCCAGAGTTGACCATAAAGTGATCCTTTTTTTCCTATTCATTCCAATTATACATTGATATTGACTGGGGTTCTCAATTTTTTTTAACTTGCCTCATTTTGATGATAGTGAATGATGATACAGTTTACAAAGAATACAGTCTTTAAATACGGGAGTAAGTTATCTTGAATTTAAATAGACTCTTCCAACTTATCAGCTGAGAGATCATATGATTAAGATCTAGAATAAGACTGCCTGGATTTAAATCCTACCCCTGATGCTTAAGTCACTGTGTGACCTTAGGGAAATTATTTAGCCTCTCTTTGCCACTGTTTCCTTATTTTTAGAATGGTGGTGATGATAATAGGACACATTCATATGGTTGCTGAGATTAATGCATGTAGTATGTTTAAAATAGTATCTGCCATATGGTATGTGCTCAGTGAATTATTGTTTTCTCATCTATAAAACTGGGGAAAATACTTGTGTACCTGTGTCTTAAGATTAGATGGTGATGCTAATAGCTCACATTAAGTAAATGTTTATTACTTGGCAGGCATTCTTCACATGCATTATCTCATTCAATCCTCCAAACAGCCACTATGTGTCACAGAACAAGTCATCTGAAGGAGTTTTAACAATGACAGTCTACTGCCTGAGAGAATGCCTGACACATAGTAGGTGCCTGTTACACAGAACTCCTCTGAACTATTACTTAAAGCTGAAATCCACATCTAAGTTCTTATTCTCCCTGTTTATTTTGCAAAAATTCAGGTCTGATGCCCTCTGTATAGCGGGTAGTTGTACAACATAGGTTGCACTGATAAAGATCTGGTGTTATTTTTAACCACAAACAAGGCAGAGTGTAAACTACCAAAGGAAAAAAAGCACACTTTTCCTATGGTGTAACGTTTTAATACTTTGAATTGGATATAATGGAAATGACTAAATTAGAACATAATTTGCATAAGTTTACATTTAATGTAGGCATTCCTGAGTATTAAAAGAGAACTTCGTGCCCCTTTTTTGGTTATAATAAATAGGCATGAAAAGTGAGAACACAGTGAAGAAAAAACTGTGTTAATGATAAGAAAATACTTGAGCAACTGCTACTTCATCATTGCTAGATTTGCTTGATAAAGTTTATAGTTATACATACTTTAAAAACTATCTTTACTATTGAAATTCCTACTGTGAAAATACCTTGATGATCATAAGCTGTAAATTCTCAAATCCCTAAACACTGTTCTGCATGAAAAAGAAATGCTGGGCCGGGCGCGGTGGCTCACGCCTGTAATGCCAGCACTTTGGGAGGCCGAGGCGGGCAGATCACAAGGTCAGGAGATAGAGACCATCCTGGCTAACACGGTGAAACCCCATCACTACTAAAAATACAAAAAATTAGCCGGGCATGGTGACGGCTGCCTGTCATCCCAGCTACAGGGGAAGCTAAGGCAGGAGAATGGTGTGAACCCGGGAGGCAGGGCTTGCAGTGAGCCAAGATCGCGCCACTGCACTCCAGCCTGGGCAACAGAGCAGGACTTCGTTTCAAAAAAAAAAAAAAAAAAGCTGACTTATGATTTTTGAAAATGCAAGTTTTCTTAGAAACTAACTATTGTGTGACAGTAGGCTATTCCATATTCTTGACTGTATAGTTCTCTTAACAAAAATCATCAGTATCACTCTGCATTTATATAGTTATTTATACTGGTAAGTATTTTTACTGTAACTTAAGCCCTACAACAATCCTGTCTTTGAAAGATGGAAATGGATCTGGAATAACTTGGTCACAAACAACCAGGACTAGGAATGTAGTTCATTGCTTCTGAGAAGGTATACAGCATATATAAATAACCTATTTTTCTAGTTCAGTGATGGTGATTTTCCAATGTGTGAAAATAATATAAAACAGGTATGTTTGAGTTTTCCTTTTCATCAACTGTTTTACATGAAAATAGCACATTATAATTTTTTTATAAAAATGATATATCATATTCCTTAGATCTTTGTAAGAAAGTGTTGTGAAAGGGTCAGATTTCTCCAGCATTCCTTTGAACACCCACCTCTTCGTTTAGGTTGCTGCTCTCCTGGATCGTCTTGATCCAAGCTAGCATATCATCTCTGTCTTCAGCCTGAAACAGGCATTCACAGTCGGACGTGGTGAGTCGAAACACATTTTTCCTCTTGGTCTCACTGTAAGAGATGTCTATCAAGCAAGCATTAACACTGATGGGCTGCTCTTCCTCAGACGGAGTCGTCTGCTCTCTTTTATCTTTGTACAGGTAAAGTGAATGACCCCGAAGGACAACATACATCTGTTTCCATGGCCGAATACTTCCACCAACTCGCTAGAAAACATGCGACAGTTCTTTAATAGTCAATATTTGGCTAAATCTTTGTGACAGGATAAGCACATTAAGCAACACCCTTCCTCTGCATTTACATATAACTAGTGTAGCAGGTGGCAGATTTAGCTCACTACATTATTTGTGAGGAGAGGAAGGATAAAAATTGTGGAGCATAAACTGAGTTAGGCAGTGTATTCATATCAAAGTCAAGGACTGTGAAATCCCAACTTTAGTTGGGAAGGCAATATGAACAAAGCTAATCAAATAAAATAAATGTAGCAAAACATATCAAAAACAGTAACGGAATAGAAAATTTAAAAATCGGTCCAAAAAACCTGTTGAGTGAAAGACTTACGTCTTAGAGCACACAAATGACAGATACTGCAGGAGTTCTCCAACAATTGTATACATAACTAATTAACAGAGTTCATCAACTTTATATGGCTAAGCAACTCTATCCACATCCAAAGTGAGCTTTCTTAAAATTTTTAAACTCTTCTGACAGCATTAAAATGTTCTTATATATAAGCTGTCCAAATATTATAGAAAATTTTTATGGCAAAGTCTTTTTCTGTTGAAATCTACTGGATGCATATATTGATATTTTTATATTTGTTTAACTTAATATTTTTAAAATAAAATGAAACAAAGTTATAAAGGTAATTTAAAATAAACTAAGAAAAGAGACATAAAAATTTAAAACTGATTTGCCACTTCCTAAAGGACAACGGAATAACCCATTGCTAATAAACTAATAAGAAAAGCAGAGTTCCTTTTTAAATACTTAGATTTCCTTTTTACATTGCCAAAACGTAAGACAATATATTCTACATGTAGCTGATACACAGGACAAAAAGTACCAAATTAATGCAATAATTAGAATTTTTTTAAGGAATACTTTTTTTAATGTAGAAAAATCTATTTATAAATGGTTTTTTTTTTCACTCTTTAATCTGGATATCATGCCATTTTATGTATACAGGCTTTATGGTTTATTTGTCAGGGTCTGCATTTCTGACACTCAGGGTGGCTTAGAAAACACACTACCTTGCCCTTATCGGTGACAAGGGGTCGGAAATGAAGCCACCCTTCCTTGGCAGCATCACTGAAGACCTCTGAGGAAGAATCTTTTCTGGACCCAGAGTCTTCTGATGACTTTTGGCTGTCTGCGATCTATAGAAAAGACCAAGAAAACAGTAAAATGTCAGCATTTTCCTTTATAAATATTTGCACATGGAAACTGCTTTGTGGAAAACTTTATTTAATGTTTCAAGTGAAGGGCTATTTTTGAAAAATCCTAACTTTATCTTTTTAAAAATTTCTAGTCTCATTTAAAAAATGTGAATTATCATTTTTTAACCATTAAAAATAACAAATGACGTAATTTTCCTGTTCTTATTAGTTCACATTTTAGTGAAAAATGAGAAAATGATCCGTTTGTGATTTATGTTATTTGAAGAATGAAAACGGCAAGATGCAATAACGAATGGCTGAGAAGCAGCTAGAACCTGGTGATGAGGTGGCAGGGCTACTCTGAAGAAATAATATTTTGTTGAAATTTGGAGGAAAAATAAGGAGCCAGCCATAAAAGGTCAGAGGGAAGAGAGTTTGATGAGAATGTACAGCTACTGACTGTATATCATCATTATCACTTTAAATGTTCGCTGATTAATGTGATCAATAAACAGCTAATTCTAGGTCATTAAGGGTCTTCTAGGCCATGGTAGGAAGTGTGAAAGAAGCATTAAGTGATGAATCGGGGGAGTAACTGATCACCCAGTTCAAAGCTCACTCTGAGTACTCTGTCAAGAGTGGATTCTAAAGGGACACGCGTGAAAAGAGCTGTGACTATAGGAATCCAGGTGAAAGATGACGGCAGCTTGGATTTAAGTAGTATAGGTGAAGACGGGAAGATTCAGGGTAGTCTGGAATTGATATGGGGGAAAGTGAAAAAGAAGAAACAAGGCTAGTTCTGAAATACTTGGCTTCATCAAGAAGGTGAATGGAAGTGAACTTAATGAGATGGGGAAAACTAAGGGATAAGGAAGTCTGGGGGTAACTGCGGTCTAATCATCACGTAAACCTTGAGTTGCTGATTAAACATCCAAGTGACGGCAGCTGACACCAGCTGCAGTTCAGGAAGGAGGTCAAGGATAGCCATGTAAACTTTGGGAGACCTCTGCATAAGATCACTGAGGAAATCGGGGTAGATAAAGAAGGGTCAGAACAACTCTAGGCATTCCAACATTTAAATATCAGGTGGAGCAAAAGAGCCTGCAGAGGGGATGGAGAAGTAGTCTTTCAGTTAGAAGGAAGAGCAAGAAAGTGTGGCAAGATGGAAGCCAGCAGAAGAAAGTGTTTCAGGAAGGGAGCCAGAAATTGTGTTGAATACCAGCGAGGGCTCTAGGAAGTTAAAAACCAAGGTTAACCATTAGTTTTGGAACCTGAATGTCAGTGTTGTTCTGATGTGTGTGGGCTGAGAAGAAGTAGAAACTATAGTTTTTTCAAGGGGTTCTGCTGTGAAAAGGAGTAGTGAATAAAGCAGGATGTGGATTCCAGGAAGGTTTCTATTTTAATGTAGGAAATAGAACATGGGTGCAGACAACAGTGAGTGAATGAGTCACTGGAAAAATGGTGACTGTGCAGAAGGGCACCGAGGAAGTGAGAGGCAAGAGAATCCGAAGAAGTGTGGGGGTTGGTTTTTAATAGGATAATGGTACAAGCACAGCAATATTTATGGTAAGAATAAGGAAGGCAGCAAGTGTGGGTATAAAGGCAGGGGACTGGCTGGGGATGGTGGCTCACACCTGTAATCCCAGCACTTTGGGAGGCCAAGGCGGGCAGATCACCTGAGGTCAGGAGTTCGAGACCAGCCTGGCCAACATGGCAAAACCCCATCTCTACTAAAAATACAAAAATTAGCCAGGCATGGCAGGCGCCTGTAATCTCAAGCTACTTGGGAGGCTGAGGCAGGAGAATCGCTTGAACCCGGGAGGTGGAGGTTGAAAAAGGCAGGAAACTGATATTTTTGGGGATGATAAATAAGGAAATTCCTGTCTAATAGTTTCTATGTTTTCAGGGAAGTATGAGGGGAGGGAGAAGAAAGAGAACAGGGGTGGGGTGGGGGGTGTTGGGGGGAAGCCACAAAATAATTTCCAGGATAGAAAAGCATACAACAAAATACAAAAAGGGCTGCTGGGCAGTTAGGACTGCTGGGCCTTGAACTGATAAAGTCAGAAAAATCAGCACAATGTGTATCAAGTATTACATACTTACAGAATAAAAGATTATAATATTTAAATATTAAATGTCTACTGGGTAAAAGAAGTACTTCTCTATGAAGAGATAAACTAAGGTAAGTAGAAACACTCTAATACCAACCTTGATTCCCTTCAGACTAGATACGTGCTTAAAGGACCTGTTGGGGAAAAAATATATAAATATTTTCAATTAGTGCAAAAAAAATCTTAAAGATGTAAGAATAATTTGAATATTACAATTACTCTTTCAATAATAATCTGACATTTCATCATTATCATGTTAAATGTCCACTATTCAATGGAAGAGAAAAAAAGCTAATTTTATAAAAAATGTTCCACCTAATAATTAAAACTTTCTTAATTGATCTGGTAAATTAAAATTGTTTCTGCTTGAAGTGTGGGATTTTCTTTTTTTTATCAAAGAAAAAGCTACTCAGGCTGAACACTGGGTTTTATGTTATTAGTTAACTGTAGCTGCAATGCTATATTAAGGATTTCCATGATGTTAATTATGATCAGTAAGCAGTTGCCATTAGCAGCCAGCTTCAGGGAGATGCTCCCTGTCATCTCCACTCATCCTGCTGGTGGATACCCTGAACTGGAAATGTGGCAGGGAGGGCACAGTTACAGACAGTCCTGGCCCTTCACTCTTCTACTCTAACCACATTATGACTGCTTTCAAAAAGAAGGACAACTGTTGCCACTGAACAGGCTTAGAGCTTCAGGAGACAGGTTCATGTTAAAGTAATCGAAAATAATTTAACTTTTATTAAGGGACAATAAACTTTTTTTAAACTCAAAATTCATTTAAGAAACTTAGAGTTTTAAGATGTTACTAAAGGTGTCACTGTTTTCTCCTCTCAGAAACCTCCCCCTCAAACAACAATGTAATCAGAAAGATATGCAAACTCAATCTTCAACCATATCAGAAGACACTGTAACTCTGAACTATACCATACAAAGAAGGGTGGCTAACTGCAGTGAAGTAAACAATGGATACGGGAAGAAAGAACAGGGCACCGATCACTTGCAGATCTCAAAACTGCACTACATTGATTTCTGAGAGATTGAAACCAACCCATCCCTTGTTTGGAACAATGGAAAATAGTGTGCTGAAGCTGGTGACAGGAGCCTCATTTGTTACCATGGAGTATCAGAGGAGAATGAGGAAACATACAGTCCTGCCATCTTTGCAGGAAACAGTGTGTAGTTGGTGTAGGGTGCAGTAGACTCTGAAATAACGGCAGTTTTTGATACCTTATAATGAGGAAGAAATAAAGGCTAAAATAGCTCACAAATCCAACCCTGTATCTTTAGGAAAATTCCTGCTACCCTGGAAGCAAGCCCTGCTAGCCTCACACAAACCTCCCTCAAGTAGCTGCTCCAGAAAGAACTACTTTTATTGGAATATAAAGAATAACCAAATGGAACCCTCAGAGGACTGTATGCAAAGATAACAAAAAAGACAAATAGTTCTTTAACATAAGGTTCAGTATCATAAAGATGTGAGTACTCCCCAAGTTAATTTATAAATTAATCATTGTATCAATGAAAATGTACATAAGAATTCAAGAACTAGAAAATCTGATTTTAAGGTTCAAATACTAAAATAAAAATAGCCAGGAGAATTCTGAAAAAACATAAAATAATAGCCTTACCAGGTAAGACAGACATTATAAAACTACCATAATTAATAGAACCTCGTGTACATTAATACACAGATAAATCAACTGAATAGAATAGAGCCCCACAATAAAATTAAATACATATGACTTAGTATATAATAAAGATGATGTATCATCGGTGGGAAAAGGATGACATTCAACAGGTACTTTTGGGACAATAGAGATATTAGAAAATGTAAAGTTGTCTCTTTATCTAATTTGAATAAATTAATTCCAGATGAGTCAAAGTTTACAAAAAAATAAAAAGTAAACATAAATTTTGTTATAATTCTGGAGTAGTGACAGAATTTTTTGATACAATATGACTCAAAATTCAAAGTCCACAAATATTTCCTAAATTTAGCCACAGAAAAAATTTTAAATATTTTTGCATGGTTTAAAAAAAATGAAAAATATTGAATTAGGAAAGACTTGCAACACATCACAGAAAAATGTTAGCTTTCTTTATATAAAAAGGATGCAGAAGTCAGAAGAATCCATAGAAAATAGTCAAAAAATATAAAAAATCAGTTCACAGAAAAATATAAATATCTTAAATATACGAAATGGTGTTCAACTGCTAAGTGTCAAATTAAAACTGCAATATGCCATTATAATAATTAAAAATATATGTATCAAACAATACACTGTGTTAGAGTGTAACAGCAGAGGCTTTTCTATATTGTTGGTGGGAATGTGGTTTGGTATAATTTTTATGGACAGCAATTAACAATAGATATTAAAATTAAAAATATGGCAGGCCGAGGTGGGTGGATCACCTGAGATCAGGAGTTTGAGACCAGCCTGACCAACATGGTGAAACCCGGTCTCTACTAAGATACAAACTTAGGTGGCACATGTCTGTAATCCCAGCTACTTGGGAGGCTGACGCAGGAGAATCGCTTGAACCCGGGAGGTGGAGGCTGCAGTGAGCCGAGATCGCACCATTGCACTCCAGCCTGGGCAACAAGAGCAAAATGTCTCAAAAATAAATAAATTTTTAAAATAAATAAAAATAGACATACCCTTTGATGTAAGAATCCTGTTTTCGATTATATTTATTCACATGTGCTAACCGAACTCTGTACAATATAGTCAATGAAGTATTTGTGATAGCATAAGATTTGATCAATATAAATGTCTATTAATATAGAGTATTGGTTAAGTATATTATGGTATAAACTATTCAATGGAAAATTAAAAAATCATGAAACAGCATGAGCCAGGACTATATGCATTTAAGGATCTCTAAGATCAGTGTCTATACCATGTGTCATTTGTTTGTAAAAATAATTAGAATACAGTACACACACATATATGCATATTTAGGTAGTGTACATATGATTTTATGTATAGAATAGCTCTAGAATTACACAAAAGAAAACAGTAACATATTATGTCTGAATAGTACTGAATGGCTGCAGTTTCTAGGATGAGAGTATTTAACATATTTTTCTACCATGTTTGTGTGTTACTGATTTTTAAAATTCAATTTAATGTTACCATTAACAACTTTATTTATTTGCATTTCTAATGTCAAAGTTAGAAAACATAAGACATCATTAAATTCTGAACTTATGTGTCAAGGTCATGCTGAACACCCACCCACATACAAATATTTAAAATAATACACCCGAGACTTACAATTTTGCATCTTCTCTGTAATCATCCAGACCCTCATCATATGATTTTGATCTTTCTGTCTTTGAGTTGGGCTGAGCATCCAGGCTAGGAGGGCCAACAGATTCTGTAATTAATTAAAATCCAATATTTAGACATTCACAAGTGGTTCCCAGATTCTTTTAACGGTGGAAACATCAGTTTATCATACTATTCTAAGTGGAAAACAGAGCATGAGATACGGTTTACAAAACCACCCTTTAGACGTACCGTGGTCATGTGAGAGCTGACGGCGAATTAATGGAGCTGAAGTTGTGAGGCAAGGAGGAACTGTTGCTATGGAGGGGACCTGAGAGGTAGAGGCTGATATAACAGCAGAGGCAGGGATATGTGCAATATCATGATCAATGCTAGGGCTAGTTGGTTCATCTGTAAGAAAAAAGGAAAATCAGAATGTTCAATGACCTAATTGTTATTAATAATAAAACTCAGTCAATAATCATTATTAAGGGGGTCAGATAAGGATTTTAACACTTCACCACCAAAGCACATCACTAAATGACCTATTCAGTCTGCTAAAAATTGATTTACAGTTATTACTCTAGTAATTCTAAATAATTCTGAGAATATGGTGTAAGAAATTAAATGAGCTGCTCTACCAACCAATTAATGCCTTCACTAACTGATTGTCAAGGTACTAAAGTTTATAGGTACCTCGAACCTAAACCCATCAAACCAGAGCAATAATCATGTAACACCCTGAAAGAATTACTTTTCAAATTTTAAATGTACCACAGATTATCACTTCAGGAAATTAAGGTGATTGGCTGAGGCTCAGTTTTCAAAGCATTAATTCCTAAAACCGTATCCCCGCCTCATCCCTACACAAGTGTATCTCAATTTTTGAAAAGACAAAGTCCAGTCTCTAGCTTCCAAAATAAGTTTCCAGGGCCATTTGCACAAAATTCTTACTCTTATAAAAACATCAGTGATTTAAATTCTAATACTTGAGGCCAAGAAATGTAATTCAATAGGATGCTGGAACGATAATCCTTAAAATTAAATGCCCCAGAATAAAACCTGTTAAAGAATATACTACAATGATAAACCAGGATTTTGATGCCTGGATTTAAAAGGTCCAGCTATTTTAATTTTGATTAAATTCTAAGGATGCTGTACCATATTATCAGGATTTTAATCAAGAGGACTGATAATGTTACAAAAATATAACATTTCCATTTTATGGCCAAAATCAGTAAATTCTAACTGTGTTTAGCTTATTTTCTGTTTTTACAACTTTCTTTAAAAGCAGCTCTTTACATTTTAGGAAGAGAAGACATTTTGAAAATTTCTCTATGCACCACTTTTTACTAAGTATACGACAGTTTACTATTATGTCAGTAAGAATGCAGTAATTCTTTTTCCAAAAGCAAGAAGATAACTGAAGTTTTAAAAATTCAATGAGGATAACAATTTAATTTCACTAAAACTTGTAGTATTTAAAACTGATTTTGATATTTAAATTGCACATGTTTAACAAAGTTTCTTCAAATGATACATCATATAAAGCAGCCTGGTTTTATAGAGTCTGCTGATCCATAATTCTGTTACAGATTAATGAATACTGATGTGAAGAGGAATACACTGTATTCTTCAAAAAGTATCTGACTCATGCAGTATGAATACATCTTTAATTATACTGGGATAAATCTTTGAGGAGAATGATTTTATGCCTTGCAAAACTAAAGAGAGTGAAATTCAAATTGTGCATGGATTAAGCATTATTGCAAAGCATTAAATACAATTTTCAAATTTTGTGTCCCTGGATTTCCTGATGGTATTCATTCAATCTCTTCCAACTTACTATATTTTGGAGAACATTTCTGAAACACACTGGATTAAAATAATCAGTTTTAGATATGTCTGCAAAAACAGGTGGGAGGATAGATACTCACCTGTTCTAAAGGAGGACTGAATGGAGAAGGCGTGGGAGAAGAGACTAACATTGGGCTTACTCATTTCAGTATTGTTGCATTCTTTATAATAAATTCCTTTTACTGGTATGTTAAAAGGAGAAAAGGAAAAGCTAAACATACTTTTAAAGTAAACACAATTACATTACCTCACATTTACAGACTATACTAATCCAATTCTTGATTCCCTTTGAAAATATAAAGACTTTTCTACCGGTTTAAAAATACTGTGTTCGTTAGGAATAATCCAAATTCAAAAACTCTACTTTTCACATACACTTTAATTATTACCAATGTGCATATTATGTAAAAACAAGAATAATTCCAATTTATCTTATTTTCCAATGTAGAAAAATACATATTATTTAGTTGACCAAACGGAAAACAAAAATTTTTCATCTCATATACAAATATATTCAAAAGCATCATGCTGTCACACTTTCAAATGACTTCTAAATTTTTAAATAAAATATTCTGTTAGATGAAAATCAATCATCTTTATCCTAGGCATATCACATACTACATTAAGACATTAAATAATGCATTCAAAACATACTTATGAACTACTGGGGTTACAGATTTATTAAGTGGCATAAACATTCGTGTTAAACTACGTAATCAAAGAACTGACTTAAGAAACGAGGTCTTGGACAGGCGTGGTGCCCACGCCTGTGATCTCAGCACTTTGGGAGGCCAAGACGGGTGGATCACCTGAGGTCAGGAGTTCGAGACCAGCCTGGCCAACATGGCAAAACCCTGTCTCTACCAAAAATACAAAAATTAGCTGGGCATGGTGGTGCGCGCCTGTAGTCCCAGCTACTCGGGAAGCTGAGGCAGGAGAATCGCTTGAACCCGGGAGGCGGAGCTGCAGTAAGCTGAGATCATGCCACTGCACTCCAGCCTGGACAACAGAGGACTCTGTCACAAAAAAAAAAAAAAAAAGTCTTCATTTACTTTCTTCACTAAAAGACCCAGAGCTCTTTATAATAAAAAGAACGGTGAAGGACACCTAAGTTGCTACACATCAAAATTCAATGTGGCTACTGTTCCTTAACATGTAAAAAAAAATACAGGCCTATATATCCAAAAATTTTGCTTTGGAAAACAATGTTTTCCAAAAGTAAATAATCCTCACAGATAAAATCTACTCCATTATTCAATTTGGATTTTTTCCAAATGGAGAGTATTTCAAATTATGTTTCTATTTATTATTCGTATCTGAATAGGAAACTTTCACTGTTTATTGCTTATCAATTAATATTTTAGAAAAACATCTTAAAGATTTCATATTGTGAAAATTCATACATGTTACATAATAATTTCTCAGATATCAAAGCATGAAAGAAGGGAAGCCCTCCTATATGAAGAGTTCTTATAAGTAAGGACCACTAAAATCACAGTGGAAAGAGCGAAACACATGAAAAGACAACTCATGGAAGAAATACAAAAGCCAAATAAAAATGTAAAAAATACTGGTAAAAACCTATTACTGAAATGATCAAATAAAAGCAAGATGAAACAGTGATTTATAACTGTTTTTTCATCTCATAAACTGACAAGTATTTTCACTTTAAGATGTTCTCATCCTATTTGTTCCTCTTCGTGTTCCGCAAGATAACTACAGAGAGTGTCTATGCTTGTCTATCCCAGAGGTTCAGTGGGATTCACAGGAGCGGCTGGCCCTCCTGTGGGCGGGCATGATCTAGGCCTGACCAACCATAGGGCCTATCCCTCTCAATCCACAGAGACTGGCCAAGGGGCGAGAACCACGCAGTCAGGGCCCCTTATATTAATAGTATCTCTAGGATTCAATACATGGACAGTGAGAAAACTATGGACTTTCTCTTCTTATCCTTGGAGAACAAAAACTGTAGAAATCAGTAAACTGTTGAGTTGTCACCAACGGCCACCTTTTCTACTATGTGGAGAAAAAGAATCTGAGAATGAAGAAAGCAAAACGAAAAAAGACTCACAGGCCAGGCGCGGTGGCTCATGCCTGTAATCCTAGCAGTTTGGGAGGCCAAGGTGGGATGATCACTTGAAGTCAGGAGTTCGAGACCAGCCTGGCCAACATGGTGAAGCTCCATCTCTACTAAAAATACAAAAATTAGCTGGGCATGGTGGCACACACTGGTAATCCCAGCTACTCAGGAGGTTGAGGCAGGAGAATCGCTTGAACCTGGGAGGTGGAGGCTGCAGTGAAGCGAGATTGCGCCACTGCCCGACTCCAGCCTGGGCAACAGAGCAAGACTCTATGTCAAAAAAGAAAAAAGAAGGAAAAAAAAAAGGAAAAAGAAAAACTCACTCTTGATGTCATTACTTGGGTATCTGGATCCAGGCATGCATGGAACCAGGTCTACCACAGAAGTTCTTCCCTGTGAGCTAACATTACTTCTTGGCAGGAGCTAATTTGAAATAATTGCCCTGTCCCTGTAACCAAGAGAATTATGATGAACATAAATGTGGAGGGCAATGCATTTCTAGCACCCTGACAAATGTGCATGTCTTCTCATAACACCCAATGTCCACTGTTACAGGTTAGGGCACAGAGCAAAAAAAAGTCCCTTCTAAGGTGAGCTGAGTTATGAGGCACGTTTCTCACAGCTGACCATAATTACAAAGAAGCATATAATTAATGTACTTTATATTTTATGATTATAGTTGACAATAATTTTATGTAACTCAGTGAAATTATCAGAATTTTCAGCATAGACCATGGCAGAATAATCAGTTCCCTGACATAATTCTGCTTTTTATTTCACCTCTGCTACGAAGTAGTATTCCTAACCCCTCCCCAAATTACAGCATAATAATTGAAGGAATATTAACACTATTACTTATTTCAATGACAGAGTAAACTATATATTGCAAAAAGAGGGGTAAATTTGTATAAGTTGAAAGAAATGGCAACTAACCTAAAATTATATATGTGGTTCCAAAACAGCAACAGCATGTATATATCTTTTTACCAAAATATGGAAATTGAATAAGCTGTTTCTGTTCCAACTCCTACCAGAAGGGACATACCTCAAGCAAAATACGCTTAAAATCTTGATTTTTCCTCATCCTTAGGGAAAAGGAGAGGAAATATTGCTAATGGATTCTGTGTCTTAAAAATAAATTCAGGCCAGGTGTGGTGGCTCACGCCTGTAATCCCAGCACTTTGGGAGGCCAAGGCGGGCGGATCACGAGGTCAGGAGATCAAGACCATCCTGGTTAATACGGTGAAACCCCGTCTCTACTAAAAATACAAAAAAATTAGCCAGGTGTGGTGGCGGACGCCTATAGTCCCAGCTACTCGGGAGGCTGAGGCAGGAGAATGGCATGAACCCGGGAGGCAGAGCTTGCAGTGAGCCGAGATCAGGCTGCTGCACTCCAGCCTGGGCAACAGAGCAAGACTCTGTTTCAAAAATAAATAAATAAATAAATAAATAAATTCAAATGTGACAAATATCCTTTCTTTTTATTTGCCTTCTGAGATATACACTCAATTTAAATCAAAGGAGGTGAACGGCTAAAGTTAAATGATCTTATTAATAGTCAAGCATAAGCTCCTTCTTTCAAGTAATAATGTATTAATCTTTGGCAATGCCACTTTTTTTTTTAATCAGAGTTAAGCCCAATGAAATAAAGACATCCTAAAAAATTGAACTCCCTAGGCAAATTTAAATGAGCCCCATTAATACCAATTACTGAACATCAGGTACAAGAGCTGATAAAAATGGCATGCTGGAGCAACTCCATTTACATTATATTTAAAAGGCCTGGAGAAAGAATGTTTAAAAATGATGCTAATATATTCACATGGCCTTCTCATCTTTGACCCAGCAACAGACCTTGAGTAGGCTCACTAAACATTTTTCACTAATTATAAATAAAAATTTTGAAGCAATAAGTCCTGTTTTATATGAACTGGTGATGGGTGCCCATCACCTAGTTCAAATATTCCCAATTTTTACAATAATTAAGCTAATTATCGTAACTGGAATTCAATTTTCTAATTAAGACCAAGTTTCTTTAATGGTCAGTTCTGTGAACATGGATTTAAATTAACATTCAGCTTCTTCAAAGTCATCTGGAGATTTGGTTATCTTAATAACCAAAAGGTCAATGCTGTATCTCCCTATTAGATAGAAATGGTTTTACAGTGGTTAGGAAGGGGAGAGTATTTTGAATAAATTCCCTATTCACGTTTGCCATGGCAAGATGGCAGTCAGTGCTGACGATGAGGGAGTGGAGTTGTAAATCCAAGAGGAACTACTGTGAAGTAGGTATTTGAAAGGGAGGTGACAAAATCAGAGCAAAAGCAGGGATGTGCACAATATCATGGTCAGCTCATCTACAAGAAAGCATGCACCAGGTCAGCACAGCAAGGGCTCTAATTTTACAAAGGGCAAGTGGAAGGATCACTTCTAGATTTGCCACGGTTAACAGGTTACAATTACTTGGCTGAATCTTTGCAGTCCCATAGATCAAACAAGTTAACTGAACTCTTAAGATCTGGGGGTGAGGGTGTGTGTCCATGGGCCAGTGTACAAGCGTGTGTGTATGAAAAATGATCCAGCTTGCCAGCTGACATGCTGTAACAATTTCAACAAATTCAACATTTACTTAGAAATTTAATAAATATCAGCTCACCAATTTCACTAATCTATCTTGAAAATTATTAATTCTCAATTCTAGTACACAGAAAAGCAGCAAGGGAGTAGAAATGTGGATGACTGAGTAGGGAGGTCAAGAGACCTGGTGTGTTCGATTTTGCAAAAGCCACTTAACTTTTCTGGATATTACATTCACTACCTATAAAATAAAGAAGTTGGACTTGGGTAGTGAGAAGGGCCAATTCTAGTTCAAAAGGCCTACAATTACGAATCCACTAAAGGGGTGGAATTATCTATTTAATTTATGTAAACATATAAAACATTTTTAGGTTTTTATAAACCAGGCATTTGTTAGGGGGCTTTTGAGATTTGGGTCTATTTTCAACATTAAAGGAACTAGGTGAAAAGGCTCCAAAGTCTACTTTAGTGAAACAATTTCATAGTTTATAAGAGCTAGGTTTTGGGAGGGCACAGTGGCTCACGCCTGTAATTCCAGCACTTTGGGAGGTTGAGGCAGGCGGATCAGGAGTTCGAGACCAGCTTGGCCAACATGGTGAAACCCCGTTTCTACTAAAAATACAAAAATTAGCCGGGTGTGGTGGCACACGCCTGTAATCCCAGCTACTTGGGAGACTGAGGTGGGAGAATCGCTTGAACCTGGAAGGCAGAGGTTGCAGTGAGCCGAGATCATGCCACTGCACTCCAGGCTGGGTGACAGAGTGAGACTCCATCTCAAAAAAAAAAAAAAAATGCGGCTAGGTTTTAAAAAAAACGTATTTCCCTAAATAAATAAGCATAGCAATCTATAAAGTGTGCTACAAAGAAATTTAAAGTGTTTCAGAATAAAAGTTAATGTGGCCAGGTGCGGTGGCTCATACCTGTAATCCCAGCACTTTGGGAGGCTGAGGGGGACGGATCACCTGAGGTCAGGAGTTTGTGAGATCAGTCTGGCTAACATGGTGAAACCCCGTTTCTACTAAAAATACAAAAAATTAGCTGGGCATGGTGGTGCACACCTGTAATCCCAGCTACTCGGGAGGCTGAGGCAGGAGAATCACTTGAACCCGGGAGGCGGAGGTTGCAGTGAGCTGAGATCGTGTCATTGCACTCCAGTTTAGGCAACGAAAGTGAAATTCCGTCTCAAAAACAAACAAAAAAAACTAATGCTACTATCAAAGAAAAGATAAAAGAGCATCTAAAATTATTTATTGGTGGAACATTTTTGTTAACGAACTCGACACTTCTAAACCATCTGGATATGGCAGTGCCGTTAAGGCTATGACCATCAAATTCAATTTAGCTTAGGCTAACCCTCACTGAGCACACATACAGCCAACGTTGGGGTAAGAGGGAGGAGGAGAAGTCTTAGAGATATGACAAAAGCATGGGGAAGAGATGCCAATTCAAACCTGGGTGATCTGAGCTAATAATAGTCGGCATAAAACTTAGAATGATTTTTCAAGCTAAGATTTAAAAAAGTAAAATCCAAGATTTAAATTTTTGCTCATTTTGAGGCACTGTCCAAAGAATATGAAATTTGCAGCCAACAGGCAATCGGCTCTGTCAGTTCTCTGAGAGAGCTTCAGCAAAGTACTTAACTTTCCTTATCCATAAAACGGGTTATTAATTCTGCCATAAATTCCCCACTGGGTTATGGTAAGGACTGGTACATTATAAAGTATGTGGTAGATTATAAAGCACGGCATAAGTTTTTGTTATTTTATTATTTTATTTTATTTTTTGAGTGGAGTCTCACTATTCTGTCGCCCAGGCTGGAGTGCAGTGGTACGATCTCAGCTCTTTGCAACCTCTGCTTCCCAGGTTCAAGCAATTCTCCTGCCTCCGCCTCCCAAGTAGCTGGGCTCACAGGCACCCCACCACGCCCAGCTAATATTTTTGTATTTTTTTTTGTAGAGATGGAGTTTCACTGTGTTGGCCAGGCTGGTCTTGAACTCCCAACCTCAAGTGATCTGACTGCCTCAGCCTCCCAAAGTGCTGGGATTACGGGCGCAAGCCACTGCACCCGGACTATTTTATTATTTTTTAAATTACCTCACATCGTTACTCAAATAGTGGAAGCAAAAATCTCTAAGCTTAAGTACCAATGGCATCACATTTTTGGGAAAAGCCAATATATGAAAAAGACATATAAAGATGATAAGTACATGATTTCTCTTTATAAAAGATGTAAGATGATAAAGTATATGATTTCTCTTTATAAACAGACTATTTGCTAAGACTCAGCCTGAATTAGTATTAAAGAAGGGCTGGGTGCTCATTGCATCGTCCTGTCATATCACCACTGGCACTGAGCCCAGAGCTCCCAAAGGGAGAAACTGGGTATAGGGAATGGTCACCTCTTCCCTTTGGGTAAATTTCAGGGAGCTAAGTTCCCCTGTATGGACAATGTAATCCAGCTATATCTTACCAAATCTAACACTTCTAAATCATCTTGATATGGCAGTGCCAATAAGGCTGTGACCATCAAATTCAATTTAACTTAGGGCTAACCCTCAACTGAGCACACACGCAGCCAATGTTGGGGTAAGATGGAGGAGGAGTCTTAAGAGATATGACAAAACTATGGAGAAAGAAAGTTAAGATGAAACCCTGAGTGTAGGTAACAGTCGTAGCATTTTTGTATTACTAGTAATGAGTGGTATAAATTAGAGAAGTGTAGGAAGTCAGGATTTTAGAACACATTGTAATATCTGCTATTCACCGTGAGATTACTCATGAACAGCTCACATTGTTGAGGTTTGTGTTTACTTATAAAAGAAGTTGAAATTTATTTTCAGGACTTACTATGCAGCTTTATAAAGTGGGGGGTGGGAACAGTAAACAAAATACTGTTAATGAGTAATATTCCAAATTTAAAAACAAAATGTATTCATTTTGTTTTGTATGCCTGTATGCCTCCTGCAACCTTAGTATATAGCAGGGGTCCTCAACTCCTGCGCTGCAGACTGGTACTGGTCCATGGCCGGTTAGGAGCTGGGCCGCACAGCAGAAGGTGAGCAGCGGGGGAAGGAGGGCGAAAGTCAAATAAGATAGGAACTAATTAGAGAGTACTTTTATTCTTAGTAAATAAAATTATTTATTTACATCAATCTATATGTATATAGAATTATACAGATCTTTATTTTCTATTTTAGCCAAAATCTTCTCTTTAATAACATAATTGTTTTATTTCTATACTTCATAACTAGGAAGAAATATTAACAGATATATCCAGCACATTTTTTTACTACTCCAATGTAATCTGATTATATTGTTGTTATTATGTAGGAAGAAAATATGATGCCACTGTTCTGATAAGATCGCATGGGCCTGTGAAACAGCCACAGGTTGTAAGATTTTTTTACATTTTAAAACTTCATAAAACAATCATTCGTCATCAGTTGCCTTCTATAAAATATCTATTCTAGATGATGTATAAGATTCCATCTACAACAGGAGTCTACTATTTGCTGAGCTTGGCCTTAGGGGTATAGATATGAATATGGGTACAATTTAGGTTGAGATTCCCCACAATGTTGACAACTTGAATATATCCGATTTATAAAAAAAAACATAAGCTGTGTGGAACTTTTTAAAAAAGCTTTTAGTGTCACCTATCCAATTAAGTGTTTTCTCAAGAAACATTTTTAAAGCTATCAATAGCTTTACAATTGATAGCTTTAAAAATGTTTCCGTAGAAAAGAAACAACAGTCCTCAACAGCTTTAAAAATGTTCCCGTAGAAAAGAAAAACTCAACTAGTACTCAAAGAGAAGCATATTATATTGTAAAATGATGGAGAACTCTTTTCATAAACCCATGGGACACCAGGGGGACTACAAGTATGGCCTTGGTTGGTGGCAAAAAGAGAAGGAAAAAAGCCCCTGCATCGCATGCCTCCAGGGGGCGCTCTTCACAGGCATTCCATATAAATGGCGTGCTCCCTGGAGCTGTGCTCTGGGACGAGGCTGAATGAGGCAAACCTAGAGACCCTGTCTCTTATCACTTACTATGCGATTTTAGAGATGTTATTTAGCCTCTCTATACCTTAAATTTCTCACTTATAAAATGAAGATAATATTAAGGACATAAGTCATCACCTGTTAGCAGATGATGTTTTAGAGCTGCACAGTCATGATGAGAACTGTATTGTTGTGCTATACATTTAACCAGCATTTCAAAATTGTCTTTCAGCCATTATCTCAACAAATACTTACTGAGTGAATTCTTTATGTGCCACGCAGTGTTCTAGGCATTAGGGACACAAAAGTGAACCAAAGATTTTAAATCTCTGCTCTCATGTAGTTTATGTTTTAGTTCTACTGAGAAACATGTAACAAAAAAACAAAACATGTCAAGTGGAAACAGTAATACGAAGATAAATAAAAAAGCTTAAGGGAAGAGAATGTCCGTTTCTGTGTCTGTGCGTGGGATACCTGTTTTAGATAGGTGAGTCACAAAGCCTGCTTGGATAAGATCTTTGAGCAGAGACCCAAATGTCATGAGGAAGACAGAGGCTTGTTAACTATCTGTGGAATGTATACCAGGGTTAGAAACCAGCTGTACCTGTCCCTGTAGCAACACACACCTGACAGCAAGGAGGCTGGTGAGGCTGCAGATGGGATGCACATGGAAGATTGTGATAGGAGATCACGAAGTAGGATCTCTCTGACACCATCAGAGAGGGAGTTGTGAGGCAGACCATGGAGGGCCTTTCAGATCACGGGAGGATTTTGCATGCTATTTTGGGTGAGATGAATGGGAAGGAAACAGAGGGTTCTGCACAGAGGAGTGGTGTGATCTAATTGACATTTTTAAAAACATCACACTGGCTGCTGTATGGAGAACAGATCTGGGGTGGGAGGGAGCAGACAGAAGACTCAACAGGACAGGTGCCGGCAACTGTGGCACACGCTTATAATTTAAGTAACTTCTCTAAATCTGTTCCAGGATTTATAGTATGGCAAACTAACTTGACAATGAAGAGGTCTTTTCTCTCAGTACACGTTAAATTTACAAAGAAATATGTTTTAGAAAGTAAAAGCACTGTTTAAATGAAAGGTTGGTAACTAATTATCAAAACTGTTCCACTTGGTTTTTCATTCACCTGAATCAACAATTAGGTATAATTTGCTTCGCTGATTTCCTTAATCTCAGGAATTTGTTTCATCAAAATAAAAATTTGAAATGGGTACTAGGTACATGAAGTTTTTGTTTTTTTTTTAAAAAAAGGAAAATTGGTACTAGAAATAACTTTTAAAGAGGTTTGTGAAAGCTCTGGTTGAAGCACAGCTTATGAGATTCACTAGAAACATTTTAAAATCACAGTGTAAGACTTCTATGCCTATTGAACTAGAAATAATACTTTTCTGGAAAGATTTCTTATACATTTGGCATATTAGCCAATGACTCTAAATGAGCTCACCTATAAATGGGATGGAAGCCAAAGAATCGCCAGGCGGACTGGTACTCGAGGCTTTTCTTTCCTCCATTCTTTTTATGTGGACCTCTCGACGTGCATCATTGGGCAGCCAGCAGGTAGTGTCTGACCCGGTCTCCTGGTCATTTACTGCCAAGATGTAAGACTGATGCCTTAAAGGCTGCGGTGTCTGGCGTCCAGATGGAGGTTTTTCCCTTAGGATGACAGCTTCTTTATTATCTAAAGTATCTGATTGCTCAGTTTCAGCCTCTTGTAAACTTAAATCTTGATTCCTTTGACTGACAGGTAGTTCTAAATCTGAAGTACCAGCGTTTTCACTCGACTGAGGGGCAGGCTTGGCAGAGGCTCCAGATAAAGAGGGGGATTTCCCAGTCTCCACTTGCTGATCGGGGGCACTGTCAGTCCTTACCCATGTCTGCTGATTCAACAGACTGTTCTGATGCAAGTGATTTACTGGTCTTTGGTCTTTGATAGAAACAAATGATTTCTGGCTAAATGATGGTTTTGTGACATGCGTGGAAGGAGCTTTCAGAGAATTACTTCGGACTTTCACAAGAGGTGACCTGTCTTGTGAAATACCCCGAGGCAGTGACATTCCACAAGTAGTCTGAAAATTTCTGTTTGACTGCAATGTTTTTAGATCTGGTGGAATTTTTTTAAACTGCGACACAGATCCCACTCCTCTACCACTCATTCGCCTGTTATCAGAATTAACAACGCTTGGAGCCACAGTAAAATTGGAACCTCGAAAAGATTTATGAATTTCTTGCTGCCTAGGTCTTTCACAAATACCTCGTCTATCATCCTGTTCAGTAAACCCACTCCACTTGTAAGTCTGTTTTTTCTCTCCATTGGAATCAGGTATTGGAGTTCCAGAATTGACATTTTCTAAGGTTTCATCCTGTCCCTCAATATAATCCCATGAACGAGTTCTATGATTACTAAAACTAACAGATGGAGACGTCAGTGCTCCTTGAGATGCACTTCTTGGACAATACTTCATTAGCACAGAATCTTCCAGTCTTTCTTGGGACACACTGCGTTGCCGTATCTGGACAGACTGGGGCACTCGATCATGAGAGGTGCTTCGACGTCGTCCCTGCAAAGTAGTGCGGTTGGGGACGACCTGGTTATAATCTGTCGTGCTTTGAGATGCTGCTCTTAAACTATCTAATCTTTCTTGTATTGTCCGACAACCTATGTGCAATCGTCTGTTATCAATATACTCTTTGTAAGTTTTATAGTTTTTCCAGTCTATGTGCTGATGGGAATTTGGCGAATAGTGATTAACAGATACAGAGGGAGCCTCCACAGCTTGAGATCTGCTGCTTGAGATTCCATCAGAATGTCCACTGTAATTTCCAGACTTAAGTAAAATTCCAGAAGGTTCCAGTGATCTGGAGCCTGCAGGCTGATGAATTAGATGAGTGGTGGGAATTGATAATGGTGGTGATGTGGTTCTTGACACTGTTTTTAAAGAGGTCTGCTCACTCACGCCATACCTCACTTCTTCAGTTCTATGTGAAGGACCTGTATGGTTGTTTCTATTGGATAACAAATCTACAACCTTCTCAGAAGGCACAATGACAGTCCTTACACTTTCATTGCAAACACACACTGCTGTGTTTGATTTTGCAACATCTGTTGGTGATGGAGGCACTTGTATTTCCATTCTATAGGCCCTACCAGGTTGTGTCAGTACTGGTGTACTGGTTTGCTGTTTGCTCAATGATGAGTCAGGAGGAGATATTTCAACTGGCTGTGCCATGGCTGATGGGGCAGATGGCAGCCAGGGATAGCAGATTGGTGGAGGTTCAGGTATATTGCGGGCATTGCCGCTATAAGCTTCGTTGCCTTTCAGGTAGGCATCTTGAGAATATGCCTGTATAGAAATGAGAGGAAGGTGTCACTGGAAATTCATAAAAAGAATAATAATTTCCATTTTTACAGTGCACTATTTTATCTATGTCCTACCTCGTTCCTGAGTGACATTCACTATAGCATGCATGCAAACACAACATAAGGGTACTCTACAAATCTAGAAAGAGCTAGTCTCTCAGAAATCAAATAAACTGTAGAATCTGCAACACATACAAATTACAATCACCTCTTTGCTCAAAACATGTGAAACTCATCAAATTTCTACCCAACCAATTAGATGTACCCACATTACTTCTAAAATTCTCCCCATTCAAGCCTTCTGAGTTTCAGCAGTTGACAGGTTAAATGGCTGCCAAATAAATCCCAGCAAAGGAAGATTCATGTATTTTGCCAGAGAAAAGGTGAAAATATTAAAAATCTTAAATGCATTTTAAGTACTACTACTATAATAAATTAAGTCTAATTTATTTGAAGCATCTTGTCAATTAACCATTACAGAGTCCCTAAGAATAATCCATTTTGACAAATTAAGACCTTCAGCAGCCATGCTAAGTATTTTAATATTTAAAGTAAGATAATATGCAAGTTTAAGAAATAAAGCACATATAATAAAGGCAGAAAAACATGAAAAAAGGTAACTCATCGTTCTGTATATAATTTATATTTTTATTTTAAGCTAATGCAAAAGTATATCATACAAATTTATTTGGTCTCCTTTACTTATTATAAGGAGACATTTCTCTATTACTAACAGGCAGGCATGCAGCCTAAATAGTTTTTTATCAACTATTTGTAAAATTATTCAGCAATATTTTTAAAGCCTTAAGAATAACAGAAATCAACTATAGAGACTTTACAAAACAGAGCTCATCAGTGCAACACAGGGACTATGTTCAGCATCTGAGACAGATGTGGTAACACATCTTCCCCTAATCAAAACAAGCTTAACTCAAGACTATCATCACATCCTGCTCTTTGCATTCGACAGCTTGCAAAGCTCAAGTGCAGCCACAAACGTAACAGCAAAGTAGTAGTGACAGGAAGAGGGTGAGATACTTAAAAAACATATATATATATATATATATATATATATATATATATATATATATATATATATACTGATGCAGATAAATATTACGCTGTAGCATCAGTTATGTACAGGATACAAAAGAAAACCAAACATAAAAATAAAAAATAAGGATGGCAAACCATCTATCACAAACGTATTCTGCAAATTAGTAAGATTAACACGATAGAGGGATTTCTCTAAGCAAAAGTGAACAGTTTTTAATAGATTGGCTTATTACAAATCTCTACAAAACATGACTTAAAAAGCAAGGAAATGGCTACTGTGCATTTCTTACCAGTGCTGTGACATCCTTTGTAAACTGTAGCTAGCAGAAAATAGGAAAACATAGTAGAAGCTGCTTACTGATATAAAGACAAAATCATGTTGTCATATTGATGCTGGAAACGGCAAGCTAAAAATACATCTATACTTGTTTCTCTGGAAGGTACCAAGAGAGGTAAAGGGCAGTGAAGCATAAAGAATAACTCCAGTATTCTTCTGAACATCTTTTTCTCAGGCTTTTATCTGATTCTTGTTTGATGTGTCTACCATTCTTGAAAGCAAAATACATCTGGTGACATGCATTCCTAACAGATATTTTCTTCAATATGCACTGCTGTCTGATAACATGCTACAAAGCTTCCCTCCACGAAAGCAACAGTGATGTCTCTCATTTCCCCCCAGCTTCTTCCATCTCTGCTTCCAGATGACGAAACGAATGCTCTATTATGCATTTAAAATAGTACAACCTCCTCCTTCCCCAGTAAATCAGAGCATAACCACAAGCTGTCAGCAGACTGCAGCTGCCTTTACACTAAGATTCAGGGGGGAAAATGACTTCTTTTAAGTAAGTTTCACTCAAAAATTAAGATCTTTCAACACTGTGCCTTTTGTACTATTGTATTAGTTTGCAAAAATAACTACTGGATAGACATAAAAATATTACTTCCAGAGTAATTCTTGTTAACCTATAATAAATATTATAGAACAGAGACTAGAATGCAGTGACAAATTAAAGCTAGCCATATAAAATAAAATATGTCTACATAGTATTTTTATGGCATGAATACAGTTAATCCCAACATGCATTTTGGGTGTGTGCATTGACACACCAAGTCTATCTTTTCCATGCTGATTAGAATCATACCAATACTTTTCTGCAATAGGAAAATTGTGTCTGGATGAGAGAATACTGTACTGTCTGGTACAGCATTTCCCACAACATCCTTGTGTAGTTTTATTATATACCACCTGAAAAGGAGGATGGGGGAGAGGAGGTCCCTATGGTCAATGATGTAGGGCCACTTGGCAAGCTTTTTGATTTCTCAAAACCACGACGACACTAATGTACATTGTGAAATTCGAAAGGAAAATATAAACTTATTCACCATGGAGGCCATTTTTTTCCCAGAGGTTTTAACATAATTAGAATATCTACTTGGGTAATGCTATTCTAGAACTAATATTTTAAAGATGACTCCTTTATTCAAATTTGGGAAGAAATATTACTGTTTAGTAATAGAAGTATACGGCTGGAACTATTAAAACTTGAGAATATTTTACATACTTCAGACATCTCTAATATTCCTGTATGGCAATTCTAAATGCTAAATAGTCTACATTACAGTCACAGGTCCCCACTTCTGAGTTAAGTTATCACAAGGGGCCCTGAAATCCATACAAATGCAGGCATTAACAGTGAACATCTCACACATGCAGTACTATTATCTAATGTAAGCAGATATGGTTGAGATAAAATATGAATTCATTCAAGAACATTTTTCACAAAATGTACATTGTGAAACTCAAAAGTACAAACTTACTCGCCAGGGAACCCATTTTTTTCCCCAGAGATTTTAAAATAATTAGAATATCTGCCTGGGAAATGCTGTTCTAGAACTTTTTTTTTTTTTTTTTTTTGAGACCGAGTCTCACTCTGTTGCCCAGGCTGGAGTGCAGTGGCGCAATCTTGGCTCACTGCAACCTGTGCCTCCCAGGTTCAAGCAATTCTCCTGCCTCAGCCTCCTGAGTAGCTGGGATTACAGGCATGAGCCACCATGCTCAGCTAATTTTTGTATTTTTAATGGAGGTGGGGTTTCACTATGTTCGCCAGGTTGGTCTCGAACTCCTGACCTCAAGTGATCCACCTGCCTCGGACTCCCAAAGTGCCAGGATTACAGGTGTGAACCACCGAGCCCGGGTAGAACTAATATTTTAAAGCTATCTCCTTTATTCAAATTTGGGGAGGAATATTATTTTTGAAACCAATGTCATAAGAATTACATATTCAGTATTAACAATTTTGAATTTTAG
This sequence comes from Homo sapiens, assembly GCF_000001405.40. Lineage (NCBI taxonomy): Eukaryota > Metazoa > Chordata > Mammalia > Primates > Hominidae > Homo > Homo sapiens. Next base: position 24,624,751 of record NC_000010.11, read on the forward strand.
TTAGGCTTTAAGCCCAAATGGATACTTTACAACATATGAAAGTGTTTTGATAGAATCAGACAACATTTAAATTTTTCCCAATTTACTAGCTCTTGTGAATTCAACAGAATATGACAAAACATTTTTAGCCATTTTTTCCACTCAGCCTTTTTGTATACCACTTCACATTCCTTCTTGAGCTTTCTTTACCCTTGTACTTAAGTATTACACCTTTTGGAGTTTAACAGCTTGTATTTTAAAAACTGAAGCCTTCCCTAACAGCCCTGTTTTGCCTATTAGATACAAAAAGCTCTAAAAAGTGGGGGGGGGGGGGGAGGAGGAGGAGGAAGAAAATAAGAAAGATGACCCAAAGAATTCTTTCTTTGTAATTAGAACTCCAAACAGTATGTTAAATACAACTTAATATTAACAGCCTGGATCTTGATTATATGTACAATGCCTAATAGTAACTAAATAACCCTAAAATAATCTCTAGTTCATTTTTTATACAGTCACATCAAAATCACCATGACCATACCTATGATAAATGGTAAACAAAATGAAACAGAGAAAAAAAAAAAAAAAAAAAAAAAACCTGAAGAATAAATAAGGTGGTAAGATTAAAATTCCTGCCTTTCAGTTCACCTTTAACAGGTTATTAATTTAATGCCTTTACCTATGATAAAAGCAAGAGTAACTTCATGTTTGTTGGTAGATGCCAACCATGCCAGCATAGGGAATGGGAGAAGGGGATGGTGTAGATGGAGAAGGACTTTCTTTTTATTATACCTTTCTGCATTATTTCAAATATTTTCAACCAGCACATACTATTCTTGTAATTATTTAAAAATAGATTTTAAAAAATTACAAAGTAAACTGCTGCTAACCTGCAAAATATGAAAGAACCCTCCAGAATTCATACTCTTGCTTCCCTCACTCTAGGCCGGACCACCTACATGTACACTTGACAAATGGCTACTTAAATAGGATATTGTACTGATAATAGAACACATGAAATGCTTATTTTAAAAGTAATTCTAATAAACTTCAAGAAAAACTTAGTTTAAATTACATTTTTCAAATTATCACATATCCATAGAGCAGCAAAAAAGAACACTGGACTCAGAACCCAGAGGTTCACGTTGTAATAACAGCTCCAACACCAACTGGCAGGGTGACTTATGGTAAGCCACCTAAACAGTTCATCTCCACTCAACAGCAGTATAGGACTGTGGTTTAGAGTACAGGCTTTCATCTCAGACCCGCCCGAGTTCAAATCCTTATACCATTTGCTTTCTTCCTTATTATACCAGACATGCTGTTTAACTTTGCTGTGTTTAACATAGAACAGCATAAAGTAGGTTTAAAATGTCCTGGCCAAATATTAGTTATACCCAAGAATCTCCAGAGTTATAAAAACCGATTAACTTAAAATTTAATCTTTGAGTCAATGGAGCCAAATGCTTAACAAAGTATCCTGGGTGATGAACCAAGAAGTATGCCCCGATCTAGTTCTCCTACCACTATCTCACTCAGGGAAGTATTCTCTTTGGTCAGTGCTACGGTCTGAATGTTTGTGTGTTCCCCTCCCCTAATTCGTATGTTGACACTTAATCACCAGTGTGAATGAGTTAGGAGATGGGGCCTCTGGGAGATGATTAGGTCATGAGGGTAGACCTCATGTATGAAATTAGTGTCCTTATAAAAGAAGCCACAGAGAGCTGCGTCAGCTCTTCCACCAAGTGAAGACACAGTGAAAAGGTACTATCTATGAGAAAATGGGCCCTCACGAGACACCAAATCTACCTGAGCCTTGACCTTGGGCTTCCCAGCCTCCAGAATATGAGAAATAAATTTCTTTGTTTATAGGCCATCCAGTCTAAGGTATTTTGTTACAGCAGCCCAAATAGACTAAGAGAGTCAGCATCATTGTTTAGGTGACCAGACTGGTGTGGCTATTTCACTCATGCATAGATAACATTTAATGGGGAAACAAAATCATTTTGGTTTTTGGAAATACAATAAAAAACCTTTTTATTTTGCAATAAACACGAACCTGTCTAAGATACCAGAGTCTAAAATATTACAACAAAATACTGTTAAAATGATTAAAATGAATGTAATACTATTTATATTGTTAACCTAGAAAATATATGCTGGTTTAAAAAATGAGGCTGCCAAGCACAGGACTCCTATTACTAGCACTAGTTTAAAAACATAAATGAATTATTCTTAATTTTACTTCATGGTTTTAAACATTCTATCATTGTCATCCATGAATTATGAAACCTATAATCATATACCTGTCCTTACACGAGTCAAATTTTAAGCCAAATTAAATTTTCTAGGCCACCTCTCAAAGGTGAGCAGAGCACTTCTAAAATAATTTGGTCTGTATATCACTTCAGGAAAAGAAAAAAAACCTCCATGCACTACCCAATCCTGTTGCCCAGGCAAACATATACAACCTACAAGTGTTTCCATGGGTAAATGATTTTTACAGTGGCTGTAAAAATGTTCACATTACCCATTGCTTTTCTTTACAATAAATATTCAACCTCATGGGAACAAATACATCTTTAAAAGCATATATTTTGAATAACAGATTTAAGATCTGCATAAGTACTTCTGAAGTACATTAAAGAACATTTTAACTCTGGAATATATGTTAGAGACAGAAAATTATATATTCCTTTGATTTCTTAATGAATTACACTACATTCAAATGTGAATTAAGGTTAAAAAGTAGAGTTTTCTTTTATGATTAAAGGCATGTACTTTTATTTCTTAATGATTAAAGTAATTCAAATACCATGTTTTAAAAATAAATTTTATGTTACAGTATACCAGAACTCTTTACTGCTGAGCCTTGAAGATCTGCATGCTCATGTTATTTACTGAACTGGTTTTTCTCTGTCTCTGGGATACTTTATATTTTACTTTTACTTTAGATTTACTTAAATAAAATTTAACAAGACAGACTATTCTAGAATATGAATGAGTAACAGAACAAAACTAATTTTTCTTTAAGTGACCTCTTTTTCCATTAATCATATCATTACAAAATTACTCCTTCCATTACATGAAGTGGTTTGCTGCTCTTCATCAATCACACTGCAGGATATCATGGCGATTCTGCATTTAATTGCTTCCATGCCAGCCATTCTGTGAAATGAGCACTGTTCCAAGAGCCATCCAACCAGTACCTTCACCTTGGCAAGGAAAGGGTCTACTGAAGATCGGAAAACAGTTCAGTTTCATAAGCTGATTCTGTCTTCAAGCCTTCAGATTGCAAGGAGGAAGCCAGGTAAATCCTTCGCTACCATATACACCATCTTCTGTATAAGAAGAGCACTAGAGAAGAATTCCCTATTTATTTCTAGTCTAGTTATTTTCATAGCCATTGGTGTCTGTGGTTATGTCTGCTACATGATCACTATGCTGAATTGTCAGGGTAGGAACTCTACAACCACTTTTGCATGTCTAGGAAAATTACTGCAGCAAACTGTATCTTCCTTCCTGAGCCTCCCAACTCCAACTGAACTGTGTACTTCAGAAGGGTAATTGTTATCGGTACTAAGCCATTCCTAAGTAAAATCTACATGCCTTGAAAACATGGGGTTAATCCCCATGAGTTTCACTTAATTATAGTTTACATGTCAGTGAATGACTCTTTAGGATCGGCTTTAGTGATTTTTTTTTTTATAAAACATGTTTACAGATTATTTATGGCCTTTGATGAGCTAAGTTCAAACTACTGCCTTACAAATGAAGAACATTACTATACCATTTCCATTACCACGACAAAGAGTCCATCAGCTCCCTGCTTTTCTTGAATTTAGCTATAGGTAATAAGAAAAAAACCCAATTGTTTACCAAAAAGAATTAAAAATAAATACTTCAGCGGCCACTGCCATTTCCTAGATCTGTTAGTTGTAAGTATGTTACTTAAAGAGTTTTTCTATTTTATTCTACAGAACTGCAAAATCAATTGAAGGAAAATGTTATTTTCTTGAATGAAATATGTGTGTGTGTGTGTGTGCATATATATATACACACATATATACACATATATACATATATATACATATACACACATATATGTACATATATACACATACATATATATACACATATATACATACATATATACACATATATATACATACATATATACACATATATACACATATATATACATACATATATATACACACACACACTATATATATATATATATATATATATATATATTTTTTTTTTTTTTTTTTTTTTTTTTTTTTTGAGATGAAGTTTTGCTGTTTCACCCAGGCTGGAGTGCAGTGGCGCGATCTTGGCTCACTGCAACCTCTGCCTTCCGGTTTCAAGCGATTCTCCTGTCTCAGCCTCCCAAGTAGCTGGGATTACAGGTGCCCACCACAATGCCCAGCTAATTTTTGTATTTAGTAGAGATAGGGTAGAGATAGGGTTTCACCACATTGGCCAGGCTAGTCTCGAACTCCTGACCTCATGATCCGCCCGCCTCGGCCTCCCAAAGTGCTGGGATTACAGGCGTGAGCCACCGTGCCCAGATGAAATTTATATTTTTATCATCAGCAGTATTTAAGCTTAGTAAAGGAGTTAAGTATTCTATTCAATTTCTTTCTTTATAAAAATCAGAAAAATATTTTAGACTAAATACTAAAGTTTTCAAGTTTCATTTCAAGACCATAACATATTTTCCCCTTAAGTTGTAGACTCCGTTCATTGTGAACATTTTAGGAACGAATTGATACTACTAACAATACTGCTTGGTGAATTTACAAACGTAATATTTATTGGAAAATTAGAAAATGGCAATCATAAAGTTTGTCCTCGTATTACAAAAATAAGATTCTATTTTTTTTTTTTCTCTGTACATAGTGAGAAGGAAAAAAAAAAAGATTCTAATTCCTGGGGATATGCACTTGCACTCTAAACTCTTCCTTTGGTCCAAGGATGAACTAGAAGGCAACACTAGGACAAACTCTTTAGGAATCTCATTCTAAATGAGAGCATTAAGAGTTCACTGTAGAATCAACATAACATTTCCATGTCACTTAATTGCAAAAACTTGGCAATGGTATTTTTGTAAAATGTAGAGAATTCCAGATTCTGTAAAAGGAACCAGAGGGTTTTTAAATTCTAGAATTTTTTTTAAATTCCATCTTTAATACTTCCATCTCAAAAATATTTTCCGAACATTCATGACTGTAAAACAACTCATATATGAATAAATAAAACTTACCACTTGGAGAATGTCTTCATCTTTTGGCATAACACTAAGTTCCAATGTTGTATCACTGAAATTGAATTATATACTATTTTAGGAGAGGTAGAAGTGTATAAAAAAAGACTTAATGGAAAAACAGTTAACTCAGAAGTATTTTTTAAATTGTTTAAGAGTTTATTCTGGTTTTCTTATATCTTAATTTTTAAAATCAAATCATTAGAATGAAAAGAAGTCACCTTTGTATACGTAAGTTAACTATATACAAAAGAGGGACGGACCCCTGCCATGTTTGTGCTATTCATAATCAGTAAAGTTTTCTTTATAACATGTTTCTAATTTAGAAATATAAAGTATGTTGCTTATATTAAATAGTCCCAGGACAAACTCTTAACAATATCAGTATACAATTATTTATTGTTTTATTCAAGTCACAAAACAAATTATAGATTGTTGTCATATATTCTGTTCAAGTTAAAATTCATTAACATCAAAGAACCCTCAAACTTAATATTTTAAGTAATTTTTTTTTTAGACTGAGTCTCACACTGTCACCCCGGCTGGAGTGCAGTGGCGCAATCTTGGCTCACTGCAACCTCTGCCTCCTGGGTCTAAGCCATTCTCATGCCTCAGCTTCCCAAGTAGCTGGGACTACAGGGCATGTGCCACCATACCCAGCTAATTTTTCTATTTTTAGTAGAGAGGAGGGCTCACCACATTGGCCATGCTGATCTGGAATTCCTGACCTCAAGGGACCTGCCCACTTCAGCCTCCCAAAGTGCTGGGATTACAGGCGTGAGCCACTGTGCCCAGCCAAGTAATATTAAACATCTTAATTTTGCAATATTCCCTCCTGGCCTCAGAAGTGAAGGAAATCGCTTTACTGTCACAACTACTGAGCTGACTCATTTTTAATAACTATATAACATTTCAACTATTTGCTTTTTTCCCTATGATTTACTTTTAGTGCCTTTACAGGGACAGCTCAAAGTCTAATTTTATTTTGGTTCTGTAAATTTCCTGTTGAAAATGATAGAGAAATTTCCCTAAGTTTAGAAAGTTCAAAGGGGTAAACAAAACTGAATCCTGTGATCTGGAGGTACATACAGATATGGCAAAGGTGCCGGGCGAAGTGGCTTACGTTCCCAGGCCAAGGTGGGTGGATCACTTGAGGTCAGGAGTTCGAGACCAGCCTGGCCAACATGTTGAAAACTCGTCTCCACTAAAAATACAAAAATTAGCTGGACGTGGTGGCAGGTGCCTGTAATCCCAGCTTCTCAGGAGGCTGAGGCAGGAGAATTGCTTGAACCTGGGAGGCGGACATTGCAGTGAGCTGAGATCATGCCATTGCATTCCAGCCTGGGCAACAAGAGTGAAACTCCCTCTCAAAAAAGAAATAATAAAATAAAATAAAATAAAAGTTATGGCAAAGGCAGTGCTACTATCTCCACCAAATGCTTCAACAGCTAATCTAACAATATCAGACATATTTTCCCCCAATACAGTCAAGAGATTAAGAAACAATCAACAACAAAAAACAAAATAATCTACTGGTGTCTCTTCTTGACAGATTTGAATCATTATGTTTAGTTTCATAAATGCTCAGATTATACTAAACCCATGAGAACCACAGGTTCAAATAAATTTAACTAGTAAAATATGTAGGTACTTTCATTTCAATATTTAGAGTTGGTAGAAACTGATGTTTAGATAAACTCCTGTGCAAGGACACATCTGTTTGTTTGTTGTTTTTGTTTTGAGACAGGGTCTCACTCTGACACTCAGGCTAGAGTGCAGTGGCTCTATCAAGGTTCACTTGATTAACCTCACTTGACTGACCTCCTGGACTCAGGTGATCCTCCCACCTCAGCCTCCCAAGTATCTGGGACAACAGACACACACCAGCACGCCCAGCTAATTTTTTGTAGAGACAGGGTTTCACCATGTTGCCCAGGCTGGTATCAAACTCCTAGGCTCAAGTGATCGGCCCACCTCAGCCTCCTAAAATGCTGGGATTACAGGCATGAGCCACTGCACCCAGCCCACAAGGACACATGTTATATTAATCCACTGCAGAATCTCAAGGGCTTTGTGGTGCATTACCCATTTGCTACCAACTGCAGACAGAAGAAAAACAACACTTTTAATGGAAATAAGATTATGAAAAAATATTTCTCTAATATTCAAATTGATTTTAGTGGTTGAAGTGTTATTATTCTGAAAGATGAACTGTACCAGTAACAGAAGAATCAATGTAGATTTTGAAGAAAACAATGATTAAGTTGGTTTTTAAAGAAGAGATATTAACAAATACACTAAGTCTTTTAAGTTATGGGCTGACAAAACATATCGTTGTATTTATGATGATCTAAATTATTTTGAGGAAAAAAATTCTGGCAAATCTGTTATCCCTTGGAGAGGCTTTAAATTCATTATCAACATTAGAGGCAATATTCAAGAGTTGTTTTCTGTTAGACTCCCATTAAATATTAAAACATTAAAGAAAACACTCTGAGATCAATTAATCATGACCATGTCATTTAATTGTAAGAAATGGCAATGTATTAGGGCATTAGTGTAAATAATTTAGATTACAGCATGAGCCACTCTAGACATACTTAGGAGAGCTTGATAAAAATCTTCAGAAAATGAACTGCACTTGAATTACAGACAGGTGAGTTTGGCCAACAGAAAGCATTAGATAATCCAAAAGTTCCTGTATTTGAATCTGAGAAGAACCTCTTACAACAGAGTGATGATCCGACTAGGCTCAGATCCATGGCCTAGCCTTGACAGAAATTCAATATGGTAACTCTTTGGTTTCTAACTTATTTGTAATTTGGAAAAATTTTCTAGTTGTGTGGGTGAAACAGAGTAGGACTAAATGATCTTCGAGGTCTCATAGACAGTCACTCTATAAATATGTATCTAACTTTAGAGCTCAAAATCCTACTATTCTGTAAAATGCAGGCAGGCAAATGGATTAAAAGGGAATGTCTTGTTGTCTTGGTTAGAACAAATGAGTTGAGGCTAGGAAGATTATTCAAAAAGATACTTAAAAGTAACATACCCCTGTAAGAGGTTTTAAAATAAACTATATATGCATTTATTTATATATTAAAAACAAATTATACATTTGTCACTTCAAATAAAAGGGGTAAACACAGTAAATCTAAAGTGTGTGCCTTACAGCCTCTATGGGATTTTAATCATAAATCTGATACATCTGTCAAACCAAAGCCACCAACTAAGCTATCCTCAGATAGCTGGTCCTTGGCAACTCTCAAATGCATTATATCTAAGGGAAAGTTCCACATCTCCTTGTCACCACAATTCCTTGTAAGAATAGAAGATTGTATTAAATCTATGTGCTCTATTGATCTATAAAACCCATCTTTGGGTTTTAATGTTTTAAGACTCTTACCTGTTTTGAATTAAAGCAATTACTTGGGAATAGGTTTTGCCAATAACACTTTCTCCATTGACTTTTATAATTCGGTCACCTTCAAAGAGAAGTTAAAAAACAAATGAGAGATCCTGCAGAAAGTCACTTTTGAACACTTTTGAAATATTTCTTGAATAATGTCCTTATTTTTAATGTCGTATATATTAAAATAATAAAATACAGAGTTGTGAGAAAATTATTAGTATCATAATTATAAAACAATTATATGAATATCCTAGCTTATTACTTTTAAAGTTTTTACAAAAGTAAATACATTTTAATATATCCAGCTTTTTGTGAAACTAGCCATGTTCTAAGTAAGAGTTCCAGTCATTACTGAATTTAGAAATTTCAAAAGGTCTAGTTACCAGGGGACCAGAGCTATACTACTTATGCTCCTATCAGTTGTTTCCTGAGTTGCAGAACTAATTATCTCTCCACGTACCCTGTCTTTTTTTCTCTTTTTTTTTTTTTTTTTTTTTTTTTTTGAGACAGAGTCTCACTCTTGTCTCCCAGGCTGGAGTACAGTGGTGCAATCTCGGCTTACTGCAACCTCTGCCTCCCGGGTTCAAGCAATTCTCTTTCTACTCTGAGTAGAGTAGGAAAGGAAAAGACAGAAACAAAGAACAGAGGAAAGAAGAAAATAGGCAAAAATGTACTTTTTGTGTGCTTATCACAGCATATCTCCACTTCATCTTCCCAATCATGTGGGGCTTAAAATACGACAGATGATACATTCTAAAGAAATCCCACATGCATACTAATATACATATTATACATATTAATGATATTTAAATCAGGCTTACTTTAAGTATAATAAAAAAAACTAAGGTGGGTAATACATTAACAGTACATCCTTATAAATCTTAGCAATGATGTCCACTACTTTCTAATATTTGTAGGTGAAAATATAGCATTGTATTTAAAAGGCAGTGAAATATAGCTTTTCAATAATTCCCATTTTAAATTGTCTAATGTTTAAAAAACAAAAGAAAAGAGTATTTTAGAGTGTGCACTAATATAAATGAAATCTCTACTTAGGGTTTATTAAAATCACAAATCACAAAACATTTTAGAACAAACAGCTACTATATCCAGCCAATTAAGCCACATATACTGACACCTTCAGATGAAGCCAGGCTTATGTTCCGCATTGGAGACTTAAGCCACTTTGTGCTGCAAATTAATTAACTCAACTCTGTCAGATCAGGCACTTCCAGAACTTGAAAATCCAAGATTATTTCACTTATATCAAATAAATACCTTCATCATTTTGCTACTTTGTAATCCTTTGTCAAAATTCAATGCATGCAAAATTTGTTCCTTTAAAGAGCCTCTAAGAGTCTATCATCTGTGTGGTAATTAAAAGTGCTCACAGTGTATCAATTTATATTGTTATTTCTGTTCAAACCCATTCATATGGGCACCAAGAAACATAATTAGTTCTCAAAATTAGTAACAACAGATGTGAAGGAAAAGGAAGAAGCATACAGAAAGATACAAAAGGAAAAAATATCGAACATGAAATATGGAAGAAATAAAGTGAAAAAGAAATTAAAACGTATTGTTTAAAGAAGAATATCAGCACCTGTACATAATCCAGCTTCAAAAGCAGGTCCTCCTTCTTTAACTTGCTTAACAAATATGGTATCCATTGGTTCCAAGCGGTTTCTTTGTTTTCCTGTTACAGAGAAGCCCAAAGCATGATTTTACTTCACAATACTTTACTAAAATACCTAAATATAAAATAGTATTTGAGAGAATTAAGCAAAGCTTTTTAATGAAATATTAAATACATATCCTGAATTTGGATGCTAAAATTATAATGTAGGGGTTTTCATTTAATTCAAACATTTATTTTGCTTCTTCCATAACATAATGACAACCACAACACTGTAATGCTTTCCATTTACTGGCTACATTCCGTATGTCAGTTGCCACACTAAATACTGTATCTCAGAGCTAATTTCCACAGCAAGTAAGTACTACTACTACCATTCATAAAAGAGGAAACTGAAGCTTAGAGGGATTAAATAAAGTCTCCAAGGTCAAACAGCTAACAAGTGCCAAAGATGATTACACAGGCGGTACTCACTCCATGGCTTTTGTTTTTTGTTTTGTTTTGTTTTGTTTTGTTTTTTTGAGATGGAGTCTCACTCTGTCACCCAGGCTGGAGTGCAGTGGTGCAATCTTGGCTCACTGCAACCTCCACATCCCGGGTTCGAGTGATTCTCCTGCCTCAGCCTCCTGAGTAGCTGGGACTACAGGTGTACACCACCCCGCCTGCTAATTTTTGTATGTTTTAGTAGAGACGGGGTTTCACCATATTGGCCAGGCTGGTCTCGAACTCCTGACCCCGTGATTCACCCGCCCTGGCCTCCCAAAGTGCTGGGATTACAGGCGTGAGCCACCGTGCCCAGCCTCTACTGCTTCTTAATACTGCATTGTGCTAAGCATTAAAATGTAACAATGAACAAGACATATTCCTTTCCCTTCAGGGAGTCTGGTAGGAGGAGAAAGACATACAAACAAATAACAGTATAGTATAAAAAACAATCAGAGACAAATACAAAATACAGTCATGGCAATGAGGAGAGCATGATCAACCCCGTAAGTCAGAATTTCACAAGCTGTTTTCCATGGATCATTGGCATTAACATCTAAGGTGTTTGCTAAAAATGGATGTTTTGGAGTCTGACCAGAAATCTGCTCTGTCAACAAGTTTCCCAGATGATCCTAATACACATTAAATTTTGAGAACAACTAGTTGTTTCAGTGAAATAGAAGTCAAGGAAAAATTCGCAGATGAGAGGACATTTAAGCTAAGTGACAAACAGCATAAGTATTGTGGGGGAAGAAGGAGGTACACGGTAGTTCTAAAGGTGTGGTCCCAGGACCAGCAGCATCAGTATCACCTGGGAATATGTTAGGAATGCAAATTTGTGGACCCCACCCTAGATCTCCTGAATCAGAAACTCTGAGGTGATTGTGATGCACACTTAAGTTTGAGAATCACTGAAGTAGAAGACACAGTCCTGACCCTTAAAGAAGAATGTAACTGAGAAAATAAGGCATATACATGTGTTGAGTAACATGATACTACTTGTTAAACAGCAATACTGGGCAAAAAATGATTGAGTGTCAAATACAAAGAGTTCATAATTATTGCCATATAAAACTGAATTGTTACCATAGTGTATGCACCAAGATGGCTTAAAGGAAGTTACTTAATAAAGGAATATCTATCACTAGCTCCCCTTAAATACTTAGCTATTTATTCTGAAAGACGCCCTCCAAAGCAATGAATGGCTAGATTTCAAAGGCAATGGGGCATAGTAGAAATTGCTTGTTTTAGAAGCGAGTAGACATCGGTCCAAAACACTTCCTTTGCCACTTGAAATTTTCTGTGTGCTACACTTTATTTTTCTTCATTAAACTTACAACCCACTACCTAAAATTACATTTTTATTTGCTTACATGTTTGTTGTATATCTCTCTAACATAAAGATCAGGAATTTTCGCAATGCTCACTAATATCCATAGCATAGAGCAGGCATTCAATAAATAATTATTCAATGAATTAATACATTTATTATTTAGTTTAAATTCACACAAGCCCTCAAGATGGGCATTATGATCCTAAAATTGCCATTTGAGTGAAGAGGAAAAAGAGACTCAGTAACTTGCTAAGAGGCAGCATAGGGATTTGAACCCTCAGGCCTGAATTCAAGTGTGGCAATTCCATGCTGCCTCAAAAGTAACTGAATGTGATTTATTTCTCAAGCTCTGCTGTATTCAAGTAGACAGTCCATTTGCAATTAATTTAAAAGGAAAAATACTTTCTTATCAATTCAAGTTGCTTAAAATGCAAACGCTGAATTCCTATCAAGTTGGTGATCAGGTTAGGTCAGTCTGTGGTCAATCTAATATTTACAATAGTTGGCATTAAAGAAAAAACATCTATCTTCTTGGCTAGATATCTAAAGGCTTAGTAAGTCTTGTTGCATCAAGTCACTGCTTTCATGGAAAGATTTATATAATAAAAGAGAAGAGACATTTTTCCTATTAATGTCTTCTAGTCCACTGTGTCTCAAAGGTGATTATTTCATACTTAAAAATACAAAATGTAAATGACCATTAATGAATTCTACAAAATAATAAAACGTTGGTTGGGTAGCAATGCGATGACTTCTGAAAATTCTGATAGAAAATTTCACTTACACAGAACAGAGGTGGTCCAAAATAATGTGGTGTTAATTCTACAAAAGAAATACTAATTTTGAAATGACTACCATTGTAAAGTCAGACATACTTTGCCACTGACAAATCTTTCAATACACTATGCCTGAAAACATACGAAGATGGAATAGATTAAAATAGAGTCCAATCCTATAGCAAGCACTGTTACATCTGCTGAGAGTTGCACTTTTAATTCTTGCTCACATTTTTTTTTTTTTTTTGAGACAGAGTCTTGCACTGTTGCCCGGGCTGGAGTGCAGTGGTGTGATCTTGGCTCACTGTAACCTCTGCCTCCCAGGTTCAAGCGATTCTCCTGCCTCAGCCTCCCGAGTAGCTGGGATAACAGGTGCCCGCCACCATGCCTGGCTAATTTTTTTGTATTTTTAGTAGAGATGGGGTTTCACTATGTTGGCCAGGCCGGTCTCGAACTCCTGACCTTGTGATCCACCCTCCTCGGCTTCCCAAAGTGCTGGGATTACAGGTGTGAGCCACCGAGCCCGGCCTCTTGCTCACTTTCCTTTCTGAACTTTCTCCAAAAATCTGACTTGCTACCTAGATATCATCCAATTCCTCCTAGAGAGAGAAAAACATTTCCTGTAAATATCCCTTAAATATAAGCAGATTTCACTATGAAATATACTTTTCTTCAATTTCTATACACCTTGACTCTATGTCTTGAGTTAAACACTTGACTCATGAATTTTAAGAGTGTCTTCTTTTTAAGATATGTGCTCCGCAATTTTGCCAGAACTGGAAATCAGAAGTATCATATTTAACACGTGTGTCATTCACAAGCTCTCTCAGGTCTTTAGCTTTTGTAAATACATTTCTAGATATGCAGAACTAAAAGCCTGATCCCGAATTGTGGTAATTCACCAGGAAAAGTGACTCCTTACTTCCCTGTATGATTACTTAGCAGACCCAGATGGCTTCCCTGGCAATTCTTAGTAAAAGCCTCTTTCAATTCCACATCTGTATTTTATAACTTCTCAATTTTTTGAGAACACATGGGACATGTTTCAAAGAACTGTTAAATACCTTATTCAAATATCATTTCCTAACCTTATCAAAAGAGAGTGTGCCTTTTTGGCACATACATGCAGTTAAATCTTCCTATATTTGTAGAAAAGAAGGTAAAAAGACAATTATCTTACATGGATGAGAATGGCTAAAGTAACCAGGTTCAAAAAAAGTCCCATTTTATGTTATAATATATAATTAGTACTGACTTAAAAAGACATAAAAAGCACATGTAAATTTACCTGAACTTGAACACTACACTTGAAATCAGAAAGAATACACATACGTCTACAATGAAGTAAATATGATCAGTTGGGGGAAAAATAACTTGAGTAAAAAAATTAATTATATATAGGTAGTAGCTGCCATCTAAATACTGAATGTTCAGGTGGATGTGATTCTTATTCTCTATATTCATTATAATGCAACAGTTAAGACCTTGGGCCCTATAACCATATTACATGGTTTAAAATCCCACCTCTGTCATTCATTTTCCAAGTGGGGTCATCAGATTTTGCAATATTTGATACATATTTAAACTAAAAAATAGTAGTAGTCTATCTGAAATTCAAGTTTAATTGAGCATTCTGTATTTCATATGACAACCCTATATCCAAGTGATTTTAGATGAATGATTTGTATGTGCCCCCAGTTTACTGATCTGAAAAATGGGGATGATAATAATTATTCCTACCTCGCAAGGTTGTTGTGAGGATTTAAAAAAGATAATCCAGTAAAGCATTTATATAATATCTAGTACATGCAGGTATTTGTTAAGTATTACTTATTATTATGATAGACCTGATTATAAACTTTTCAGGTTTACAAACAGATCAGAGATGATCTTGGGTACACAGAGCCTGTCACATCGCAAGTGAGCAATAAATACTGGTTGAAAGGACACTCATCAAATTCAACTGTCATATTATAGGGAAGTCAAGGAATACTGCCGGGGGAGGGGATAGGACGAGAAACATGAAAGAAAAGAAAGTAAAAAGAGATTATACTAAAAAAATTTCCAATAACTCTGACACAAACTATACACCTGTCTTCAAAGAGATTGTGTCTAAAACCAAAGTGCTACATCTATAGGCCTGGGGGCTTTGTCAGTCAAAAAGGATGAGTTAAATCTCTAGTGACCTCCTTCTTTGGAGAAAGCCTAAGACAAAATCATTTGCAACATCTAAATTATTTGAAATTTTTAAATATTATTTGAAATTTCTAAATATTAAGTATACAAAAAAAAACCACACTAAAGCTAATAGATTACTTTTAAGAAGCAACAAAATTTGAACTATGACAGTTACAAAAAGGACTCTGTAATGAAGATCACAGAGAAACAGATCATGATAGTAAGAAAATCCTACAGTTCTGAGGACAAGAGAAACATATTTCTTAACAGACTGGAAAAATATATAGTTTATACAAAGAAAAACTATCCCACATTTTAATCAAGAGCAAAGCAATAGAAAATAATGGCTCTTGTCTATGGCCATACCACCTTAAATGTGCCCAATCTTGTCTGATGTCGGAAGTTTAGCAGGACTGGGGCTGGTTAATACTTGGATGGGAGACTGCCTGGGAATATCAGGTGCTATAGGCTTTAAAATATATATATATATATATAAGAAAGAAAGAAAATAATGGTTATAACTGAGATTGAGCTTTTGTTTCTTCTCTCTCAGAGTTCCCAAACTTGCTATTGGAGAATTTTTTTAATTAAACCAAATCTCTGCTTTTATGAGACTTATTTCAAAAAATGGTATTTTTTCCATTGGTTTCTTTGTTGCCAAAGAAAAATCTCTATCTTTATACAACAAAAGGCTGTTGAAATGAGACTATGCTCCAATCTGAAAGTCAGATAAGCCTCGCAAGAAGTATACCCTCCAGAAAGGTGGAAAACTAAAGAGGTTTATCACATAATGGAATATGAAGGCACCAAGCATCAGCTATTTAAGGGAAATAAATAGCATATTGAAATTAATATCTATTTTTCAGATAAAAAATAACTGAAACCCCAACACAGACTGAAATACATAGCAAAGTTATGTCTGAGTGATGAAAAGGGATCTTTATTTCTCTTTGATGGAAAATAGACTGCCACAGAAAAAAAACAGCATGTAGAAGAATTTATTGAGCAATAGGAATGTGGATCTATTAAGGAAAAAAACAAAAATAAGGAGTAATATACACCAAATTCAGGCTAGTAATTACCTCTGGAGGAAGGGAATAGGAAAAGAGTGGCATAAAAGGGCCTTATTATATTTGCAGTCATTTATGTCTTCAGGAGAGAGAAACAGAGAAGGAAAAAGAAAGGTTATGAGGGGGTGGAGGTGAAGCTGAAATGTTAAGATGACAAAGATGGGTGGCAAGCATTTAGAAGTAACATTTTTGTTTGCCTAAAATATTTCATAACTAGTATTTCTTATTGTTGACAACAGGCTTCTAACTTTTATTTTGGGAATATGGTTTACTGGTATCTTAAGAGTCTAACAGAGACACAATGTCCAACATTAAAAATCCATATGTATCATATGATAAATATATCCTATATAAGTCATTAAGCAGAATCCAATTTAAGAGGACTGCTGTGGCAGATTATTAGTCCTTTGTTTGTTTGTTTTTTGGTAAGGAGAGAAGCACTAAGAAAGATGTGCCAACTTATTAAATTTAGGTGTTCCCCAAATTCTCACTCAAAATGCTCTCACTTGCAGGTGACAGCTAGCACTTTAAAATTATATCTCCAAGTCTCCAATCTGCAGATCCAGCAATTACCATGAGCTCCCAAACCCAAATTCCAATAATCTCTGGATACTGTCAGTAGAATGTCACCTGTCAGGTCTCAATCACATTATATCTATTATTAGTAAAAACATACTATCTTTCTACTCAACCTGATCTTCAAGTAGTAACAAATAGAACAAAATGAAATAAGAAAGTTTGTTTAATATAAAAAAGCAAACCATGTTCTAACTGAATCATGCTAACCTTTCTTTCAACCCACACCTCTCTAGTTTTTAAAAGGTTTTACTGGCCAGGCATGGTGGCTCACGCCTGTAATCCCAGCACTTTGGGAGGCAGAGGCGGGTGGATCACGAGGTCAGGAGTTCAAGACCAGCCTGGCTAAGATGGTGAAACCCTGTCTCTACTAAAAACACACAAAAAATTAGCCGGGCATTGTGGCACATCCCTATAATGCCAGCTACTTGGGAGGCTGAGGCAGATAACTGCTTAAACACGGGAGGTGGAGGTTGCAGTGAGCCTAGACTGCGCCACTGCACTCCAGCCTGGGTGACAGAGCGAGACTCCATCTTGGAAAAAAAAAAAAAAAAGTTTTACCGTGGAAATGTCCAGCATACACAAAAGTAGAGAGGACAATAAAGCCCATGAATGCAGCTTAATTATAAAAACATTTTCAATCTTGTCTTGTTTCATTGAAACCCACCCACTTTAAAACATTTTAATGCAAATCCCAGATATCATGTCATTCATAGGTACTTTAAATATATCCATACACACCACTAACAGATAAGAACTGTACATTTTCTTAAAAGCAAGAAACAGGGGCTCACGCCTGTAATCCCAGCACTTTGGGAGGCCGAGGCGGGCGGATCACGAGGTCAGGAGATCGAGACCATCCTGGCTAACACGGTGAAACCCCGTCTCTACTAAAAATACAAAAAATTAGCCGGGCGTGGTAGCGGGCGCCTGTAGTCCCAGCTACTCGGGAGGCTGAGGCAGGAGAATGGCGTGAACCTGGGAGGCGGAGCTTGCAGTGAGCCAAGATCGCGCCACTGCACTCCAGCCTGGGCGACAGAGCGAGACTCCGTCTCAAAAAAAAAAAAAAAAAAAAAGGAAGAAACAAAATCCTTCAACAGTTCTTCACAGTATGTAGCATTCTGCACTATGTGATCGGTACTGCAAGCTGACAAACAAACCCACTCTATTTTCATCTTCCTAAATACCTACTTAACATTAATAAAAAGCAGTATGTCATGACAGAAATGATAGCCCCAAAGGCTATGAAATAAATTTAGAAAGGTTTCACATGTAAAAATCATATGAGAATCCTAAATTAAGTGCCTTAACAAGTAGCCCAGTGCAACTGCTCTACCTATGTATTCAAGTTCAGTAAGTTCATATACGCACGAGAATATACAGGACATGAAAATCTCCAGCACACAGAACACTGCATGGCACACAGTAGATGCTCAATAAATGTTTGCTAATTAAAATTAGAGCCCTGGAAAATGCTAATAGTAAAAATTCCCAAAACCAGCTTGGAGAGTTGTTTCAGGGACAAAGCAATAGTGCTACGACTAATCTGTACTATTTCCCTCAAATAGTATAAGGAAAATGCTGCCACTCAACAGCAGTTTAAGTACAGTACCACTAGGTGTCGGACATGAATCAAAATTTTCTGGCATTATGAACTATCCAGGCAAGAAAGACTGTGGATGGGTGTTATTCATTCAACAAATATTTACCGAGCTCTTACAAATGTGCCAGGCATTGATTATCCTACAATGAACAAAGAATCCTGGCATCTGCCTTCTAAAGTATTTAAAGTTCATGTAGCATTGTACATTTCACATGTAACATTTCACACACAGTATTATCATATCTAGATTCATAGCCCTATTATTTCTGTTATGCTAGAATTTAATTTCTCTGCAAACTCAGAAAAATTTGTTATGGTGCTCTAACCAACTATCTTTCTATCTGACTTTATCACCTCTCAATCCTTTAACCAATTAAACTTGCTTGACTTTATCAAGACCTTCCATTCCCTTTAGCCTTCTCCATTCTTCTAAACTATCAGTCTCCCTCCAGAAATTACTATCATGCTCACTTCGGCAACATATATACTAAAATTGGAACAGAAGTTACTTTCTTTCTTACTAAGATTACCCGTGGATCAGTATTTCAACAAAATTGACCAGTACCCTCAACTTCCTTTCCCCTTAACCTTTCAAAGCATTCGATGTGCCAATCTCTAACTACGGAGAATTCCAAAATACACCTGCTCTGTTCTTGTTCTTGGCCTGCTACTACAGCTGAATAAAACTGCAGGACAAGCATTGATTTACAATTTCCCAGTTCAGCTAAGTTCTTGACACTACTCAGAAAAGTCTCTTGCTTGCATTTTAATTCCTGTCCCCTCAAGGTTGCTGTTTCAAACTTCTAGTAACCTTCTTTTTTATTTATTTTTATAGAGACAAGGTCTTGCTACATTGACCAGGTTGATCTCGAACTGACTTCAAGCGATCCTCCTGCCTCGGCCTCCCACCCAAAGTGCTAGGATTACAGGCATGAGTCACCACACCCGGCCATCATAAACCTCTTTAACTTGCTGTTCCATGCTGATTTCCTCACACTAGTTCAATAACCTTGTCTCCCAGTTCACTCAATTGCTATATCCTCAACTTTTTTTTTCTTTGCCTGTCCTCATTTTCTTCGTCCTATTTCAGGTGGGGATTTAGTCATCAGTCCTCTTCAGGACCTTGCCACCATAATTCTCTCTTCTCACATGTAAAACTTCATGTGAGAAAATCCCTAGTCTTCTCTCCAAATCTCATGGATATATAAATGCTTCCCAAACAACAAAAGTTCTCTCCACCTTTCCATATAGCTACCCTCTCTATCCCTTTGTTTTTCAAACTACTTACAAATGTAGTGTATGTATCGCTTACCTTCAGTTACCTCTAATTCAGGGTTTCTCAGAAATTAACAAATACCTCCTTGGGGGAAAACTGCCAACTACCCCACCCTGACCTTGTCACGGTTTGCTGCTCTAATTTTTATGTTCCAACCCACTTCTATCTGTCTTCCTCCTCCCTTCCGTCCACTGCACTGAAACTGTTCTCAGTAACTTTACCAAACTGCCATTTGTCAGGTCTAGTCCAACTGTATCCCTTTAGTCCAAATCCTAATGAATTCTCTAAGACAAAGGACAAATTTTCCACTCCCCTTGCCCCACTTAAAATTATCACCTCCTAATAAGCAAATTACCAACTCCTCCTGGTTGTCCTCAGACCTTTCCACTACTTACTCTCAAATTTCCTTTCTGATTCTTCTTTCTCTGACCAGCTCTTAGAGTCCTGTCTTCATTCTACATGTCTTTGTCCTCTCTGTGTATGGTTTCACTTACACTTAAGACTTAATTATAACATATAAAATGACTGTCAAATCTATTTTCAACCCCTAACCTCTTTCTTGAGAACTCTAGAAACAAATTTTCAGCTAGATACTGAACTCTCTACAGGCATCAGAAATGCAACTTATCCCAAATTAAACTCATTTCTCCAGAGGAAGGAGAGATATATTTCACTTCAATATCCTTCAGTCCTTCATTTAATGACACCTCCATCTATCCAGTCACTCAAGTCAGAAAAACATAATGCTCCACAAGGCATCTTTAACTGGAAACACACACTCCATCCTAAAATCTTTCAACCAAATCTGGGCAAATGTAACTTCTAAATGTCTCTAAAATCTGTTCTGGAATGCCATTTTTCCTTCCTCCTGATAAACTCCTATTCATCTGTTAACAACCCAATGGACACCCCATCTGAGATCCCCTCACCTGGTGGTTAAAACTGACTTCAAAAAGTTCCAGCCAGTTGTGGTGGCTCATATCTGTAATCCCAGCATTTTGGGAGGCTGAGATGGGTTGATCACCTGCAGTCAGGAGATTGAGACCAGCCTGGCCAACATGGTGAAACCCCATCTCTACTAAAAAAAATACAAAAATTAGCAGGGTGTGGTGATGAGCGCCTGTAGTCCCAGCTACTAGGGAGGCTAAGGCAGGATAATCGCTTGAACCCAGAAAGCATAGGATCCAGTGAGCCAAGATTGTGCTGCTATACTCCAGACTGAGCAATAGAGTGAGGCTCTGTCTCAGAAAAAAAAAAAAAAAAGTAGTTTCTAGTTTGGTGGAGGATATAAGTATAAAATAATTACCTAAGTACAAAAATAAAGGTACATGAAATTGTTGTAGGATCATGGCACAAGGAATCAGAGCCTGTATTCTACATATATTCATTAGATGTATATGTGCCAGGAACTGTTCTGGGCTTTAAGAGATAAAGAAAATAAAGTTTCTGCTCTACATTCCAACTGAGAGAGAAAAATGCTGAGGAAGAAATAAGTAATATGAGAAATGGTGACAACTGCAATGGAGAACAATAAGCAGAGTGAGAAGGAAAGGAAGAGGGAAAGGCAGGGCTGTTTTTCTGAAGTGGTCAGGGAAGGCCTCTCTAACAGGTGACATGTGCACAGCTATCTGAAGGAAGTGAGGTTAGAGGCCACATCACTTCCTTCCCAGTAATTAGTTTAGTGAGTGGCTCACAGGACTGACTCAACAGATGTTTGCTAAAGGAACAAATAAACAAAAATTATATTTCTGATTTAATGTGCTTGGCATTTACATGTAAATATTTCTATTCTGTTTTTATAGCAAAGATGAAAAATTATCTGTTAAACATCAAAAACAGGGACTGTAACTATTATAATTAAATCTTTACTACATGGATTTATGAATCACGTACTTTCAATGTAGGCTAACTAGCTGGAGAGCAATCAGGAAAGAAAATGGGACTACTCAACTAGGGGGTGTCTATGATTAAGGTCTTAAGTTATGGAGCAGCTGAAAAAAAAACACAGCTCAACTTCTATGAAATCAACTTGGCCAGGTGTGGTGGCTCATACCTGTAATCCTAGCACTTTGGGAGGCAGAGCCAGGAGCCTAGTACAAGACCAGCCTAGGCAACATGGCAAAACCTTGTCGCTACAAAAAATACAAAAATCAGTCAAGCACAGTGGTGCAAGCCTGTGGTCCCAGCTATTCCAGAGGCTGAGGTGGAGGCTGCAGTGAGCTGAGATTGTACCACTGCACTCCAGCCTGGGAGACAGAATGAGACCCTGTATTTAAGGGGGAAAAAAATGGCTCAGCATGGTAGCTTGGTCTTGTAATCCTAGCACTTTGGGAGGCCAAGGTGGGAGGATCACTTGAGCTCAGGAGTTCAAGATCAGCCTGAGCAACATAGTGAGAACTTGTCTCTAAAAAAATTTTAATAATAAAAAGAAACCATTATACAATGATTTGATCATTATACAATGCATATATGCATTAAAATATCACACTGCATCTCATAAATATGTATAACTGTCAATTATAAATTTAAAAATTAATTTAGAAAAAAAAGCTCAAAATTACCTAATTACAGAGTTACCTCTAGAGTAACATTTCTATAAAGAAGTTCCTTCCAGAGGAGAAATTAATATTCTGCAGAACATTAATACTCCGCCATGCACTTTTCTTCTTTTTCACCTGTATCGTCCTATCTATTCAGTGTCTCCAATTAGTTCTCTGCAATCCTAAATTTCATGTTAAGTGTTTTAGAACCCTTGAAGAGATTTTTTAAATTTCATTTATTTTCTTGGCTGCCAAATTAACTTCATGCACTGTTTTTCAAACTCTTAAAACCTACTCCTAGAAATGGAACTTCTGACAATGCTACTTGAATCCAGTTGAATTCCTTGCATTTTAGATCACTATAAACAAGGTTTCCCAGGACTTGAAGTAAAATATTTTTTTTAACCTTTCATCTAACTTGACCACCTTACTTTACCAGTTTATTTTACAAAGAGGAAGTTCAAGTTGTTATGTAAATCCAAGATTACCATGTTTTTGTTATTACTGTTCTAGCTTATACACATAGCAGCTATGGGAAACTGATTTCTAAATCAAAAGAGTGTCACTGGCACTTTGTGTTAGAGAGGTTGATGGGAAAAGACAAAAGAAAAGTAGGAGGGCAGTCAGAAATCTGCTTTTCTTCTTCAACAGCAGAGGTTAGATACTAACATAGTAAATTTTGCAGCTTTGAGAGCAGTCATTTTAGAAGCTTGTGCCAATTCAAGATGGTGGTCATCATTAGAAATACCCCAGTGCACCTCCCTTTATTCAACACATTTACTCAGCAAACATCTGAGCTCCTACTATATGTACCAGGTACTTACTAGGCACTGAAAACTCAGCAATAAAAGACAATTTCTATCCTTAATGATCTTTGCTCTGAAAGTAATACATAAAAGAAATTATTTTCCATAAAAATACTGAAAAGTCAAAGTATGTAAGAAAAGTTTACTTTGTATATTCTTTTCTCTTTTTTCCCCAGACAGTCTCACTCTGTTCCCCAGGCTGGAGTGCAGTGACACGATCTTGGCTCACTGCAACCTCTGCCTCTTGGGTTCAAGTGATTCTCCTGCCTCAGCCTCCCAAGTAGATGGGATTTACAGGCATGTGCCACCACACCCGGCTAATTTTTCTATTTTTAGTAGAGACGAGGGTTTCACTGTGTTGGCCAGACTGGTCTCAACTCCTGACCTCAGGTGATCCACCCACCCCGGCCTCCCATAGTGCTGGGATTACAGGCGTGAGCCACTGTGCCTAGCCTGCATATTCTAATGCTCAGTCTTTGCCTCTCGTTTCTCTATTTGCCTTCATTAGGTTCGTGCTGCTGCCACCACCTCCCTCGAACAGGTACGTCAGGAGGAAGAAATTCCCTACTTGTTTACCACATAGCATGAACAATCACTCAGATTGTCTCCAAAATATGAGTAGAATTTTCCAGTAGAGAATTAGGGAAAAGGTCTATAGCTTTCGAAAATTGTGAAACACCAATCTACTTCATCTTATACAAAATATCCCTTCAAACATCTGAAAGCAGCTATCACTTTTTCCCTAAGCAATTCTCTTTCAAGCAAAGTTCCATGTTTTCTCCATCTTCTTTTTAAAAATACATATCATAGGTCAGCCGGGTGCAGAGGCTCACGCCTATAATCCCAGCACTTTGGGAGGCCGAGGTGGGTGGATCACCTTGAGGTCAGGAGTTCAAGACAGCGTGGCCAACACGGTGAAACCCTGTCTCTACTAAAAATACAAAAATTAGCCAGGCGTGGTGGTAGGTGCCTATAAACCCAGCTACTCGGGAGGCTGAGGCAGGAGAATTGCTTGAACCCAGAGGCGCAGGCTGCAGTGAGCCGAGATGGTGCCATCGCACTCCAGCCTAAGCAATAAGAGCAAAACTCTGTCTCAAAAAAAAAAAAAAAAAATCATCATAGGTCAAAATGTATATATATTCTTACCATCACAGCCCCTTTATATCTGAGGCTCCCAAGTGTTTTAATCATGTCCTAGTCAGTCAGAAGACAACCCTGGAGACCTCCTTTCCCATATTTTCCCACCTGTCCACTAGAGAAAAACAAAATAAATATTTTGAAATTAACTTGTTACTAGCTACATATAGAATCACTTTTATTACCTTTGTGTGTGCTTATGTATGCATATGTGTACATGTGTATATATGTATATAAGTGAGTTTATACAGTTTACATGAGGAAATATTACCCATAATAGCAAACTACAGATAACTTGGTAATTTTATTATAACTACATCTTAATAGGACAAATACATGGGTAGCAAATTATCTAATGACTTATCCATGTACTAGCTAACTGGGCTAATATAGAGAGATGGGTAATTTATATCTGAACCATAGTGTATATACATGTAAAACCTAGCTGCTAGAAAATTATATCCTAAAATATTATTGATACCAGTGAAACAATATATGCCCAGGCCACTGAACATGAGCATCCACTTTAAGGACTTTTCTACCCAGCAAATAGAAGAAAAAGCCCAAGTCCAGTTAGGAATCTCTATCAGGAGACTCTCCCGCACTTAAGAGGAAGGGTAACTACAAATAATGCCCCCACCAACCCAGAGGCTACTTTGGAGCTGAACAAAGTAGGAAAAAGAAAAAAAGGAAGGGGAAAGATAACTCTAAGAAGTGGCCATGGGCTAAACTGCACATGGACATGGATTTTTAGGCTAACTCAGGTAACAGCCTGTCCCTGGACAAAAGCAAACACCAATCAACTTGGAGAAGAGATTTTTTGTCTTAGATCTCAAAGAATCCCCAAGTAATAATTTTTGAAGGTCATAAAACACAAAGCAGTTAAAAAAAAAAAACCATGGAAAACAACAATATTCTAAGCTAAAGCTTAGAAAACAAACCAGAGAAAACAAACAAGAGAAACAGATTCAAAAACTTCTGATAAAGGAATCACCAGGCACAGATTATAAAAAAATTCCGCTTACCATGTCTGAAGAAATAAAAAGATAAAACTAAAAGTAGTCCAGGTGAAGAAACTATAAGAAGTGATCAAGCATATTTGCTGCAGTACCCTAAAAAACTTCTCATAATCAAACTTTAAAACTTAACTAAAAAGAAATTTACTGAACATATATTGGAAGAAATTAACTAGAATGCAGACCAGAAAGACAAAAAAGAAGAAGAAAAAGAAAAACTAGAGAATTTAGTAGCCATGGGAGATGGAGTAAGAATGAAATAATATCTTCAATATTACTGAATAATTGTGTACCCAGCAAAAATACCTTCCAAAAATAAGGGCAGAACACAGATATTTCACAGAAAAAAGGAGAGAGAATTACATCACATATAAGTAACATGTTGGAGCCAGGCGCAGTGGCTCATGCCTATAATCCCAACTACTCAGGAGGCTGAGGCTCTGAGTAGTGCCTGAGGGGGACTGCCTGAGGCCAGGAGTTCAAGATCAGCATGGGTAACACAGTGAGACCCCATCTCTTTAAAAAACAACAAAAAAAGCAACATGTAGATAGGAAGGAGATAATGGAGTTAAAATGTTCTAAGGTCCTTATATTTTGTAAGAGTAGAACAGAATTTTAAGTAGCATCAGACTTCGATGTGCTTGCATATTGTTTCTAGGATAACCACTGAAAGAAGGGTAATAATGTTCTTTAACCTTTCAAGTAGAAAGTATAAAAGAAAAATTATTTTTTAATCTCAGAAAAGAGAAAAATATAAGAATGAACCAAGAGAAAGTTCAAAATAAAAGATTAAACAATAAATACATAATTAATTACATTAAATACATACGTGAAAATTTCTAAATCTACCTACAGTGAACTAGCTGGTTACAGAATCAACTCTTCCACCCATGAATAATAGCCAGAAAAGCTAGACGATGTATAACCACATTTGTGTGAAGGCACCAGAAAGCTACCAAGGCAGAGATGGCTTAATGGGACAAGCTTCCAAATAGATGGAAATCCAGAGAGGTGAGTCCAGTGCTTTGCACAACTGTTCACCTTGAGGCGTTTCCTGTTTCCAAAGTAATGGCTGAGAGACTGACCAGCTGCACAGAGCTTCCATCAATCTCAAAAGGCTGAGGAGACAAAAAAAAAAAGGAACTTCAGGGCCAGCCAAGGAAAAGAGCTCTAGAAAACACCATGTTTTCACTTGGGGTCCCCAAAAGAATACAACCTGTGAGCAGGGATGAAAAGAAAAAGGCCAACCATGTCAAGCATGGAGGTGGGCTGTTCCTCTGCACACCTCCTTCTGAAGAACTTGCCGAGGGGAAGACTGTGACTGACAGCCCCAGCTGCCGCCCTTTGGATCCATCACCATGTTCACACAGAGGCCACATTTCCCCATTCCTGCCCAAAGCAGGATTCTTCTAAAAGACAAGTGTTTGCCTGGGGACTCTTCACTGGCCTAGCAGAGGCATTCTTAGATCTGTGCTGCAGGCTGGGGCCCTTCCTACCAATTCTTTCCTTTCCTCTCTTCTTTCACAGGGGTCAGGCCTGTCTCATGGTCTCAGGTTTTCCCCTGTCCTCTCTTGCTTTCTTCTTTATCCTTTACAAGCATTGCCCCCAATAAGCCTTCTGCATATCTCATCCTGGTTTAGTTTATGCTTCCATCTTGATGTCTGCTACTCAACACCAATTATCAGATCAAGGCCTGACTTTAGGTGAAGGCAATCCTTGAGCAGAGATGCAAAAATTCTAAATAAAACAGAAAACCAAATCTGGTGATATATAAAAAGCATCACACACTGTGGACAAGTTTGGTTTAGTCCAGTAATGCAGGGCTGGTTTCATATTTGAAAACTTTATCAACATGATCTACTACATTAAGTGATTAAGGAAGAAAAATCCAAGGATTATCCCAAAAGATGCAGACCATTTTAACACTCATTCATGAGAGAGATACACCAGATTCATAGATCAAAAGATTCCATATTTCAAATATTCCAGTATTATAAACAATATAAAACAAATCAAAATTCCAACAGAATTTTTTTCATGTGGGTATAGAAACTGAAAATTTGATTCTAAGAAGACATTCTACCCAATAGCAGCACTTATTATAAAGCCACATTAATTAAAATAGTGTTGTTTTGGTGCAAAGAAAGTGATCAATGGAATAGAACAAAGGTTGGCAAACTTTTTCTGTAAAGAGCCAGACAGTAAATATTTTAGGCTTTCTGGGACACATGCAATCTCCGTCGCATATTCTTCTTTTTTTAACAACCCTATAAAAATACAGATCTATTCTTAGCTTGGAGGCTGTACAAAAATGAGCCATGGGTCAATCCCTGGAACAGAAGCAAGTCTAGAAACAGATCTACACACATACAATTTATGATCAAGGTGGTATTACAGAGCTCTAGAGAAAGTATGGACTTTCCACAAAATAGTGTGGGGCCAAATAAATATCTACATAGGAAAAAAATTCATCTTGACCTCATATCATATGCAAAAATAATCAATTTCAGGTGGACTTTAGGCTTAATTGTGAATAACGCATCTTGAAGATGACACAGGAGGATATCTGCATGACCATGGAGTAGAAAAAAATTCTTACCTAGAACTCATAAACTATTAACCACAAAAGGAAAGACTGATCATTCAGAGGACATTAAAATTAGAAACTTCCCTTTATAGAAATTACTAATACGAAACTGAAAGGCAAGTCACAGGTTGAATTACCTGCTAATAGTATATCACTAACAAAGTCCTCATCCACAATATTTAAAGAATGCCTACAAGTTAATAATAAAAAAAGAACTGACAGGTAAAATCCAAATAAAAGGTAATCAACCTCATTAGTCTTCAGGAAATCCAAATTAAAGCCATAGTCCACACCACTGTACATCCACTAGGATGATTAAAATTACAAAGACTGACAACAGCAAGTGTCAGTGAGGATACAGAGCAAGCGGAACTCTCATACACTGTTGCTGAGTGTGTAAATGGGTACGGTCCCCTCAGAAAACTGTTTAGCGGCATCTACTAAATGTAATCATATGCATACCCATGACCCAGCAATGCCTAGATATACATACCCTCTAGAAATGAGTACAAATGTGTACAAAAGTACACATACAAGAATACTCATAGCTGCATTGTTTGAAGTAGCTAAACACTGAAAAAAATTCAATGTCAATTAACAGTAGATTGGATAGGTTGTACATATTCTTTTTACAAACATCAGCTTTATTGAGGTATAACATACATAAGATAAAAAATACCCATTTTAAGTGCAGGGTTCAATAAGTTTAGACAACTGCATACACCCATGTAACCACTACCATAACCATGATATGGAACATTTCTATTATGCTAACAAGTTCCCTGGTACCCTTTCCCAGTCAATTCAGGAAACCACAGACCTGTTTAGAAGAGGATTTTGTTTTGTTTTGTTTAAGAGACAAGGTCTTGGCCAGGCGCAGTGGCTCACGCCTGTAATCCCAGCACTTTGGGAGGCCAAGGCGGGTGGATCATGAGGTCAGGAAATCGAGACCATCCTGGCTAACACGGTGAAACCCCGTCTCTACTAAAAATACAAAAAAAATTAGCCAGGCGTGGTGGCGGGCGCCTATAGTCCCAGCTACTTGGGAGGCTGAGGCAGAATGGTGTGAACCCGGGAAGCGGAGCTTGCAGTGAGCTGAGATCGCGCCACTGTACTCCAGCCTGGGCGACAGAGAGAGACTCTGTCTCAAAAAAAAAAAAATTAAAAAAAAAGAGACAAGGTCTCACTATTTGCTATGCTGCCCAAGATGGCCTTGAATTCCTGGGTTCAAGCAATCTTTCTGTCCTCAGCCTTCCCAGTAACCAGGTCTACAGGTGCAAACCACCATGCCAACTCACAGACCTGTTTAGATTACTCTTTCCTAGGATTTCATATAAATGGAATCAGATAGTACTCTTTTGTGCTTGATTTCTTCCACTCATCAAAATGTTTTTAACAACAAGAGCATGAGCAAAATAATAAAAAGTAGATAAATTATATTTTATCAAAATTAAAAACTTTTGTGCAGCAAAGGACATTACTAAGAAAGTGAAAAAAAAGAAGGTGAAAAGACGACCTACATAATGGAGGAAAATAGATGCAAATCATATATCTGATAAGGACTTGGTAACCAGAATATATAAATACAACCAAAGACAAAAACCACGATTATCTCAACAGATGCAGAAAAGGCCTTCGACAAGATTCAACAGCCCTTCATGCTAAAAACTCTCAATAAATTAAGTATTGATGGGACGTATCTCAAAATAATAAGAGCTATTTATGACAAACCCACAGCCAATATCATACTGAATGGGCAAAAACTGAAAGCATTCCCTTTGAAAACTGGCACACAACAGGGATGCCCTCTCTCACCACTCCTATTCAACATAGTGTTGGACGTTCTGGCCAGGGCAATCAGGCAAGAGAGAGAAATAAAGCATATTCAATTAGGAAAAGAGGAGGTCAAATTGTCCCTGTTTGCAGATGACATGATTGTATATTTAGAAAACCCTATCGCCTCAGCCCAAAATATCCTTAGGCTGATAAGCAAATTCAGCAAAGTCTTAGGATACAAAATCAATGTGCAAAAATCACAAGCATTCCTATACACCAATAACAGACAGCCAAATCATGAGTGAACTCCCATTCACAATTGTTTCAAAGAGAATAAAATACCTGGGAATCCAACTTACAAGGGATGTGAAGGACCTCTTCAAGGAGAACTACAAACCACTGCTCAACGAA
Organism: Homo sapiens; assembly: GCF_000001405.40. NCBI lineage: Eukaryota > Metazoa > Chordata > Mammalia > Primates > Hominidae > Homo > Homo sapiens. Next base: position 24,654,612 of record NC_000010.11, read on the forward strand.
ATAAAAGAGGACACAAACAAATGGAAGAACATTCCATGCTCTTGGATAGGAAGAATCAATATTGTGAAAATGGCCATACTGCCCAAAGTAATTTATAGATTCAATGCCATCCCCATCAAACTAACAATGACTTTCTTCACAGAACTGGAAAAAACTACTTTAAAATTCATATGGAACCAAAAAAGAGCCTGCATTGCCAAGACAATCCTAAGCCAAAAGAACAAGGCTGGAGGCATCACACTACCTGACTTCAAACTATACTACAAGGCTACAGTAACCAAAACAGCATGGTACTGGTACCAAAACAGAGATATAGATCAATGGAACAGAACAGAGGCCTCAGAAATAACACCACATATCTACAACCATCTGATCTTTGACAAACCTGACAAAAACAAGAAATGGGGAAAGGATTCCCTATTTAATAAAAGGTGCTGGGAAAACTGGCTAGCCATACGTAGAAAGCTGAAACTGGATCCCTTCCTTACACCTTATACAAAAATTAATTCAACATGGATTAAAGACTTAAATGTTAGACCTAAAACCATAAAAATCCTAGAAGAAAACCTAGGCAATACCATTCAGGACATAGGCATGGGCAAGGACTTCGTGTCTAAAACACCAAAAGCAATGGCAACAAAAGGCAAAATTGACAAATGGGATCTAATTAAACTAAAGAGCTTCTGCACATCAAAAGAAACTACCATCAGAGTGAACAGACAATCTACAGAATGGGAGGAAATTTTTACAATCTACCCATCTGACAAAGGGCTAACATCCAGAATCTACAAAGAACTTAAACAAATTTACAAGAAAAAATCAAACAACCCCATCAAAAAGTGGGCAAAAGATATGAACAGACACTTCTCAAAAGAAGACATTTATGCAGCCAACAGACACATGAAAAAATGCTCATCATCGCGGCTGGAGGAGCGGACGGGCCCCGCGGGGCCCGAGGGCAAGGAGCAGCCGCCTGCCTTGGCCTCCCAAAGTGCCGAGATTGCAGCCTCTGCCCGGCCGCCACCCCGTCTGGGAAGTGAGGAGTGTCTCTGCCTGGCCGCCCATCGTCTGGGATGTGAGGAGCCCCTCTGCCTGGCTGCCCAGTCTGGAAAGTGAGGAGCGTCTCCGCCCGGCCGCCATCCCATCTAGGAAGTGAGGAGCGCCTCTTCCCAGCCGCCATCACATCTAGGAAGTGAGGAGCGTCTCTGCCCGGCCGCCCATCGTCTGAGATGTGGGGAGCGCCTCTGCCCCGCCACCCCATCTGGGATGTGAGGAGCGCCTCTGCCCGGCCGAGACCCCGTCTGGGAGGTGAGGAGCGTCTCTGCCCGGCCACCCCGTCTGAGAAGTGAGGAGACCCTCTGCCTGGCAACCACCCCGTCTGAGAAGTGAGGAGCCCCTCCGCCCGGCAGCTGCCCCGTCTGAGAAGTGAGGAGCCCCTCCGCCCGGCAGCTGCCCCGTCTAAGAAGTGAGGAGCCTCTCCGCCCGGCAGCCACCCCATCTGGGAAGTGAGGAGTGTCTCCGCCCGGCAGCCACCCCGTCCGGGAGGGAGGTGGGGGGGGTCAGCCCCCCGCCCGGCCAGCCGCCCCATCCGGGAGGGAGGTGGGGGGGTCATCCCCCCGCCCGGCCAGCCGCCCCGTCCGGGAGGTGAGAGGCACCTCTGCCCGGCCGCCCCTACTGGGAAGTGAGGAGCCCCTCAGCCTGGCCAGCCACCCCGTCCGGGAGGGAGATGGGGGGGTCAGCCCCCCCACCCGGCCAGCCGCCCCGTCCGGGAGGGAGGTGGGGGGGTCAGCCCTCCGCCCGGCCAGCCGCCCCGTCTGGGAGGTGAGGGGCGCCTCTGCCCGGCCACCCCTACTGTGAAGTGAGGAGCCCCTCTGCCCGGCCAGCCGCCCCGTCCGGGAGGGAGGTTGGGGGGTCAGCCCCCCGCCCGGCCAGCCGCCCTGTCCGGGAGGGAGGTGGGGGGGGTCAGCCCTCCGCCCAGCCAGCCGCCCCGTCTGGGAGGTGAGGGGCGCCTCTGCCCGGCCGCCCCTACTGGGAAGTGAGGAGCCCCTCTGCCCGGCCAGCCGCCCCGTCCGGGAGGGAGGTGGGGGGGTCGGCCCCCCGCCCGGCCAGCCGCCCCGTCCGGGAGGGAGGTGGGGGGGTCGGCCCCCCGCCCGGCCAGCCGCCCCGTCCGGGAGGGAGGTGGGGGGGTCGGCCCCCCGCCCGGCCAGCCGCCCCGTCCGGGAGGGAGGTGGGGGGGTCGGCCCCCCGCCCGGCCAGCCGCCCCGTCCGGGAGGGAGGTGGGGGGGTCGGCCCCCCGCCCGGCCAGCCGCCCCGTCCGGGAGGGAGGTGGGGGGGGGGTCAGCCCCCCTGCCCGGCCAGCCGCCCCGTCCGGGAGGTGAGGGGCGCCTCTGCCCGGCCGCCCCTACTGGAAAGTGAGGAGCCCCTCTGCCCGGCCAGCCGCCCCGTCCGGGAGGGAGGTGGGGGTGTCAGCCCCCCGCCCGGCCAGCCGCCCCGTCCGGGAGGGAGGTGGGGGGGGTCAGCCCCCCTGCCCGGCCAGCCGCCCCGTCCGGGAGGTGAGGGGCGCCTCTGCCCGGCCACCCCTACTGGGAAGTGAGGAGCCCCTCTGCCCGGCCAGCCGCCCCGTCAGGGAGGGAGGTGGGGGGGTCAGCCCCCGGCCGGCCAGCCGCCCCGTCCGGGAGGGAGGTGGGGGGGGGGTCAGCCCCCTCGCCCGGCCAGCCGCCCCGTCCGGGAGGTGAGGGGTGCCTCTGCCCGGCCGCCCCTACTGGGAAGTGAGGAGCCCCTCTGCCCGGCCAGCCGCCCCGTCCGGGAGGGAGGTTGGGGGGTCAGCCCCCCGCCCGGCCAGCCGCCCCGTCCGGGAGGTGAGGGGCGCCTCTGCCCGGCCGCCCCTACTGGGAAGTGAGGAGCCCCTCTGCCCGGCCACCACCCCGTCTGGGAGGTGTGCCCAACAGCTCATTGAGAACGGGCCAGGATGACAATGGCTGCTTTGTGGAATAGAAAGGCGGGAAAGGTGGGGAAAAGATTGAGAAACCGGATGGTTGCCGTGTCTGTGTAGAAAGAAGTAGACATGGGAGACTTTTCATTTTGTTCTACACTAAGAAAAATTCCTCTGCCTTGGGATCCTGTTGATCTGTGACCTTGCCCCCAACCCTGTGCTCTCTGAAACATGTGCTGTGTCCACTCAGGGTTAAATGGATTAAGGGCGGTGCAAGATGTGCTTTGTTAAACAGATGCTTGAAGGCAGCATGCTCGTTAAGAGTCATCACCAATCCCTAATCTCAAGTAATCAGGGACACAAACACTGCGGAAGGCCGCAGGGTCCTCTGCCTAGGAAAACCAGAGACCTTTGTTCACTTGTTTATCTGCTGACCTTCCCTCCACTATTGTCCCATGACCCTGCCAAATCCCCCTCTGTGAGAAACACCCAAGAATTATCAATAAAAAAATAAATTAAAAAAAAAAAAATGCTCATCATCACTGACCATCAAGAGAAATGCAAATTAAAACCGCAATGAGATACCATCTCACACCAGTTAGAATGGCGATCTTTAAAAAGTCAGGAAACAACAGGTACTGGAGAGGATGTAGAGAAACAGGAAAGCTTTTATACTGTTGGTGGGATTGTAAACTAGTTCAACCATTGTGGAAGACAGTGTGGCGATTCCTTAAGGATCTAGAACTAGAAATACCATTTGATCCAGCCATCCCGTTACTGGGCATATACTCAAAGGATTATAAATCATGCTGCTATAAAGACACATGCACACACACATATGTTTATTGCGGCACTATTCACAATAGCAAAGACTTGGAACCAACCCAACTGTCCATCAATGATAGACTGGATTAAGAAAATGTGGCACATGTACACCATGGAATACTATGCAGCCATAAAAAAGGATGAGTTCATGTCCTTTGTAGAGACGTCGATGAAGCTAGAAACCATCATCTGAGCAAACTATCGCAAGGATAGAAAACCAAACACTGCATGTTCTCACTCATAGGTGGGAATTGAACAATGAGAACACCTGTACACAGGGTGGGAAACTTCACACACTGGGGCCTGTTGTGGGGTGGGGGGAGAGAGGAGGCATAGCATTAGGAGATATACCTAATGTAAATGACGAGTTAACGGGTGCAGCACACCAACATGGCACATGTATACATATGTAAAAAACCTGCACATTGTGCACATGTACCCTAAAGTATTAAAAAAAAATACTTATACCTCAACAACAAAAAACAACCCAATTTAAAAACAGGCAATGGATTTGAACAGAAATTTCTCCACACAACATACACAAATGGCGACAAGCACACAAAAAGATGCCCAAAGTCATTAGGCATTAAGGAAATACAAGTGAAAACCACAGTGAGATACCACTTCACACCCACTGGGTTGGCTATAATACAAAAATGGAAAACAACACATGTTGGAGAGGATGTACAGAAATTAGAACCCTCATTCATTGCTGGTGGAGACATAGAAATGGTATAGCCACTGTGGAAAACGGTTTGGCAGTTCCTCAAAATATGAAACATAGGATTACCATGTGACCTAGCAACTCTATTCCTAGGTATAACCTCCAAAAATTGAAAACAAGAATTCAGACAAACACCTGTGCATGCATGTTCACAGCAGCACTATTGTCCAAAGAAGATATACAAATGGATCTTTTATTGTTATCTACCTTTCAAAGGAACAGAATCCTCTTTCTTTTTTTTGAGATGGAATTTCACTCTTGTTGCCCAAGATGGAGTGTGATGGCGGATCTCGGCTCACTGCAATCTCCGCCTCCCGGGTTCAAGCGATTCTCCTGCCTCAGCCTTGCGAGTAGCTGGGATTACAGGCATGTGCCACCACACCCGGCTAATTTTGGATTTTTAGTAGAGATAGGGTTTCTCCATGTTGGTCAGGCTGGTCTCGAACTCCCAACCTCAGGTGATCTGCCCACCTCGGCCTCCCAAAGTGCTGGAATTACAGGCGTAAGCCACTGCGCCCGGCCCAGAATCCTCTTTCTTACGTATTTTCAAGAATGAATTATGTGAGAGTAAAGAACTTTCTTTTTTTTGTTTTGTAGATAGAGATCTTGCTATGTTACCCAGGCTGTTCTCAACCTCCTGGCCTCAAGCTGTTCTCCTGCCTTGGCCTCCCAAAGTGCTGGGATTACAGGCATGGGCCACTATACCCATCCAAGAGTAAAGAACTTTATTGAGAGGCTGTGGTAGAAACTTAGAGACTGCCTGAGTTGTAGTCCAGTTCTGCCACCTGCTAGTAACTTAAACACTCTGCACCTTAGTTTCATCATCTGAAATATGGCGGTGATAATAACACCCACCTTAGAAGCTGTTGAGAAGGTTAAATGAGTTAATCCATGCAAAGTCTTAGAATGCAGCCAGTACACTGTTAAATTAGCTGCCACCACCACCACTACCATCATCATTATCATCTTCATCATCATCATTATTCTTCCTACTTCCTAAAATATCCTCAAGAATATTTAAGACACCTGTGATTGTACTAATAACCAGCATTAAAAGTTCATAAAAAACATACCTAATTAGTATGTTTCCCTAACTATCAGAGAAACTCAAATAGTTTAAATGGTCAGTATAGTTAAAAATGACTCTGGGAGGCAGTGGGGCACAACTGTAGTCCCAGCTACTTAGGAAGCTGAGGCAGGAGGATCACTTGAGCTCATGAATTTGAGGCTGCAGTGAGCTATCATCATGCCACTACACTCCAGCCTGGGCACAGAGCAACACCCTCTCTCTCTTAAAAAAAAAAAAAAAAAAAAAAAAGATGCTGAAGGGTTCAGTGAATGTTCCCTCCCAAAGACTTCAGAAAAGAGATCCATGTAACGCTGCTACATTTTGAAAGCAATTCTAAACATGCTTCTGATACCCCACCCAAAGCCTTCGATCATGGACCATGCTTGAAAAGTCTCCCATCAGTACAGGATACCTTTACCAAATGAGGTTTCACCAAGGTTACTGCTGAATATCACTCCAACACTGGTGGAAACTCAATTTCTAATTATGTTTTGTAATATCCAGATCTCTCTGATATTATATCTGATTTTTTGCACCAAAGAATGAAATGCTTATAATCCTCCATTCCCAATACAACATCATACATTTCCTGCATTAAATAGCCTAAAATCCTCCTCTCTGAATATTTCCTTTTATTAATGGTGCAGCGATTGTGAAGAAAGTTATTGCACATATCTCCTTAATCAAAATTGACATATGTAGCGGAAGAGCTCTGCTCATCAGTATACCACAGGAAGCTAAATATCGGATGTTCTGCTCAGGCCCCTATGCTGAGCCAGGGCTCCAACCACTGTCATCAACTTTGGATGGCATCCCGAGACCACCCTTCTCTCAAGGCCATCTGACCAGTCCCAGCTGCCGAAAGACTCACTGAAGCTGGCTGCTACCATCCCACTATTCTTATTTTGATTATTTATATTCATAAATTCTTTAAAATATTATTTATAATTATATTACATTAGAACATGTTATACTATATTGTTATATATTTATATTATAAATTATTATTTATATTCTCCAGAGATTTAAGGGAATACAGGATGTCAGCAAGGTATTAATTATCTACAAGCAACTATTACCACCAAAAATATTATTTTACTTAACCTTTTTCTTATAAAAAATCTGCATCATAGTACAGAAAACTAACCAACAAGAAGAAAAAATACTTTTAAAATATAAAAGAGTGCATACATAAAGGATATGAGAAACAAAGCAAAATGCAAACACTGGGTAAGTAAAATAATCAGAAAATTAAATGGCTCGGTATTTCTTGGTTGATAAGAAAGAAAAAAGAAAATTAAGTGGCAAAAGAGATTTCACTAAACTGCCAAAAGGAAAGAAGACCAAAACAAAATCATTCAACTGTTTAACAGAATTTTGGCATTTTAACAGCATCTCTTAGGAGTTTGAATAAAATCCTGGCAATTATTTTCTCTCCAGTGATTCTAGGCTTTGACTCTGATCATTACACTGGAGGCTCCGATTCCATTAAACTAACACAAAATTCTACATAAGAAGGATTTCATGATCTCAATATGCTTGAAAATAAGTTATCAAAGGAAATGAGACAGTAAGATAAAAATCATAACATTCTGTTGAATTAAAATACTAAATTATACATAGTTTGTTTCTGAATAGGTTGCATTCTAAAAACTGACTTGTAAATAATTGTCTAGAAGTTAGAAGAAATTTTTTTCACATACAATATGGTGTAATTGTTGATCAGGTTATTTGCAATGGTATCATGACTATCATACTTAGGGCTAAACAGGCCTTTGTGAAATAGCCTGAGACCCCAACGATCAACTGGGATGCCAACAGCAAACTCACACTTGGAAAGCAAAGGTGCGATCAAGGTAGGTGGAGCACTAGGACTCCATAACCTCATTAAGCTTTGCAGGTCCACTGCTAGCCAAGTACTGAAACTGAGTAACAAGTGATGGTTGCTCCTGCAAAGTGTTCACAGCCTCTAAACCTGGGATCTCCTTGACCTTTCTCCATGCAGGATTCACAGAATTAATTTCATAACATACTAAACATACCCTATATTTATCTTCTAATTCTTAACACTACATAAGTCATACCCTTTTTTTTAAGACATTATTTTTAAAATAAAATTAAAGAAATGAGGAAGGGACTTAAAAAGATGTTAACAGAAGTAAGAGGGCAGAATTATAAGATGGACCTAAGAGTTAGACACAACTGATTTGGAAATCCAGTTACTACCACTTACTAGCAGTGTGACTGTGGGCAAGCTATTTCTCAGCCTCAGTTCCCTCATCTACAAAATAAGAATATTATCTCATACCTTACAGGGTTAGAGTGAGGATTAAAGACGATAAAAATATGTATTATGATGCCTGAAATAGATTAAGTTCTCAGTCATGCGCTAATTTCCACCACTCTCCCAACCCACTCCCCAAAATCAAGCAGTTCTTCCAAATATATTACAATTGTATTATAAATCACTTTCTCCAAATACTCTCATACCTTTCCATATTCTTCTTTGCTTAGGAAGAAAACTACAGATCTTCTGGACTTAATACATATCCAACCTTGTTGAACTTTGATCAGAAGAGGTAAGGTACTTGAATTTCTATTTCTCTCATTTTAAAGCCTTAGTTTTCTGATTTTTAAAATTATCTTATTAGTCTTTTAACTAACTTATTGATTTACCTTTTTGTTAACCTCACTTATAATTATTTTCTCCCTCAACCTGTTAGACCCCTGATGGTAAACTTTTACTACATTTCAATTACAGTTGTCCCTTGAACAATGGGTTTGAACTCTGCAGATATGCGGATTTTTTTTTTTTTTCAGTAAAAATATGGTATTCATAGTAACACAAGGATGCAAAAGCTGTGTTTCCAATACATGGGTTCCACAGGGTCTATTACAGGACATGAATGTGTGCAGATTAGCATATATGTGGGCGGTCCTGGAAGCAATCCCCTGGGTATATCAAGGGATGACTGTATTTACATCCTTTATGGACTTTTTCTTTTAGCCATCTTATCTTCTAGTTATTATATTGACTCTATATTTTCTTACAATGTAACTTTTCTTACTTAGGATTATCCCTTAATCAACAACGCACAATGCCAGTAAAGCAACCAGATAATTTAACCTCAAACTATAGCAGTAACTCAATTCAGATCTCAAGTTCAGTTGTAAGGGATAATAATCATAAAAGATCACCGGATATGCAGCCTTGAATATCCATTCTTCTAAACGGTTTGAATGTTGTCACTGGATCAAGCCAGACTCATGGCCTATACACTTGGACCACAATGCTTTGGTGCCCATCACTTTAAACCAGGATTTCTTGTCCTTGCACTATTAATATTCGGGACCAGGTAATGGTAATAACTATTATTATTATTTTGAGACAGAGTCTTGCTCTGTCATCCATGTTGGAGTGCAGTGGTGCAATCTTGGCTCACTGCAACCTCCGCCTCCCAGGTTCAAGCGATTCTCCTGCTTCAGCCTCCTGAGTAGCTGGGATTAGAAGCGTGCATCCCCACCCCTGGCTAATTTTTTTATTTTTAGTAGAGAAGAGGTTTCACCATGTTGGCCAGGCTGGTCTCAAACTCCTGACCTCAAGTGATCTGCCCGCCTCAGCCTTCCAAAGTGCTGGGGTTACAGGCGTGAGCCACTGTGCCCAACCCAGATAATTCTTTGTTGTGGGGGGGCTGCCCTGTGCACTGTTTCAACAGCACCTCTGGCCTCTATCCACCAGATGCCAATATATACTCCCCCTCTCCCAACTGTGATAAAGATGTGTATAAAGAGGGTACATTACCATATACCTCCAGGGAGCAATATCATCCCCAGCTGAGAAGCGCTTTAAGCTGAATGAGACCTTGGGGTTTGCAGTCAGCTTACATTAAGGAACCACTTTAAAAACAGCCATAGGAAGAAGTGGTGTTGAAAATATCATCTACTATATCGCTCTTTGTTTTCCAAGGGAGAAACCCGTCTCAGACCTCAGTGCAAAATGTTGTTTTCTTAGAATAATGTGTATCCTTAACTGATCATATTCTCATCTTTTCTATGGCCACTGGCAAGCTCAAAAGCAAACTTACAGCCCACCGTCAATAACAGTATAGGACCGGCCAGGTGCAGTGGCTCATGCCTGTAATCCCAGCATTTTGGGAGGCCGAGGCAGGCGGATCATGAGGTCAAGAGACAGAGACCATCCTGGCCAACATGGTGAAACCCCGTTTCTACTAAAAATACAAAAATTAGCTGGGCGTGGTGGCGTGCGCTTTTAGTCCCAGCTACTGATGGTGGGTGAGGCAGGAGAATCGCTTGAACCCAGGAGGAGGAGGTGGCATTGAGCCGAGATCATGCCACTGCACTTCAGCCTGTCAACAGAGTGAGATTCCGTCTCAAAAAAAAAAAATAATAATAATAATAATAATAATAACAGTATAGATCCTAAACCGTGAATTTATGTGTACTAAATCTTCTGAATGTCAATTTAATTAATTTTTTACCATAATTGACCTTATATTTTATCTTGCTATAAATAAGGTGTTTCTTCATGTGGCCATAAACCCTTGAGTGAAATTAAGCATAAATTAATAATTAAAATAGGCAAACTGTTATCTTCTCCAGCAGATTATACCCTTTAGGCTCACTCTATTATTCCTCTTCAAATCTCCTTCTGCTGAATCTATAATAGATCTTCTAGTTTTCCCTTATAAATATTCAAGTTTATTCTCCCTAGCCAAAGCACAAAACTAAATCCATTCTCTTCAGCGAACTACGTCAGACACATAATGATCTGCATGAAGTTTTATAACAATGTCTTTCTATATTTATTAGAAATATATTCCCCCCCATAAGAAGCATGAATTCTAGATGCTGTGTGTCCAGTAGGTTGTCCAGGTATCAGCACATCAGCCTTTAGGATGATGGGAAGATGGAGTACCTACATCCTCCTTTCTCTTGCTGATGCCAGCTTCGTGAGTTTTCCCTTTCCCCACTAAGGCTTATTTCTAACCCATGCCAAGTAGCATTTGGAATTCATCCTAACCCTGGTGCATGACAGATGGTAATGCAGGAGTGGCTCATCTTGTACCAGTGACAACTATGAAGAGTCCTGCCTGGCCTTACACCTTCAGATTACTTTTGATAGTGCAAAAAAAAAAAAGGCCATTTCCTTCTCATTTTAACTCATAACCTTTTCAAGACCTCAAATGGTTATTACAAAGCTCCATCAACAGGTTGAGTGGTTAAACAATTTGTGGTATATTCATACAAACGAAAAAACAGTAGTACTATCAGTACCCATACATATAATACAGTGAAGGTCAAAAATATTATGCCTGACAAAAGAGTACATGCTGTATTATTTCATTTATAAAAAAAATCTAGAAGAGGCAAAAATTAACCTATACAGTGATAAAAATCAGATCAGTGATTGTCTAAAGACAGCAGAATAAAAAGGAGCACAAGGGAACTTTATGGAGTGATGGAAAGGTTGTTTTGATATCACATCTTAATTGGGATAGTGATTTCACGGGTTATACAGTCATCAAAACTTACCAAACTATACACTTACAATAGATGCAAATGTGGTATTCTTGCTAAACACGTATGACCTTGAACTAGGGAGAAAACATCAGATAAACTGAAAATGAAGGACATTCTAAAAAATAACTGATCAGTACTAGTAATAAAATACAAGGAAAGACTAAAGGGACACAACAAGTGAATACAACGTGGGATTCCGGAAGAGAACAAGGATACTAGCGGAAAAACTGGTGACATCCAAATAAAGTCTGTAGTTTACATAGTAGTATTGTACCAATGCTAATTGCTTAGTATTGTTGATTGTACCATGGTATTGTAAGTTTGTTTTGTTTTGTTTTGTTTTTTGAGACGGAGTCTCGCCCTGTCCCCCAGGCTGGAGTGCAGTGGAGCGATCTCGGCTCACTGCAAGCTCTGCCTCCCAGGTTCACGCCATTCTCCTGCCTCAGCCTCCTGAGTAGCTGGGATTACAGGCGCCCGCCACCACACCCGGCTAATATTTTGTATTTTTAGTAAAGACAGGATTTTCGCTGTGTTAGCCAGGATAGTCTCGATCTCCTGACCTTGTGATCCACCCGCCTCAGCCTCCCAAAGTGCTGGGATTACAGGCGTGAGCGACTGCGCCCGCCCCTGCCATGGTATTGTAAGTTTTTAACACTAGGGAAAGTAAAATAAAGGATACATGAAAATTCTCTGTACTATTTTTGCAACTTTGTTGTCTAAAATTATCTAGAAATAAAAGTTTTTAATGGGTGCATTTTGTTGAGTGTGAATTTTAACTCATTCAAGTTGATTTAAAATCAGTTATTAAGAAATAATTTTATCTCCAGCCTGATTGTCCTTTTACGTTCATTAATGTTTAAATCAACAGTAACATTAACTACAAGAATAACCCAAACCCTCTTCTTTTCAATATTTGACTCAATAAACCCAATTGATAAAACACACAGCATTTCTTACCTAAAATAATCACCTCATCTAGAAAGATTACTAATTGAAATAAAAATCTTAAGTGCTCTCCTTGGAATTATAATGATATATTCCTCCACAAAAACACATACAATTAACAACAAAACCATTACATGTTCAAATTAAGATGAGACAATGGAATTCATAAAACTTTGAAGTCCACAGTAAAAAACATTTAATTCTATGACTCTCACACCTAAGAACTATTATATATTTGAACACCAAAAATTATATCATCTCATTTAGTATCACTTAAAGAACAGAAAGAAATGGGTAGAAAAACATTCAGAGATAAATTAAAATGTTTATAGCATACCTCCTCTGTTTCCATTTTCTTCATCCTACAAATGAAAATATATATATACATATATGAGTACATATTTATAAACTCTTGTTAATCACAGCAAGGCTCAATTTAATTCAAATCGACCTCCCCAGATTGTGCCAATTACAATCTCACTAACAATATTCTTAATGATCACATTCTCTTCTATAGCCACTGGCAAGCTCAAAAGCAAACGTATAGCCCATCTTCAATAACAGTATAGGAAGTACCTTTTACTGGAAAGATAGAGTTTTCACAAATAGAGATAAGCAGGCTGTGGGTGAAGCCAATTTAGGGGTAAGACATCAGGAGTTCAGTTTTTGGCATTTGAGTGCGAGATTTCTAATGGAGATATCCAAGTGAAGTTGTCAAGTAGGCAGTTGGACAGATGGAAAGGTCAGGTCATCACTTACTGTACTATACTTAAATGTGCCTTTAAGGGATATTACAGGACCCAGAGCTGTCTATATAAATGGATTGGTCCCAAATTGCTACATATTTAAGTTCTTGTATTCAATTTTGAAGTTTATCTACTTGGTCTCTTTCATTGTTACCAAGCTGTCTTGCTGCCATGTTATCTACCTCTAGCTGGAAAATTAGAAAAGAAACCTTTAAAAACTAGTCTAAAAATACATTTTCAAATATTTGCTGAGCCTCTACCATACTGGAGCTACCATGTACCTTAGAAAGAAAAACAGACGTTCGGTGAAGGGCTGATAATTTATTACATAATTTTTTGACCTTTATTTTGGCTGCCCAATGTTTTTTTTTTTTCTTCTTCTGATTATAAGATCTAGTCTGAGACTGAGGTTGCCAGTTAAGTGACAAAATAAGGACACTGTTATATTAATTACACATTTTCTAAAAGCTATACAATATTAAAATTTTTAATTCGTTTGAAGTGAATTTATAAAATTTCATAATTAAAATGGAAAAGATTCCAATATATATTTTCCATGTAAAATTTACAAGACAGAGCCCTATTTACAAGAACATCTGTATTAAATAATAGCATTAATAGCTAAAATTTATTGAGCAATTACAGTGTCAATTTCTATGTTAAGTGTGTTACAAGTATTGTATCATTTAATCATCACACAGCCTGTGAGGAAGGTACTACTATTGTGTTAGTCGACTTATCCAAGGTCACAGATCTAACAGGAGGCAGAAATGGAACTCAAACCCAGGCTCTTTTGATGCCAATGACCATGCTGTTAACAAGCGTAAGCATGTCCTGGAATAGCATCATTTCATTCAAAGTTGTTTTGGTGTAACATTCACGAGAAAAATTAATTCCCCACTGGGGCCCTGTCTGTGTGAAGTTTGCACATTCTCCCTACGTCTGTGTGAGTTCTCTCCAGGTCCTATGGTTCCTTCCCACATGCCAAAACTGTGCCTGTTCGATTCACAGGTGTGCCCACATTGTCCCAGTCTGAACAAGCGTGGCTGTGTGTGTGCTCTGCAATGGGATGGACAGCATCCTGTCCAGGGTTAGGCCCCACCTCATGCCCTGAGCTGCATGAGCTGCCGGGATAGGCTCCAGCCACCCTCAACTCTGGACTTTTTATAACGCTTTCTTAAGTGTATAAACACCGCACATTTACTTCAATGTTTAATACTGGAAGTGTTTTGGTCTTTATTTACAAGTTTGGTGATTTTTTTTTTTTGACCAGAAATATGCCAAGTAAACTCTAGCCAACATAAGATCAGTTATCACTTAAATACGTTTCACATAAAGTTGCAGTTTCCAAAAATCTACTGACAATGTTAAGTGAGGGTTTATTGTACTGTGCTACTAAAATTTCTAGAAATATTTTCCAATAATAATAATACATGTTTATATAAGTTTGGTAAAATTATCTTATAAAAAAATTGTACTACCTATATGTTCATCATGACCCAAAGCTCTTATTCAAAACAAAACAAAAACAAAAAGACAAAAAATACACAATCCTAATGTAATTATCAAGTGCTCTCATATGTGACCTAATGCGTAAGTAACACTATTTGAGACTTTTTAATATCAGCTAGATTCTTAAGAGATCTAGTCCAGTTGTTTTATACACATTTGAGAAAACCCAAACAGATAAATTTCATTCTAAAGGTAGCAATTATTTACAATCCTTAAAAGATATTCAGTTGTTTCCTGTTATCTCAGTGTTAAAGTAACCAAATATAAAAAATTTTAAAAAAGAAAAGGAAAAAAAAGAGCTATTCAGTACTTCAAAAAAGCATACCCTGTAGGACATTACTAGAAAGACATATTTAACAAAAAATAATTTAAAACTGTGGTCTCTAGATAAAAATACGGACACTACTTTTTAAAAGACAGTTTTGGATTCATAGATATTTAGAATTAGAAAAGACTTTGTAATACTCTAGTTCAATTCCTACAAATGAAAATGGAAATCTAGAGGTCAAAAGAAGTGGCCTGGCCAGGGTCTCGTAACTCTTCTGAATATCATCATTTCCATTATACTATTGTGTAATAGTTCAGCATCAAGCATGTATATTGGTCAAATTCAAATCCTAGATCAACTACTTATCTGTTTTATGACCCAGATCAGTTTCCACATCTGTTATATGGGGCTAATAATACCACCTGCTCCACAGGATTCTGGCGTGGATAAAGTAAGATAACGCTCATAACGAATGGTAAGGAACACAGAGCAAGTACCCAGTGTGTCAACTGCACTTATAATTATCTCAGGCTGTCCTTTTCAGGCTGTGTTACTGTCCACTGAAGCCTGTCGATGTAATTCATTCTGATGAGAAGCTGTGTTTTTCAATTCTAACATGCCATCATATTACATATCTGAAAGTTAAGTATTGTTCTAATTCTACTAATTTTCTATAACTGCTAGAATATTTCAGTGAACCATTTCCTTTGCATAGTCTGCCCAGAAAACTCACTACCTTTCTAGATAATAAACAGTTACATATTAGAAAAAGTAGAAAGAAATCTGGAATTAGAAGTCCTTAAAAAATGCAGATTTGGAGTTTAGAATCACTATGATCTTTCAGAGAAGACTAAAGTTTCTGTTTTGTTCTTGAAGGTGGGAAAATACCTAAAAGGAGAAAAATAATATAATAAAAATTCAAATGTAATGCTTGATTCTTTTAAGACAGAAAAAAGGCCATAGGGAAGGGTAAGAGGAAGACTAGAAGGGGATAGGAATGGCCTTGTGGTTTTTTTTTCAAGTTGCGGTAACTATTTCTCTTACCTTATATGAAAATTGAATTGCAGACTCTGGGGGATAAACAATAAAATGTCTTAATGTAAAACCAAAGCCTTGAGATGTTCTTTTCAACGTAACTGTTTTGGGACCTGGCCAGGAGAATGTTTCATCTTCAGACAGTGATACAGTTTCACTTTGTTCTTTTCCATCTTTATTTTTTGAGACCTAAAGTGAAAAGATATTTAAAAGTTAACTACATAACACAATATACTTCCTCATCTAAAAAAATTCTATGTAAAAATGTTAATACCTGAGCGCCGATATGAACTATTTTCTGATGCATAAACTACACAAAGCATGCAATTATCAAAAACTAAAATTTATTATATTATTATAACAAAGCAAGCAATTATCAAAACCTAGAATTTTTTTCTAGAAAATAATGCCATAAAAAATTAGTCAGAAGAAAGAACTCTCAGAAAATAGAAATATAATTCCTAAAATTAGAAATGCAATAGAAGGAATGAAAGATAATACCAAAGAAATTTTAAAGAGCACTATGGATTAAGAAACAGAAAGCATGAAAGAACAGATATAAAACTCTGACGAAGAAATAAACCTAAACCTTATCAGATAGTCCAACAGCAACAAAGGACATTAGAAAATAACAGAAAAGGTCTTCAGGTTCTGAGCACGAATTCAATATCCACATAGATAACCCTTCTGATACCCTGGCCTTCTTGTTCTTTGACCTCCTCTCCTCCACTCTCAGCTTTCACTTGGTCATGACTGAAACCCCCTTCTAAGCCCAAATCAAGAATCCCACCTAGAACCACCACCTATTATTAGTTCACTATTTAGTTCATTCCCTCTCATCCCCCAACCCTTACAATTCTTCAATCTGGAGCTGACTCTACCACCCTTTCCCTGTCCCTCATCACCCCATGTTCTCACTTTCCTCTTAAGCCAGCTTCAATTCACTCCTTTACCCTCTCCCACTTCCTCAAAGTTGCCTGACAAAACCTAACCCTGGATAAATCAACACTGCCTACTCTGGGCCTGCTGTACTTATGCAGGTGAACGTGGGTAGAGAAAAACAAAAACTAAGCTATTTCACTCTAAGTTCATGACTACCAACCTCAAGAGAGCCTTTAGTGTTGTCAGTCAATAGTAACACATTTCTCTCTGGTCATTCATCCTAGATGACTATTTCATCCCTTTTCCCCACCCTCACCTGCAGCAGATGGTCCTGCTTTCTATTACACTCAGAAAACAGAAGCAATAAAATGAGAACTGAATCGCCTGCCATGATCACCCCATCAACCTGCAACCGTGCCCATGTTCCCCTGCCTTCCCTTCTGCTATGATGGATAAGCCATCCATTCTCACAAGGCCCCAGCAGTTGAGACTAGATTCCTCCCCTCTTACTATTCAAAGATACAGGTCCAACAATTCTCCCCTCTCTCTTTTGCATCACTTATTCTCTCTTTACTATATATAGCATTCCTATCTGCATACACATATTTTGTAATTTCTTTAATCTTAACAAAATTTTTTTTTTTTTTTTTGAGACAGGGTCTTGCTCTGTGGCCTGGGCTGGAGTGCAGTGCCATGATCATAGTTCACTGCAGACTGGATCACAGGGGCTCAGGAGATATTCCCACCTCACCCTCCCAGGTAGATGGGACTACAGGTGAATGTCATCAAGCTAATTTTTTTTTTTTTTTTTTTTTTTTTTGTAGAGACAAGGTCTCACTATGTTGCTCAGGCTGGTCTTGAGCTCCTATGCTCAAGTGATCCTCCTGGCTCAGCCTCCCAAAGTGGTGGGATTACAGGTGTGAGCCACCACACTTGGCCAAAATCCTCTCTTGATCACACACAACCCTCTCCAGCTACCACCTTGTTTGTCTGCTTCTCTTTGGCGCAAAACTCCTTAAAAGTTATCTGTACTTGCTGTTTCCAATTCTTTTCCTTCCATTTCTCTGAAATCCCTTTAAATCAGGCTTTTATCTGCCTGACTCCCAGAAACTGCTCTTGTCAGGGTCCCCCATGACTTCCACATTTTAAACTAAATGATCAATTCTCAGTTCTCATCTTATGTGCACCTTATTGGCACAGGCGTCACCTCCTCCTTCTTGAAGAATTTTCTCAACTTGACTTCTCACACTGATTTTTCTTCCAACTCACAGGCGACTTTGTCTCAGGCTCCTTTGTTCTCATCTGCTAAGTTCCTGAACCTGGAGGTACCCAGGGCTCAGTCTATGGACTTCTCTAGCTATACTCTGTCTTTTGGTGATTTCATTCCATTTCCTACATTAAACACCGTCTAATATGCAAATTATTCCCAAATCTGTATTTCTAACCCAAGCCTCTCTCCAACCTGATATGTATCTTAAACTTAACATGTCTGCATAGCTGCTAAGATTTTGTTTTAAATTACAACTCCAAGTTAATCCCAGCATTTTGAAAAGGTCACCTTTATTGAATTGCAAATGCTTGAATAGTCTTGCTTCTATTATATTTTTTATTATCTTCCACCAGTGAGTCTACCCACTCTGCCACAATAATTTGCCTCATATAAAGGTGAAAAGATAACTAGGTGGTAACATTGCCCAGCCAAACTTGCAGTAGGGGTGGCCATATGATTGAGTTCTAGTAAATGGAATGTTAATGAAAGTAATAATACAGTATACCAAAAACAAAAACAAAAACAAAAAAAAACAGCATTTCCATATACTAGCAATAAGCAACTGGAAATTTAAAACTTTTTAAAATACCATTTATAATTACATTAAAATATGAAATATTTAGGGATAAATCTGACAAAAGATTTGTAAGATCTACAAACTGAAGCTCCAAAACATTAAGAGATATTAAAGAATAAATAGAGAGATATACCATGTTCATGATTTAGAAGACGCAGTACTGTTACAATGTTAACTCTCCCCAAAGTGATCTATAAATCCATTGCAATCCCAATCAAAATCTCAGCAGATTTTTGTGTGCAAGCTGCTATGATATTTCTAAAATCCACTTTATAATGCAAAGAACCTAAAATAACCAAAACAACTTCAAATAAGAACAAAGTTGGAACACTCAGACTTCAAGACTTACAAAGCTACAGTTATCAACACAGTACAGTATTGGCATCAAGAAACACAGATTCACAGAACAGAATATGGAGTCCTGCTCTAGACCCACAACCACATGATGCTGCCATTCTACTCCTAGGTATTTATCCAAAAGAAACATGAACCCATGTCAATATTGTACAAGTATAATACAAATACTTGTAAACACAAATCGCCCTGGAACAACTGTGTGGAGGCTGTGTGCAAGAAAAGAAAAGAACTTTGATCTGTAACTCGTATCACAAACAAAAATTAACTCAAATGATCATACACCTAGGCCGGCCGTGGTGGCTCACGCCTGTAATCCCAGCACTTTGGGAGGCCGAGGCAGGCAGATCACTTGAGGCCAGGAGTTCGAGACCAGCCTGGCCAACATGGTGAAACCTCATCTCTACTAAAAATACAAAAATTAGCTGGGTGTGGTGGCACACACCTATAATCCCCACTACTTGAGAGGCTAAGGCAGAAGAATTGCTTGAACTCAGAAGGTGGAGGTTGCAGTGAGCCGAGATTACACCACTACACTCCAGCCTGGGTGCAGAGTGAGACTCTGTCTCAAAAAAGTCAAATAAAATAAATGATCATAAACCTAAATGTAACACTTAAAACTATGAAACTTCTGGAAGAAAACAGGGGAAAATCTTTATGAACTTAGGTCAAGATTTCTTAGATATAACCCCAAGGAACATAATCCATTAACAGCAACAACAAAAAATATTCACTAGAAGAACATACAATGAATTTTTTTTAAAAAGATAAATGAAACTTCATCAAAATTAAGACCCTCTGCTCTTCGAAAGACACTTCCTGGCCAGTCATGGTGGCTCACACCTGTAATCCCAGCACTTTGGGAGACTGAGGCAGGAGGATCTCAGCCAGGAGTTTGAGACCTGCCTGGGCAACACAGGGAGACCCTGTCTCTACACAAAATTTAAAAATTAGCCAGGTAGCTGGGCACAGTGGCTCACACCTGTAATCCCAGCACTTTGGGAGGCTAAAGTGAGGGGATCACCTGAGGTCAGGAGTTCAAGACCAATCTGGCCAACATGGTGAAACCCCGTCTCTACTAAAAATACAAAAATTAGCCAGGTGTGGTGGCATGCGCCTGTAATCCCAGCTACTCAGGAGAATCGCTTGAACCAGGGAGGCGGAGGTTGCAGCAAGCCGAGATCATGTCACTGCACTCCAGCCTGGGCAACAGAGCCAGACTCTGTCTCAAAACAAACAAACAAATTAGCCAGGTGTGGTGGTGCATGCCTGTAGTCCCAGCTACTCAGGAGGCTAAGGCATGAGAATCACCTGAGCCCAGGAGGTTGAAGCTACAGTGAGCTGTGATCACACCACTGCACTCCAGCCTGGGTTACAGAATGAAACCCTGCCTCAAAAAATATATATATTTTATGAAAAGTATACACACACACACACACGTATATACATACACACATACACTTTTATGAAAACGAAAAGGCAAGCCATAGAATGGGAGAATATATTTGCAAATCATGTATCTGATAAAGGACTTGTATCTAGAATATATAAAGAACTCTCAAAATTCAATAATGGAAATGCAAACTAAAACCATAATGAAATACCACTGCACACATAATAGATGTGCTATATAAAAACTAACCATACTGAGTGTTGGTCAGGACGTGAAGCAACTAGAACTCTCAGACACTGCTAGTGGGAATGTAAAATGGTACACTTTGGAAAACAGTCTGACAGTTTCTTAAGTTAAACATACACCTACCATATGACACCGCCATTCTACTCATAGAGAAATTGAAAGCATACGTCAACAGAAAGACTTGTACATAAATGTGCATAGCAACTTTATTATAGCCACAAACTGGAAAACAACTGAAATATTTCAGTAACAGATGAATGGATAACTAAACTGTGACACAGCCAAACAACAGAATGCTACTTATCAATAAAATGAAATAAACTATTGATATATGTAGCAATATGTTAATTAGGCTGAGTTAAAGAACCCAGATCAAAGAAGAAGAGGAGGAGGAGAAGGAGTACATACTGTATGCTCCATTTATATAAATCCTAGAAAAATTCTAAATACTGGTCTATACTGACTGAAAGCAGATTAGCAGTTGCTCTGGGTGGGTGTAAGGGTGGAGATTATTATGAAGCAGCATGAGGAAATGTGAAGGGTGGTGAATAACCTTGACTGTGGTGATGTTTTCACTGGTGCATACTTGCGTATAAACTTACCGAACTGTACAGTTTACACATGTACAGTTGATTATATATCAAACATACCTCAATAAAGACATTTAAACAAAAGAAGCAGCAATAGGATGCTTATCATGAAATTCAAGAAAGTGGTTATCCTGAGGGGATAGGAGTGTGTGAATGAGGAAACATGGGGCTGAGATCTGGGGAAAACACACACATTACTCCAACAGCATGGGTAATGTATAAGTTAAAATCTGTGGGGAGTTCCTAAGGGTTCATTTTATTATACCATATAAAGTCAATATGATATACAAAAAGATATATATGTGCGCATCTTTTTGTATACAGCAAATATAAACATAAAAAGTAGATCGGGCTCAGTGGCTCATGCCTGTAATCACAGCACTTTGGGAGGCTGAGGCAGGCAGATCACCTGAGGTCAGGAGTTTGAGACTAGCCTGGCCAACATGGTGAAACCCCATCTCTATTAAAAATACAAAAATTAGCTGAGTGCAATGGCACGTGCCTGTAATCCCAGCTACTTGAGAGGCTGAGGCAGGAGAAGCACTAGAACCTGGCAGGCGGAGGCTGCAGTGAGCTGAGGGCGCCACGGCACTCCAGCCTGGGCAACATAGAGAGAGACTCCGTGTCAGGGGGAAAAAACAAAAAACCCTAAAAAGTAAAAATGATTCTAGAATTTAACACTGGAAAAAATAACTATTAATCATTGTTTCCTATCTCCCATCATTCTTCAAGAACACAAGATTCTATTTTGAGTCTATCTCTTTTTTGCCAACTTTTATTGTAGGTTCTGAGTGTACATGTGCAGTTTTGTTACAAAAGTGTACTGCATTACTGCATGCTGCTGAGGACTGGCATAGGAATGTGATTCTCTCTTTTTATCTGACCCAGAATTTTAATTTCCAGTTTAGCATTGTGGTTCAGAACATAGGCTCGCATTCTCGCTTATAAGTGGGAGTTAAACAATGGGTACACATGGACATACAGAGGGGAAAAATAGATACTGGAGACTCCAAAAGCGGGGAGGGTGGAAAGGGATGAGGGTGGAAAATTACCCGTACAATGTTCACTATTCAGGTGATGGTTATGCTAAAAGCCCAGACTTCACCCCTACGCAATATACCCAGGTAACAAAACTGCACTTGTACCCCCTAAATCTATAAACATAATTTGAAAAAAAGAACTTAGGATTTGGAGATTTGGAGTCAGCTGAATCAGGCACTAACTCTGGCTCTGCCATTTGCTAGTTGCAGTATAGTGGACAATTATTTAACGTCTCTAAGCCTCAGTTTTCTCATCATTAAAATAAGAATAAATGCACTTCTCCTAAAGAATGAATGTGGATTAAATATGAAATGTGTATGAAGAGCAGAGTACATAAACATTTAATAAATATTAACTCCGGGCCAGGCACAGTGGCTCACACCTGTAATCCGAGCACTTTGAGAGGCTGAGGCAGGCAGATTATGAGGTCAGGAGTTCGAGATCAGCCTGGCCAAAGAGACCAGCCTGGCCAACCTGGTGAAGCCCCGTCTCTACTAAAAATACAAAAATTAGCTGGGCGTGGTGGTGGGCATCTGTAATCCCAGCTACTCTGGCGGCTAAGGAAGGAGAATTGCTGGAACCCAGGAGGCGGAGGTTGCAGTGAGCCAAGAACACGCCATTGTACTCCTGCCTAAGCGACAGAGCGAGACTCCGACTCTAAATAAATAAATATTAACTCCTCATTCTTTCTCTGCAAGCTCCATTGTCTTTTCAAATCTATTTTTCCTGATAGCTCTTTAAATCACAATCTCTCACAACACTTTAACATACTTGCATGTAAAATGCAACTAGAAAGATGCATCAAAGCAAATAATGGAGCATTGGAAAAAACTGGGCTAGCAATCAATAGTGTAAGTAAGAAATAAGAAAATAAGAAACTGGATCTTGGATGAACTGCTAACTTTTTCCTCCCTATTCTTAGCTATTTGTGTGAATGAAGTCTCTGAAGTCATCTATGGAGGCTATGTATATTTGAAACTAACTTATCATAAATCCGTTGTAGTTTATCCCCCACTTCTAGGATTTAGCGGAGCATAACATGAGAGACTCAAGCTAAGCCCCAAGCGACTGCAAAAGCAAGCATATGATTAGGTAGCGTTTATAGGGTAAGAGGTATGCTAGGCTTAGTTTCCCAAATAGTCTAGTTAAGCTGTAAGTAATGACTGGATCCTCCTTTTGAGATCCAAATGAGAGTTCATTGTATATGTGCAGATCACGGTCTCATTCACTGACATACTCTTCCTTCATTCAATCAATAAATGAATATTTATTGAGGACCTACTGTTTACCCAACCTTGTTCCACAGAGTAGATACACGGATGAATAAAATAGTCATTAAAATTTTAGTTCTTTTTTAAATTAAGCTTCTCATTTTGAGACAACTGTAGATTCACAGGTAGTTTTAAGAAATAATACACAGTCAGGCATGGTGGCTCATGCCTGTAATCCCAGCACTTAGGGAGGCAGAGGTGGGAGGGCAGCTTGAGCCCAGGAGTTCGAGACCAGCCTGGGCAACATAGTGAGACCTCACTCTCCACAAAAAGGAAAAAAAAAAGAGAGAGAGAGGAAAAGAAAGATAGAGAGATCCTATGTAATCTTTACGCAATTTCCTTCAACAGTAACTTCTTAGAAAACTATAGTACAACATCACAACCAGGTTACTGACACAGATACAATCCACTCGTGTTATTCATATTTCTCCAGTTTTACCTGTACTCGTTGTGTGTTTAGTTCTGTGCAGGGTTATCACATTATGTAAGTGTATATACCCACCATACCAGTCAAGATACAGAAGTGTCGCATCCCCACAAGGATCTCTCCTGTTGCCCTTTCATAACTATACCTACACCTGCTCTCTCCCTCCACCTCCTACATGTCCCCTAAAACCCTTGGCAACCACTAATCTGTTTTTCTTTTGGTTTGTTTCTGTCTTTTTGTTGTTGTTGTTTTGTTTATTTTGAGACAGTCTTGCTCTGTGGCCCAGGCTGGAATGCAGTGGTATAATCCGGCTCACTGCAGCCTTAACCTCCAATGATCAAGCAATCCTCCCACCTCAGCCTCCCAAGTAGCTGGGTCTACAGGCATGCACCGCCATCATGCCTGGCTGCCTGGTTTGTTTTGAGGGTTTTTGTTTGTTTGTTTGTTTTTGTTTTTAGAGACAGGGTCTCACTATGTTGCCCAGGCTGGCCTCAAACTCCTGGGCTGATGTTATCCTCCTGCCTTAGCCTCCCAAATTAATCTGTTCTATATTTCCATTATTTTGTCATTTCAAGAATGTTATGCAAATAGAATCATACAGTCAGTAACCATTTGGGATTGGCTTTTTTCACTTAGAATAATTCTCTGGACATTCACCGAGGTTGCTGCATGTATCTATAGTTCATTCCTTTTCATTGCTGAGTTGTATTCCATGGAATGGATGTACCACATTTTGTTTAACCATTTATCTGTTAAAAGACATCTCAGCTGTTTCAAGTTTTGGGTTACTATGAATAAATATGCTATGAACATTCACGTACAGGTTTTTGTATGAACACAATTTACATTTCCCTGGAATAAATGTCCAAGAGTGCTACTGTTGGGTCATATGTCATCTTAGCACATCTGGGCTGCTATAACAAAATATCATAGGCTAGGTTGCTTATAAACAACTGAAATTTATTTCTCATGGTTCTAGAGGCCCAGGAAGCCCAAGATCAAGGCACCGGCAGATTCAGTGTTTGGTGAAGGCCTACTTCCTAAATAGGCCGCACATTCTTGATTACATGGTGGAAGGGCAAGGTCGTTTCCTGGGGCTTCTTTTTTATAGGGGCATGAATCCCATTCATGGGGCTCCATCCTCAGAAACTAATCTCCCAAAGGGCCTACCCTCCTAAAACCATCACCTTGAGGGTTTGGGTGTCAACATATAAATTTTTGGAGGACATTCAGACCACAGCATATAATTACATGTTTACTTTTATAAGAAACTGCCAAACTGCTTTTCAGACTGGTTGTACCATTTTACATGCCCACCAGCAGTGTATAAGTGATCCATTTCTCCACATCCTTCACAGGACTTGGTATTGCCACTATTGTTTATTTTAGCCATTGTGACAAGTGGATAATGGTATCTCACTGTGATCTTAATTTGTACTTCCCTTATGGCAAATGATGATGAGTATCTTTTCATGTGCTTAGCTGCCATCCCATTATATAATTTTAGAGCACAAAAGAGTCTTTTAAGATTTAATCTAAATATTTTAAGTTTCAGGGTACATGTGCACAACGTGCAGGTTTGTTACATATGTATACATGTGCCATGTTGGTGTGCTGCACCCATTAACTCGTCATTTAACATTAGGTATATCTCCTAATGCTATCCCTCCCCTCTCCTCCCACCCCACAACAGGCCCCAGTGTGTGATGTTCCCCTTCCTGTGTCCATGTGTTCTCATTGTTCAATTCCCACCCTAAAACTTAAAGTATAATAATTAAAAAAGAAGAAAAGAAAAAAAAAGATTTAATCTAAATAAGTGAACCCTTCACACATGATGTCCAGATTTGCTAAGTGATTTATCCAAGATTGTGGCTGGTTTACATCACAGTAAGAATTAAAATAATGGTCTCCTGAATTCGATGCTAGAATATTTTCTCTATGTTAAATTGTTTTTCATCATCTCTTTTATTTCATAATCTACATATTCTTCCCCGTAACAGCTTTTTGATCTAATTTATTATCTTTTATATTTTCCTTTTCCTGTGGGACTCATATTTCAACACTTTAAAAACTATACAGTATTAAATTTATTTCTAATGTATTATTATGACTTGGCCTCACAGCTCCCAAATATATCCAAGTTTTCTTTTGTTGAAAATCATATAGGTAACTCTTGGATCATGGTTACATGCTTCACATTTCTGAATTGAGCTGCTATGTCTTGTTTTACTGGGCTCTTTACACAAACAGAGAAGATGGGATGCAGAGTAGGCAATTTCTTTCTTGCTCTCTGCAAACTAATTAAGATTTCTGAATGTGACATAGCTCAGGTGTCTCAGTCATTCCACCCACCCAGAACATAACACTGTAGCTCCTCTAGTCTCCTAGAGGGTTACATTTCTATGGGCCTTCACAGAAGCGGAAGATAAAAAAAATATACATATGTGCCCTCTTCACTCCTTCTACTCACCCACATTGCCGCTGATCTGTTAGATCTTATAACAAGGGCAAGCTATAGGCACACACAGTGAAGGAGCCAGCAGTCATGGGTTTCTCCACCTAAGAAATATCCCTCTACACACATCTTATTTCCCTAATGTGAGTGCCAATTCATGTATCAGAGTGCAAGAAGCCAAGAAGTGACTGGAATAATAGCAGTTAAATTCCTGTGGACTAAGAACTGTCATTTGACTCCCTTAAAAGACTTCATAACAAGGTCATTTGATTGAATAATAACTCAAGGTTAAAAGAAACCAAAATAAAGATTTAAAAACTAATTCCATAAAAATTAGATATAACAACTAGACAAAGCAAACTCAAAGAGGGTGAAAGAGAGTTTAAGGGGAAATCACTAATCATAAAGCAAATAAAGGTGATAAAAACCTCACATAAGGGAATGCAAACCGGCATCCCAAACAGGAACAATGGAAATGTTCCAAAAGACTGCAATGAAAGTTTCACAACTGCATAAAGTTGCTAAAAAACCATTGCAATGTATGCTTACAATGGATGGATCTTATAGTTACTAAGTCATACTTAAATAAAAATGTTATTTAGATAGACATGTTACATCTGGTTTTCACAGATAAAAAGTACAAAGTCTACATGTTCAACAGAGATGAAAGAGATAGGGCTGTCACAAAAGTAAATGCAAGGGAATTATAAAAGAGTGCCTGTATAAACAATATATAAGTCCTAATCTATCTTTTGTAATTATTTGCACTTTAAGTAGAACAGGGTCCTAGTATATTCCAGGAATCATTCATAAGACCCAAGAAAGCATTTTATACTGTGTTCTCTTAAAAGATAACTGGTATTGATTCCATCATGTAACTAAGATTACAAGCCTAACTCCCATGGACTCTTGGAAAGCATTTTGTCTTTTTTTTTTTCCATTTTACCATCAATATTAATAATACCACTTACTTAAAGTAAAATTTCGTTCCTTACATTAGGGCCAGTTTCATGGTGATGCAACACCTTTTTAGGATGTCATTAGCTGAGAAAAAACAAGACAGGATTTGAATGTGTGCAGCCACGTGGCTTTTTATTGTTGTATATAAACTGTTGGAACTAGTATGGTATGACCGTCACCTGGCTCGTTTTTTCTTTTGTAACACTGGAAGATGGCATGCTTGGGGGGAAGGACATGCACTCTGACTAGACTGCCCGGGTCTGGATTCTTGATTTGTTAAGTTGTGGCTCGTGGACAAGCTCCTTAACACAACTGTGCCTTGTCTTTAACATGAGGATGATAATGACAGTGCACTTCATATTCTTGTTAAGAAGATTAAATGAGTTTGTAAAGGGATTAAAACAGTACCAGCCACATAGTACACGCACTATTTAACTACCTAAAAAAAAAAAACATAGGGGTCACTGATACATAAAGGCTTATATCAAAAACGTATTGTGATACCACTTTTGAGATACTTGGGAAAACAGTATATAAAATATTGTTTTGTCTGAAAGGAAAAACAAAATCTTGAATATCCATAAAACTTTTAGCATATTTTTGCAGATATCACAAGTGTGATGGAAAAACAGGCTTGCTGTGAGGAATTTGTCAAAAATACACAGCTAATAGTAGGTGATGGAGCTAGCCCATGCTTTTCTCTATATGCCATGAATAGGAAGGGAATAATATGTTTTTCAACATTTAAATATTGCCTATTTTTAAATTACTCTATCCATAGTCCTAATGCCACAGAGATCAATCTTATTGTAAATTATTCCTCACATAGTAGGATTCTTTGACAGGGTATTTCTCTGCAAAATTTTTCAACATGTGGAAATCTGACGTTGTGAACTAAAGGGTTGTTTAAATTCCCACTGAGAGAAAAGACTCTTGAATACAGTTTATTGCATGCTAAGTATGCTTGATAACTTCACAAGCAGCTTGTTTACAGAGTTTCTAATTTTAAAGATTTCTTTCTCTTTTTTTTTTTGTCAATAAAGGTCGACAATGGGAAATGCTTTGATGATAAATATCTAGACGTATCTAGATGTTTTTTCCCAAAAAGTAATTCTGTTTTTCAGCGGGTATTGAACATTTAAGAGATAAAAGATGATGACTGCCTGTAATCCCAGCACTTTGAGGCCGAGGCAGGCGGATCACGAGGTCAGGAGATTGAGACCATCCTGGCTAACACAGTGAAACCCCCGTCTCCACTAAAAATACAAAAAATTAGCCAGGCGTGGTGGCGGACACCTGTGGTCCCAGCTGCTTGAGAGGCTGAGACAGGAGAATGGCGTGAACCCGGGAGGCGGAGCATGCAGTGAGTGGAGATCACACCAGTGCACTCCAGCCTGGGCAACACAGCGAAACTCCATCTCAAAAAAAAAAAAAAAAAAAAGATGATGACTAATGAGACTGTAATACTCTCACAACATGAACTTGAACAATCTAAGTGACTTTAGTTGATAATACTTCCAATTAAACATTTGGGCTTAATTTTTTTTAAATGTAGCTTTCAATGTTCAACTTCATTATTTACTTGGACATTCATTTATAATAATACTTTTCATATAGCTGGCTTTCATAAACTAACTGTTGACATGAGTCCTTTCTGCTGTATCTGTATGGTTTCATGTATGGATTATTTTTGAATCACTGATATTTTCACTATATTTATTTCTGTATTCAGGGTTCTGGTTTTTTAATTTAATTTTTACCTGGATAGCACATTTCTCTGTCTTTCTCTCTCTGATTTACTTTATTTTCAAAGGTAAGTTTTTTGTTTTTTTTTTGAGACAGAGTCTCGCTCTGTTGCCCAGGCTGGAGTGCAGTGGCATGAGCCTGGCTCACTGCAACCTCCACCTCCCAAGCCCAAGCAATCCTCCCACCTCAGCCTAGGGTATGTCTTTATAGTATAATGCCAGAAGATGGTTTGTTAATATAAATTGTAAAGGAATAACTCAGAAACCTGGTCTAGGCTATGTCCATAAGCAGCTGCTACCATACTCTGTCCCTGTCAGCCTCTCAACCTAGAAGGGCACATGGTTAGGAAACCACCTTCCCTTTGGACATGCACACATCTCACACAATGTTTTACCTGCAAAGTTTCAATTGTACTCCTCAGTGTTATTCTCAGGAAAATTAAAAACCATCTACTTCTCATTTTTCAGAAACAGTTATGGCTTCAGTTTTAGAGAAAAACAAATCAAAATAAAAATACTTTATAAAGTAATTTGCATATGCTACATACACTGCATGACTGTTTCCTAAAAAAGACAGAAAGCCTAGGCCAGGCATGGTGGCTCACACCTGTAATCCCAGCACATTGGGAGGCCAAGGTGGGCGGATCGCTTCAGGTCAGGAATTTGAGACCAGCTTGGCCAACGTATCAAAACACCGTCTCTACTGAAAATACAAAAATTAGCTGGGCGTGGTGGTGCACGCCTGTAATTCCAGGAACTCAGGAGGCCGAGGTACAAGAATCACTTGAACAAGGGAGGCAGAGGTTGCAGTGAGCCAAGATCGTGCCATTGCACTCCAGCCTTGGTTACAGAATGACACCCTGACTGAAAAGAAAAAAAAAACCCAGCAAAAAAACAACTTGAAGATACAACACTATAAAACACTCTTCAAACACTAACCATAATTAAATGATAATACAAGATCCCCAAAATTTAACTGACAACTGCCACATTTAACTATTACTACAAATTTGAGAGGCATATACAGTATTTACATTTTTTAAAATGAGGCTCAGAGAAATGCGTACTTCAAGCATTTTCTTTTTAAATGATATCTTAAATAACTTAGATCTTGCTGAAACAAAAACTCCTGTCAAAAACAAAACTTCCCAGGAGTTTATCAGTTTGACTGTTGAATAACTGAGCAAACTAGGAATGGGTTTTTTAATTTATGTTTTATTTTTAATTTTTGTTTTTTGAGATAGGATCTTACTCTCTCACCCAGGCTGGAATGCAGTGGCGTGATCACAGCTCACTGCAACCTCCACCTCCTGGGTTCAAGCAATTCTCCTGCCTCAGCCTCCTAAGTGGCTGGGATTACAGGCGCCCGCCATCTTGCCCGGCTAATTTTTGTACTTTTAGTAGAGACAGGGTTTCACCACGTTTGCCAGGCTGGTCTCGAACTCCTGATATCAGGTGATCCGCCCCCCTCAGCCTCCCAAAGTGCTGGGATTACAGGCGTGAGCCACCGCGCCCGGCCTAGGAATGGGTTAACAAATAATGACTGATATTCGGACTGCTATAATCATTTAAATCTGCTTTATATACACTTTAGTTTCCTTTTTTTTGTAAAGAAACACAGAAGGATAAATCAATATATTTAAAATTGGGGGGAGGAGGGGTTGCAGTATAAAAATGTAATTTTGGCCATTCATGTATTTCTTCCTCAACAAACCATGTAGCAGTACTCTAATAATAAATATTCAAATTTGTTTGTTTTTTCCATTCCTATATTTTAGTAAACATGCAACTTCCTAAAGGCAGAAAGAGCCAAATGATGGAAAGAAATAATTTGCTGAATACATATTCAAAAGAGTTTAGTGGCAGTCAATCATATTTAGTATAGGTCCAAAACAACAAGAGCATCCAATCAATATAGATATTAGCAGTTTATAGTGTCATAAGCATTTGGCCCCTACTCTCAAAGCCTAACTAGCTCTATTAAGCATTTATAATCAGTTACCTTTTAAGCATGTCTACCAAAATCAAAGATCACGATTTTATTTACATTCCTGATTTGCTGTTAACTTCCCAAAGAGTATCTACCAGTCATAAAGATACAATGAGATTATCATTTAGTGCAACAAACCTCTTTCTTTTCTAAATATAATACCGTATTGATAGAATTGTCTTCTTGGCTGGTGCAGTGGCTCACACCTGTAATCCCAGCACTTTGGGAGGCCGAGGTGGGCGGATCACTTGAGGTCAGGAGTTCAAGATCAGCCTGGCCAACATGGTAAAACCCCGTCTCTACTAGAAATACAAAAATTTGTCAGGCATGGTGGCAGACGCCAGTAATCCCAGCTACTCAGGAGGCTGAGGCAGGAGAATCGCTTGAACCTGGGAAGTGGAGGTTGCAGTGAGCCAAGATCGCACCACTGCACTCCAGTTTAGTTAACCCACTCACTAACATTATTTTCAATAAGGAGAGGACACTGAAGAAAAGATATTAAGCTAAAACAAATCAAGAAAAACATGGTACCACACTGTTAAGATGAAATCAAATGGGAATTCACATATACTTCACTGGAAGTACAATCTTCCTATAAACCTACTTGGCAATATCTACTAAGAAACTTCAATTTTATACTTGTTAAGCTAGTAAATAATGAAATAAGAGATAAGGGCAAAAAGACAGATTACAAGCTATTCATTCCAAGGTATAAATAACTCAAATTGGAAACTACTTAGGCCGGACATGGTGAGTCATGCCTGTAATCCCAGCACTTTGGGAAGCCGAGGCAAGAGGACTGCTTGAGCCCAGGAGTTGAAACCAGCTGTGTAACATGATGAGGCCCTGTCTCTACAAAAAATTTAAAAATCAGCCAGACATAGTAGCATGCATCTGTGGTCCAAGCTACATGGGAGGCTAAGGCAGGTGGATCCCTTGAGCCCAAGAGGTCAAGGCTGCAGTGAGCCGAGATGGCGCCACACACTCCAGCCTGGGCAACAGAGTGAGACCCTATCTCAAATAAATAAATAAATAAATAAAAATAAAGATAAATAAACTCAAACTGGAAACTATGTTGTCTAACAACAACAAAAAAGAATAGTAAGTAAATTATGATACAGCTCCTAAAGTCATGACTGTGAACATTTTTCAATGGCATGAGAAAATGCCCAAAATATAATGTTAAGCAAAAATATAAAACTCCCCAATATGATCAAAATTATTTTAATCACATACACACTTTTTGGAATTAGGAGCTGTTTAAATTTTTTCCTGAACGATTCATGGATTTTCCATAATGAACATGCACGCAAGCAGTTGTTACCTTTCACATCCAGTTGCAATATTGGGCGGCACATCCCTGCAGATGAGTTATGACTGTTTTCACATGTTTCCCGTGTACTAACTGAATAAACTATTCCTTTCTCAGCACCAAAGTGCCTTACAGCAGAACTTCCCGATCAGTGTACTTTAAGGCTTAAAAGCAGTTTCTAAGCCAGGTGAGGTGACTCACATCCATAATCCCAGCACTTTGGGAGACTGAGGCAGGCAATGGTTTGAGCCCAGAAGTTCACCTGCTACTTCCAGGAGAGCAAGGGCAACCTGATACCAACCTGGCCAACATGGTGAAACCCCATTTCTACAAAAAATACAAAATTTAGCCAGGTGTGGTGGTGCATGCCTGTAGTCCAAGCTACTCAGGAGGCTGAGGTGGGAGGGTGAGCCCATGAGGTCTGGGTGATGGAGACCCTGTCTCAAAGAAAAAAAAAGGCAGTTTCCCAGGCCCTCTACTGTAGAGAGTACCTTTACTGTAGGACTTACTAACCATATTATAATTGCTTGTTCATACATCTATCTCTTTAATCACAGAGCAGCTTCCTGACAAGATGCCCAAGTCTTACTCTAGTGCCCAACACAAAACCTGACAGAAAGCAGGACCTCAAAAATGAATGAAATTTATACGAAATGAGTAAAGTTTACATAAAACAAAGATAATAGAAAATGAAGACTTTAAAACATTGTTGGGGAATTGTTCTTATTTCCTTATTTCTCCATTTTCCTCATTTGAGGCAGTGAGTGCATATAGCACATTTCACAACAACTAGACAAAACCAGAGAAACAGACATAAACTCAAATACAGATATGCCTATTTTTACACATTTTCTTGTAAAGAAGTTTTACCAAATAGAGATATTTTCAAAAGCTACTTTATGATATGAATAAAATCTTGTTTACTCTGAATCAAGGAACAGATTGCATTTCTGTGGTTAAAAACAATTACTTCCCTTCCCTTTGGGTAGACAGGAATCACCAAATTAAAAGTCGAGCTTAAATTTCAGTTCATCTTAGCTACCAATGAAATAATGCAATCCCCTTTGAGCAGATACCAGCAATACCAAGCACGAATATAGGCTACGGAAGAAAAAGCTACAGACGGTCAGACACATATCATGTGGTTTCACTATTTTGCTTGATGAGCTATGATTATCTTGACTATGATTATCAGAAACTCATCTTATTAAATGTATGTATAAATAAGTTTTTATAATGTAAGTTAATTTTGAGTTATCAGTAATACTATATCAGCAACCAATGTTAATGGTGAACTCATTTTCATTGGCAACACTTGAGAGACTACACAATTTCAAAGAATTTTATAGCTAGAAGGAAAGTCAGAGATAACAGAATTCAATTTGGTGGCCAGGTGGAGTGGCTCATGCCTGTAATCCCAGCACTCTGGGAGGCCTAGGCGGGTGGATCACCTGAGGTCAGAAGTTCGAGGCCAGCCTGGCCAACATGGCGAAACCCCATCTCTACTAAAAATACAAAAATTAGCTGAAAGTGGTGGCGTGCCATCTGTAATCCCAGGTACTCAGGAGGCTGGGGCAGGAGAATCCCTTGAACCAAGGGAGGTGGAGGTTGAAGTGAGCCGAGATGGCACCACTGAACTCCAGCCTGGGTGACAGAGAAAGACTCCGTCTCAAAAAAAAAAATTCAATTTGGTTATTCACCATTTTATAGAACAGAACACTGACACTCCAAGAGGTTAAATGATTTGCCAAATGTTACACAAATTTTGGTGATCCAAACTATGCATTAGGGTCCAAATTAAGGCAGGACAGACCAGTAAGAGAGTACTGCTCCAATAGGCCAAGACTAGATGGGGAAACAACTTATAGAAGATGACGAAATGGTTTTTCACATGTGTAAAAATATAGGGTCTCTATGTATCAGCTAGGGTGAAGGCAGTCTCATATCAGACGTGAATCACCCATTTACTCATTAGTTCTCAGTGAAGGTTGACTGTCATAGTCTGCTATTTCCAGGAGAGCAAGGGCATCCTGACACAGGAGTTAAGCTCCGTCCTAAAAGAACCCATGCCCCATGAATAGGAAGAAAGATGGAAGCTTAAAGGGAGTAGCATCAAATATACCTAGAATTACTCAATCTCAGAGATGGGGTTTCCTTTTTCTTTCCCTTCCTCCCACTCCAAATCTCTGAGACCTTTTGCTGAAAGATAGCTTAGAACAGAAATTCAATATACAAATATTGAATACTGTATACAGAGCTGCTCTGCTTGGGAGAGAGGCAAGGGCGTTTGTACAGAAACCTACTCTACTAATTCCTTGGAAACACTAACAGTCTGATAGAGACTTTTAAAATCATAGATCTAGTTGAGCCAATTTATTTTACAAATACAGACACTGAGTCCCTGAAAGACTCACTGGTGGCCTCATAGCTAATTAGTGACACAGCTTGGACTAGAACCTCAGTTTCCAATCTTCTGATCTTGGAACTTTTCCACCATACCACTAACAAATTGTTTTAACAATCTGAAGATAATAGCTATTGGCTAATGTATCATTTTTTTTCTAATTTATATTTATGAAAACATAATGTATGTTCACTTAGGATACACCAGAAAATAAATCTAAGCAAAAAGGAAATAATTTAACTTACCTGTCATTCCCCGTCTAGAGAAAATTATGTCAATACTTCGAGACATATACATATTCTTCCAGACTTTTTCATACATAAATATACACTGGCTGGAAGTGGTGGCTCACACCTATAATTCCAACACTTTGGGAGGCCAAGGTGGGCGGATCGCCAGAGCCCAGGAATTCAAGACCAGCCTGGGCAATATGGCAAAACCCCATCTCTACAAAAAATACAAAAAATTAGCCCAGCATGGTGGCACGTGCCTGTAGTCTCAGCTACCCGGGAGGCTGAGGTAGAAGGATCATCTGAGCCCGGAAGGTTGAGGCTGCAGTGAGCCGTGATCACGCCACTGCACTCCAGCCTGGACATCAGGGTCAAGGTCTCTTGTCTCAAAAATAATTATATCTATATGTATGTATATATGTGTGTGTATATATATGTATATATGTATATGTATGTGTATATATATGTATATATGTATGTGTATATATATGTATATATGTATATGTATGTGTATATATACATGTATATATGTATATGTATGTGTATATATACATGTATATATGTATATGTATGTATATGTATATATGTATATGTGTGTGTGTGTGTGTGTATATACACATACACACAAAAAATACATACTTTAGGAAAATCTTCTAACCTATTTCTTTTTATTCAATATTTTATGTAAGTCTTTCCATATCAATTACATATACCTACATCATTATTTTTAAAGACTACATGGTATTTCATTACATAAATAACATTTTATTTGTTCACTCTTCTCTTTGTTCATTATCTTTTTTACACTACATTACTACTACTATTATTATAACTACAACTGCCTTGTAGACCAGTGTCTATGAAAAACCATTGAGAATTACATTAGGATAAATTCCTAAGAATGGAGCTGCTGGCTCAAATGTTTACTTTTTGTTTGTTTTTAGTTTTAGACACAATATTTTAAAGTGCCATCCAGAAAAGCAGGGAACCAAATCCACTGACAGCATGAGATTCCTATATCCATATTCCAGCCAACACTGAGTATTTTTTTCATCTTTGCAAATATGTTAAAGATGAAAATGGTTCTTAATGTTTTAATTTTTTTATTCTTTCATTACTAGTGAGGCTAGACATCTTGGCATATAACATGCTATTCTAAGTGCCCCATAATATAAATAACATAGAAAAACAGGATGGGCGTGGTGGCTCACTCTTGTAATCCCAGCACTTTGGGAGGCCAAGACAGGCACATCACCTGAGGTGGCGAGTTCGAGACCATCCTGATCAACATGGTGAAACCCTGTCTCTACTAAAAATACAAAAATTAGCAGGTGTGGTAGCATGTGCCTGTAGTTCCAGCTACTCAGGACGCTGAGGCAAAAGAATCGCTTGAACCCAGGAGGTGGAGGTTGCAGTGAGCCGAGATCGCGCCACTGCACTCCAGCCTGAGTGACAGAGGGAGACTCCATCTCAAAAAAAAAAATATATATATATATATACACATATATATATACACACACACACATAAACACACACATACACACACACACATATAAAACATAGAAAGGCAGATACAATATAGTCTCCAGCGTCTTTAAGATTAAATTAGAAAAGTACATGGTGTCATTGGTGTTCAGAACACAGCTCTCATATAAAATTACAAATTGGGGTTAACAGGAATGTCTTAAAATATAGTAGCAGAACTCAAAGCAAAATCCCTGGGAACTGGAAAGGAAGCTTAAAATACACAGAAACTGAGAGGTCATCAGCTGGGGTAGCAGACCCCTTAGAGACAAGATAACAAGCCTTTCAGGGTAAGAGGATCAAGCTGTCTTACATTCTGATTAGTGTGAGCACTGGTATGTACCCTAACTTTAGGCGGAAACATCAGAGTTGGTCCAGCTTTGAGTTGTTGGGTCCAGCAAAGGCAAACGGCATGAAGCTGAGCTAATAGCATCCACAGTTCCCTGGGGAAAGACAGGGCTTAGACATGGAGCAATGAGGCTGTCATCCAACTTCTAATGTGGTAATAACACACAGTTCACTCACGTTCTTTCAAATACATCGCTGAGGTCAAACTGAATTGTGTCTTATTTATTTCAAAAACCCAACTAAGTAAAAAATTCTAAATATAGAAGGTATTTATTTTATATCTTGTTCATGAAAAGTTATGATTAAATATCAAAAAGTATTTTAGACACATTTTAGAGGCATTGGTGGAACTTACTATTTCAAACCCTGGAGGAAGGCCTTTTAGAAAGCACTGAATTATTTTAATCACTTCATAATTTATGTCCTATAAATACAACTGCCTTTCAACATAATGTATTTCTGGAAACATTATAAGATGGATTATTTTAATAGGCAATATTTTTACACAGAATAAATGTTTTAATTGGCTAAAATACAGAAATGACCAAATAATGCCAGAGAAGCCCAATAATACCAGAGAAGGTTGAACAATGAGAAACCTCTAAAACCTTTTACAAGGGCAAACTGTTATGATTTTTAAGTAAGCATAAATACATAAGATGTATATTTTACAAAGAGAATCTTCAAGTATTATGAAGTGCATACAATACTCACAAAAAATAGAAATCCAATATACCATAAATTTTACTAAAAATGTGTAAGCTAGAAATAAGAAACATGAATCACTCAGATCCACCTGAAGAGACAAAATGGAATTCTCTGTTACAAGAAGGGCAGTAACACTGCTTTACTAATAGTGCAGGTGTTCAGATTTTTCTTGATGATGTTGGTATTGTTGTTATTACTGAAGTCTAGTAGATGGAGAGGAATGGTGTTGGGAGGGAAGGACATAAGTTTAGTCTGTGATATGGGTTTAAAGCACCTGTAAGGTGCCAGTGGAGATACTTAGCAGTTAAACAAACGAATCTAAGCTCAGGAAAGTGATCTGAGATTTGGAAATCATCAGTCTATCATATGATACCTATAGGCATGGAGTCGATGAAAACATCCATGGAAAGTATAGATTACGGGGGGAAAAACTGGTACAATTCTTCTTACTAAATTATATAAAATATTTAAATCAAATTTTAAGTAATTTTAATTTTCACAAGAAGAAACCATTTCTAAGAGTCTGTCTTCTTATAAACCAGCTCTATATTTTGGAAACAGTAACAGCCAAAAGTTGGAAACAACCCAAATGTCCATTAAGAGTAGAATGGATAGACCAGACTCCATGGCTCACGCATATAATCCCGGCACTTTGGGAGGCCAAGGTGGGCGGATCACCTGAGGTCAGGAGTTTGAGACCAGCCTGGCCAACATGGCGGAACCCCATCTCTACTAAAAATACAAAAAGTAGCTGGGAGTGGTGGCAGACACCTATAATCCCAGCTACTCAGGAGGCTGAGGCAGGAGAATCACTTGAATCTGAAAGGTGCAGGTTGCAGTGAGCAGAGATTGTGCCACTGCACTCCAGCCCAGGCAGCAAGAAACTCTGTCTCAAAAAATAAAAAAAATAAAAAAATTAAAAAAAAAAAGAGTAGGATAAACTGTGGTCTATTCACACAATGAACTACCATAAACAAATTTTTAGACAATTTACAGCTAATGCAACAACATGGATACATTTCAAAGATAATGCTGAGTGAAAAAAAAACACAACAGGTGCATACAGCGTGATAATATTCACACGAAAGTTCAAATAGGCAAAACCACTATATGGTGATGAAGTCTGGAGAGGGATGATCTTTGGAGGAGAAAACAATGACCACAAAAGGCATAACAGAGGCTTCTGAGGCGCTGTTCATGTTCTATGTCTGGGTGGCCAATGACGACACAGGCGTGTTCACTTTGCAAACCTCGCCAAGCTATGTATTTATGATTTATGCATTTTATGTACTGCTATATTTCTATTTAAAACATTTACAAAAACAAACATGAATCTGATTGTCATTGTCATGCTAAAAAGCCAACAATAGAATTCCCATCACGCTGGGAAGGAAATCTAAAACTTTTTTTTTTTTTTGAGACAGAGTTTTGCTCTTCTTGCCTTCTTGCCCAAGGCTAGAGTGCAATGGCACTATCTCAGCTCACTGCAACCTCTGCCTCTGCCTCCCCGGTACAAGCAATTCTCCTGCCTCAGCCTCCCGAGTAGCTTGGATTACAGGCGCTCGCCACCACGCCCGGCTAATTTTTTTGTATTTTTAGTAGAGATGGGGTTTCACCATGTTGACCAGGCTGGTCTTGAACTCCTGACCTCAGGTGATCCGCCCGCCTCAGCCTCCCAAAGTGCTGGGATTACAGGCGTGAGACACTGCGCCTGGCCCCTAAAACCTTCTCTTGCAGAGGGATTGACTCTAACCTAACACCCTCATCCCTCTCCCCCATTCACTGGCTCCTGCCACACAAATCTCCTGGCTGCGTCAAAGCTCACTACCCAAGCTCTGTCTCATCTTAGGGGTTTTACTACCATAAACCAGGTATATAAAGAAACTGTATTGAGTAGAAAATGAATGTTTTCTTTTCCTGTAAAAGAGTTTTATTTTTGTAATTATATTTTTATTTCTGTGTTCATTCATTTAGTATCTCTCTCCTCCACTAGACTATAATCTTCAGGAACACAGACATACATGTTCACCATTTTACAGCCTATACCCAGCACAGTGGTCAGGACAAAATCAGGTACAAAAGATATACACCAATGGCCCACTGAAACTTCATTTTTTTCTAAATTCACAAGTATATATTGTAACACCAAGCTGGGATCTAAATGTTAGGATTATTGCCCAAATTACATTCCTTTGATCTCTAGGCCCCAGAAAGTACCATTCAACTCACCCATACCCCCTTATGCCTAGGCCCACAATCATCAAATTTAACAAAATATTTTGACTGGTCACTATGGTTTGTGGTAAGCTTAACATAAATTCCCATTCCCTATTGCACAAGAAAGAATTAACACAGGAGGCCTGACTGCTATCCTTAGAAAGGCCAGCTTGCAAGGCGGCCCTCCGTTGGTGTTTGGCAACTGGGATTTCAAGACGGTTCCCGTCATTCCTTAATGATAGTGGCTCCCCGTGCCTAGACTGTGCAAATGACATGGTTTATGCTGAACACTTCCTTTCCTTCTGGGAGTCTAGAATGTTGATATACACTAGGCTGAAGGTACCTATGTGACCTGCCCCCAGTAAACATCTTGTCTTGAATGAGCTTCCCTGGTAGGCAGTATTTCACACATATTTTAACAATCTGTTGCTGGAAAATTAAGTATATCCTATGTGGCTCCGCTGGCAGAAGACTCTTAGAAGCTTGTAGGTGGTGTCCTCTGAACTTTGTCCCATACACTTTTTCACTTTGCTTTTGTATTCTTTCACTGTAATACATCATTGCCTGCGTACTACTTTATGCTGAATCCTTTAAGTCCTCCTAGAAAAGAAATGAACCATGGCCAGGCACAGTGCACGCCTGTAATCCCAGCACTTTGGGAGGCTGAGGCAGACAGATCACCTGAGCTCAGGAGTTCAAAACCAGCCTGGCCAAATGGTTAAACCCTGTCTCTACTAAAAATAGAAAAATTAGCTGGGCATGCTGGCACGCACCTGTCATCTCAGCTATTCAGGAGGCTGGGGC
Source organism: Homo sapiens (assembly GCF_000001405.40). Classification (NCBI taxonomy): domain Eukaryota; kingdom Metazoa; phylum Chordata; class Mammalia; order Primates; family Hominidae; genus Homo; species Homo sapiens. Next base: position 24,694,957 of record NC_000010.11, read on the forward strand.
AGGAGAATCACTTGAACCTGGGAGGTGGAGGTTGCAGTGAGCTGAGATGGTGCCACCATACTCCAGCCTGGGTAACAGAGCAAAATTCCATCTCAAAAAAAAAAAAAAAAAAAAAAAAAAAAAAAAAAAAAAAAAAAAAACGAAAAGAAAGAAAAGAAACTCCCTGAACATTATCTCCCAATTCCTAAATGGATTATCATCAATCACAGTGATAGAAAAAAGAAAACCGTGATTCCCACCTTGCAATATTCATGCTATGTGTCATCCCCTACCCTTGAGTGTGGGCTAGACCTAGCGATTTACTTCTAATAAATAGATAAATAGAATCTAGGGTGGGTGCAGTGGCTCACGCCTATAATCCCAGCATTTTCAGAGGCCGAGGCAGGTGGATCACTTGAAATCATGAGTTTAAGACCAGCCCGGCCAACGTGGCAAAACCCCGTCTCTACTAAAAATACAAAAATTAGCTGGGCGTGGTGGCGGGTGCCTGTAATTCCAGCTACTCCGGAGGCTGAGGCATGAGAATCACTTGAACCCTGGAGGCAGAGGTTGCAGTAAGCTGAGATTGCCCCACTGCATTCCAGCCTGGGTGATGGAGTGAGACTGCGTCAAAAAAAAAAAAAAAGAATAGAATTTAGCAAATGTGATGGGATATCACTTCCAAGATTAGGTTACAAAGCACTGTGACCTGTCTCGCCTACACTCTCTCTGGCTCTCTTCCATCATTTCTTCTTATGAAGCCAGCTGCCCTATTGTTAGCTGCCCTCTGGAGAGACCCATATGTCAAGAAACCTCTGAGGACAGCCTCAGCCAACAGCCCCCTTAAGAACTGAGGCCCTCAATCCAAGCACCTGCAGGGAGCTAAATCCCACCAGCAACCCATGAGTGATCCTGAAAGCAGACCCTTCCCCAGGCAAGTCTCAAGATGACTGCGGTTCTGGCTGATGCCATGATGACAGCCTCGAAAGACCCTGAGCTGGAGGACCCAGGTAAGCCAGACCTGGATTCCTGACTCCCAGAGAAACTGAGATAATAAATGTTCCTTTAATCACTAAATTTTAAGGGTAATCTGTTACTCAGCAATAGATAACTGAACTGACACACTCTACCACCAAAAACAACTAAAAATCCAGACAATATATGTGAAACAATAGTTTCCAGGCATTGGACATCAGGCCCACAAGGGACAGTGATCCCTCAAAAAGAGGACACAAACAGTGGGCCCTATGGGCGCCCTAGCTTACTACACAGAAAGTTTCAGGGCTTTGGCACAGGGCAGGGGAACCAGGCAGGGCGGCTCAAGTTCACAGCACAGAGTCCTGGAGAAGAAAGTGGCCCAGAGAGACAGAAAGCTCTGAGAATCTGCAGGGGGTCCTCCCCGACCCCAGTCTTCAGCTGAGCAATGATGAGGGAAAAGAATCTCCTGAAGAAATTACAGGCACCAACCCTCAAAACTCACACAGGACGAAGAAGAGAGCCCGTTTTCGCCAATGAGTGGGAAAAACCTCAGCATTCAGGGGCAGTAGGTAAAGTACTCAGAAGTGTACTGTGCCTCTGTAGTGGGGCAGAGTGGTTCTGAGAATGTTAACTCGAGGCAGTAAAATGTGACGCTGGATGAAGGCTGAAATGAGGCACTATGACCTAACATAGGATTAACACTGAGGCGTGGGCTCAGTGGAGGCTCAAATATACTACTGGGATGGCTCTAGGAAGTTTGGAAAAAATGATGGCCCACATTAAATGAAGTAGAGATGCCAGAACTGCTATGACAGACCATGACAGAAGGGATCTGAAGGCTCAGAGAATCGGGCCTGCTAAACACGTCTATGTGCTATGTGTTACATCAGAAAACCAACCAGCTAACAGCGACCCTCGGGAGGGCCCACAGGACACTCCGTGTACCACGGCAATACTGAATGTGCTGATGGAGGCAGTGCCAGTTCTCTGTCCCCTTCTGGCCAGCACTGACAGTAGAAGATATTGCTATAGGTCTGGGCTTCTTAAGGACCAGGGAGGATGTTAGGATCACAGAACAGCAGAGGCCAGGTAGCAGCATTTAACATTCCAAGTCAATGAAACGTAGGAATGAGTATCAAAATCAAGATAGCATCCAGAGGCCCGACCCAGAATCTCTAGAGATGGGTAACAAAACATGTTCCTAGGGGTGGCCCTTCCCTGGCTCTCATCCACCCCAGGGAAAGGTGAAAGTGATGACCCAGATGGGGCAAAACTCATTAAGCCAAGGGAAACCATCCAGAGGAAAAGGACAGCTGGAGGTATTCGCTGCTGAGAAATGGGTGAAATGGCCTTATAAAGGGGTCTGGGTGAAGGGGTGAGGGGTATGAGGACAATATGACAAATAGAGGGATGAATTTCAGCAACAGAAAAAGAAAGAGACAAAAAGAAAGCAAGAAAGAAAAGAAAGAGACACCTTTTGGTCTAGTATGTTCCCTCTCCCACTTTCCTATCCCATCTTTTCTTCTTCTCCAGGCTCCCCTCGTTTCCTTTCAGTTCACATTTTCTCCACTACTCCCTAAATGAGCCATCAATTTAAAGGATGCTTTTTTCTTACATTTTATACAGAGCTTTATAATTTCTAATTTAAAACCTGATGAGCTGGCCAGGCACGGTGGTTCATACCTCTAATCCCAGCACTTTGGGAGGCCGAAGTGGGTGGATCACTTGAGGTCAGGAGTTCGAGACCAGCCTGGCCAACACGGTGAAACCCCGTCTCTACTGAAAAAATACAAAAAATTAGCCGGGCATGGTGGTGTGCAGCTGTAATCCCAGCTACTAGGGAGGCTGAGGCAGGAGAATCGCTTGAACCTGAGAGGCAGAGGTTGCAGTGAGCGCAGATCGCACCACTGCACTCCAGCCTGGGCGACAAGAGCGAAACTCCATCTCAAAAAAATAAAAAAATAAAAAAAATAAAAAAACCCGATGAGCTGAACACTATCTTCAACTAAAGAGCCAGTAGTGTCAGAGTCATATGTACTGCATTTGGGGGGGAAATTCTAAGGCATTTTGTTGATAAAGCTAGTAAATTCAGTAGCTCCCACATTTGCTTATTATATATGACCACCCTTAGAAAAATTAAGTGCTACATTCTTTAATGGACCTATTGTATAGCTTGTATTAAATGAAGGATTTTCCCATTCATCTTTTAAATTGAAAGTCACTATGAATGGGACCCTACACAAGAAACTTTCCCCATCAATCATGAATTAAACATGGTACAACACAGGAGTCAAAATTTCATTTCTCAAATATATAGTACTATGTAAAAACATATCCTGCTTTTCTAAGAATCACTTTTTGTTATAACTAGAATTAAGAAGCCCAAGAAATCATCTAATCAGTTTATAACATAAGAAAACTAAATCCAGAGCATTAACACACTTGCTCAGTCACACAACCAAGCAGCGGCAAAGTGACTAGTGAGTACTTGCCTCTACTCTCAAGCAAACTGTTTTCCCCAAAGTTGCGGAGGAGGTAGTATTTTTAAGTGCTTTTCTCTTTGCAATCAAGTCCAACTCTCATCAAGAAGCCAAGACAGATGGGTCGGCCATCCATTCATCCACACACCATTTAGACTGTTCCTTTAAATTCTTCCTTTTCCTTCAGAGATTTCCATTTTCTCTTTCTTATTCATTTAAACCTGATTTCACCCATCAACCAGAGCTCTCAGGCAGAATACCCTACTAGGGTATACTGGCCAAGTACCTACTAGGTCCTCTTAAGTTACAGATCCAGAAGCAGCTGGCTTGCTATTAACCATCAATGTGAACTAAAATTAAGGCAAATTGTTTACAATCCAAACATAACCACTTTCCAGCTAAAAGCAATTATGCATATTGTTAAATGACAGTAATGATGCCACTTTTTAGAATTTTAACATTGAATTCTGCTCACATAGGCTCAATGTTTATAATTAGATTGCTTATATGACATGTTCACCAACTCACAATATATTTGTACATATATATCAGCAATGCTAAAGGTTTCAGTAACAGAGCAGAGGAAGAACATCAACTAATCAACACTACAAAAAGCGCCTAAAACTCACAGCCACTAATAGTTACTGCAAAACCTGATCTGCCCTTCGAAAGTGTTTTCCCACCTTAGCTTTCTCTTCAATCTTTAGCTCTTCAGTACTGTGTATCTATCATTCCAGACATTCCTTTCATCTTTTCGTCCCCTTTCTGGCTCCTATTATCTCTTTTTCAGTCTACTTCTCTCCACTACTCCCTAAATTGGCCAGCAATTGGGAATGGGAGGGAAATATATAATTTACACATATATTTGCATATTATATCCATATAATTTTATTATTTACTCTAGATGTCTGATACATCTTTAGAATTATTATTATTATTATTATTTTTTTGAGATGGAGTCTCACTCGTCCCCCAGGCTGGCGTGCAATGGTGCGACCTTGGCTCATTGCAACCTCCACCTCCCAGGTTCAAGCGATTCTCCTGCCTCAGCCTCCCGAGTAGGTGGGATTACAGGCGCCTGCCACCATGCCCAGCTAATTTTTGTATTTTTAGTAGAGATAGGGTTTCACCATGTTGGCCAGGCTGGTCTCCAACTCCTGACCTCAGGTGATCGGCTCACCTCGGCCTCCCAAAGTGCTGGGATTACAGGCATGAGTCACCGTGCCCGGCCTAGAATTACTAGTTTTAAAAGCTGATGACTAGAACACTACATTATATCCTTCGGTAAAGAGAAGGCATCAAGCACCCAGACTTTGGAGTCTCACTCCCTGGGCCTGCGTGCTGCTCTGCACCTTCTTAGCTATGTGGCCCCGACAAGAGACTTAAGCCCTTGTTTATCAGCTTCTTCGTCTGTAAAATGGGAATGTGATATTCATAGCATCTCTGTAGAGTTGGTTAAATAGTCTGACACATAGTTAAGTACTCACTAAATATTACCTATTCTTCATCACTCACAAAATATTCAACTAACGTTCCTGCGGCATTTTTCATCATTTTAGAAGCTTGCTGTGAGGGGCAGAGAGAGGTGTTTTTTTTCCTCCCCTGCTGAAGGCCAATAGCTGTGATAGCTGCAATTCTGAAGCTTAGGTCAATGGTTCTCCAATACTGCTGGTGAAATACAGAAGCGGTCTGGCTGGATTTCTCCTAACAATGGTTAATAGGCCTCTGTCCTTTAATTCCCGTCCCCTTGCTCTCACCTGCAAGATCCACCTGTGGAAAACCAGCCATCTGTGCATTTTGGCAATGCCCGTTGTGTCCCTGCACATATTAGTGTCTCTGCTCATCCCATATGCACCCTGCCCACCAGCAAGGTTTCCCTGTGCCATTTCCAGCTGATGTCTTATACACAAGGTGATGAGTGTGGAAGTGCGCCGCAAGCACGTGCAGAGAGAGCACTCACACAGCACACCCACAACGCTACAGAGAGGCTGGCCTGGAGGTCAAGCCAGGAAAAAAGCCAATTTAAAGTATTACACCTAGGCAAGGCAAAACCCTCGGAGTTCTCAGCCTAAAGTCCAATTTCCAGGCTCCCTAACTGATTAAAATAATAAGAATTAAAGATGGTTTCGATTTTTCCATTTATGTTAACAATGAAATATAAAACATGAAAAATTGAGGCTTTTCTTTATGATTAGGTATTCTGGATTAATTTAGGATCTTATCCAGTGGTTGCAAAAAAGAAGTACCATTTAGCCACTTAGAATTTTTCTACATAATTATTTAAATAATATGGTAAGTGGTAACACCATAATACTTTGCATTTGTCCTAATTTTTAAAAGGATGATACAATGTAAAGTAATATTTAAAGAAAAACAAATTAAGTACCTCTCAAAAATAACCTTTAACTCTCTTTTGGCCATTGAAGGCAGAGCTTTAATGTGTGGAAGAATCACCTGACGATCTTGTTAAACTGCAAATTCTGATTCCCTAAAGTCTAGAGTGAGACCAGAACATCCGCATTTCTTACAAGCTTCCCGGAGTGTAGATACTGCTGGTCAGTTCATAGACCACACTTAAAGTAGCAAGAATTTAAGGTACCTTAAGTGTCAAAAGGCCTATTTCCAATTTCCTAGCTTATCAACGTAAAGCCTCCGTCTACTGGTGTTAGAAGCAGCTGCTGATTTTAACAGCTCTAAGGAACAGAGAACTAGGACACAATTTAACAAAACAGGAGGAGCGGAGGAGGAAGACAAGAGGAAGGAGCTTCAGGGAGAAAGCAGTAAAAATTAAAAAAAAAAATGCTCTATGCAGCCTCTCTTTCCCTCTTCCATTTGGTTTCCCCAGGGAGAGAGGGAACTTCACTAAGCTTGAGGCCTCTTTGGTGTGGGTATCTCCTTGTCGTTTCCAGTTCGAAGGATCCAATCTAGGATTCCTCCGGCTCTTCTTTCCTGAAATGGACTTATACAAAATGAGATTTCCATTAAATAATAAAAATTTCCAATCATTTTACAACCTTCTTTCAAAGAAAAAAAAAAGTGCCTTCTTTAATGGCATGATTGTTTTTCCCTTTGTAATATCTTAAATTGGAACAGAACATTTCTCTGAGAAGGGAACATGTGAATAGAACCCTAAAGAAAGCAAAGCAGCAGGCTATGCAGAGATCTGAAATGAAAGTATTTCAGGAAGTGGGAACGGTGAGTGCAAAGGCCCTGAGATGAACAGCAAAGGAGGCCAGTGTGGTTAGAGAAGAATGACTAGGGTTTGAAAAGGAAGTAGAAACAGGGTACTGGAGATAATGAAAGAAGGGAACAAAATCTCTTCAGGCCCTTGGCTTTTATGCTAATATGGGCAGCCTCTGGTGGACTCTGGTAGAATACCATGTTCATGTTCTGATGTTTAAAATGATCATACTCGATGCTGAGCTGAAAACAGACCGCAGGCTGTATACAAGTATCTACAGAAGTGATAATGCCAGGATCTCCCATGCTTGATGCTCCCCAGTATTCCTTCTGAGTTCCCTATGTATGTGGCTGTGTAATAACAGCTGTCATTGGACTTGAAGGAAACCAAGAACTGGGATTATGTGATATGCCATATATATGAAACCTTAATGCACAACTTCTTGTATCTGGCTCCATTATTACCAAACATTCAACCCCTATTTCTAAACACTGATTAGAACATTTGAAATTTATCACACACCTTGGTGAGGGGGAGAAAATACTTCCGGTTCTTTTTTTTTTTTTTTTTTTTTGAGACGGAGTCTTGCTCTGTCGTCCAGTCTGGAGTGCAGTGGCGCGATCTCGGCTCACTGCAAGTTCCATTTCCCGGGTTCACGCCATTCTCCTGCCTCAGCCTTCTGAGTAGCTGGGACTACAGGCACCCGCCATCACGCCTGGCTAATTTTTTTGTATTTTTAGTAGAGACGGGGTTTCACCGTGTTAGCCAGGATGGTCTCGATCTCCTGACCTCGTGATCCGCCTGCCTCAGCCTCCCAAAGTGCTAGGATTACAGGCGTGAGCCACCACGCCTGGCCAATACCTCCATTCTTAATTGTGGTATGGGAATAACCAGTATTGTAATCTACAACTTTTTAAAATTCACTCATCTGTCAAGAAGCCCAAGAACAATCACCTCTCTAAGATCTTCAGAATACAAAAAATGTATTGTTTTAAGGTTTTTTTTTTGGTTTTTTGTTTTTTGGTTTTTTGAGACAAGGTCTTGCTCTGTCACCCAGGCTGGAGTGCAGTGGCAGAATCTCGGTTCACTGCAACCTCCACTTCCCCGGCTCAAGCAATTGCCCCACCTCAGCCTCCCAAATATCTGGGACTACAGGTGTGCACTACTATACTCAGCTAATTGTTTTGTAAAGATGAGGTCTCACTATATTGCCCAGGCTGTTATTAAAGTTATATCCTAAAAATAGTGTCACTATGACCCAGTAATTTCACCTCTAAGACTGTATCCTATGAAAATAATCCTGAACAGGAAACAGTTTAAAACACAAAGATATTCACCACACATTATAAGAGCAGAACACTGGAAGCAATTTAAATGTTCAACAGATAAATGGTTTCAATATATATACACACACACATAATACATAGTTTATATTATAGTGTATAATATTATACACTGTACTTTACACTCTATATTATATAGGCATTGAAAATGATGTCCTAAAATGGAAAAGTGTACATAATATTCCAACTTGTAAAACCCACACACAAACTAGACACACTGGGTGAAAAAAAATGGCAGTATCAATATATTAACAGGAGTTGAATTTGAAGGATTTAATTAAGTAAACCAATTTTAATTTTCCAGTTTTTACAAGTGACCATGCATTTGTAATTTTTAAAATTAAATTAATGGATTTTTTACTACCATCTCTTTACTTTTAATGTAAATCTCATATAACATCACCTATACCAACTTAGAATACGCTAATAATAATTGTAAGCATGTATTAAGCACTCAACACGCCAGCACTATGTTAAATGCTATATCCAGGTTATCTCATTTTAAACTTCACAACAATCCCTGATGTTGGTACTGTCAGAGAGGAGAAGGCAAGTAACACTCAAGCCATACCACTGCCACAGAGCCAGGAACAACTCCAGGCCTTGAATTCAGTTCTTGGGCACTAAACTCTGCACTTTCAACTATAACACTATACTGCCTCCATACAACAGTGGTAATATTTAATAAGTAATGTTACCTTGCAGAATTCTCAGTATGCAACCTGAGAAACATGATGGCCACTCTCCCACTTCCCATGGTATCATTTCTTTTGTCTGTCTCCTTCAGTTGTTCTCCTTCCTTCCCATCCTGCCTTTTCTGCGACTTGTTTTCTCTCACCCATACTTCTTTCCGACCTATACCATAAGCTTTCCAAGGGTATCCGGCAGCATCCTTGATTACTGCTTAGCTTCAACGGTGAAACTCAAAGAAACCAAGTGCTGTCCTAAGTATTCCTATAAACAAGAGGTTACACACTAAAAGCCTAGAGCCACATCTGGTCAGCAGATGTATTTTGCTTAGATCTCACTATTTTGAAAACCTTGAATTAGTCATCAACATTTAAAAATTAGGACACGTTAACATGAAAATTCAAATTTTCAGCTTCTCTTGAAATCTAAATGATCTGACAACAGTGGGTACAACATGACAACAATCTCCTAAAGCCAAATCTCTAGTTATCCATGGTCTCCACCAGCCTCTATTGTCTAACCCCTGACTGTGATCCACTCACTTTCTTTACTCTTCAACTGCCTGGCTCCCAAAGTACTGATTTTGTGACCTCCACCAAATACTTTAAGTGGTGACACAGAAGCCACAGGAGATGTCATATGCCATTTTTACTTTATGCTAAGTTCTACATTTTTTCTTTTCTTTTTTTTTTTTTTTTTTTGAGACAGGGTCTCACTCTGTGGCCCAGGCTGCAGTGCAGTGGCCCATTCTCAGCTCACTGCAACCTCCACATCCCACGCTCAGGTGATCCTCCCACCTCAGCCTCCCGAGTAGCTGGGACTATAGGTGCACACCACCATGCCTGACTTATTTTTCTATTTTTTTTTTTCTTTTTTGAGACAGAGTCTCGCTCCACTGCCAGGCCAGAGTACAGTGGCACAATCTCGGCTCACTGCAACCTCCGCCTCCCAGGTTCAAGCGATTCTCATGCCTCAGCCTCCCAAGCAGCTGGGATTATTAGGCACATGCCACCACGCCTGGCTAATTTTTTTTGTATTTTTAGTAGAGACAGGGTTTTGCCATGTTGCCCAGGCTGGTCTCGAACTCCTGAGATCAGGCAATCTGCCCACCTTGGCCTCCCAAAGTGCTAGGATTACAGGTGTGAGCCACCGCGTCTGGTGGTAATTTTTCTATTTTTGGTAGAGATAGGGTTTCTCCATGTTGGCCAGGCTGCTCTCGAACTCCTGGGCTCAAGTGATCCTCCCAAGGTGCTGGTATTACAGGCATGAGCCATTATGCCTGGCCTAAAAACTCTTCTTCTCAGAGACATTGGCAACTAAATGGCTGATTATCAGACCTAAACCACAAGGATGGTAGCAACAACAATCCTAGCAAAAAACCCCAGGCCAAGGCACATCCAAAAAAGCACTTTTGATATCGCTGGCTTACTGGATCAATGCACCCCTAGATTCTATTGCAACTCAAATTAAATTCCTTTGGGATTACCCAGAATGAAGACGTCTTAAAAAGGTCTCAGACCTCAAACTAGAAAGTTTTCTGATGATGAGACTAACTAATGAGTTTAGTAATTGCTGTAAACTAGTCACTAAACGCTAAAAAATTTTAAGTTTCAGCTTCGTTAGGCTCCTGGTATTATGAATTTTACATGTTAAGATAATTCCAGTATCTATCTTCTTTTATCCTCTTAGCAGCCATTCAAAATCCATATTTTTTACGGTAATGTAAATCCATTAGGCACAGACTAGAAAGTGCATTGAGGGATCAATCTTACGGTGAAACAAACAGAGACTAAATGACCTTCTCCATCTCTGATTTCTCTGATACATTAGTCTATTATGCCCAGCCTAAACTATGAAAATATTTTTTCACCATTCCAGAATAGAGAAAACAGTACATAAAGAAAAGTATTGGACACCCCAAAGTACCACTGGGAACTAATTCCATATCATAAACGAAGAAGCTCACATCACAGTTATGGAAGAACTGAGAAATGGTTGGGGCTGGGGCAAGCATGGTCAGTGTGCTTTATTTATCATTCATTGCTTTCAATTACATTTTCAACTGTTTTCCTTTTAAATTTCAAACAATATTAAATAACTTGTTTTTAGTAAGGAAGACAAATACCCACAAAGTGATGAATAACCTACGAGGTAAATAATTCATAGTTTTTAAAGATTCACTGATAACTGGAACAAAAGCTATCATTCACGTTGCTTTCTATTCTGTAAAAGAAGCCATTATGCTGAATTTGTACAATATTATCTACGATTAACAACAAAGGTCTGATAATAACAATGTTGATCGAGGGATAAAGGGAAAAATAAGAGCTTTTGCTTCTTAGGGAAGAACACTCAAAAGCAGACAATAGCTAACCTAGCAGATTTTCTCTATTGCAAAATAACCATTTTCTAAACAGACTAGTAATCAAAAAAGTTTTAAAAAGTACTTCCATTTAATCCCACTGTGAAAGAACTCAAGAACCATATTTCACTAAAACTGAAAAACTAGCTAAAAAGCAACTCACTCCAAAATCTTGCCTACTTTCTAATAAATACAATGTCAGATGCCTTCAAAAATATGTAACATTTATGTTACAATTATATTGCTTTAATTGTTGGCCACTTTTAAGTAATTCATTCTAACTTCCCCTCCTCCACCACTTAAAGCTCTGCAAATAGTCTCATCTGTGCTACTTAAGAATTAACTTAATTCTTTTAAAGTAATTCAGATCATTAGATTTATCACATTAAACAGGTATTTTGACAAAAAAAAAATTCTAAAAGATTACTTTCCTACTCTTACAAGAAGACAGTGTTTTTATATCCTGATTTACTTTTGCTTTATACATCATAGCAGTTTTGAATTAAAAAGCAAATATATACATACACACTTATGAAACAAACCTGACCACTCCATGCACAATACAGATTGCACAACAAACTCCAATTGTGGTTGATCATGCAGTCTAAAATCCTGAACTGGGCCATGACTGCCTATAGCACAGTCTGCATCTCTTCTCTGACTCAGCTTCTGTCAGCAGAGCAGCGGGGTTACGAGAGCTCTGCAGTGATGTGGTCCACAAATAAGATCTTCCCCTCCCTTTCCTGTCTAAGCAGCAATAGCTAACTGGCAGAACGACATCATCTTCCCAAATGTAGTTCCCACCAGTACATTTAAATTATTAGATCATGAAGGAAAGTTTTCATAAAATTCTTACTGAGTATTTAACATTATTTAATTTGTAAAAGGTTATTGCTTTTTCCTTCTTTTCTGGGCATCTTTAGTCATTCAATGAAAACACAACCTGGGGAGGTGGTATATAAATCAATCAACTATGCTGGCTCCGGTCCACAGCAAACAAATTCCAACACAAGGCTGTGCCATCATCAATGACGCTCACACTGACTTGATCCCAAGGGTACCAAAGGGTACTCCGTCCTTTCTTAACCTCTCAGTAGCGCCACACAGAGCTAACAACTCCTTCAATGGCTCTCATCCTGGGTACCACAGTTCCAGTCTCTTTGTTCTCTTACTACTTCTTTAACTATTACTTCTTTGCAAAAGGCAATGTAGCAATGTGAGAAAAGCCTAGATCTTAATAAGACAGATGTATGACCAAGGAGGCTAAAGACTTATCCTTTAAGCTTCAAATCATTCATTTGTAAGATGGAGACATACCTTCACGAGGTTTAATCTGAAATAACATCTGTAACATGCTTAAAACAGTGTCTAACAGATATCTAATAAATGATTAATAGTTTCAAGATGATCACCCCTTTCTGTCTAAATCAGAATTCTATCCTTGACCTCCCTCTAATTTCTTACACTTCCATAGGTGAAGTCACCTCAACCTGTGATTTTAACTATGAATTATTTCTAAAGCCCTCTTCAACACCACCCTTTCTCCCAAGCTCCAAATCTGCGTGACTAAACACTTGCTAAGCACATACACCTACATACTACATGTCCAAAACTGAATTCATCACCTTCCCTCCAAACTTGCACGACCTCCTCTATTCCCTAATCTGCATAGTGGCTGTACAACTCATCCCCCTAGTCACCCAAACAGAAACCAGAGTCATCTTAGACTCCTCCTTCCTTACCTCTCATATCTAGCTACCAAATCATGTCACTTCTCCCAAAACATATAATGAACTGTCCTTTTTCCACTCCACCGGCACTGCCTAAATTCAGACCCCCATCAACTTTCTCCTGGATTATCACAGGGCATCTAGTTGGTCTCCCAAACATCCTGTCACCCCTCTCTGGAATCTTGTCTGTTCAGGACTAACAAAAGCACCTTTTAAACTAAAAGCTAATCATATGACTACTCTATAAATTCCTTCTGTTGCTCCTTTCTGCCTGTATACAGCAGTGTTTCCCAAGTATGTTCCTACTTGTTTTATAGGATGCAGAATATAAACTACAGTTAAGTAAAAAAAAGTCTTCAATAGCAAAATAAATTTGAGAGAAGCTAGGTTAAACAATGCTGCTGCTGGAAGCTTGCCAAAGGCTAAATATAAAGATCAAATTCAAAGTCCTCAAAATCTGAAAACTGAGGCTACTGAAAAGCTTGTTTCTAACTAGTTCGCCTTGGTGGCTGGTTTGTCGGCCTCTGTCCGTCCCTTAATTGGTGGTGTTCCTCAGATTCTGGACTTTGACCCTCTTCCCTCCCTCAATGACCTCATCAACTCCCAAAACTATAATTACCATAGATGCTGGCTTAATTGAACTCTGCCTAACTGACTTGCTAGACCAACCAAAATTCTTGATTTCCTGGCTAATTCTTGAATACTGGCTGATCCCATGGCTCAACTCTATTATTATTATTTGTACAAATTTATGGGGTATCATATGCAATTTTGTTATCTGCATAGATAGTGTAGTGGTCAAGTTGGCTTTTCGTATATTTATCACCCAAATAACACACACTGTACCCATTAACTAATTTATCGTCATTCACCTGCTCCCACTCTGTCACCCTTCTGAGTCTCCATTGTCTATCCTTCCACTCTCTACACCCATGTGTACAAATTTTTAGCACCCACTTATGAGCGAGAACATGCAATATTCAACTTTCTGTGCTTGGTTTGTTTCACTTAAGATAATGTCCTCCAGTTCCATCCACATTGCTGCAAAAGATATAATTTCATTCTTTCTTATGGCTGAATAGTATTCCATGAATAGTCTTCCATTCCAAATATACCACATTGTCTTTGTCTATTCCTCCACTGATGGACACTTAGGTTGATTCCATATCTTTGCTACTGTGAATAGTGCTGCAACAAACATACAAGAGCAGATATCTTTTTGATAAGTGGATTTCTTTTCCTTTGAGTAGATTCCTAGGTCAAATGGTAGTTCCATTTTTACTTCTTTAAGAAATCTCCACACAGTTTTCCATAGAGGTTGTAACAAAGAAAAGAGAGAAGACCCAAATAAAAAAATCAGATATGAAAAAGGAGACGTTACAACTGATACCACAGAAATACAAACGATCATCAAAAACTATTATGAACAGCAATTATGCTCACAAACTAGAAAACCTAGAGGAAATGGATAAATTCCTAGAAACATACAACCACTCAAGGTTGAACCAAGAAGAAATAGAAAACCTGAACACATCAATAACAAGTAGCAAGGCTCAATCAGTAATTTAAAAAAATCTCCCAACAAAGAAAGCTCAGGACTAGATGGATTCACAGCCAAATTCTATCAAACATACAAAGAACTAAAAAGAACTAATACCAATCCTCCTGAAACTGTTCTAAGAAATCAAGGAATAAGGAATTCTCCCTAACTCATTCTATGAGGCCAGTATCACCCTGATACCAAAACTGGAAAAGGGGGCGGGCACTGCGTCTCATGCCTGTAATCCCCGCACTTTGGGAGGCTGAGACGACAGGACAGCTTGAGCTCAGGAGTTCAAGACCAGCTCAGGCAAAACAGTGAGACCTCATCTCTACAAAAAAAATTTAAAAATTAGCCAGGTGTGATGGTGCATGCCTGTAGTCCCAGCTACTCAGGAGACTGGACAGAAAGACTGCTTGAGGCCAGCAGGTCGAGGCTACAGTAAGCCATGTTCATGTCACTGCACTGCAGGCTGGGTGACAGAGCAAAACCTTCTCTTAAAAAAAAAAAAAAAACAATCCAGACAAGGACACAACAACAACAACAACAACAACAAAACCCTACAGACCAATATCCCTGACGCACACAGACACAGAAGTCCTCAACAAAATACCTGCAAACTGAATCCAACCGTACTGCAAGCTCAACTCTTACAACTGGGAAGATAATCTAGACACTCAATTCTGCTCCCAACAAGTGACATTCAAGCTTAACATAAGTCAGTTTTATTTTTGCACATATCTCTTTATGTCTGTTTTGTGTTTGGTAATAATGTAATGTAGATGGTATGGAAACTGATGAAATATGGGTAAAAACAAAAGTTGTTCTTTCTGAGAAAACTAACTTGAGTACATTGAAAGGACTCAATAAAGGCTGTTGCTCACTTCTATATTTTTCCCTTCCTGGTCTTGTAGCTGAATAAGCTACAGCTAGGGAGAATATCCAGTATCTCTAGATATAAATATTCTAGATATACTATATGTAGAATCTCTAGATAGAGAGTATCTAGTGAGACATTAAATATTCTCCCTAGTATTCTAGAGATAATAGATATTCTCCCTAGCTGTAGCATATTCAGAATCTAAAGTTGTTCCCTGTGCCACAACATTCTTCTCTTCTTTCTACCTAGTTAACTCCTTCCTCAGTTAGCTTAGACACAATCTTCCCAGGAAGATTTTCCCTGATCTCTACAGTAGGTGAGGTCAGCCTGCTATATGTTTTCATAGCTCCTTACTCTTCTGCTAAAATCCTATTCATTGCAACTCTACTATAAGTACTTGTTCAATTGTCTGCGCTTCCCATTGCCCATGTATACCCATGAAGGTAGGAACCAGACTATGTCTGTATTTTTATGCTGCGCACCCTCAGTGTCTGGCACTCAGAAGGTGCTCAATAAATGTTTGTTGAATTTGTTAATAAATGTGGAAGGACACTTCTAAATATAACAGGAAAGTTTGGCACTAGATCAAATTTGAATCATTTTTGATTAACTTCTATCTTGGGAACAAAAGGGTCATTATCATCAGTTGTAGGCAAAACACAAGTTGCTTCCTTCCTCAATCTCAGTAAGAAAGTAGCTGGTGCGGTGACTCCCGCCTTTAATCCCAGCACTTTGGGAGGCCAAGGCGGGTGGATCCCAAGGTCAGGAGTTCGAGAACAGCATGGCCAACATGGCGAAACCCCATCTCTATTAAAAATACGAAAATTGGCTGGGCATGGTGGAGGGTGCCTGTAGTCCCAGCTACTTGGGAGGCTGAGGCAGGTCAATCACTTGAACCTGAGAGGCAGAGGTTGCAGTGATCCAAGATCGCGCCACTGCACTCCAGCCTGGGCAATGGAGCAAGACTCCATCTCAAAAAAAAAAAAAAAAAAAAAAGGGAAGGAAGGAAGGAAGGAAGGAGGGAGGGAGGGTGGGAGGGAAAAAGAGAAAGAAAGAGAGAAAGAGAGAAAGAAGTTAGTTGGAGCACTTGGGCTTCTAGCAAAATCGCTGCATATCTAACAACTGATACTATTCCATCCTCTAAGATGCTGAAAAATTCTGGGAGAAGGAAAAGAAGGGTTTCAGGCATTTGATTTTCAAAAGTTCCCAGGGGAACCACTAAACGAAAAGTTCATACCAAAAAAGAAAAAAAAAAACTCAGAGACTAAAGGCCCAACTATAATCAATCTTTTATAAATCATTCCTAAACACAGTCTACTTTTCCCATCTTCAGTCCCCACGTCAGAACATCTTCATCTGTAAAATCCTTTAGAAAACTCAAACCTGTTTCACATGAAGGATAATATTCACGTAACTATCTTTTCCTTATTTGAGAATCAACATGGAAATCTCCCTGAATTCCCTTCTCCCCTCAAAAAAAGATAAGTGCAGCCAGATAGCAAGCCAACAGCAACAACAAAAACACGTGGGCAATATTTACAACAAAACTAGGTGTCAAGGCATCCCTAGGAACCCCAAAACAGACATGAGAAGAGGCAAATCACTAACAACACTTTTAAGTTGTACACAGCATCAGCATCTGGAAAGAAGGGAGCAAAGAGAAACATCTGAGCATGTGACCAAACAGAAGAAACCCCAGTGTAGGGGTTTGAACAGTAACCCCCCTGAAAGGATATGTCCACCCAGAACCTGTGGGCATGACCTTATTTTGAAAAAGGGTCTTTGCAGATGTAATTAAGAACTTTTTTTTTTTTGAGACAGTTTCACTCTGTCACCCAGTCTGGAGTGCAGTGGCTCCATCTGGGCTCACCACAACCTCCGCCACTTGGATTCAAGACGATTTTCATGCCTCAGCCTCCCGAGTAGCTGGAATTACAGGCATGCACCACTACACCCAGCTAATTTTTTGTATTTTTAGCAGAGATAGGGTTTTGCCATGTTGGCCAGGGTGGTCTCGAACTCCTGACCTCAAGTGATCTGCCTGCCTCAGCTTCCCAAAGTGCTGGGATTACAGGTGTGAGCCACTGCACCTGGCCAAGTTAAGGATCTTGAGAATTACCTAAATCCAGTGACATATGACCTTACAAGAGAAAGGCAGATGGAGACTTGGGCATGCAGTGGAGAAGGCCATGTACGGACAGGCAGAGACTGGACCTATGTTGCCACAAAATAGATATGATCTATACAGTGGTCCTTCAATATTCATGGGAGATTGGTTCCAAGACCTCCTGCGGATACCAAAATCCACGCATGCTCAAGTTCCTAATATAAAATGAAG
Organism: Homo sapiens; assembly: GCF_000001405.40. Taxonomy (NCBI): domain Eukaryota; kingdom Metazoa; phylum Chordata; class Mammalia; order Primates; family Hominidae; genus Homo; species Homo sapiens. Next base: position 24,712,458 of record NC_000010.11, read on the forward strand.
CAATATTTGCATATAACCTAACACACCTCCTGCAGTAAATCATCTCTAAATTACTTACAATACCTAATACAATGTGAATACCACATAAACGGTTGTTATACTGTGGTTTTGGGAATAATGACAAGAACAAAAACTCTGTACTTGTTCAGCACAGACACAATTTTTTTCCCCAATATTTTTGATCCACAGTTAGTTGAATCCACGAATGTGCAACCCCATGGATACAGAGGGCTGTTTATACAATCTATGGACAAAGAAGGGTGTCTATATGATTAAATAAAAAAAAAGTAAACAAAAACAATTTCCTAAAAGGATTAGAATAACAATCTGATATGAACGGGGTGCCCAGAGCCTTTCCTTCCCCTCACATCCACTACTAGCACATAATGTTTCCAGAAGCCAATATGCAGAACCCAGAGAAGAAAGTAAGTCTCACTGATCTGCCTTATACAAATTCTTTTAAATATACAATCTGTATTTACTAGGCAAATACTGGGTATTACAGAGGTATTACCTCAAGGTTAAAAAAAAAAACGGCGCTGATGAATTCCCAAGATCACACTAGCTATGCCACATTCAGAAGAATGTCTAAATATAATCATAAATCCAGCTTTGTATCTACTGATATTCAAGGACAGTCTCCACATTGTGAGTAAGGAGAAAATCAGGACATATACTCAAGAATATAAGTCTTCTCAATATATTAATGAGTAGTGCAATGAACAAAAAAATAGAACTCAAGAGAGTGTCTTCCTTAGGTTGTACGAAGGGCAAAGAAGTTGTGGGATTATAAACAGTGCTGCATACATAGCACTACTCCTGACTATGCCAGAGCCCTCTTCAGAACAGAGATAAGCAACAGGGGAAAACATAGTAAGTAACCAATTCTGAATCAAAAACACACCCAATATCAAATAGAAAACTCAGCAGCTAGTCACCAGGGAAAAGTAAATAAAGTCTTTAACTTCCCTGTTTTTTTATTTTTATTTTTTACAATAATAAACAGTTTCTTCTGATCTGTCTACTTACCCCGAAACAGATGAATAGTCAGAAATATCAAATTTGGGTTCTCAATCTATTCTTTTATTCACAAATCTACATAGTGGAAATTCTTGCACATTAAATAGATAACTAGAAGAGGACTTATAAAACATTTCCATCACATCAAGTTTCTTTTTTTCTTTTTTTTTTTTTTTAAGTGATGGGGGTCTCCCTATTTGGTCCAGGCTGGTCTCAAACTCCTGGGCTCAAGCAATCCTCCCGACTCTACCTCCCAAAGTACTGGGATGACAGGCATTAGCCACCACGTCCAGCCCACATCAAGTTTCTCAAACCTATAGTACAATATATCCATTTGTCTTTTGGATTATTTGAGAAGCACAAAATGCCATCATCCAGATTAGATTGTGAAATAATTTGCACAATACCCAATTTTATAAGAACATGGCAACTTAAACCATAAAACTATTTTAGTGAAAGCAATCCAAAATTGAGTTTTTTGCATTTAGATATCTTTCTACTTCAAACCAGGGAAGATATGGAAGGCTTACAATATTTTAACACATTTAATTACTTACAGTCAATTAAAATTAGATAAAATAGTAGGACAATCTTTAAGTCCAATAACCTTTCGTTTTAGTAATCTAATCACATCAACTAGACAGAAAAACAAGTGCCTACCATATGGTCTTTCTGTAACAGAAAATAGCTGCATTGAATAACAGCATCTGTGCATCTTATCAACGCTAGCATTGCCCATACTTAAATCAGCATATTGTTAACTATAATAAGAAGACAGGACCCTTCACAAAGCAAAGAACAAAAGAAACTGAATATTACCTTTGTGCTAGATTACTTGACCTGGTAGTAACTAAAGAAATGAAGAACATCAAGGCACAATGAACTTCATAAAACGCTTAACCTGGAAGAAATGAATGGGAAGGAACACTAACAATTTACGGAGAAATTCTTTAGATCTGGGTACTCACTTTGCTGATGGCTCTTATCTAGTGATAGGCCCCACTCAATACATTAAAATCCAGGCTTCTGCCGAAATGCCACTTAATGATCCCTGCTGCTGCTACTGCCATCATTCTCAATTCTAACAGGTTTTAGCTTTAACCCTAACTTGCAGCATAAAACTTTTGGCATGGAACAGTATTCTGACACTTAAATTCAGGTGTATGAAGAAACACAAAATTAAAATTAAATAATAGAGTTATACCATACTGTAACTAGTCTAGAATGAATCCTATGCCTCCAATGAAGAAACTTGCTTTTTAAAAATTGTTTTTTGGCCGGGCACGGTGGTTCACGCCTGTAATCCTAGCACTTTGGGAGGCCACAGTAGGCAGATCACAAGGTCAGGAGATCGAGACCATCCTAACACGGTGAAACCCCGTCTCTACTAAAAATACAAAAAATTAGCCAGGCATGGTGGCGGGCGCCTGTAGTCCCAGCTACTCGGGAGGCTGAGGCAGGAGAAAGGCATGAGCCCGCGAGGCAGAGCTTTCAGTGAGCCAAGATCACGCCACTGCACTCCAGCCTGGGCGACAGAGTGAGAGTCCATCTCAAAAAAAAAAAGAAAAGAAAAGAAAAGAAAAAGAAAAAATTGTTTTTTAAGTGTTGCTTTGAGCAGTGTGTATGCTTTTTAGTATTGTTTTAAGCAGTGTAGGTTTGCCACAAACCAAATTTTCACAAGACTGAATACATATTACCTATTTTTAAAGTCTATACATAGTGTTCTTTTATTGTCATTTTGGTAATAAAAAAGAGAAAATGTAAAAATAATATAATCCTGATATTCTCATCATTCAGAATAAACAACTGTTAACATTTCATCACGGTCAATGTTTGTGATCTTTTTTTAACTGGTTATGAAATATTTATGACATGAAAAAATAAAAATACATAATAAGGAACATCCATATACTAGCCATTCGTTTTAAGAAATAAAACATCATCCATACAGATTATCTTTTTATAGCTTCTCTTATCGACCAGTCTGATTGCCCTTTCACTTGTCTGTTAATTATCATGATCTCATCTCTTAGTGGAAATTGTTTCATACATTTGTACTACACATTGTCTTGGTTACTGTTACTTGGTTACCAGCTTCCCAAAGGTAAAAAAGGTGCAAAGAAAAAAGGCACCAAAAATTTTAACAGCAGTTCTAACGGAAATGAAATAGAATTTAAGGTGGGCAGGAGGTCTAAGGAAGAACATATTTCATACTGTACATATTTTATATAAACTAAAATAAGTATTCAGCTGGGCGCAGTGGCTCACACCTGTAATTCCAGCACTTTGGGAGGATGAGGTGGGTGGATCACTTTGAGATCAGGAGTTCGAGACCAGCCTGGGCAACATGGCAAAACCCCATCTCTACTAAACATACAAAAATTAACCAGGCATGCTGGCACACGCCTGTAATCCCAGCTACTCAGGAGGCTGAGGCAGGAGAATCACTTGAGCCTGGGAGGCGGAGGTTGCTGTGAGCGCAGATTGCACCACTGCACTCAAGCCTGCGTGACAATGCAAGGCTCTGTCTCAAAAAGAAATAAAATAAATAAGAATTCACATACTACATGTCCAAATGCAAACTCAGTAACATTTTGGAGTTTTGCTAAGTCTTTATTCATTCCAAAAACATATTTATTGACAACCTATTATGTGCTAGGCACTCTTCTAGGCACAAGAAACACAATGTGAACAAAACAGACAAACTGCACTCTCAACACCTGCGTTCTAGATATATTACCTGTCTCAAATAAACAAACAAAATCAAATGCATAAGCATGCCGGGTGGAGACTAAGTGATAGGGAGATAAAGCAAGGAAGGAAGGCAGAGCATGGCACAGGGAGCAGGGGAGGGGCATTCAACAAAGGGAGTGGTTGGCAAAGCTTCACTCGGAAGGTGACCTCTAAGCAAAAGCCCGAAGGAGCCAAGGAAGCAAGCTGTGCAGAGACTGGGGGAAGTGTTCTAAGGGGAGGGTTCAGTGAGTGGGAAGGCTCTGGGGACTCCCACGTTTGTGTACATGCAGAAAAGCAAGAGACCAGAATGGCTAGCACAGAGTGAGGCGGGAAGAGGCACAGGAGGTGCGCTCAGGGAGGGGGAAGGACCAATTATACAGGGCTTTGCAGGTCACTGCAAGAACTTTGGCCTTCAATCTTCAGAGAAATGAGAAGCCATTTGAGGAATTTGAGCAAAGGAATGACACAACTTGATTTATAAATTGTCTGTCCTGATTGCTGTGTGGAGAACAGGCTTTAGGCTGGCAAGGACTGAAGTGGAGAAATCAGTCAACCAGATCCACATGTCATATATGAGAAAAAAGAGAGACATCAAAGATCACTCCAAGATGCCTGGCCTGGAAGGATGGGATTGCTATTGCTTGAGATGAGGAAGACTGGAAGGAGCATACTTGGGAAGGTGGGCCAGGGGAATGGAGGTAGAGTCAGGATTGTGGTTTTAGATATGCCTATTTACTATTCAAATGGAGATTCTAGGCAGTCAGGTCAGTTGGATATAGGAATCTGATTCTGCGAGACAGAGGAGCAGGTCAGCAATAGAGATATACACATGTACACATAAAGAAATATAAGTGAGTGTGTGTGTGTCAATTATCTGCATATACTTGATATTTAAAACCATGAAACAGTATTGGGAGAAGAAATGAGGATTAACTGAGCTTTGAGGTGTAGAAAGGTTTAGCAAATCAGGATGTCGAGGAAACCTCAAAGAGACAGAAGGAGGTGACAACGAGGAAGGAAGATAATCAAGAGAGTATAATGTCCGGGAATCTAAATGAACACTGAATAAAATGTAAAGCCTTTCCTGCATATTCATTTATTCATTCAAAAAATATCACCTGACACTTACTATGTGTCAGTCCCTGTGGAAACAAACATGGTCCCTGCTCTTATAGGGACTGCAATCCAAGGGGGATATAGATAAACTTGTAACTGGTATTCCTGAAAGTGCAGGGTGTTTTGAGAGAATACACTAGGGGCAACTGAAAGAGTCTTGCGGGTCAGGGAAGGCTTTCCTGAGGAAGCAGTATTGAAGAAAAGACCAGTATGATGAGTAAAAATCAGCCATGGAGCAGAGGGAGGAGGAACAGGGGACAGTAGAGGGAAGGGTAGAAGAAAGGACCTGACAGGAGTTCAATCTAGGAAGAACAAAAAGAAGTAACAAGTGAGACAGAAGCGCGGACCAAATTACCAAAGTCCTTTCAGACTTCACAGAGGTCTGAATTTTATTTCAAAGGAAATGGGAAGACAGAAAATTGTCTTATAGGAGGTAATGTAACGATCAGCTGGAGTACAGTGGCGCGATTTTGGCTACCTGCAACCTCTGCCTTCCGGGTTCAAGGATTCTCATACCTCAGCCTCCAAACAGTTGGGACTACAGGTGTGCGCCACCACGCCCAGCTAATTTTTGTATTTTTAGTAGGGACCGGGTTTCACCATGTTGCTCAGGCTGGTGTACAACTCCTGACCTCAGGTCATCTGCCCATCAGGAGGATCATTCTGATTACAGTAGGGACAGAGCTGCGGAAGGGGACAAGGCTAAGTTATTGGGAAACTCCGTAGGGAATCTGTTTCTGTGGTTCATCAGTGAGATGCAGCTGACCTGAACTCAGGTGGGGGTAGTGGGTATTGGGAATGTGGACTCCACAAGACTTTGCATATGAGGAATGACGAGACGGAAGAGTGAGAATGCTGACCTAGTTTTTGACTTGGACCAATAAATAGATGGTAGTGCTACTCAGCGAAAGAAGGTGCACAGGAAGAGGGAGAGTCAGCGGTAGCGGTGAAATCTGATGAGTTTGCAATGCCTGGGGAATATCCCCCAAAAGTGTTCGGTAAATAGGCAACTGGCTGAAAAGGTCTAGAGATCAACCATAAAGCCTGAGATAGAGGGGTAGATACGGAGTCACCAGCACACAGGAGAGTGCAAAATAAAACCCAGGGAGTGAGAAAGAGAATACAGGAATGGAAAGGCCTTGGCTCTGGATAAAACCAACAATGGGGCAAGAAGAGGAAGAAAAACCCTACAAAAGAGGCAGATAGAGAGGGAGATAGAAAGGAGGGGAGGAGAAGAGAGAGCGCCTGAGAAGGAACTAGGGAGTCTGGGATGAAAGCAAAAGCAAACTGTCCAGCATTCCAGAAGGAAGAGTCAACACATGGATTCATACAAACTCGTACCCAGAAAAATGTCTTATTGTATTGTTTACAGTATTTCAAAATCAACCAACAAGTGTATTTCATCAGCCATAATACATTTCAGTCATAGAATAATCTTAGCCTAGGTCAAGAAGCAAAACAAAAATAAGTTCATTTGCATTAGTAAAAAGTTTAATAATAAAGTGACAAAAATTCTATTACTGGACAAGAGTATGGACTACAGATAAAAAATGAAATAAATGTTAGAAATGGAAAAAAAATCATGTGGTTAAGAAAGCTGAGGGAAAGTTTTCTCTTCTTTGGCTTAAAAAAAAAGTTAAACCTTGAAAGATGAAGCTATATGGATATGAAAAGGGGTGATAATATCATAGAGGATTCAACAGAAGAATCTATATAAAGTGATTTTGTGAGCAAAGTTACTCAAGGATTGGTGTCAGAAGACTTCACGGACTACACACACACACACACACACACACACACACACCCCAAAAATCACTTAAGAGGTTCAGAGTGAGTGATTTCAAGTTTTAAAAATACACCTTGAGATGTATAAAAGTATATAAATTCGTGTGAGTACCATCTGGACCATCCTTACTGTATAATGCCAAGACATATTCTACTGAACTGTCCTAATTTCTTATTTGAAGAGGGCTGTTTATTTGTTTTGAGGCTTCCAATATATCCTGGGGGTGGGGAGGCCTAAATGTATATCATATATCAACACAATAAAATTGCAATGCTTAAGATGAACAAGAAATCTCTGATTGTTTTTCAACAAAGCACAAGGCCTTATTCAGAGAAGGTGGAGTTGGCTAATTAGATAAAGCATGAAACAGAGACTCCTGTTAATTCATTACATTGATTTCTTCTGTCCTATAAAGTTAGGTTTTCTTGGCTGATTAACAGCATTACTATTAAGACACACATGCTCATCTCTTTGTTAGTTAAAAACACAATAATAAATGTAGTATCCAAACACATTATTGATTTTTAAAATTTTTTAAAGAGTGATAGTACCACTGTGGAATGTAGTGCTTCTAATAAAATTGACGACAAAAATTAAATGCAATGTTCAAAAACCTAAATATCAGCCCAAAGTATTTCATTAGCAACTAACTCCCTATTACTAAAAAATATTCACAAGATTTAATGTGTATCAGAAGCATCAATCACAGATTAAAACACGTCACAACTAAATACAGGCAATAATTACACAAGTTCTCTTCACTCCCAACCCTGAGGTTTTAAAATGTTTTCTGACAACATATATCCCCTTTATTTCCACTTCCACATAGAATCTAGGCAAAATACCTATTCTTTAGAAAGTCAAATAATATTGTAGTTTAATACCAAACCTAAATACTGTATATATATTTCACATAAGCAAAACACAGGTGATATTGTGTTTTCTTCATTGCTAAACTTAAAAACAAGATAGCCATGCTGCCAGCAGTAAGGTCCAAATGAAAACAAATTTCACAGCCGTTAAAAAATACATAACTGTCATTGTTAATAAAAGCCAAGTGTGCAACAAACTGGAAATACTGCTTGCTAGCCAAGGACAAGATGTGTCTAAATTCTTGGTTTCAGGACATCTCTTAAATGACCAAAAAAAAAAAAAAAAATCAAATAACATTAGTTCTTGCAAACAGAATGCAAATACAATGCTAATTAAAGTATTCACAAGACAATGACAAATAAGGCTTCAGGACCACAATACATATTATTATGTAACTGCAATACACATTAAGCAATCACCAGGTTGCAGGTAGGCCTTCCAAAAGGAGTTATTATGGTTTACCGTGATCAGAGGATTGTGGTGTTCCACTTAATCATGCTTTTGCCTGCAAGCAGGTGTTTACAGATGTCAAAAAGTAAAACACTGATTCTAAATGTAAACCTACAGTTCTGCCTAATAAATTGTACAGTAATAGCACACTGTACCTCACAACGTTTTCTGCATAAACTTTCTAATTCGACATGAAGTAAGCTGCATGAAGCAAGTTTCTCCGCTTGCTTTATGAACCAAAATTTAACTTCTGATTCATTTTTATTAAAATGCCAAAACTCACACACTTAGAGCCAGCCCTTGTTTCAAGGACTATGAAGTTAAAATTTAACATCCGGTGCAAAAGAAAGTGAGACAGTGAATGAGGGTTCATTTGGGTATGTTATTGTCTAAAGTAATCCTCAACCCTTCAATGAAAACATAGGCATCTCAAAAGTAAAATTTAAAGGATAACAATATTCAGTCTATTTAAAGAACAAATTACAGGAACCGCCAATGATAAACATAGTATATTCATAATAGAAGTAAATTCCGAATACTTCAATCTCCAAACACGAGGAAAAAAAAAAAAGGTGAGAGGCAACAGAGTATATGCGTGTCATAAATCAATGTATTTTCTATGATTTCTGTCCTGCCTGCTCAAAAATTTTCAGGAAGTCTGGAGTAAAATCTCTGGGCCCTTGGGAAGATGTTAGATGCTAGATGCTACCCTAACCAGCAACGCAACCCACCTGACACCCCAGAGCAGCTCACAGAACTTCAGAGTAGTGAAAGGGAGGGTATAAATAAGAGAACAGTAAAGGCAGGAGATTTTTCCGGGAGTTGGAATTACGACTCTGTAAGGTCGTTTTCCAAGGCTGTGCTTAAACTATTCACGGAAAAACACTTCTTTTTCTACCTAAAGCAGAGATCTGCAGCAACAGCAGCCAGACTCCCCTCGTCAGTACCAAAGAAAGACTAAGTTCCAGGTGCAACAAGCATACTAGCTGCCCTCTCTGCACCTTGGAGCAGACACAAATGCTGAAAGCCACCCCCAACCAGCTCAACTCCAAATATCTCGGAAGGGGACTGAAGGAAAACGGATACTGAGGTGCCCATTCTCAGGCTTGTAGCATCCACAGCCACAGAGACGGGAGAATTCCTGGCTCTGAGAAGGGGTGACCAAGATGAGGACATTCCAAACTGCGGGACATGTTCTTGCAAAAGAAACACGGGAGTCCCTGGAAACAGACGTGGGCCAGGCTTCTCCTCGCTACTGGTTAAGCTGGGGCGCTCCCGCCAACAGGCTCAAAGCCCCGGGAAGCCCCTAGTGAGGCCCCGTGGCCGGTAACCCCCAACTTGCAGGACGCTCAAGACACAGGCCACCGCCCTGCCGGCCAGGAACGCTGGCTCCGCGCTTACCTCGCAGGCCTTGAGCTTGTCACCATCTCCCTCAGACAGACCAGTCCGACGCGTGGCCATCATTTCATTTCAAATGACAAAGAAGGGACAAATCCTTTGGAGTCCACATTGGACGTGGCGGGGAATGCCACCACACACCCGAAGGGGAAGAATTCCACAAGCAGGCTCCGAGGAGGGGCAGGGCTGTTGAAACAGACAACGTGCCAGGGAATAAAGGTTTTCAGGAAGCGCCTTCAAATGCCTCGCTGATTTCTCGTGACTTCAACTGACTTCGCCTTCTTCTTCCATTTCTGGAGACTTAAAAACAAAGGCGACAGGTCTTCTTGGCAGCCAGTGTCGAGGCCAATTGCAGAAAGCGGTCCCCTTCTTCCCAGTGCCACTCCTGAGTCCTGGAAAAATCCGAATGGGTCGTGAAGGTTCGAGTGTCAGCTCCTAGAGAGATCCTAGGAAAACGAGAAGTTAAAGGTCATGAACTTTCTCCAGGCGCCTATCACTGTCTTGCCCACATGTCCACACCAAGTTCGCGTTTCCTCCCGAGCAAAACAAACAAAAAAAAATTTTAACGTAAACAAACAAAAAGCCTATAAATTCGAGGGGGTGTTTAAAAAAGAGAAATCTCGAAACTGCCCAGCGGTTGCGTCAAACACACCTGGCTGTTATGCAGCCTTCAAGAAAAAATGTTCCCCATTCAAGTGCATTTTAATTCATGTCTTTCCTGGGTAGAGCAGAGGGCTGTGCATGTTGTTTTCTGCATCACCCAGACAGGGACACTTCGGTGAAGTTTTCTCCCCCACGAGGCTGAAATGGGATCACACTTTCCAAGCCCCCTCTTCGCTCCCCTCCGCCCCCCAAAAACGCAAGCACAAAGCCAGCCTGGCTGGGGCCGGCGTGGGCTCGGCGGCGTCTCCGGGTGACTCGGGCGCCGCCCCTCCGCCCCTCCGCCCCGGCCGGCGTCCCCGAGGAGGCGGCTGTTTTCCTTGGCCCGCGGCGGGGCTGGGTGGGGACGGCCGGGGAGGCGTGCGCGGCCGCGGGTGGGACGCCGGCGCCGCTCCCGCTCCAGGGCATGATTCTGGAGCTACACCCGAGCAACTCTGAAGTCGCGGCTTTTCCCCCAACTACCACTCGACACGGCTTCCCTTCCCCTGTGGCCACCTAGGGGGAAAAAACGAGAAAAAGCAAACCACCACCCACCTCCCCACGATTCCCCCGCCCCTTCCTGAGGCGGGTCGGGGACCTCGAGCTCCCGAGGAGAGCGGCCCCAATATGGACTTTCTCAAAGGTGCTAGGAGCCCCGGGGCGAGACAAAACCGGGGGCCTTACCCTTCCCGCCCGCTCGGGCCCGGCGGCCGAAGCGCGGCGGCGAGCTGAAGCGGAGACGCTGGCCGGGCGCCGGGCCCGGCCGGGACGCGCTAGGCCGCAGGCTCGGTTAATATTCATGAGCGGCCCCAGGCGCCCCTCCTCCAAGGCTGGCCGGCCGGACCCCAGCGCCCACCGCCGGCCTTTGTGCCCTTCCCTCCGCCCCGCCGCCCGCCCTTGCTCCGCACACGCGGGCGCGGCCCCTCCGCCCCCGCCGGGCGCCCGCCGCGGGCTCCCTCCGGCCCCGAGCCAGCGCCCGGCCGGGTGGCCTGTGGCGGGAAGGGAGAGAGCCCGCGGCAAGCCGGGCACTCCACGGCCCGCGAGCGCAGCGCCCTCTCGGCTGAGACGGAAAAGAAACCAGACACGCACCAGAGGAAGCGGGACGAGTGGATCCGCACGGGGCTGGCCGGCTCCGGGACAGCGCGCCCCGCCCGCCCGCCCGGCGTGAGCCGGACCCCGCAGCCGGACGATCCCGCGCTGCCCGCCGCCGCCGCCGCCGCCGCCGCCGCGCTCCGAGGCCGCCGCCCCCGGCCGGCCGCTCCCAGGCACCGCCGCGACCTGCCCCGGCCGGCCCCGGGCTCTCGGCCGCCGCAGGAGGGCGTGGGGCGGGGCGGCGGCCGCCGGACTCTCCCCTCGCCTCGCCGGGCCGGGCCGGGGCCCAGCTCCGGCGCCCGCGAACGCCAAGTGACAGAAGCGCCTCGCTCCGTGGCCGCGCGGAGCTGTTTCCCGGGGGCGGATTTCTCGCTTCTTCCTCCCTGGATCCACCTCCTCCCACTCCACCTCCTTCCCCTCCCCTCCCCAGGGGAGGCTCTGGGGCTGAATATTTTCTGTCTTGAATAACACGGGACCGGGGAACCGACGCTGGAGAAGGGGGATTAGCCGGAGGCCGGAGCGGGGTGCTCGCCTGCCCCCTCCCCGTGGGTCGCGGGACCTACAAGCCCTCGCCCCCCAGCACCCCAAAACCAGGCACACAACGCTCCCCGCCCCTGCAGTCTCCCAAGCGCTGAACGGCAGCGTCCAGGGATGGGCTTGCTCCCGGGAAAGGAGACCTGGTGGTAGACGTCTGGGGTGGAGAGGGGGACAAGCCTATAACAGCGACATCTGCAGACTCCAGGGATCAAAGGTCCTAGATTGGGGGACAGGGCTTGGCAAATTGTGCCCCCACCCCTTTTTTGCAGCGGGAAGGCAATGAAGCTGCGACGAGACGTGGGACTTCCAGATAAGGGAGTGTCCCCTCACGCCTCACAGCAAAAATCTCTTCCTGTGGTGGGAAGGGGGAAGTTAGCCAAGCGTTGCTCATTCAGTTCTTTCCCTTTTATAAATTCTGCAGAGCGGCTGAGCGAATTTGGCGCGGCTAGCGGAACTGTGGAGAGGCGGCTGCGCTTCTCTGTCCGCCACACTCCAGGTCACAGCGGCTCCGGAGCCGCGGCACAACCGCCACCCTCCCCACCCAATTCCCGGGCCTTGTCACAGACCCCGGCAGCTCGCTCCGCCCCGCCGTGCCTCACAACATCTCCCGCTGCAAATTACCCAATCGGGAGACGCGACGAGAGAACGCGAACCAATCAGGGGCTGGTAAATCAGGCTTCCCTCCGCCCTCTTCCCCGCCCCCGGGTGAAGGCCACCGCCCCCTCGGCCTCTCCTTCCCACCCCGCCCCGCTCCGGGGAGGTGGCTCCCCGGCTCCGAGCCTCGCGGGGCTGGAGGGGGAGTTGCTCGCAGTCAGAGGCAGCGTTTGTCACCTTGTCACCCTCATCCTCGCCCCCTCCCATACACACTCCCCTCCCCTTCTCGGTGCTCCTGCTGGTGCTGTTGAGGGTCATTTTTATCCTCACTGCGGCCGGGGACTGCCAGCTATTGTGTCTGATCAGCTGCCACCGCTGTCCAGAGGGAAAAAAAGAAGAACAAAACCTAGAAACTGTGGAGTCCTCTTACCTTTTCCTTCTTTCTTTCTACACTCTCCCCTGTAGACTTAGAAACATCCCTTCTCCTTCCCCGCCCGCCCACCACCTGAGGTCCTGTTTCTTTATGGGGGACAGGGGAGCGGGGACAAAAAACACTCCCTGCAGCTGGAGTACCTGCGCCTTAGTTTTTACATCTTCCTTAAAGTGGAAGGTGCCAAACCAAATCTACAACTAAATCCTCCGCTTCAATTCGAGGGAAGACGTTGACGAGATCATTTTTATATGGCCATGAAATTTGCGTGTTCTTGACAGCCTGTCACCAAACAAGTCAGCTAATAATCAAGAAAAGAAAAATAGAATAAAATACAAGGACTGTATTTCAGTCAGATGGTAATTTACTAAATAGCCCAGTGGCTGTAGCAGTATCCAGTGCTAGATACAATTGAGTAAATTAACAAGAAGTGAATAGAAATTCAGGGTTCAAGTAGCTCACCGCTTGTGGGCTTATAGAATATGTCCAGAAAGGAAAAACAACTTACAGCACAAAACAACTCCTTGCACATGCAAATGTGCATGCATGGCATGAACGGCGTACCTAACAGCTGAGGACTTTTGGGTTAAAATTTTTGCACTAGAAATTTTTTAAATGTTGATTGTGAAATTTTCAGTTTGATAAAGGAGAGTAAAATGTGGGCCATGAAAGGAGAAGGAAAAGGAAGGAAAACACATTCTAGGAATTATGGAAAAATAACATAACCTAGAGAGGCAATATTTCTATAAGAGGTAATAAGATGTAAGGATCAAGATTACAATCCAACTCCATCATTTACCACGTAACTTAGGGAAAATTATGACTTATGTGTCTAAGTACTAGAGCTATCAAATTCAATACCTCCTGCTAGGTACTCCTCTAAAAGCTTTACACACAACATATTGAGATAGGTGGGTGGTGAAGCAAGGATTCAAGCCCAGGGGATCTGGCTCCAGAGTCCATTCTTTTATTCACAACACTATACTAGGCTGGGCCCAGTGGCTTATGCCTGTAATCCCAGCACTTTGGGAGGCTGAGGTGGGAGGATCGCTTGAGTCCAGGAGTTTGAGACCAGCGTGGACAACATAGGGAGACCCGTCTGTACAAACAAAAAGTTAGCTGGGCGTGGTGGCATGTGCCTGTAGTCCCAGCTACAAAGGAGGCTGTGAGGCAGGAGGATCGCTTGAGCCCAGCAGTTCAAGGCTGCAGTGAGCCCTGTCCAAGTGTGGCACTCTAGCTAGGGCAACAGAGCCAGACTGTGTCTCAAAAAATAATAAATAAATAAATAAATAAATAAATCACTGTACTACCTCTTAATATGGGTTTTTAATAATAACAGCTAACACTTAACTTACTATGTGTGAATTATTGTGGTCTTTGAGTGCCAATTTAACTCTACTCCTGGGACAAATATAATTGTGATGTTCTAAAATTTGGGAATGTTTTTAAGAACTGTTATGATAAGTTACTATCTTAGGTATCTTAAGTGTATTAGGCTATCTGTACGGAGAAGTGCAAAGGCACACAGCTAAGATTTGAAAAACCTGTGTCCTGGGCTTCTACAGGACCTCTGAGTTGTAACAGCATCCTCCCTGTCTTGCTGGACTGTTAAAGAGAATCAAATGAGATAATAGATGTGAAGAAATTTTAAGGCCAGGTGCGGTGGCTTATGCCTGTAATCTCAGCACTTTGGCAGGCCCAGGCAGGAGGACCACTTGAGCCCATGAGTTCAACAAGCCTGGGCAACATAACGGGGCCCTATATCTATAAAAAAATTTTTTTTTAATTAGCCAGGTGTGGTGGCCAATGCCTGTGGTCCCAGCTACTTGGAAAGCTAAGGTGTGAGGATCGCTTGAGCCCAGGAGGTCAAAGCTGCAGTGAGTCTTGATCACACCAGCGCACTCCAGCCTGGGCAACAGAAGACACTTTTAAAACGTAAAAAACATTATTTCAATCAAAATATTATGGGCTGGGCATGATGGCTCATGTCTGTAATCCCAGCACTTTGGGAGGCCAAGGCGGGCGGATCACTTAAGGCCGGGAGTTCAAGACTAACCTGGGCAACATGGTGAAACCCCTTCTCTACTGAAAATACAAAAATTAGCCTGGCGTGGTGGCACGTGCCTGTAATCCCAGCTGCTTGAGAGGCTGAGGCATGAGAATCCCTTGAGCCCGGGAGGAAGAGGTTGGAGTGAGCCGAGATTGCGCCACTGCACTCCAGCCTGGGTGACAGAGCGAGACTCCATCTCAAAAAATAAAATATTACTATAAAGCAGAAGTTTGTACTATTTCCCCAACAGGAACCCTACTGTTTATAACATTTTATTGATACTGTTTAGGAATATATGAACCCAGTTAAAAATTAGGTCTATTCCTTTCTGAAGCCATGAACAAGAATATTTTAATATCAGCTCTCATTTGGATGCTTTTTTGTGTTTGTTTGTTTTGTTCGTTTTTGTTTTTGAGATGAGGTCCACTCTGTCACCAGGCTGGAGTGCAATGGCACAGTCTCGGCTGACTGCAACCTCTGCCTCCTGGGCTCAAGGGATTCTGGTGTCTCAGCTTCCTGAGTAGCTGGAACTACAGGCACATGCCACCACACCCGGGTAATTTTTCTTTCTTCCCCGCCCCCACCCCGTAGAGACAGGGTTTCACCACGTTACCCAGACTGGTCTTGAACAAATGATGCCTCAGCCTCCCAAAGTTCAGGGTTTACAGGCGTGAGCCACCGCGCTTGGTCATCATTTGGATGCCTTCTGACCAGACCAAAAAGTGAGTGTGGCCCCCCACGCATCTGGAAAGAGGAAGCCTGCAGCTGGTTTTTCTCCATTCCAAAGGCTAATTGGCGTAATTGGTGGAGGGTGCAAGCCCTTGGAATTCTCTTTAGCTGCCCATCGTGGACATCTCACTTGTAAACACCTCCACCAGAGGGAGGGCAAGGGAAAGGAAAGGGGGCCAAACTTCAGTCACGCGGCTACGTGTTAGTTTCAGTGAGAGATTTGGTGAAACAATAGGTTTTGGGGCCATTGTAACTGAAAGGAGATTGAAACTAACTGGTTGCTATCTTGATAGTTTTCTTTATCCTCAAATATCATGGATAAGCAAGAGCTAACAGTAATTCTAGCTTTGTTTGCTTTGAAAGGCTATTTTCCTCCTTAGAGTATAGCTAATAAATGTGTGGGTTTCCTATAATCAAACTTCTTGGAGTATCCTTTGAAATAGCCTCTGAAATTACTATAGCTATATTAATAAAAACTACAAGAAAGCTTTATACACTAAATCTAGGCAAGACATTTATGAAGATGAGAACTGTATCCTTAAAAGGTAAGTGTTGGCTTTGCTAATGACATAATATTGTTTTGGTGAACCAATATCAAGGGAAAAAATGTCAAAGCCAAAAATAGAGGCAAAGTATCCCAGCCCCTGGTGTGGAAGGCCATTCTATGATAATCTATGAATGATTTCTACTCTGAATATGTTAACAGAAGCTGGCACATCTGAGAAGCACAAGTGTTTGCTAGTGAATCCACAAATGAAATTTGCAATTTGGGTTGAAGCCTTTGCAAAACTACGTTAAGACCAATAGCCCTCAGAAGAGTAAGGGGTTTTGTTTTGTTTATTTCTTATTCACACATTACCAAAAAGACACATTACATGCTAATATTACTTTGAAAGAGCAAAAGACTTTTTTTTTTTTTTTGAGACGGAGTCTCACTTTGTCATCCAGGCTGGAGTGCAGTGGTGTGATCTTGGCTCACTGCAACCTCTGCCTCCTGGGTTCAAGGGATTCTCGTGCCTTAGCCTCCCCAGTAGCTGGGACGACAGGCATGCACCACCACACCCAGCTAATTTTTGTATTTTTTAGTAGAGACAGAATTTTACCATGTTGGCCAGGCTGGTCTCGAACTCCTGACCTCAGGTGATCCACCCACCCCGCCCTCCCAAAGTGCTGGGATTACAGGCGTGAGCCACCATGCCTGGACAAAAAAAGCAAAAGATTTTCATGTTGAACTGAATAGCTACAGAAATCCCACCACACTTGCAAGGCATTTAACTATTGTAATTGAGAGAAGGGAATGATTCTCCACAATCAGCAATTTCTAGGACTCTTCCTTCATCTCTTTTAAACAAATAATGTAAATGATTTACTAATTTATTGTTCTGCATTTGCTAAATATGTATCTTATTATTTCTCTCCACATGATTACTATCTTTGATGATTAATTTCTAGAAGGCAATGACATTATTTAATTCATTATATACAATGCCTAGTAAAGTGCCACACACAATAAATATTCTTGAATAATTTATCTGCCCTCAGTTTATTGTCATCTTTTCCTCCTCTGGACTAGAATACTGGTGTTTATTTTTGGGTTTGTTTGTTTGTTTGTTTGTTGCTGTTACTTGATTATAAACAATCTTCTTTTGTTACACGGATATATTGTGGGAAAAAAATAATAAATCTTATTTAGCTAAATATTATCTCCTTTTTTAATCTGGATTATAAACTTCTCTAGAGGAGATTCCTGGAGCTTTTACTACTTTCACATCCCCACAATATCTACCACATCTTTTACACATAGAAATTACTACAGAATTATTCAAGAAATAAAAGATGGTTATGTCACTATTATTGATAAATATTTATACCTCAAGAAATTCCTGGCTGTACAGGTCCAATAACAGTACAGGTCACAGGAAGATATATGTATAGGCCTATGTGAATATGCCTAAAACAAAGAGTGTAAATTATAAGAGGTATCCACAAAGAGAACACTTGGTATGGGCCTCAACTTTCGGAAATGCCACATTTTATCTCCTTATCGAAACTTCTCTGGCCAGGCGCTGTGGCTCACACCTGTAATCCCAGTACTTTGGGAGGCCCGAGTGGGTGGATCACTTGAGGTCAGACATTCGAGACCAGCCTGGACAACATGGTAAAACCCCATCTCTACTAAAACTACAAAAATTAGCTGGGCATGGTGGCACGGTCCTGTAATCCCAGCTTACTCAGGAGGCTGAGACAGGAGAATTGCTTGAACCTGGGAGGCAGGGCCAAGCCTGGTTGACAGAGTGACACTCCATCTCAAATAAATAAATAAATAAACTTCACTGCCAGCGATTTAGCTGTTTTTCAGCCATAAGACCATCCTAAAAATTAATATCACTTACATTTTGGTAGAAACTATAAAATTTCACCCCAAAGCTTATCCATAATCATATATCAAAAGTTTTCTTTAGATCCAAATTATTATTCAGCATTAGAATTTCCATAATTAAAATTTAGTGGTATGCTAGTCATAGTCATCAACATTGTTAAGTTTATTTATATGTTTTAAGAAAAAATATGAATAAAAAATCCATGTGCAAGTTTTTATTTTATCCTAAGAATCGTGACTTTCATTTATAAGTATTCCAACTTTCCTTAAAAATATGAGACTAGTTTTTAAAATGTTTCCACCCACCCAACTAAATATGAGTTGGAACATTGTGAAAATACAGTGCAATCTGGAGAAACCCATATTACAACTGGAGAATTGAAATATGTTTTTATCATTTTGGAATAGAATGCTAAATTCCAAACATTTTAACTAGGAAACTGTGCTAGCAGTTGATTTTTAATATCATAGGCCTAATCCAAAGTAATCAAATCTTTTCATCAAAAAAAATAAAAAGTTCTAGCCTTCCCTTTCATTGTCATTGAGCAGAATCAGGAAAGACACCTAAAGACTTCTCTATTCCTTGATTCAAGAAACTCTGAGTATCTTTCAATATTGTCTAGCACTGTAGATTCCATTCCTCTATCCCTATAATTGCTTGCATTCCTTATTAATCCAAAAGTCAACTAACCAAGGCTTCTTCCCTCAGATAGGAAAAGATCGCAGGGCAATATGTGGTAATTCACATCTGGGCTTAAGTAGGATAGATGGCAGGCTTACATAACCTTTCTCCTCAAAGATTTTTTCAATTATATTTTAATTTTTAAAAATTACGAAGTAAAAAAGAAAAAAACAAACACTAAAACTATGAAGGGGCCCAATCTCATACCACATTTTACGAACCCATTCTCATGCCTCCTTCCAGCTTTCTTCTGTGGCTCCTCATTGCTTGAATCCAACAAGAAGCCTGGGGTCCTCAAAGATAATTCATCCACCCTGTTTCTTTCAATATAAATAGAAATTTTAGATAGTAAATATTCATCAAAGATGAATGAAAAGGAAATAAGACTGACATAAACATTTTAAATTGTGATATTGGGGAAGAGATGAAATAAAGGAATATATTCTAAAAAGAAAAGATATATTATGGAAGAAGATTAACCCCAGTAAGCAGAAGAAATATAGAGACAAATGTTTCATACCCCGAAGAAAAT
The DNA here is from genome assembly GCF_000001405.40 of Homo sapiens. Taxonomy (NCBI): domain Eukaryota; kingdom Metazoa; phylum Chordata; class Mammalia; order Primates; family Hominidae; genus Homo; species Homo sapiens. Next base: position 24,731,499 of record NC_000010.11, read on the forward strand.
AAAATATATCAAAAGTGAAATCACAAGAGAATGAATGAAATATAAAAGATGTTAGAATGGCTAAGAGAAGGTATTGAGAGGGAAAAATCATACCGTTGCAGAAATAATACATGAATTAGAAATAAGAAGAAATAAGAAATGTCTGGCCGGGCACAGTGGCTCATGCCTGTAATCCTAGCACAGAGGCCAAGGTGGGAGGATCACTTGAGCCTGGGAATTCAAGACCAGCCTGGGCAACACAGTGAGACCTCATCTCTATTTTTAAAAAATAAAAATAAGAAATATCTAGCAGAAAATTGTGGGATGGATGACAGATTTGTTTTAAAGCACATCAAATACAAAGGAAAAGGACAAAGATTAAAGTGATTAGACAGGAGATGAAAAATATAGAAGACAACAGAAATCTGATTTAGAGAAATTGATGTCTCTGACAGAATTTACAACTAATGAAACTAAAAAAAATTTTTTTCAAAGATATACTATGGTAGCCTGCTAAATGTTCCCCCAAATCTGTTCTCTCCTTCTCCTATAATAGTAGTATTTTAGTTAGGCACCTGGTTAACAAGCTAGACTTTCTATCTAGGTGTGTCTAGGTGTGGCCATGACTAAATTCTAGGCAATGAAATGTGGGCAGGAATGATTGTGTGTCACTCTGGAAGTCTTCCCTTAAAAGGCTTAGATCTGTGCCTTCCTAGACCCTTCCCCGATTCACAGTGACTGGAGGTAGGGTTGCCAAGTTTAGCAAATAAAAACAATGAGCACACAGTTCAATTTGAACATCAGATAAACAACAGATAACTTTTTAGTATAAAAAAGCCTCATTCAAATTGGTGTTTGAAACCAAAAAAAAAAAAAAGAAAAGAAAAATGTTGCAGGCAATAAACAAATCAGATTTTAGTGTGTGTCTCATTAAAAAAAAAACTGTTGGGCATAGTGGCTCACACCTGTAATCCAACACTTTGGGAGGCCGAGGCATAAGGATTTTTTGAGCCCAGGAATTCAAGACCAGCCTGGTCAACATAATTAGACCTATCTCTACAAAAACATTTAAAAATTACCTGGGTGTTGTAGCTAATTTTTAGCCCAAGCTATTCTTGAACTCCCAGCCTCAAGCAAGCTTCACACCTTAGTCTCCCAAAGTTCTGGGATTACAGGCATGAGCCACTGCACCCAGCCTTTCAGCTGCTTTTAAATGTGAATGACCACATGATTCAATCTTTAAGTCACATTATTTGTTTTCTTCAAAATTTTTCTTATCAATTAATGCTGAGAAAAATTTTTAGGTGAGTAATGGTTTTCTTTTGGGTCAGGGATCATTAAACTTTTTCTGTAAAGGGCCAGATAGATAATATTTTAGGCTTTGCAGTGCCACGCGACCTCTGTTGCAACTACTCAACTCTGCTGTTACAGTACTAAAGCAGGGATGGACAACGTATAAATGAATGAATGTGGCTGTTTCTATAAAACTTGATAACAGATAGAAGACTGGATTTGGTATATGTGCCACAGTCGGCGAACCCCTGCATTAGGTAATTCACTTTGATTTGCTTGTAGGATTTCTTTTCTTTTTTGAGACAGAGTCTCACTCTGTTGTTGCCCAGGCTGGAGTACAGTGGCATGATCTCGGCTCACTGCAACCTCCACCTCCTGGGTTCAAGCAATACTCCCATCTCAGCCTCCCGAGTAGCTGAGACTACAGGTGCCCGCCACCATGCCTGGCTAATTTGGTATTTTTAGTAGAGACGGGGTTTCGCCATATTGGTCAGGCTGGTCTCAAACTCCTGATCTCAAGTCATCCACCCGCCTCAGCCTCCCAAAGTGCTGGGATTACAGGCTCGAGCCACCGTGCCCTGCCGGATTTCTTTTCTTATATGAAAGTTTAGTAACTTCCCCCAAGTCACTATTCTGTTTTCATAATCCCTGAAACATGATAAATTTTTTTTTAATTAAAAAAAGTTTTTTAGTAGAGACAGTGTCTCACTATATTGGCCAGGCTGGTATTGAACTCCTGGGCTCAGGTGATCTTCCTGCCTGGGTTTCCCAAAGTGCTAGGGTTACAGGCATGAGCCACTGCACCTGGTCAATCCTTTTAATCCTTGGAATTGCAAGAAAGTTTTCACATATTGGTTAGGACAAAGGCTAAGCTCTTGCACCAAAATGTTTTTTAAATACCACAGTACTTGTATTTAGAAGTGGCTACAAAGAAAGTTATGTCTTTTTCAGGTAATGATCCCCAAGTATGCTCTTCAGGCCTGCTACAATAGCTCCATTGTCTTCCATAGGTGGTTTCATCTCTGGGTCAAAGGCAGATGCTCCAGTTCTATCTCCAATAGGGTTCCCAGATAAAATATAGGATACCCAGTTCAACTTGAATTTTATTTATTTATTTATTTATTTGAGATGGAGTCTCCCCCTATTGCCCAGGCTGGAGTGCAGTGGCGCGATCTCGTCTTACTGCAACCTCTGCCTCCCAGGTTCAAGCGACTCTCCTGCCTCAACCTCCTGAGTACCTGGGATTACAGGTGCATGCCACCATGCCCAGCTAATTTTTTATTCTTTTTTTTTTTTTTTTTTGTATTTTTAGAAGAGACGGAATTTCACCATGTTGGTCAGGCTAGTCTCAAACTCCTGACATTGTGATCCGCTCGCCTCAGCCTCCCAAAGCACTGGGATTACATGCGTGAGCCACCATGCCTGGCCCCTCAACTCGAATTTTAGATAAACGACAAATACATTTTTAGGATAAATTTTGTTGTTGTTGTTTTTGAGACAGGGTCTTGCTCTGTTGCCTAGGCTGGAATGCAGTGGTGCCATCATCGCTCACTGCAGTCTTGACCTCCTGGGCTCAATTGATCCTCCTACCCGAGCCTCCCAAGTAGCTCAGGGACCACAGATGTGCACTACCATGCCTGGCTAATATTTTTTAAATTTTTTTGTAGAGACAGGGTCTTGCTATGTTGCCCAATCTGGTTGTATGTTATTTAATCTGCCTTAAATAATGGTTTGAGTGACCAAGTAATTAGAAACAAAATGAAAAAACAAGCTACAGTCTATCAGAAGATATATGCAACTGATATAACCCACCAAGGATTTATTTATTTATTTATTTATTTGCGACGGAGTCTCGCTCTGTCGCCCAGGCTGGAGTGCAGTGGCATGATCTCGGCTCACTGCAACCTCTGCCCCTCCAGGTTTAAGCAATTCTCTGCCTCAGCCTCCGGAGTAGCTGGGATTACAGGCGCGTGCCACCACGCCTGGCTAATTTTTTGTATTTTTAGTAGAGACGGGGTTTCACCATCTTGGCCAGGCTGGTCTTGAACTCCTGACCTCCTGATCCACCCGCCTCAGCCTCCCAAAGTGCTGGGATCACAGGCATGAGCCACTGTGCCCGGCCTCCCACCAAGGATTTATAGCCTGAGCCTCCATAAACCAATAACTAAAATAGAAAAGATGAATAGGCAATTTATGAAAGAGAAAATACATGTTTTCACCAAACATAATAAAAGATGCCCAGTATCACTGAAATCAGGATAATGCAAATTAAAATGATAATAAGACCAATTTCAAATCCATCAGACTGGCAAAAATCAGTCTGAAAACAGCAAATGCTGAACTGAGGTCAGGAGTTCAAGACCAGCCTGGTCAACATGGTGAAACCTCGTCTCTACTAAAAGTACAAAAATTAGCTTGGCATGGTCGTGGGCGCCTGTAATCCCAGCTACTCTCGGGAGGCTGAGGCAGGAGAATCACTTGAACCTGGGAGGCGGAGGTGGCAGTGAGCTGAGATCGTGCCATTGCACTCCAGCCTAGGCGACAGCGTGAGACTCTGTCTCAAAACAAAACCAGTAAATGGCAGCTCAAGTTGCTCAGGCCCCAAACCCTGAATAATAGGAAATGACTAGCTCCACTTCGAAATTCAAGAGGTCTCAAATTAAAGACACCCTAATCTGCCCTTTCCACGTTAAGTGGCAATTCTGTTCATACTGCTGCTCCAGACTAAGAACTTCAAAACAGCCTTGACCCCTCTTTCTCTCCCACCCCACATCCCCACATCAGTAAACTCTGTCAGCAACACCATCATATTATATCTAGAATCTGATCACCTCCACAGCGGTCACCCAAGTCCACGTGAAGTCATCGATCACCTGGATGAGTTGACAGCCTTCAGCTAGTCTTCTGCTCTGTCTTTACTAGTGTCTACTCTCAATACAGGAGCCAGTGCAACCCTTTTAGAGCCTAAATCAGGTCTTGTCTCTTCTTTGCTTAAAACTCTCTGATGGCTTCCCATTTCACTCAGATGAAAAGCCAAAATCTTTACAGTAGTTTACTTCATGCTACTGATCCACCTCCAGGCTATACCAATCTGCTTAAAGTTCATCAGGCACCGAGGCTTTCCCCCACCTCATCTGTCACTCACCTACTGTTTGCACCTGTTATTCCCCAAGGCTAGACTATGCTTCTCCCTGCCAGATATCCACTCTCCTCATTTGATTCAGGCTTTTGCTCAAACATGTCTTCCCTAACCATCCTACTTAAAATAGCACCATAGTCACCTACCTGACTCCACCCCACCCCAATTACCCTTTCTTTCCACCTTCACCCCTTATACATACTTTATTTAATTTTTCAAAAAGCACTTATTGCCACCTATTGTTTTATTTTTTATTTATTGCCTGTCTTCTCAGCCTAGAATGTAAATCTCAGAAGAACAGGAAATAAGTCTATTTTATTTTTTGCTGTATCCCTAGTGCCTAGAACAAATCCTGACATACACTAGACACCCCATAGAATATAAATGGAAGAGTTTGGGCACAGTGGCTCATGCCTGTAATCCCAGCGGTTTGGGAGACCAAGGTGGGAGGATTGCTAGAGCCCAGGAGTTTCAGGTTGCTGTGAGCTGTGATTGCACAGATGCCCTCCAACCGTGGTGATATAGCAAGACCCTGTCAGAAAGAGAAAGAGGAATAGCAAGAGAAGAGGAAAAGAGAAGAGAAAAGAAAAGAAAAGAAAAGAAGGAAAAGAAAGAGAGAAGAATGTACCGTAAACCCAGAGGCTTCCTGGGAGATGGGAATTTTTTTTCTGGATCTTTAATTCTTATGCAATTTAAATGTTTCTGGGGCATAAATAAAGAAATTATCTAAAATCCTTTATCTAAAGCATGAATGATAAATATATGATAGAAATAACCAGGCATGGTAGCTCATGCCTGTAATCTCAGCTCATGCCTGTAATCCCAGCACTTTGGGAGGCTAAGAAGGGGAGTATTGCTTGAGGCCAGGAGTTCAAAACAAACACATAAGAGAAAAAAAAAAAAAACAGGAGACAATTTCACATGAGAATGATTTTTAAAATCCCAATTAAAATATTACTATTAACCTTAAGTAATATATCAAATGTACTCTGGATAGAAGTTCATTACATAAATGTAACTATTGTTTGAAATTAGGACATCTCTCCATTAAAAAAAAAAAGTCGGTTTTATTAGTGATGAGGCTGATAGGAAAACATGGCTTTCAATGTGAGCCAGTTAGGTTTAGTAATCCTCCCCCTGAATTAGAAAGACTCCAGCTGTCTTGGGCCCAACTGAAGCACAGGAGGTAGTACCCCTGCTTCTGAAACTGTTCCAATTGTCCCACAGAACTGATATTTACAGGTTTTTAAAAATAAACTAAAAGTTGACCCTCCCAGTCTTGAAATTTGAAACCTACTTGTCTTATCTGAGTTCTTTTCTTAAGAAATCAACCCTCAGGCAAGGAATTGAAACTCTTCAGATCACTGCATCCAGACTTAGAAGACCTCTCTTCCAACATGATAGATTCCTTACCCCTCCCTAATTCTTGTTTTCCCATCTTCCCTGCTATATAAGCACTCCAATTTTAGTAGATTAGGGAGATGGATTTGAGACTTTCTCCCATTCTCCTCCTCCGCAGTACCCAATTAAAGCCTTCTTCTCTGGCATTAAAAGTAATGGGAAGGCCAGGCGCAGTGGCTCATGCCTGTAATCCCAGCACTTTGGGAGGCCGAGGTGGGCAGATCACAAGGTCAAGAGATTGAGGCCACCCTGGCCAACATGGTGAAACCCCGTCTCTACTAAGAATACAAAAATTAGCTGGGCATGGTGGCACACGCCTATAGTCCCAGCTACTTGGGAGGCTGAGGCAGGAGAATTGCTTGAACCCGGGAGGCGGAGGTTGTGGTGAGCCAAGATAGCGCCACTGCACTCCAGCCTGGTGACGAAGCAAGACTCCATCTCAAAAAAAAAAAGTAATGGGAAAAGTCTGGGTGCAGTGGCTCACGCCTGTAATCCCAGCACTTTGGGAGGCTGAGGTGGGTGGATCACTTGAGGTCAGGAGTTCGAGACCAGCCTGGCCAACATGGTGAAACTCTGTCTGTACTAAAAACACAAGAACTTAGCTGGGCGTTGTGGCAGGTGCCTATAAACCCAGCTACTCTGGAGGCTGAGGCAGGAGAATTGCTTGAACCTGGGAGGCAGAGGTTGCAGTGAGCAGAGATGATGCCACTGTACTCCAGCCTCAGTGACAGGGCAAGACTCTATCTCAAAAACAAACAAACAAAAAACTAATGGCAAAGACTGCAATTACTTTTTCACCAACCTAATAGTAAAGCTTTATTATTATTATTATTATTATTATTATCATTATTATTTTGGAGACAGAGTCTCACTCCGTCACCCAGGCTGGAGTGCAGTGACATGATCTCGGCTCACTGCAACCTCCACCTCCTGGGTTCAAGCAAATCTCCTGCCTCGGCCTTCAGAGTAGCTGGGATTACAGGCACCTGCCACAACGCCCAGCTAAGTTTTTGTATTTTTAGTAGAGACAGGGTTTCACCACTAGGCCAGGCTGGTTACGAGCTCCTAACCTCAAGTGATCCACTTGCCTCAGCCTCCCAACATGCTGGGATCACAGATGTATAATTACATATAATACATATGTGCCTGTAGTCCCAGGCCAGTGCACCTGCCCAGTAATGATATATATACAATATATAAGTTTAGAAAATATATGTGTATATATATTTTTGAGACAGAGTTTTGCTCTTGTTGCCCAGGCTGGAGTGCAATGGCATGATCTTGGCTCACTACAACCTCCGATTCCAGGGTTCAAGAGATTCTCCTGCCTCAGCCTCCCAAGTAGTTGGGATTACAGGCATGCACCACCACGCCTGGTTAATTTTTTTTTTTTTTTTTAATAGAGATGGGGTTTCTACATGTTGGTCAGGCTGGTCTCAAACTCCCAATCGCAGGTGATCTGCCCACTTCAGCCTCCCAAGCAGGGATTACAGGCATGAGCCACCGTGCACGGCCATGATATATTATTAAGTAAAAACAAAATAAAAGAGGTTACATTATTGGGAAGAATATTCACTATGAATAGTGATTTTTTTGGTAGGATGGATAGGACCGAAAGATGGCAATGGCTATTATTTTCTGCTTGTTATATTTTTGTAATGTTACAGGATTTTGCAAGGAATATGTATTACATATTAACTTTAATTTATGTATTCACTTTTTAGTCTTTTTAATTTTAATTTAATTTTAGACAGGGCCTCATTCTGTTTCCCTGGCTGGAGTGCAGTGGCACAATCATGGCTCAATGTGGCTTCGACCTCCTAGGCTCAAGTGATCCTCCTACCTCGGCGTCTCAAGTAGGTGGGACTACAGGCACATGCCACTGCACCTGGCTAATTCTGTTATTTTTTGTAGAGATGGGATTTCACCATGTTGCCCAGGCTGATCTCAAACTTCTGGGCTCAGCTGGACATGGTGGCATGCGCCTGTGGTCCCAGCTACTTGGGAGGCTGAGGTGGGAGGATCGCCCAAGTCCAGGAGGTGGAGGTTGCAGTGAGGCCAAGATAGTGCCCCTGCACTCCAGCCTGGGTGACAGAGTGAGACCCTATCTCAAAAACGAACAAACAAAAAAACTTCTGGGGTGTCACCTTGGCCTCCCAATGTGCTGGGATTACAGGTACGAGTACACCGCACCTAGTTTAGCCTTAACTTAAATTAAAATAATAATATTTATTTAATATTTATAATGTTTAATATTTAAATATAATATTTAACTCTAGAGATGAAAAAGATAAAAATCTAATCAATCTTTTCTGCTTTGCTGGAAACACATGCATTTTCTCTTTGTCGTTATTGGTCATGGAAAATATGCTGTGACTAGTCACAGACTAATGATAAATAAATAAATGTGTAACTTTTTAAAAAGAATCTTGCTTGAATCAAATGCACAACTGATTAGGTGAGAGGTGCCGTGTGTATATAGGCTATCATGAAATTCAAACCTCGTCAGGAAAGAAAATGACTGAACATGAAAAAACTGTAGCACATCATCAACTGTGTAATAGTTTGGAGGATTATATTCACCAGAGCTAAAAACAGAAAGAGCAGTGGTAGTTCTTGGAAGATTCTGTGGACTTTTCTCTGTGTAGAGAAAGGAAAGGTAGGGGCCATTGGGCATATGGAACTACCAGGTTTTCTGGGCATATGGACCTGCCAGGTCTTCTGGCCATTCTAGAGTGGCGTGGCTCTGCCATCAGGCAAGAATGGGAGTCTCGGCTGGGCGCGGTGTCTCACGTTTGTAATCCCAGCACTTTGGGAGGCCGAGGTGGGCGGATCACAAGGTCAGGAGTTTGAGACCAGCCTGACCAACATGGTGAAACCCTGTCTCTACTGAAAATACAAGCATTAGCTGGACCTGGTAGCGTGCACCTATAATCCCAGCTACTCAGGAGGCTGAGGCAGGAGAATCACTTGAACCTGGGAGGCAGAGGTTGCAGTGAGCCGAGATCGTGCCACTGCACTCCAGCCTGGGCAACAAAGTGAGACTCCGTCTCAGGAAAAAAAAAAAAAAAAACAAAAGGGATGGGAATCTCAGTGACCAGTTGACCATCTCCACTTGAAGGCTGTGTGACATGCGGGATGGGGTGACCAGAGAGAAGACATTGAAAAGGCAGAATAGTGGTGAAGAGATGTATGGCTGAGAGAGGGGACATATTTTCAGCATGTTTCCATAAAGGCAAAATACTAGGGGTGGGGCTGTGTCAAGAAGATAAGGGTGTTCTTTCTGTATGATACATGAAGAAAACCTTCTATAAAGAGTTGTAAACACTTTTGGCCAGGCACTGTGGCTCATGCCTGTAATCCCAGTCAGTACTTCCAAAGAGAAAATTGTATATAATCAACATTACCCTTGAAAATCCTTTAGGAAGTGAAGATGGATACATTGTTACCCAATAGGCCCCTACTAGTGTTTTCCCCAGCAAGAGAGTCATTATTTCTTCAATTGCATGCTGAATGAGATGGATATCTAATAGCAGGATTAACCTTAGGACAGGCAGATGAGATGCTTCCCGGACTGCTACCAAGGAAGGATATGTAGACTCATATCTCCCATCTCATTTTCACTTTTGGTTGAAAGCTTTTGAAGAAAGCAGGCAGTGTCACCTGCACTATACAAATTGTTATTATTCTCTATTATTTAAAGAGGGTTGTATAGCAGTTAAATTTGAGTAAATTAAGTGAATAGATCCTGCAACTCAATTTTGGGAAATGTACTCTAAGACTTTTGAGTGCTATGTATTGCCTTGATTAGGGAAGGAAGGTATTTCAGAGGGAGGGAAGGAATTTTTCCAGTTTCAAAAAATGAAACAATAATTGAAGAAAAGCCTTTCTGCAGAAATATATAGGAAGGTGGATCGTGAGACAGAGAAGACAGGCCAGGAAATGGACTGTGCCAGAAAGGGCCTTGTGAGGAGTGCTTGATTTCTTCTTCTTTTGCCTTAGGTTCTGATAATAGCCATATTTTGCCTCCTGTTTAAAAGTTCCTCTGACTACATTGTAATTCTCTCTTTTTTTTCTTTGAGATGGAGTTTTGCTGTTGCTGACCAGGCTGGAGTACAATGGTATGATCTCAGCTCACTGCAACCTCCGCCTCCCAGGTTCAAGCAATTTTCCTGCCTCAGCCTCCCAAGTAGCTGGTATTGCAGTTGGGCACCACCACACCCCGCTAATTTTTGTATTTTTAGTAGAGACGGGGTTTTACCATGTTGGTCAGGCTGGTTTCGAACTCCTGACCTCAAATGATCCACCCGCCTTGGCCTCCCAAAGTGCTGGGATTACAGTCATGAGCCACCACTCCCAGCCTATAATTCTCTTTTTATGGGACAAGGTCTTACTCTGTCACCCAGGCTGGAGTGCAGTGGCATGATCATAGCTCATGGCAGCCTTCAATTCCTGGGCTCAAGGGATCCTCCCACCTCAGCCCCCTGAGATGCTGTGACTCCAGGTGCATGCCATCACACCTGGCTTATTTTTTTTTGTTTTTGTTTTTTTTTTGAGACAGGGTCTCATTCTATCACTCAGGCTGGAGTGCAGTGCCATGATCTCAGCTCACTGCAACCACCACTTCCTAGGCTCAAGTGATCCTCCCATCTCAGCTTCCTGAGTAGTTGGGACTGTAGGCATGTGCCGCCACACCCAGCTAATTTTTGTATTTTTTTGTAGCGATGGGGTTTCACCATGTTGCCCAGGCTGGTCTCGAACTGAGCTCAAACAATCTGCCTGCCTTGGCCTCCCAAAGTGCTGGAATTACAGGCATCAGTCACCATGCCCGGCCTAATTTTTTAATTTTTTTGTGAATATGGGGGTCTTGCTGTGTTGCCAGGCTGGTCTTGAACTCCTGGCCTCAAGCGATTCTCCCACCTTAGCCTCGCAAAGTTCTGGCATTACAGGCATGAGCCACTGAGCCTGGATGTAATTCCCTTTAGTTAGTTGCATAACTTCAGCAAGCCTCATGTACTCAGGTGGAGTGTTGCGGAAAACCAAACGATTGGGCAGTAAATGGAAATTTGGCCTTCCCTAAATCATCCCTCCACTCAGCACGGCTGTAGAACCTTGTGTCATGGAAGGTGAGTAGGACAAGGTTTTTTGGGCTGGGTGCAATGGCTCATACCTGTAATCCCAGCACTTTGGGAGGCCGAGGCAGGTGGATCACTTGAGGTCAGGAATTCAAGACGAGTGTGGCCAACATGGTGAAACCCCGTCTCTACTAAAAATACAAAAATTTGCTGAGCGTGGTGGTGGGCACCTGTAATCCCGGCTACTCAGGAGGCTGAGGCATGAGAATCGCTTGGACCTTGGAGGTGGAGGTTGCAGTGAGTCAAGATCGCGCCACTGCACTCAAGCCTGAGTGACAAGAGAGAAACTCCATCTCAAAATAAATAAATAAATAAATAAATAAATAAATAAGGTGGAGGTTACAGTGAGTCAAGATTGCGCCACTGCACTCAAGCCTGGGAGACAAGAGAGAAACTCCATCTCAAAATAAATAAATAAATAAATAAAAGTAGTACAAGGTTTTTAGCAGCAACTAGCTACAGGTTGAACACAGGCCTAACACAGAAGCTGGCAGCCATCAGAGGGAACACGGGATAACAGAGGTACAGCTATGCAGCTGCATGAGCCGGGAACAGACATGAAATTAATTTGCTATTTCTTTCTCCCCACATGTGCTATAGAAAGGTGGCTGACTTTTTTTTCTAGTTTATGGCATTTTGTTAAGTGACTGACTATTGAAAGAGGTGAACAATATAAGCATTCCTGAGGAAAATGGAAAACGCATGAATATGCTTTACAATTAAATGTTTTTCTTTTTCTTTTCTTTTATTTATTTATTTTTTGTGAGATAGAGTCTGCTCTGTCGCTCCGGCTGGAGTGCAGTGGCACCATCTTGGCTCACTGCAACTTCTGCCTCCTGGGTTCAAGCGATTCTCATGCCTCAGCCTCCCGAGTAGCTGGGACTACAGGTGGGTGCCACCACGCCCAACTGATTTTTGAATTTTTAGTAGAGATGGCGGTTTCACCATGTTGGCCAGGCTGGTCTCGAACTCCTGATCTCAAGTGATCCATGCACTTCAGCCTCCCAAAGTGCTGAGATTACCGGCGTGAGCCACCGCTCCCAGCCTACAATTGAATGTTTTTGAGTGTTTTTTATGTATATCTTTATAAAACAAGGTAACTTATTTTTATTTTATTTATTTTTTTTTGAGACAGGATCTTGCTCTGTCACTCAGGCTGGAGTGCAGCGGCATGATCTCCGCTCTTTGCAACCTCTGCCTCTCAAGCTTAAGCTATCCTCCCACCTCAGCCTCCATAGTAGCTGGGACTACAGGCATGTGCTATCACGCCTGGGTCATTTTTGTGTTTTTTTGTAGCGAGAGAGGCTTGCCGTGTTGCCAATGCTGGTCTCAAACTCCTGGGCTAAATCCATCCTCCCACCTCAGCCTCCCAAAGTGCTGGGATTACAGGTATGAGCCACCACGCCCAGCCTGCTCTTTTCATTTTCACCACCATTTGCTTTCTCACTTGGAGGTCATTTTTAACCAGAAGACAAAGGTGTTATGCAATAAGCCCACCCACAGCAAGTAGCAACACTGAATAGTGATGTGGATGCTCCTGTCACTCGAATTTGTGCTTCTGCACAAATTTCAGAGAACTCCAGTTTGTCCATGGGAGCCCAGGCAGTAAATCTAGCTCACTAATTTTAAATTGTGCTCTCTCATAGCTAAAGGTGGGGAACTTAGAACCCTGATGCCAAGTCTGATTTAGAATTCTGGTTACATGTTTGAAAATGCAGGGGCCGGGTACGGTGGCTCACGCCTGTCATCCCAGCACTTGGGAGGCCGAGGTGGATGATTCACTTGAGGTCAGAAGTTTGAGACCAGTCTGGCCAACATGGTGAAACCTCGTCTCTACTAAAAATACAAAAATTAGTTGGGCATGGTGGTGCGTGCCTATAATCCCTGCTACTCAGGAGGCTGAGGCAAGAGAATCACTTGAACCCAGGAGGTGGAGGTTGCAGTGAGCTGAAATCACACCACTGCACTGTAGCCTAGGCGACAGAGCAGACTCTGTCTCAAAAAAGAAAAACGATTCATCATTCTAGGAATTGAGTTGATAAAAGCGGCAAATTAAGTAGTACCTGGCTTCTCAACCTGGGCTACACACTCGAATTCTTCTGAGAGTTTAATAACTCCTGTTGGGCACAGTGGTTCACACCTGTCATCCCAACATTTTGGGAATTCAAGACCAGCCTGGGCAACATAGTGAGAACCCCATCTCTACTATACATATACACACATACACACACTATATATATATATACACACACACTATATATATATACACACTATATATATACTCACACACTATATTTTATTGTGTGTGCGTGGAGACACATATATATGTATACATATACATATATATGTCCACACACACACACAATAAAAACTCCTGAGGCTCAGACCACCATGGAGATAGATGAATTCAAGCTCTCTGGAGGTGGGGCCCGCACATGGGGATTTTAATACTCCCCTCAGGTGATCCCACTGTGCCACCAGGGATGGGAACCACCTGCTACAGAGGCAATTAGTGGAAAAGGAAATGCTTACTTCACAGAAGCCATCAGAAGCTTGACACTTAAGAACGTGTGCAAGAATTTGTATCTTGCTTTCTCTTATTCTGGAGCAGAAGGCATTTTAGGAGTTCTTAGTCCAGAAATGTAAACTATTCTGTTTGGACTTCTTCATTAAAGCACGTGTGGGCAATGTCCCTGTGAAATCACTTCAACCATCTGGCAGTGCAACAGGAAGCTATTCTGATTTTGTATAAAACGGAACAAGTTGGGTGAGGCAGCAATGAAAACTTACCCATTATAGCATTGATTTTCTGAGGGGTACAGAAGGAACTTCATTTCTCCAAGGGGATTTTTTTCCTTCTATTTCCATAGAAAATATTTCTAAAGTGAATATTTAATTTGATTGAATTATGAGTTTTATATAATAAATACACAAACTTCAAAGGCTTTAGTAAAAACATAAAGCTCAACTTTTTTTTTTTGAAACAGATTTTTGCTCTGTTGCCCAGGCTGGAGTGCAGTGGTGTGCTCTTAGCTCACTGCAACCTCTGCCTCCTGGGTTCAAGCAATTCTCCTGCCTCAGCCTCCTGAGTAGTTGGCATTGCAGGCAGGCACCACCATGCCCAGCTGATTTTTGTATTTTTAGTAGAAATGGGGTTCACCATGTTGGCCAGGCTGGTCTCGAACTCCTGACCTCAAGTGATCTGCCCACCTTAGCCTCCCAAAGTGCTAGGATTACAGGTGTGAGCCACTGCACCCGGCCTAACTTCTTATTTTCATGGAGAAGAACGTATACCTCCAAGTAACGGGCATTTGAAATGAATATTTTTTCCACTCCTCCTCCTCTTCCTCTAAAATGAATACTGAAGCGCTATTAAAACTGAAACAGGGCCAGGCGCGGTGGCTCACGCGAGATCGAGATTGAAACCATTCTGGCTAACACGGCGAAACTTTGTCTCTACTAAAAATACAAAAAAATTAGCTGGGCGTGGTGGCGGGCGCCTGTAGTCCCAGCTACTCAGGAGGCTGAGGCAGGAGAATGACGTGAAGGCGGGAGGCGGAGCTTGCAGTGAGCCGAGATCGTGCCGCTGCAGTCCATCGTGGGCGACAGAGCAAGACTCCGTCTCAAAAAAAAAAAAAAAAAAAAAAAAAAACTGAAACAGGGGCTGAGCATGGTCGCTCATGCCTGTAATCCCAGCACTTTGGGAGGCTAAGGTGGGTGATTGCCTGAGTCCAGGGGTTCAAGACCAGCCTGAGCAACATAGCAAGGCATCCGTCTCTAAAAAGAAAAAAAAAAAAAAACTGAAGCAGCTTAAAAAAGGCGGAGCCTGCAGTGAGCCGAGATTGCGCCACTGCACTCCAGCCTGGGCGACAGCGAGACTCCGTCTCAAAAAAAAAAAAAAAAAAAAAAAAAAATGTATGTGGGAAGTGGCTGGTACAGGAGAAAGTTGGGAGCATTAAGCAGATGAGGTGAGGGGGAGAATGGCCTCTATAACACGCTGTTACCATCACTTAGTAGGTATGGGATTTTGAGGTAACCCCACAAAGGCTAATTCCTCCTAAAATCCGTGTCTGCAGCCTTGCTAACAGCATGTGACAAACAGCACTGAGCATAGCCAGCTGTAGATGATACATCTGAGAGTCTTTTGCAAACAGATATTCTTTTTCAGTATAAATATAATTCTTGATTATAGCAATGTATAAAAATATACGATCACAATCTGTAAACAAAACAAAGCAACAACAACAAAAATTCACATGCATTTGGATGGTTACTAGCAAAAAAAACAAAAAACCCAGAAAATAACACGTGTTGCCTAGAATATGGAGAAACTGGACTCCTTGTGCATTGTTGGTGGGAAGGTAAAGTGGTACAGTCACTAAGGAATACAGTATAGTGGCTCCTCAAAAAATTAAAAATAGAGTAATAGAATCACCGTATGATCCAGCAATCCTGCTTCTGGGTTTATACCCAAAAGATTTTAAAACAGGGATTAGAACAGATATTTGAATACCCATGTTCACACCAGCATGATTTACAATAGCCAAAAGATAGAAGAAGCAACTCAAGTGTCCAGCCATGAATGAATGGATAAAACTTGTGGTTAATACACAAACACACTGAAATGTAATATTATTATAATATATATGTATTTTTTGAGACAGGGTCTCACTCTGTCACCCAGGCTGGAGTGCAGTGGCACCATCACAGCTCACTGGAGCCTCGACCTCCCAAGCTCAAGTGATCCTCCCACCTCAGCCTCTTAAGTAGCCGGTACTACAGGTGCACACCACCATGCCCAGCTAATTTTTGAATTTTTTCGTAGAGACAGGGTTTCGCCATGTTGTCAAGGCTGGTCTCAAACTCCTGGGCTGAAGCGATCCACCCACCTTGGCCTCCCAAAGTGCTCGACTACAGTCATGCACATAATATTATTAATTATTTTGTTTTCTTTTTAAAGAAGGAAACTCTGAGGGGGGAAGGAAAAGGGGAAAGATACTTTTTTTTTTTTTTTTTTTTTGAGATGGAGTCTCACTCTGTCGCCCAGGCTGGAGTGCAGTGGTGTGATCTCGGCTCACTGCAACCGCTGCTTCCCAGGTTCAAGTGATTCTCCTGCGTCAGCCTCCTGAGTATACTCAGCCTCCTGAGTATACAGGTGCATGCCACCACACCCGGCCAATTTTTGTGTTTTTAGTAGAGATGGGGTTTCACCATGTTGGCCAGGCTGGTCTCGAACTCCTGACCTCAGGTGATCTGCCCGCCTCGGCCTCCCAAAGTGCTGGGATTATAGGTGTGAGCCACCACGCCCAGCCTATTAATTCTTTAAAAAAAGGGAAATTTTGACCAGATGCAGTGGCTCATGCCTGTATTCTCAGCACTTTGGGGGAACCAAGACGAGAGGATTGCGTGAAGTCAGGAGTGTGAGATCAGCCTGGGCCACATAGTGAGACCCTGTTTCTAAAAAAAGAAAAAAAAAATTAGCCAGGCATGGTGGCATGTGCCTGTCCCAGCTACTTGGGAGGCTGAGACAGTAGAATCACTTGAGCCAGGGAAATAGAAGTTGCAGTGAGCCATGATCATGCCACTGAACTCCAGCCAGGGCAACAGAGAGAGACCCTCTCTCAAAAAAAGAGAGGAAATTTTGACACATGCTACAACATGGACAAACCAGAAGACATTACATTAAGTGAAATAAGCCAGACACAAAAGGACAAATACTCTATAATTTCACTTATGAGGTGCATAGAACAAGACTCTCCCTATCTCAAAAAAAAAAAAAAGTTTAAAATGGTAAATTTTGGGATATATATATTTTTCCACAACTGAAAAAACCACAAATAACAGTTTTGAAGGAAAATTACTCTATTAGATCCAAGTTGATCGTCTTTGCCTGCTAACCTCTAACTGTAATTAGTTGTCCCTTGCAGAATCACTGTCTATAGACTAAATCTCACACCAGTAGTGTTTTAGGAAGATAACAGCTTGACATGAAAATTCGACACTTCAGTGTGATTCTCTCTCCCTGTGGGTCCACTTTTATCATGTTTTTAATGTGCTCTTCATCTGCTCAAGTTCTACTATTGTTCTTTTATTATTATTATTTTTTCTTTAGATGGAGTCTCACTCTGTTGCCCTGACTGGAGTGCAGTGGTGTGATCTCGGCTCACGGCAACCTCCACCTCCTGGGTTCAAAAAATTATTCTCTGGCCTCAGCCTCTGGAGTAGCTGGGACTACAGGTGTTCACCACCACGCCTGGTTAATTTTTGTATTTTTAGTGGAGACAGGGTTTTGCCATGTTGGCCAGGCTGGTTTTGAACTCCTGACCTCAAGTGATCCGCCCGCCTTGGCCTCCTAAAGTGCTGGGATTACAGGAGTGAGCCACCACGCCCGGCCTCTCAACCTCTCAATTTGAAGAACTTCTTTGAGCACCAATGCCACCCTCTTTTGCTCCCCCACCCCTAAAGGGTAATAGTGTGAATAGTGTGGTGTATCTTAGCATCTTTTTGTTGTTCTTTTTTTTTCTTGAGACAGAGTCTCACTCTGTCTCCAAGGCTGGAGTGTAGTGGTGCTATCTCTGCTCACTGCAACCTCCACCTCCTGGATTCAAGTGATTCTCCTGCCTCAGCCTCCCGAGTAGTTGGGATTACAGGCGCCCACCACCACGGCTGGCTAATTTCTGTTTTTGTTTCTGTTTTTGTTTTTTTGAGATGGAGTTTCGCTCTTGTTGCCCAGGCTGGAGTGCAATGGCATAATCTCGTCTCACCACAACCTCCGTCTACCAGGTTCAAGCAATTCTCCTGCCTCAGCCTCCCTAGTAGCTGGGATTACAGGCATGTGCCACCATGCCCGGCTAATTTTGTATTTTTTGTAGAGACAGGGTTTCTCCACGTTGGTCAGGCTGGTCTCAAACTCCCGACCTCAGGTGATCCGCCCACCTCGGCCTCCCAAAGTGCTGGGATTACAGGCATGAGCCACCGCGCCTAGCCATAATTTTTGTATTTTTAGTACAGACGGGGTTTTGCCATGTTGGCCAGGCTGGTCTCAAACTCTGGACCTTAGGTGATCTGCCCGCCTTGGCTTCCGAAAGTGCTGGAATTACAGGTGTGAGCCACCATGCCCTGCCATATCTTTATTTTTATTTCTTGTTTTTTTTGAGATGGAGTCTCACTCTGTCACCCAGGCTGGAGTGCAGTGGCGTGATCTTGGCTCACTGCAACCTCCGCCTCCTGGTTTCAAGCGATTCTCCTGCCTCAGCCTCCCCAGTAGCTGGGATTACAGGCATGTGCCACCATGCCCGGCTAATTTTGTATTCTTTATAGAGATGGGGTTTCGCCATGTTGGCCAGGCTGGTCTCCAACTCCTGACCTCAGGTGATCCGCCCACCTCAGCCTCCCAAAGTGCTGGGATTACAGGCGTGAGCCACTGCGCCCGGCCCAAATTTTTATTTCTTAATTAAACTTCTTATTTTGGGAAAATTGTAGATTCACAAGCAGTTATAAGAAATACCCAGTTTCCCCCAATGGTAAAGACTGTAAAATAGCCAGGATATGGATATTGGCATAGTCAAGATACACAACACTTCCATCACTTCAATAATCCCTCAGGTTGGCCGGGCGCGGTGGCTCACGCCTGTAATCCCAGCAATTTGGGGGGCCGAGGCGGGCAGATTGTCTAGGGTCAGGCGTTCGAGACCAGTCTGCCCAACTTGGTGAAACCCTGTCTCTACTAAAAAAATAAAAATACAAAAATTAACCGGGCGTGCTGGCGGGCACCTGTAATCCCAGCTACTCGGGAGGCTGAGGCAGGCGAATCGCTTGAACCCAGGAGGCGGAGGTTGCAGTGAGCTGAGATTGCGCCACTGCACTCCAGCCTGGGCGACAAGAGCGAAACTCCGTCTCAAAAAAAAAAAAAACAAACCAAAAAAACACTAAACGAAAAACAGAATCCCTCAGGTTGCCCTATCTTTTTTTAGCCACTCCCACTTCTCTCCCAGACCCTCCAACCACCCCTTGACTTGGCAACCATTAACTTGTTCTTTTTTTTCTATACCTTTGTCATTTCCATAATGTTTTATAAATGGAATCATACAGTCTATAACTTTTGGGGATTGTCTTTTTTCATTCAGCATAATTCTCTGGAGAGTCATCTAGAATGTTACATGTATCAATAATTTATTCCTTTTTATTGCTAAGCAGTATTCCATGGTATGGATGTATCACTCTTTGTTTAACCATTCACCCATTGAAGGTCATCTAGGTTGTTTCCAACTTTTGGTTATTATAAATAAAGCTGCTGTAAGACATGTGTGTACAAATTTATATTCCATGAATATAAATTTTCATTTCTCTGGGATAAATACCCAGAAGTACAATCGCTGGGTCATATAGTAGTGACATGTTTTTAAAGAAACTGACAAAGTGTTTTCCAGAGTGATTGCATCATTTTATACTCCCCCAACAATGTATTAGTGATCCACTTTCTCTGCATCCTTGCCAGTATTTGGTGTTATAATTTTTTCTTGTAGTCATTCTGATAGGTATATAGTGATATCTAATTGTGATTTTAATTTGCTTTTCCCTAACGGCTACTGATGTAGAACATCTTTTCATGTGCTCTTCTTATGTTTGTTTTATATATAGCATCTGGGGTTTTATTATTTATTTATTTATTTATTTTTGAGGTGAAGTCTCGCTCTGTCACCCAGGCTGGAGTGCAGTGGTGCGATCTCAGCTCACAGCAACCTCTGCCTCCCGGGTTCAAGCGATTTTGCCTCAGCATCCCGAGTAGCTGGGATTACAGGCACCTGCTGCCACGCCCAGCTAATTTTTATATTTTTAGTAGAGACTAGGTTTCACCATGTTGGTCAGGCTGGTCTCGAACTCCTGACCTCAGGTGATCTGGCCACCTCGGCCTCCCAAAGTGTTGGGATTACAGGCTTGAGCCATTGCACTAGGCCTAATGTCTGGGGTTTTTAAATTATTTTTGAAGCAGCAGGTCGGGGGAAGTACCACATTGTCTCTTATAATGGGTCAAAATAGAGTCATGGTTAAGAGATCAAGTTCTGTTCTCACATGGCCAAGGTCCAAATGCTGGCTTACCCATGTCTGGCTTTGCATGGGTAAACTTGCAAACATTGGGCAACCTCTCTTTCTTCAGTTTTCCAATCTGCAACATGGGGATAGCACCTACCTTGTTTTGAGGATTTAATGAGCTAATCCATGCAAAACACTTCAAACAATATGTCCAATTATTTTTAGTTATTATACAGAATTCATAGGCATTTCATAAAATTGATCATAGTTTCACAACATTTTAAAATTTGCTTCATTCCCTTCTGATATTTAATATTATAGAAAACAATTTTGATGCCAACTTATTTTTGCCTTTTAAAGTAACCTTTTCTGGGTGTGTCAGTATAGCTTGCGGGATTTTTGTTTTTCTTTGCAATTCCTAGCTGTCATCAGCCTATGTATGAGGAAGTGTCTCTTCATGCCTGATAAATACTTGATAAGCTCTTTCAATCTCAAATTGCAAGTGCTTCTGCAACTCACAGAATCATGAATAGATCTGGTTCAGATTCTCTGAATTTCTAAGCATGATGAAGCCCCATTTCTTTACCTAATGTTCAGTTCCTTTAATCATTTCTGAAATTGGGAGGAGATGGGTATACAGAAAGGAAGAGCATTTGAAACCTGATTATTGTATTCAAAACCACAGATTCATAAGCAAGGCTTACCAGCATTTACTCTATGGTTCATAGTGAAATAACATATTGAACATTAAAAAATTTATATATTATTATTATTATTTGAGACAGTCTGGACACTCACCCACGCTGGAACACAGTGGCCATGATCTCGGCTCACTGCAACCTCCACCTCCTGGGTTCAAGTTATTCTCCTGCCTTAGCCTCCCAAGTAGCTGAGATTACAGGCATGTGCCGCCACACCAAGCTAATTTTTGTATTTTTAGTAGAGACAGGGTTTCACTATGTTGGCCAGGCTGGTCTTGAACTCATGACTTCAGGTGACCCACCCACCTTGGCCTCCCAGAATGTTGGGATTACAGGCGTCAGCCACCGTGCCTGGCCAATAATGTCTATATATTTTAAAGTGTAATAAACACCCTTAAAGTATAAGGATGAAAAAACTTCCAAGTGGCAAGGAAGAGACAGTCAAGTCAGTGGTAACATAATAATTTCAAACCACTTCCCAACCATGTTCTAACCCTTAAAAGCTATCTACAAATTATGTGAGAAGCATCTTCATGTTTTTTCATATTTGTTTTACAACAAATAGAATGCAGAATTCTAAAATGAGTTTGATTACATGCACAAAGCTATCCCCATAGGTAATGAACATTTGGCTTAATGGCTGTAAATATGGATTGGTAAATTAATTATGGAACATCTGAAATTAAATATGTGGTTGTTAAAATAAGTTAGATATGTGCACTGATATGCAAGGTAGTAGTAGATATAGAATTGTATGAAAACATAGATTATACATGTGTGAATATGTATAATTTATATATTCAAAAACATTTATGGAAAGGCATTTATTGGCTGGAAATGATAAACAAACTCTGAAGATTGTAGGACTAAGTACTAGGTGATAGACCAAAGACTTATTTTAAAACTTTTTCTATCATTTGAAAAATTTTAACATTGTACAGTATAAAAACAATAGTAGTAGTTGTTGTTGTTTTGAGACAGGGTCTCATTCTGTTGTCCAGGCTGAAGTGCAGTGACGCGATCTCAGCTCATTGCAACCTCCACCACCCAGGCTCAAGTGATTCTCCTGCCTCAGCCTCCCAAGTAGCTGGGATTACAGGCATGCGCCACCAAGCCCAGCTAATTTTTTGTATTTTTAGTTGAGACTGGGTTTCACCACGTTGGCCAGGCTGGTCTCGAACTCATGACCTCAAGTGATCTGCCTTTCTCAGCCTCCCAAAGTGCTGGGATTACAGGTGTGAGCCACTGTGCCTGGCCTAGTCCTGTTAAAAAAAAAGAGAAAATATTGAGATATGGATGTTAGGATCTACCTGAATATAGAAATAAGCGTTGGTTGGCTGGGTGCAGTGGCTCACTCCTGTAATCCCAGCACTTTGGAAGGCTGAGGCGGGTGGATTGCTTGAGCTCAAAAGAGTTTGAGATCAGCCTAGGCAACATGGCAAGACCCTGTCTTTACACAAAATACAAAAATTAGCTGGATGTGGTGGAATGCACCTGTAGTTCCAGCCACCTGGGAGGCTGAAGTGGGAAGATCACTTGAGCCTCGGGGGTGGAGGTTGCAGTGAGCTGAGATCGCTTCACTACACTGCAGCCTGGGCGAGAGTGAGACCCTGTCTCAATTAAAAATATATATATATTTAAAAAAAGAAATAAATGATGGTGCCAAATTTTGTATTTATCTAAGATGCTGTGTTTTCTTTGTATCTCTTAACAAGAAGTTATTAGACCAAATTAATAATAGGGAAAACAAAAATCTTGGCTGTTATTGCAGAACACTGAACCCACGTGTATTAGGCTGTTCTTACATTGCTATAAATAAATATCTGAGACTGAGTAATTTATAAGAAAAGAGGTTTAATTGGCTCATGATTCTGCGAGAGAGAGGGTGAGGAGGGTTTGTCACACTCTGTTTTTGTTGTTGTTGTTGTTTTTGATACAGGGTCTCATTCTGTGGCCCAGGCTGGGGTGCAGTGGTGCAATCATAGCTCACTGCAGCCTTGATCTCCCAGGCTCAAGCGATCCTCCACCTCAGCCTCCCTAGTAGCTGGGACTACAAGCGTGTACCACCATGCCCACCTAATTTTTGTATTTTTTGTAGACACCATGTTTTGCCTTACTTCCCAGGCTGGTCTCGAACTCCTGGGCTCAAGCAGTCGTCCTGCCTCAGCCTCCCAAAGTGAGGGGATTACAGGTGTGAGCCACCATACCTGGCCACCATGCATTTAATACTTGCATTATCCTTGGGCTATCAGGTCTTTGAGATTATTTGAATTTATATTCACAAGTGCTAGTATATAGATACAGAATATATATAAATATATATATATATATTCACTTATTCAGTATAAAATGTCACATACTATCATACCTTTAAGGTATGACCACAATTATGTATCAAATGAACTGTAAACATAGTTTAATAAGTTATATTTGTTTGGGAAGGAATTTATGTGATCTTAATTTTTGGCAAATGCTCTTATATTTGTTTTTGTAAGCTATTTAGAGTGGTGGGTGACACTCATATGGTATAGAACATCTTTTAGTCCTTTTAGGTGTCTCTTTATCATAACCATTACTTTTAAGCATAAACTGAAATGTTAAATGAAAGTATAGCATTATTTTTATATATATAAAATCTTGTAAAAGTCCTAATTCATTAAGGCTGACATTTTTCTTTCTTTCTTTTTTCTTTTGAGACAGAGTCTCACTCTGTTGCCCAGACTGGAGTGCAGTGGCATGATCTCGGCTCCCTGCCACCTCCAACTTCCAAGTTCAAGCAATTCTTGTGCCTCAGCCTCCCGAGTAGTTGGGACTACAGGTGTGTGGCACCATGGCTGGCTAATTTTTATATTTTTAGTACAGATAATGTTTCACCATGTTGGTCAGGCTGGTCTTGAACTCCTGGTCTCAAGCGATCTGCCCACCTCAGCCTCCCAAAGGGCTGGGATTACAGGCATGAGCCACTGCACTCAGCCAAGGCTGACATTTTTCAATGAACTTGTTGTAGTCTTTAAAACAAATAATATTTTAAAATAGACATACATTAATACAAATATTACACTGCATCAAAATAAACTAAAAGTAACGGTAGATTAATGGCAGTAGGTTCTAGGGAATAAAACCATTTGAAAATTGCTTCTTTGCTAGATAAACAATTCTGTTTCAAGGAATGAACAACACTTTAAAAAATAAAGTTTTTGCCAGGAGTGGTGGCTCATACCTGTAATATCAGCACTTTGGGAGGCCAAGGCATAAGGATTGCTTGAGTCTAGGAGTTCAAGACGAGTCTAAGCAACATAGGGAGACCCTGTCTCAATTTTTATTATTATTTTAATATATATTAAAAAAATAAGGCTCCTTAACTTCACTAAAGAAATCAATAGAGTATAACTAGAAGAATATATTCTACAGAAAATGATTTATAGTATCTATAAGATCATGGAGAATAGGAAGAAACTTGTGTTTCAATAAACTAATTTTTATAAAATTATGAAGTTACAGAACCGATATGGCAGGACATTGAATTATTTCACAAAATGTGAAAATTCATAATTGCATTTGAGTCCTGGTTTGTCTTGTTAGAAAGGGAAGGCTCTCTAACACTGCTCTCAACCCATTGAGATCCATGGATGAGTAAAGATCCTTGCAGATCACAGAACAGGAGCAACCAGAATGGCTGATCAAGAAACTTACTCTGGGCAGGGCACAGTGGCTCATGCCTGTAATCCCAGCACTTTGGGAGGCCGAGGTGTGTGGATCATTTGAGGTCAGGAGTTTGAAACCAGCCTGGCCAACATGGTGAAACTCCATCTCTACTAAAAGTAAAAAAATTAGCCAGGCATGGAGGTGGGCACCTGTAATCCAGCTACTCAGGAGGCTGAGATAGGAGAATTTCTTGAGTCCGGGAGGCTGGAGGTTGCAGTGAGCAGAAATCACACCATTGCACTCTAGCCTGGGCAACAGTCTCAAAAAAAAAAAAAAAGAAACTCACTCTGCTGTAGGTTCAGTCCCTGCCTTTCCTGCTGGCTATGATACAGGGTATGGACTGATGACTACTGACTATAAAAATGGTCCCAGTTCTCCACTCTTTCCTCTATTTTCATCCTTTGCAATGTGATTTTGCAGTTGTCACCATCAAGAGGTGGTGCTGGTTTTCTCATCTATTGAATCTGGACTGACCTTGTGTGATATGTTCTTCCAATAGAATGCAGGTGAGTGACAGTGTGCTAGTTCTCAGTCTAGGCCTCATGAAGCCTTATGTGCTTCAATTCTCTTCCTTGGAATGCTGCAACCACTATATGGCAAGTCCAGGCTTGCCTGCTGTAGGATAAGGGACCACATGGAGCAGAGATGAGTTTCCCAACTGAAACCATCCTAGACCTCCCAATCCTCAGCCTATCGAGCAGCTGATGGTGGATGCATGAGCTAGCCCAGCCAAGATGTGCTGAGCATGGTTAGGATCAAAATCACCCAGGAGCCCTGCAGACTTGTAAGCTAAATAAGTGCCTTTTGAATTAAGTCAGTAAGTTTTGAGGAAGTTTGTTACATGCATAGCTAATTGATGTATGAAGTAAATATCAAGTCATCTATTTCAAAACAAAATAAGACAAAATCTCCTTCAACTATTTACTCTAGAGTAGTCATCCCATCGTTCACTTTTTCATGTCGAGTTATTTATTTATTTATTTATTTTGAGACAGAGTCTCACCCTGTTGCCCAGGCTGGAATGGAGTGACACGATCTCAACTCACTGCAACCTTTGCCTCCTGGGTTCAAGCAATTCTCCTGCCTCAGCCTCCCAAGTATCTAGGATGAGAGGTGCCTGCCACCACACCCGGCTGATTTTGTATTTTCAGTAGAGACAGTGTTTCATCATGTTGGCCAGGCTGGTCTCGAACTCCTGACTTCAAGTGATCCACCCACCTCAGCCTCCCAAAGTGCTGGGATTACAGGTGTGAGCCACCACACCCAACCAAGTTTTTTAAAACAATAGCCTATGCCTTACCTTCTCTTAATTCTTTCCCCTACAATTTCACTAAGACTGCTTTTGCTAAAAAGACTAAACATCTTTTTTAAATTTTATTCTATTTTTGAAACTAAAGATCTTGTGTGTGTGTGTGTGTGTGTGTGTGTGTGTGTATTTGAGACATGGTCTCACTCTGTCACCCATGCTGGAGTGCAGTGGCATGATCTTGGCTCACTGCAACCTCCACCTCTCGGGCTCAAGTGCTTCTTGCGCCTCAGCCTCCCAAATAGCCAGGATTACAAAAACGGACCACTAAGCCTGGCTAATTTTTGTATTTTTAGTAGAGATGGGGTTTCACCATGTTGTCCATGGTAGTGTCTAACTCCTGTCCTCAAGCAATCCACCCGCCTTGGCCTCCCAAATTGCTAGGATTACAGGCATGAGCCACTGCACCTGGCTTGTTTTTATTTTATTTTATTTTATTTTTTTTGTAGAGACGAGGTCTCTCTGTGTTGCCCAGCCTGGTCTGGCACTCCTAGGCTCAAGTGATCCTCCCACCTGGGCTTCCCAAAGTGCTGGGATTACAGATGTGAGCCACCGCGCCCAGCTGAGACTAAAGATCTTTTAATTCCCAAGTCCGGTGGACACTTTCTAATGCTTGTCTTACTTAAGTTTCTGCACCATTGGACACAGTTGATGACTCCTTTCTTGACTCTGTCTCCTGGTTTTTCATGACACTACTGTCTTCTGGTTTTCCTCCTGCCTCTGTGGCTATTGCTTTTAATTCTCCAACATGGATCCATCTTCCTCTGCTTCCTCCATTAATGTCCACGTTCTCCAATGATCAGTGCCCAACCCCTTTTTTCCCTCAGTATTTTAGATAGACCACTTTGATGATATTGTGAAAGGTATGTTTTTGTAACCCTTGCATATTCCAAAAAGTCATCATGTTCTCTTCATAAGTGAAAGCCAATTTTATTTCAACTCTGCTATTTGTTTTTACTTTTTTGAAGTTCTTATTTCCGCCACTTTGCTTTTCAAGTCATCCTTTGCTTTATTTTTTAATCCCATCCTGTCATCTTTTTCTCTTTCTTTCCTCTTTTATTTTTCTGCTCTAATTCATGGAGACAGCATCTTCCTGCATTCTATTGAGAATGTCCAAGAGATTTTTAAAAACATTCTTCAGAACTTTGGGAAGATACTTTTTCTTTCTTTCTTTCTCTTTCTTTCTTTCTTTTCTTCTTTCTTTTTCTTTCTTTCTTTCTTTCTTCTTTCTTTTTCTTTCTTTCTCTTTCTTTTCTTTCTTTCTTTCTTTTTCTTTCTTTCTTTCTCTTTCTTTCTTCCTTTCTTCCTTTCTTTCTTTCCCTTCCTTTCCCTTCCTTTCCCTTCTTTCCTTCTTTCCTTCTTTTCTTTTTTTTTTTTTGAGACAGTCTGTCTGTCTCACAGGCTGGAGTGCAGTGGCTCAATCTCGGCTCACTGCCACCTCTGCCTCCCGGGTTCAAGCGAGTCTCATGCCTCAGCCTCCCGAGTAGCTGGCATTACAGGTGCATGCCACCACGCCCAGATAATTTTTGTATTTTTATTAGAAATGGGGTTTCGCCATGTTGGCCAGGCTGGTCTCAAACTCCTGGCCTGAAGTGATCTGCCTGCCTTAGCCTCCCAAAAGGGCTGAGATTACAGGCGTGAGCCACCGTGCCTAGTGGCGATTATTCTTTTAATCTAGTTTTGCACTACATTTTTATAGGCAATTTTTTTCTCTGTCACTCATTCTTACATAAGTTGAGATCATCTAGCCATGCTTTTTTTTTGTCAACAGATAGAGGGGACAGTCCTGGCATTCCTCACTGCACACTCGTGGGGAGATTGAACTCCTTTCTTGGATCTACTGTTTGAGAGGAAGATAAACTGCTGCTAGTCCAGTTGCCAGTTTTTAGGATATTTTCGATTATTCTGGTCCTATTCATGATAGTCTTACCTCACTCCTTGCACTTTGAAACTATCAAGTGCTTGAATATTAATATCCTGGCCAGGTGCAGTGGCTCACGCCTGTGATCCTAGCATTTTGGAAGGCTGGGGCCGGAGGATCACCTGAGCCCAGGAATTAAAGACAAGCTTGGGCAACATAGTGAGACTATGTCTCTACAAAAGAAAAAAAAATATCCCCATTAGGTATGTATATGGTTAATTTTTTTTTTTTTTTTGAGACAGAGTTTTGCTCCTATTGCCCAGGCTGGAGTGCAGTGGTGTGATCTTGGTTCACTGCAACCTCTGCCTCCTGGGTTCCAGCAATTCTCCTGCCCCAGCCTCCCGAGAAGCTGGGATAACAGGTACACGCCACCACACCCAGCTAATCGTTTGTATTTTAGTAGAGACGGGGTTTCACCTTGTTGCCCAGGCTGGTCTCAAACTCCTGAACTCAGGCAATCTGCCCACCTCAGCCTCCCAAAGTGCTGGGATTACAGGCGTGAATCACCGCACCCAGCCTCTATATGGTTAATTTTATGTGTCAACTTGACTGGGCCATAATGTATCCAGATATTTGGTCAGACATTATTTCATGTATGTCTGTAAAGGTATTTCTGGATGAGATTAACATTTGAATTGGTAAACTGAATAAATCAGACTGCCCTCTCCAATGTGAGTGGCCATTATCCAATCTGTTGAAGGCCTGAATAGAACAAAAAGGCTGGGTAATAGAAAACTCCTTCTGCTTGACTGCATTCAAGCTGTGACATTGTTTTTTTCCCTGCCTTCGGACTTGAATTGAAACATGTACTCTTCCTGTGTCTTAAGCCTGTTTGGCTTTGGGACTGGAACTCCATACACCATTGGCTCTCCTGGGTCTCCAGCTTGCTGACGGCCAACTTTGGGACTTGTCAGCCTCCATAATTGCATAAGCCAATTCCTTATAATAAATCTTTTTTTGTACACATCCTATTTGATGTGGTTTGGCTCTGTGTCCCCACTCAAATCTCATGTCAAATTGTAATTCCCAGTGTTGGTGGAGGGGCCTGGCGGGAGGTGATTGGATCATGGGGATGGTTTCTAATGGTTTAGCATCATCCTCCAGTGCTGTCTCATGATGGAGTTCTTACGAGATCTGGTTGTTTGAAAGTGTCTAGCACTTCCCCCTTCACTCTCTCTCTTCCTCCTGCTCTGGCCATGTAAGATGTGCCGGTTTCCCCTTTGCCTTCTGCCATGATTGTAAGTTTCCTGAGGCCTCCCCAGCCATGCCTCCTGTACAGCCTGTAGAACTATGAGTCAATTAAACCTCTTTTCTTCATAAATTACCCAGTCTCATGTAGTTCTTTATAGCCGTGTGGGAATGGACTAATACACTATTGGTTCTGTTTCTCTGAGGAACCCTGACTGATACAGCACCCCTATTGGGATTCTTCCAGTTTTGACCCTCTGCCTTTGAAACTTTATGCATGGAGTCTATACCTGCAATATACTACCACCAGCCTTCCAGAGCACTACTTTCTGCCCAATCAGTCTTTGGTTGTTACCTCTGAATTGTAAAAACTGATAATGAAATTGGCTAACATTAATAGGAACATATTCTGACTCAAAGATTATGCTAAGGATTTTACATCTACTGTCCTAGTTAATGTAACAATATAGAAAGATATGGGGGGATGGGAGAGTGAGGTGAAGAATAAGAAGAAAGAATCAGGCTGGGCACAGTGGCTCACACCTTTAATCCCAATACCTTGGGAGGCTGAGGAGGGAGGATCACTTGAGGCCAGCAGTTCAGGACCAGCCTGGGCAGCATAGCAAGACCTCATCTCTAAAAACAGTTAGCCAGGCATCCAAGATCAGGTGCTGGCAGAAAAAAAAAAAAAGAAGAAGAAGAATAATCAGTGAATCAGTGCTGTGGCTGCCACATAATTTGGGATCTATGAGCAATATACTCTCTGCCCAATATTCCAATTGCTGCAGAATCTCTGAATGCAAGAATAACAGGGCTGATAAAAAAAAGTGCTCCTACATCTTTTCAGGCGAGTTAGGTATACTGTGAAGCAATGTCTGAGTGATTTTCTCAGTCAAGTTAGACCGTAAGCTCTGTAAAGGCCAATAGCATGATGGTATTTGTCCACTGTGTATTCCTAGTACCTAGCAAGGTACTTGGCACAGAATAAGTGTTCAAAATTTCCCATTAATGTTTGCCAAATCTAATTTTCAGTTAATAAAGACTCACCCCAGATTCTGATAAGTTGTATATGTCTTAATTTTCCTTGTGTTAATTTTTCTTCTTTTTTTCTGTAGTTTCATAGCTATTTTAGTGGACAATTGGGAGACACTTTATATACGTTTAAACCAGAAGTCACTTTAATGAGTTTTAAACATTGTGTCAAAGCTCAGGAATGGCTCTACTAAAAGTCAATAATCGTATATATTTCATAAATTGAATTAGTTGATTAATGCATAAGAGTTGAAAATATCAAAGAGAAATATTATTTTATGACCCTGAGTAAATATTTCCATTGCTCGGAACCCTTTTCCTTATCTGTACAATGAAGAAAATTACAGACACCCTAAGGTTTGTTATATATATGTGCATAGGGGTGAAGGGACTAACATAATGTATGTAAAACTGCTTTGCAAATGTGAAATCCTAGATATTTTGTTTTATTTTATTTTATTTTATTTTTTGAGACAAAGTCTTGCTCTGTCGCCCAGGCTGGAGTGCAATGGTGCGATCTCAGCTCACTGCAACCTCTGCCTCCCGAGTTCAAGTGATTCTCAAGCCTCAGCCTCCCAAGAAGCTGGGATTACAGGCACATGCCATCACACCCGGCTAATTTTTGCATTTTTAGTAGAGATGGGGTTTCACCACGGTAGTGTCTAACTCCTGTCCTCAAACAATCCACCCGCCTTGGCCTCCCAAAGTGCTGGGATTACAGGCATGAGCCACCGCGCCTAGTCAAAAGCCTATATATTTTAGATGTTTTGGTTGTTATCTTTATTGTTTTCTGCCTTGTGTGCTAATCTACATATATCTTTTTTAAAAAAAAAAAACTCCAACCACATATTTCACTCTGTCACTGCCAGAAGCAACAGTACAGTATTATACTCTCCAATTTCTCTACCAGATTCAAGGGTTATGGCCTCTTTGGCAGGGAGAGAGTTACTGTCAGGAAAATCTTACTGTTGGATCCAGGACAAACCATTAAACAGTTGCATAAGTCTTTGTCAGCTTGGAGTTGTTGTTCTGCAGGTGTTTTGCTATGTTGACACAGCTCATGTTTGCCCTGTTTTACTTATTGCTCTTTCTTTTGGAGGAAATCATAGAGAAAACAGGACTCAAACCACAAACGGAAACAGTTTATCTGTTTAGCTGTTGAACTCCCCGGGAAAGAAGAAAGAAATCAGTTAAGAGATGCATGAGTGAATCTTTTTAAAAATCCATCTTCAAAACACACCAGAGAGAGTAATGAAAGTGATTGATTGATTAGAGGCATTTGCACCAGAGAGACACAAATGCCTCTAATTGAGGCATTAAGGTTAATAATTGTGAAAGTCCCGTCATGCTGAAGGCTCTGCAGAAGGGACGCAGGTAAGTAAAACAAGCCTCTGCCCTCATGGAGCTTCTTGCTCAACAGAGAAAAAGAGCAGGCAAGTGACTCTAACATACAGCAAACCGTAAAAATGTGGCCGTCATCCTCGTGACACCCCCCATTTCAGCAGATCTTAATAATTATTCATAATCAATTATATTTACAGATCTTGTTTCTAAACACACGTGAAAATCTTGTATATTTTATTCTAAACATATGTGAAAATCTTGTTCTCAAATACAGCATTTAATGAGGCCAATGAACAAGCTTTCAGAGAATAATATATTGTTGTCTAGGAAGAAAGGAAGGTTTTGGAAAATACAAGTGACCTGTCCCTGTGCCTTGCTGATGGCCACTGAAAAGGCTGAGCATATAGGAAATAGTCTTCATTCTAATGTGAAAGGCAAATTTGTGTCCCGTGGAATGAGAGGTATGCATGGTATGAGAACAGGACCCAGGGTCATTGCAGGGCTCACAGTTGTAAGGCATATTTCATGAGTTATATTCCTCCACATGGATCATTGCTTGTTAGTTATCACATTCATTACTTCTATTAGATCAGTCCTAGGGTGTTTAATTATTCCTGTAATTTTCATTTGTTCTTCCCTTTCTTCATCATTCTCTGTCTTTGGTATTGTGGAATTTCATTTCAGTCTCGAAGTCCATTTGATCTCATCCAAGTGCTAGTTCAGGAGCATTTGTGTTCTGTTTTCTCAGAGTCTTTGTACATAGCTCAGCAATTCTTATATTTCTTAAAACTTTTATCTGTTGGATGAAGTAAAGGCTCAGAACTATATATGATTTTTATAAACACCTACATTCTAAGTCTGAATAGATTATGTGTATTTGATATTTTACAGAGTAAAAATTTGAAGATTACTTTTACACAATTAAATACTTGTTTATAGCTTACAAACAAGCTGTATAAACTATTAATCATGATCTATCACCTGACAAGGCTAATATTTATCTAACGTTTCTTTTCTTTTCTTTCTTTTTTTCTTTCTTTTCTTTTTTTTTTTGAGACAGGGTTTTTTTTTTTTTTTTTTTTGAGACAGCCTGTCACCCAGGCTGGAGTGCAGTGTCATGATCTCAGTTTACTGCAACCTCCGCCTCCTGGGCTCAAGTGATCCTCCCACCTCAGCCTCCTGAGTAGCTGGGACTACAGGCATGCACCATCACATCTGGCTAATTTTTGTATTTTTTGTAGAGATGGGGTGTATTAGTCTGTTTTCATACTGCTGATAAAGACATACCCTAGACTGGGAAGAAAAAGAGGTTTAATTGGACTTACACTTCCACATGGCCAATGAGGCTTCACAATCATGGCAGGAGGTGAAAGGCACTTCTTACATGGTAGTGGCAGGAGGAAATGAGGAAGAAGCAAAAGCGGAAACCCCTGATAAACCCATCAGATCTCGTGAGACTTATTCACTATCATGAGAATAGCATGGGAAAGACTGGCCCCCATGATTCAATTACCTTCCCCTGGGTCCCTCCCATAACACAGGGGAACTCTGGGAGATAAATTCAAGTTGAGATTTGGGTGGGGACACAGCCAAACCATCTCATCCCACCCCGGCCCCTCCAAATCTCATGTCCTCACATTTCAAAACCAACCATGCCTTCCCAACAGTCCCCCAAAGTCTTATTTCAGCATTAACCCAAAGTCCACAGTCCAAAGTCTCATCTGAGACAAGGCAAGTCCTTTCTGCCTATGAGTCTGTAAAATCAAAAGCAAGCTAGTTACTTCCTAGATACAATGGGGGTACAGGTATTGGGTAAATACAGCTGCTCCAAGTGGGAGAAATTGGCCAAAACAAAAGGGTTACAGGCCCCATGCAAGTCCAAAATCCAGTGGGGAAGTCAAATTTTAAAGCTCCAAAAAATGATCTCCTTTGACTCCAGGTCACGCTGATGTAAGAGGTGGGTTCCCATGGTCTTGGGCAGCCCTGCCCCTGTGGCTTTGTAGGGTACAGCCTCCCTCCTGGCTGCTTTCATGGGCTGGCATTGAGTGTCTGTGGCTTTTCCAGGTGCATGGTGCAAGCTGTCAGTGGACAATGGTAAATGGTACCAATTTACCATTCTGGGGTCTGGAGGACAGTGGCCCTCTTCTCACAGCTCCAGTAGGCAATGTCCCAGTAGGGAGTCTGCGTGGGGCCTCTGACCTGATATTTCGCTTCTACACTTCCCTAGCAGAGGTTCTTCATGAAGGCCCCACCCCTGCAGCAAACTTCTGCCTGGGCATCAGGGGTTTCCATATATCTTCTGAAATCTAGGCAGAGGTTCCCAAACCTCAATTCTTGACTTCTGTGCATGCACAGGCTCAACACCACATGGAAGCTGCCAAGGCTTGGGACTTCCAACCTCTAAAGCCACAGCCCAAGCTGTACATTGACCCCTTTCAGTCATGGCTGGAGCAGCTGGGACACAGGGCCCCAAGTCCCTAGGCTGCACACAGCATGGGGACCCTGGGCCTGGCCCACAAAACCACTTTTTCCTCCTGGGCCTCCAGGCCTGTGATGGGAGGGGCTGTCATGAAAGTCTCTGACATGACCTGGAGACACTTTCCCCGTGGTCTTGGGGATTAATATTAGGCTCCTTACTACTTATGCAAATTTCTGCAGCTGGCTTAAATTTCTCCTCAGAAAATGGGTTTTTCTTTTCTACTGCATCATCAGGCTGAAAATTTTCTGAACTTTTATGCTGTGTTTCCCTTTTAAAACAGAATGCTTTTAACAGCATCCAAGTCACCTTTTGAATGCTTTGATGTTTAGAAATTTCTTATGCCAGATACCCTAAATCATCTCTCTCAAGTTCAAAGTTCCACAAATCTCTAGGGCAGAGGCAAAATGCTGCAGTCTTTTTGCTAAAACATAACGAGAGTCACATTTGCTCCAGTTCCCAACAAGTTCCTTATCTCCATCTGAGACCACCTCAGCCTGGACCATATTGCTTATATCGCTATCAGCATTTTTGTCAAAGCCATTCAACAAGTCTCTAGGAGGTTCCAAACTTTCCCACATTTTCATCTCTTCTTCTGAGCCCTCTAACTGTTCCAACCTCTGCCTGACACTCAGTTCCAAAGTTGCTTCCATATTTTTGGGTTTCTTTTCAGCAATGCCCCACTCTACCGGTACCAATTTACTGTATTAGTCTGTTTTCATGCTGCTGATACAGACATACTTGAGACTGGGAAGAAAAAGAGGTTTAATTGGACTTACACTTCCACATGGCCAGGGAGGCCTCAGAATCATGGCGGGAAGCGAAAGGCACTTCTTACATGGTGGTGACAAGAGAAAATGAGGAAGAAGCAAAAGTGGAAACCCCTGATAAACTCATCAGATCTTGTGAGACTTATTCACTATCATAAGAATAGCATGGGAAAGACTGGCCCCCATGAATCAATTACCTCCTCCTGGGTCCCTCCCAAAACACACACGAATTCTGGGAGATGCAATTCAAGTTGAGATTTGGGTGGGGATAAAGCCAAACCATATCATGGGGTTTCACCATGTTGGCCAGGCCAATTTTAGAGGGAAATTATTCTGTGTTTCAACATTAAGTATGATGTTATCTGTAGAATTTTTGTTGAGAATTTTCATCAGGAATGGATGTTGTGTTTTGTCAAATGCATCTGCTGTGTCCATTGAGATGATTACATAATTTTTCTTTTTTTGGTTTATTAATATGGTGAATTACATTTATTGATTTTTGAATGATAAACCAACCTTGCATTTCTAGAATAAACCTCACTTGGCCATGATGCTCTTAATATGCTGTTGGATTTAATTTTGATAAAATTTTGTTTAGAATTTATGTTCATGGGGAATACTTCTCTCTAATGTTTTCTGACTATATTTTCTCATTTCTTTATTCCTCCTTGCAAATCTATTAGTTTTTTGCCTCATGTAATTAAAAGATCTGTAATTTGGTGCACAGACTTGTGTTTTGTGTTTGAGGGTTCACTTAGCTTGGTGGATCTGCGGGTTTACAACTTTTGTCATATGTGGAAAATTTAGGGCCATTAAATATTTTTCTGTCCTCTCTCATCTCCTTTGCAGATTCTAATTACAAATACATTAGGTCACTTGAAGTTATCCCACAATTCACTGATGCTCTTTTCATTAAAAAATTCTTTTTTCTCTTGTCTTTCACTACAATAGTTTCTATTGGTCTATCTTCCAGTTTATTAATATTTACTCCTTCAATGATTAATCTGTCATTAACCCCATCTAGAGATTTTTCATCTCATGCATTCTACTTTTTATGTCCAAAAGTTCAATTTGGGTCTTCTAAAAACATCTTCCATGTCTCTATGTAAATTTCTGAAGATATGCAATGCAGTTATAATAACATGTTTTAAAGTTCTTGTCTATTAGTTCTAATCTCTATGTCAGTTTTGAGTCAGTTTGAACTGACTCAAATATTTCTCCTCATTAGGGGTCCTATTTTCTGCTTGTTTTATTTCTGATAACTTTTACCTGGATGCCAGACATAGTAAACTTTACTTTGTTAGGTGCTGGATATTTTATATTCCTGTAAATATTCTTGAGCTTTGTTCTGGGGTGCAGTTACATTACTTGGAAGCAGTTTGATTCATTTGGGTCTTGCTTTGAGTTTTGTTAGGTAGGACCAGCACAGTGCTCAGCCTAAGGCTAATTGCCCACAATACTGAGGCAAGAGCCTTCTGTATACTCAACCCCATGCCCAGGGAATTACAGTATTTTTCCAGTCTGTCCAGTGGGAGCAGGCACTATTCGTGGCCCTCTGTGTGGAATGGGTGCTGTTTCTTTAATCCTTTTGAATGGTGCTTTTCCCAGTATCAAGTAGTTTCCTCATATGCATCCACTGCTCAATGTTCTGCCGCACACTTAAGGGGGACCTTCTGCAGATACCTGGATCCTTCCTTCCTTCCCTCCCTCCCTTCCCTCCCTCCCTTCTCTTTTCCTTTCTTTTTTTTATTTTCTTTCTTCCTTCCTTCCTTCCTTCTTACTTTTATTTTCTTCCTTCCTTCCTTCCTTCTTTTGTTTTCTCTTCTCTTCTCTTGGTTTCTTTTCTTTCCTTTTCTCTTCGTTTCTTTTCTTTTCTTTCTCAGGGTCTCACTCTTTCACCCAGGCTGGAGTGCAGTGGCACAATTGTAGTTCACTGCAGGCTTGACCTTCTAGGCTCGAACAATCCTCCCACCTCAGACTCCCAAGTAGCTGGGACTACAGACGTGCACCACCACACTCAACTAATTTTTGTATTTTTTCTAGAGAAGTGGCCTCACCATGTTGTCCAGGCTGACCTCAAACTCCTACTCAAGCAATCCTCCTGCCTCGACCTCCCAAAGTGCTCGGATTAACAGGCATGAGCCACTGTGTGGAGCCTGGATTTCTTTTTTTATGAAATAGTCTCCTCTCCATTACTCTGTCCTCAACACTCTAGCTTCCACTGTCTTTGTGGACTCTCAATTTCATCTCCTCAATTAGAGGAGTTCACTGGGTTTTGCCTGGTTTCTCTGTATGTTGCAGCCTAGAAACTCTTAAACTTTCTCATAGTGGTAAAACGAGCATTTGTAGCACTCGACTTGTTCACTGACTGTTTCTCAGGGATCACTGTCCTTCATTGCCTCTACTCAGTGCCTTCAAAGCTATTATTTCATATATTTCATCTGTCTTGTTGTTGTTTGGTTGCTTCATGTGTTAGAGTAAATCAACTTCTATTTCTCTATCTGGGCTGGAAACAGAAGTCTCTGGTTTTGTTTTGTTTTGTTTTTAAATGCTATTTTAAGTGGATTTTATAACATTAATTTTCTAATTACTTCTAGAAATACAATTGATTTTTGTATATTGACCTTGTATCCTCCAAATAGTACGGTTTTAACAAGATTATTGGATCATTCACATACACACATCTGAAGAGAGGTAAATATAAAGTGATTGGGGGATTAAGGAGCAAGAACTCACAGTATATAGAAGAAATTACTAAAAGAGCTGCAAGGAAGAGGTGGGATTTGAAGGATATATAGGATATGTTATAAAGAAAAGCTGCAGCATGAACAAAGCACAGAAGGAGGCCTAATCAAGGGCTGAGAAGTTCAATTTGAATTAAAGGTCAGTTTTGAGCAGAAGATTTCAGAAAACCGAAGTCGCTACACATATATTATGTATATGTATATATAACTGCGATAAGAGAGTCTTCTCAGACCAGGTTAAATCTTTCAAGATAAGTTTTATTTTTCTTTCATAAAGTGCTCACAATTCGAATTAACTTTTTTTAAGCCTATATCTGTAATGTTTATCTTCCACAAGAGACTGAAAATTCAGTGAGGGCAGAAATCACTCGTTTTCACTTTTTGTTGTGTTTATGGCATTTAAAAATAAATATTCATTGAATTAATTAATAAATGAGGCTGGGCGCAGTGGCTAACACCTGTAATCTCAGCACTTTGGGAGGCTGAGGTGGGTGGATCGCCTGAGGTCGGGAGTTTGAGACCAGCCTGACCAACATGACCCTACTAAAACTACAAAAAACATTAGCTGGGTGTGGTCATGGGCACCTGTAATCCCAGCTACTTGGGAGGCTGAGGCAGGAGAATTGCTTGAACCCAGGAGGTGAAGGTTGCAGTGAGCTGAGATCATACCATTGCGTTCTAGCCTGAGCGACAGAGCAAGACTCCATCTCAAAAAAATAAATAAGTAAATAAACAAAATGAAACTAGGATAAGCAGAAGTATGAATTTAATTTTATGTGCAAATGGGAGTCTTCAAATGTGTTTATTGGCTGGGCATACACCTATAGTCCCCCGACTTGGACGTGCTGGCATACACCTATAGTCCCAGCTACTCGGGAGGCTGAGATGGGAGAATCACTTGAGCCTGGGAGGTTGAGGATGCAGTGAGTCGTGATAGTGTTACTACAGCCCAGCATCCTGGGCAACCAAGGGAGACCCTGTCTCAAAAAAATTACATAAATAAATACATAAATAAATAAAAATAAATAGAAGTATTTGTTTTGGGGGATGATATATGTAGAGTTATGCCTTAGGAAGATTTTTTCTGGCAGCATATGGTGAATAAATTAGAAGAGACCAGGCATAAGGACAGCAGTTAGTAGGCTACTTTAATTGTTTATTTTATTTTGTCTTCCAGCTTTATTAAGGTATAATTGACAAATAAAAATTATATATATTTAAAGTGTACATGTGATGATTTAATATATACTGTAATAGTTTAGACAGGAGGCAAGGTGAAACTGAACCATGGCAGTGACCTAAAAACGGGATGGAAATGGATACAAAAGATTCTGTAGAGGGAAAACCAGTACAACAGAAATCGGAGATGAGAAGAAATAGAGAAATCAGTGACATACCTGACTGACATTTTGGGAGCAGAGAATTAGGAGGAAAATGGTGCCATTCACAGAAATAGGAACCTAACAGGAAGAGCTGCTTTGAGGAGGTAGCTATCAATCTTGAGTGTCGTTTACCTATGCGCTTTGTAGGTGAATCTATTGATCAGGCAATTGGAAATGTAGTTCTGGATCTCAGAACTGAGTAGTGGTTTAGAGACACTGATGTGAGAATCATGCCCCTAAAGGGGACATTTAGTTCTAGGATACTGATGAGGTTAGTGAGAGAGAGAGAAAGAGAGAGAGAGACAGAGAGAGAGAGAGAGAGAGAGGTAGACAACACAGTGGAGAATCCCAAAGAGACAGATTTGGGGGCATAAGCTTTAGGAGGCAGAAGGATACCAACAAAGGATATGGATTAGTAAAGTTTTCCAGAGTTGGGAGCAGACTCTAGAGAGCGTAAAGGAAAGGAAAAGACAGCGCTCTGAAAGTGAAAAGGTTGGCATCTAGAGTGCCAGAACTAGGTCTCCACTCCAATGACATTCCTGACAATGTCCCCTAACATCACACTACATCCTGTTCTTTGTAACATTCTTCAGAAAAATAGATTTGTTCTCAGGCCTATATTCTGTTTTCACTCATGTCATTCTTGTCTGTTTTGCTAGGAAACCTGTGGAAACACTCATTTTGGATGCTGCCGGCTCTTGTCAGTGACTTCGAAAGAGAAAAGACTCTGAATCTGATCATCATTAGAGGGTGGTGGTGGTTAAAATAATATAGGTTAATAAATATTTTTAGGAGCTTTCTCTTTCTATTAGAGCAGCAGATACAACTAACAAGTACATCAACTTTTCCTCGCCAATTCTTTAAGTAAATTAAACATGCTCTATATTTGTTTAGGTTTAAACTTGATTAAGACATATATGTATTTTCTTTCTTCATCTAATTAGTGATTTACTGTTATTATCTGAAAGTCATACAAGACTATTTAAAGGTGAGTAACATTTTATGAGTGCACTATATAGTACTATAAGGCCTGGAACAGCATGTCTTTTGTTCCAAGACTGTCAAATATGCATCCTGAAAGGCAAAAGTGTGCAATGAGGGGTGCAGAGAATTCTGACTTTCTGATTTCCTTTTTTTTTTAACCTTAAGAAAAAAGAAAGACATTGGAGATAGTTAAGCTGATGGACTTAGTTTCTGCCTTAAATAAGGAACTAATATGGGACAATCATGTGTGCTATTGTCATTTTCAAAAACTAGAACAAATAAACAGACAAACAAACAAGAAGATAACGGTTCTACCCACGGAATCCATTGTTAGCATCTGTGAGAAGAATATTGAGTCTGCTTATTTCTGTAATGGGCATTTCTACGTAGGAAGAACTGACCCCATCATAAGCAAGTGTCATTGAAATACTTTCTATTAGTCTAGAGAAGCTCGCAAGTTCATTTAGTTCAGAGAAGAGTTGCAATTATTGTCCTGAAAGAGCTAGTGTGTAGACCTCGAAAAGAGGGTAGCCACTTTAAGGGCAAGAGATCTCTTTATAATGCAGTCAATAAAGGCAAATACATGTTCTAAAATGTAAGCTTAGTTGTCTCACTACTGCCCCAAGCATAATTCTAATACCAAAGTTTTTTTTTAAAATATATTTTAATTTTTTAAAAAATACAGCTGGGTCTCACTATGTTGTCCAGGCTGGTCTTGCACTCCCGGGCTCAAGTGGTCCTCCTCCCACCTTGGCCTCCCAAAGTGCTGGGACTATAGGCATAAGCCACCACATCCAGCAAACACCGAAGTTTTGAGTAGGTTGATTCTTCTTTGAGAGCCTCTGTTCTGTGCGTATATTAACACCTTTTTCTAGGTTTAAAATTTATTTTTATAGGGGCCAGGCATGGTGGCTCACACCTGTAATTGCAGTGCTTTGGAGGGTCAAGGCAGGAGGATTTGCTTGACGCCAGGAGTTTGAGATCAGCTTGGGCAACATAGCAAGACTCTGTCCCTACAAAAAATAAAAACTAGTGTAGCCAGGCATGGGGGTTTGCTCCTATAGGCCTAGCTACTCAGGAGGCTGAGGTGAAAGGATTCCTTGAAGTTCAAGGCTGCAGTGAGCTATGATTGCATCATTGCATTCCAGTCTGGGTGACAGAGGGAGACTCTGTCTCTAAAAAATAATAATAATAATTAATAAAAATAAAAATTTATTTTATAAATAGATGCCTTTTTTTTTCAAAAGAAAACAAGGACAATTTTAAGAGCATTTCCATGGATATTCCCTTTTCCCTTGCCAAAAAGTAATGAGACAAGCCTACAGGCTCAGTTCCATTTTGGTCAAATTGCAAATATGTGACATTTTAGGAATCTTGGGCTGTTTTATTCTTCACACCCATTTAATCACAGTTTGCTGACTGGGGTTTGATGGAATAAAGTAGTTCTGTAGATTCACTGCAGTTCTGTTTCTGGGATTTTGTAGCAACTATGGTTTCAGAGGAGAATGGAAAAAATAAACACACTTAGCAACTCAAAGGCCAGCTGACTTAAAACTGGCTTGGACATTCTGGACTCATCACCATGACTTTTTCAATTTTTTTTTTTGTTCTACATTGTAAACAGACTAGTGTGGATTCTTCTTTTGTATATTTATATTTAAGGAAGGACCAGGTTGGAAAATTCCTCTTGTGGTATACATTTATATAACTTTTAAAAACAAAATAAGGCCAGGCACGGTGGCTCACGCCTGTAATCCCAGCACTTTGGGAGGATGAGGCAGGTGGGTCACTTGAGGTCACGAGTTTGAGACCAGTCTGGTGGTGAAACCCCGTCTCTACTAATAATATAAAAAAATTAGCCGGACGTGGTGGCATGCACCTGTAGTTCCAGCTACTCGGGAGGCTGAGGCATGAAAATCGCTTGAAACCGGGAAGCGGAGGTTGCAGTGAGCCGAGATCGCGCCACTGCACTCTAGCCTGCGTGACGGAGAGAGACTCTGTCTCGGCAAAACAAAACAACAACAAGAAAAAGAAGTCACAGTTTTCATATGTATTAAAACTGAAAGCAAAGACTTGAAAGAAATGTATTTATTGACTAATGACACCATTTCCTTCCCATTTAGGGGAAAATGGATAACAATATCCTTCACCTTAAGAAAGATTCTCTAGTCTAGAGTGCCAACGAGCTTTAGAAAACATTAATTTAGACCCAGAGACCTGGGGTATGTATGGTGGCTATTGTATTGACTTACATTGTAGGTATCAGAGGGAGAAATGTGGCACAAAACCCTAACTAGTGAAGGTTAATTTAGTTACCCAAGTTTATGCACAAGCATAGCTGGGAGGTTGCCCATTCACTGTGTCTCTTCCTTGGGTCTCCGCAAAACTCTTGAACTTGAACATCCATTATTATGGTGCATTCAATAATTCCTATGATACTTACCCAAAAATACATATGTTTCCTTTTCTCTTTCTTCCTTTTTCTTTCTTTCTTTTTTTTTCTTTCTTTTTTTTTTTTTTTTTTTTTTTTTGAGACAGAGTCTCACTCTGTTGCCCAGACTGGAGTGCAGTGGCATGACCTGGGCTCACTGCAACCTTCACCTCCCAGCTTCAAGCGACTCTCCTGCCTCAGCCTACTGAGTAGCTAGGATCACAGGCACCCATCACCATGCCCAGCTAATTTTTAGATACATATCTTTTAATATAGTCTACATTAAAACTATTTTAAGGACTTGGGCCATATTGAAACAGAACAGTTAGTTTGGAGGGCCATTGTATGGAGTGGAAAATTTGCTGTTGGGACTATGGAAACAATTCAGGCTACATTCTTGCCTGAGTCCTGAGACATTCAGCACAGCATTTTAACACATCCTTTGACATTGATTTAGAAAAATGGCAAAAATGAAAGGTATGGTGGATATCTTTATGGAGCTCACCAAAATTTATCTTCCATTCTTCTGTTTAAAGCACTCCAACTTGTTTTGGAGGAATCTTTTTGCTAACCCAACGGATAGCAGCCATGAAATTGTAGTCATTACAGTGAAATTGCCCCAGGGGTGAACCTGATTGGCTTAAACCAATCAGAACATCCTATCTCTCTAGCCATAAGGATTACTCAGATATGGATATAATCACATTTGCAACAATGAGGCATAACAATATTATAATGAAACTTCTGGGAAAAAAGTTCCCTCACACTTCTAACAACCCCAAAAGAAAATTCTTCCTCTAGATGGGATGGGAAGGTTTTTACTTCTACAGCTATTGTTGCTACTGTGAATGAAGCTGACCTTAAGACAAAACTGAGACATTGGGAGGAGCAGGGAAGAGAGAATTAGAATGAAGTCACTAGAGCCACACTGTCCAGTAGAAATTTCTGTGTTGCTGGAAATTTTCTATATCTGCACTACCCAATATGGTAACCACTAGCCACATGTGGCTACTGAGCATTGAGTTGTGGCTACTGACAGAGGAATTAAGTTTTTAAGTTAGCTAATGAAAATTTAAATTTATCGAACAGTGAATCACGAGGTGGTGCACATAATACCTATGAATAGATCCATATGTCACCTAAACAAAAATCTGTTGCCAACACACACAAGACATCTGATTTTCAGAAAGAATGGATATATTAGATTTATGTGTTCATTCAAAGCTGTTATGGCAGTTAACTTTTGAGCAAGTGACTAGAAGATCAATATCCACTACTCTTTTTTTTGAGACAGAGTCTTGCTCTTGTCATCCAGGCTGGAGAGCAATGGTGTGAACTCAGCTCACTGCAACCCCCATCTCCCAGATTCAAGCAATTCTTCTGCCTCAGTCTCCCAAACAGCTGGGATTACAGGTGCCTGGCACCGCGTCTGGCTAATTTTTGTATTTTTAGTAGAGATGGGGTTTTGCCATGTTGGCCAGGATGGTCTCCATCTCCTGACCTCGTGATCCACCTGCCTTGGCCTTCCAAAGTGCTAGGATTACAGGCAAGAGCCACTGCGCCCAGACCTCGTGATCCACCCGCCTTGGCCTCCCAAAGTGCTGGGATTACAGGCATGAGCCACCGCGCCCAGCCTACTCTTTTTTACATCTGGCATTTTATAGCTGGGAGGACTTGGGCAAATTATATCAAATCTCTGATACTTCAAAGATTAAATGAGATAATCCATATAAAGGACTCAGCATGGAATCTTGCCTGTAATAAATATTCAATGAATGGTAGCCTGCTGCTACCACTGCTACTTACCACTGACATAATATAAATGACTGTCCACCTTTTAGTACCTAGAAATGCCTATATCTGACAGTAATAGGTCACTGAAACATGAACATATCAAAGTTGGAAGAGAGCTAGAGAGCAAGTAATCCAAGAAGATATCATTGCAGAAGGGTAAATTAACTCTCAGTTGTCAAAATGACCAGGCAATTAGTAGAGCACAGAAGAGACATTACAGCCAAGACCTCCTGGCTCAAAATTACAGCCAAGACCTCCTACTTTTTATTTTTGCTTCAACTTTTCCCAGATTTTTCAAACTGCCTGGCATTCTCTATTCAACTTAGCAAACAGGTTAATACTAGTGACTTAGAGAAAATTCCATTCATCTTCTAGGCAGTTTTACAATAATAAGATAATCTTCTCAAGACCATTTAACCTCACGGTTGACTCTAGTTTCACTCTTCAAGACGTGGTGGGAAGGATTTTGCTGTCAGTGTTATTGAATGCCTGAATCATAGCTGTGTCTAAAAGATTTCAAAAGTTCAAGCACTGTTTTGATCTCATTCTCTATTTCCTTTGAAAAAAATGTTCTTAGCAGGGGAAAAAAAAACCCTTTTTCTTGAGTTTATAGCACTGTATCATAATGGTCAAAGGCAGAATTGGGTAAATTCCTCAATGAGTTATGTATTTTCCTCTTTAGTTCCTTCTCTTGTCCGCAGGCCACCATTTTATAGCTTTCAAACTGGAGCCAACAATACCTAAAGTCTAAGTTCCTACTGATTCAATACTGAACGACTTCATCTTTGAGTCAAGATGGCAGGACACCAGGGCACCTATAATTTATGACTACA
Source organism: Homo sapiens (assembly GCF_000001405.40). Classification (NCBI taxonomy): domain Eukaryota; kingdom Metazoa; phylum Chordata; class Mammalia; order Primates; family Hominidae; genus Homo; species Homo sapiens. The sequence goes on from NC_000010.11 coordinate 24,776,090, forward strand.
TAAACAGATACTGTTTGTTCTACATTGACAAATTTTGGAGTTTCAAAGTCATTTCAATCCTTCTTCACATAGCACTGTAGGGATAGACTGGTTGGAATGTAAGTTTTGAAGCTGCATCATCTCATTAAAAATTATTGTTAGACTATAGTCCTATTAGATTATGATCAATACTTTACAACTAGAAAGTCAGAATGAGAAGGTGAGACCCCATTTGAGTTAATTTTGCATTATGTTGCTTCTACATGGATCTGTTTCAAGTATCATTTAAGCCACTGTGTGAAATTGAGTTTGAAATGAGAAATGTCTGATTTATAAAGATCTTTTTACCTTACCATCCATCCTAAGCCATACCAGATGTTCTAAGATACTCACCTCAATTACCACATAAAGGAAGAGGTTCCCATACTTCCACATTCTTTCTAAAAACACATGTTAGCAGTTCATTGTTTCCATGGCTGTAAGAGACATAAGTGTGTTCCTGGCACTTTGGGAGGCGAGGTGGGAGGATTGCTTAAGTCCAAGAGTTTGAAACCAGCCTGGGCAATATGGTGAGACTTCATCTCTAAAAAAATAAATAAATACAATGTGTTCCTAGTGCTTTACATTTCTTCCCTTCTCCTACGATAGGTTAGGGGTACAAACATTTTCTCCAAATCAATGTATGCCTTTTGTTAATGCCAACGGATTGTTTTTCTCAAACATTACTATAAATGGTGATTAGACTTCTAAGATGACCACACAAAAGAAGTATGTCAATTACTTTAGCGGTTATCTCGGCTTTGGATGGCTGGGATGGGAACTAATGATGAATCTCAGAATTATTATTTCTGGGAAATGTCACCCATGCTCCAAAATGCAGACTATGAATCTTAAGAACATAACCCATATGGAAGTTGGGGACTTCTTATACTTCAATCAGGTTTCAAGTCTGGATGGCATTTACTTAAACATTTTCTTAACAATATAATTTGGTGTATGGGCAACAGTGCAAACTCAAATAATAGATTCTAAAAATATAATAATGAATACATTATATGAAAAACTTCAAAATATAAAGCATTAATGCAAATGAAAGACTACCAGACATATTAAGGAAGGCATTCTGATACTGGTAGCCAAAAATATGTCTTCTTGGAGAAATAAATGTTATGGTTGATATATACGTACAAAAGATGCAATGGGTCAATGTTAATCATATCGCCCATTGTACTTTTATACTTTGAAAGCACTGAAAGATCCAGTAGTGAGTCATAACTGTGACTTCCAAACTAGATCAATTTTGAAGGAAACTGATTCCTGAGACTAGCTGATAAATGTCATTTGTAATGGGAAACATTTGCTTTCTGGCTAGTTTAGCGCATTTAGGTAGACAGTAATGAGTTGCAGCTGAAGGGTGGAGATCCTCTAAAAAGAAGTATATTTTTTCTTTGCCAAATATAATGAAAAAAGTATTTCTTCCAAGTATCCCACTATTGATAGTCATTCAAGAAAGATTCTTGCAATGTGACTCTTTCACAGAAAAAGAAAACCCACTGGAAAATCAGAAGAGAGAATTATTACAGCCCAATAAATAGTATGGAGCTGTAAGAAGAATAATCAACATTTATCACTATAGAAACAAAGATACAAATTAAAACAAAGAAGAAATATAGCTTAATGTACAGGAAAATAAATGTATGATAAACCACATATTAGCGTGGACTAGCTTATGTTTTAATTACAAATACATCCCAAATCTCAGGTGCTTAAGACAGCAAAGGCTTATTTTTCATTATGCTACATGTTTAGCATGGGTTTGCAAGAATGCTTTGCTCTGTTATTTTCTTAATCAACATGGGACATGGAAGGGAGCAGTAAGGTACCTGTCACTGGCAATGAAATGCCTCCCCCAAGAAGAGTCCACACATCACCTTCAGTTTCATTTCATTCGCCAAAGCAAATCACATGGCAATGAGCAATTTCAGTAGAACAAAGTTCAGTTCTACCATATGCCTAGAAGAAAGCAAATTAGAATATCTGAGAACAGCTGTTTGACACACTTACAAAAGAAAAACTAGTTATAGGCCAAGGACCATTACATGCAAAGAGAGTCTACAGAACTATTAATATCAACCACTGGAAGGTATTTGTTGACAGCAAAAAAAAAATAATTTTCAAATTTACTACTAATCAATACATGAACATGAGGATCTAGAAAACGTATTGCTTAGGTTGAAAAGAAGGACATAAGTCATCATGAGAAATGGTCCTAACATAAATTTCAGGCAAAACTTTATTGGTCTGGCCAGGCAAGGTGGTTCATGCCTGTAATCCCAGCACTTTGGGAGGCGGAGGCGGGTGGATCACCTGAGGTCAGGAGGTCAAGACAAGCCTGACCAAGGAGGCGAAGGTTGCAGCGAGTTGAGATCGCGCCATCGCACTCCAACCTGGACAACAAGAGCAAAACTCTGTCTCAAAAAAAAAAAAAACCAACCAAACAAACAACAAAAAAAACTTTATTGATGACAATATATTTGCTTATGAACTCAGCAAGTCAAGGATGTTTTCTAACCAGTTTTATTAGGAAGCCTGGTCTTTGTTAGTAGACTTCAATCTCTTATTTATTTATTTTTTGAGACAGGGTGTCACTCTGTCACCCAGGCTGGGGTGCAGTGGCACAATCAGAGCTCACTGCAGCCTCAACTTCCCGGGTTCAAGTGGTCTTCCCACCTCAGACTCCCAGGTAGCTGGGACTACAGGTGTGCACCACCATGCCCAACTAAGTTTTGTATTTTTTGTAGAGATATGGGGTCTCACCACGTTGCCCTTGGACTCCTGGGCTCAAGCAATTCACTCTCCTTGGCCTCCCAAAGGGCTAGGATTACAGGTAGAACCACTGAACCTGGCCTTTTATTTTTTTCAAGCCAGGAGAAACTCCTTCCCCCCTACCCAAATAAAATCTTATGTAGCACCACAGATATAAAAACAGAGTAGTAGTAGAGTTACTTAAACTGGGATTGGACTCCACAGTGGTCCTGAGACACTGTAATACCCTGGAATATTCTAGAATATAGTTTTACAAAACACTTGTCAATAGAAGAGTGTTCTTTGATTGTTAAACGATTAGAGCTTTAGTTTTCAAGAATTAAGGGCCAGGTGGTGGCTCATGAATACATAATCCCAGTGATGCAGGAGGCTAAGGTGGGAGGATTGCTTGAGGCTAGGAGTTCGAGATCAGCCTGGGCAATGTTGTAAGTAATTTTTGTCTTTACAAAAATTAAATCATTTTAAAAATTAGCTGCATGTGGTGGCATGCATCTGTAGTCCCCACTACTCAGGAGACTGAGGTGGGAGGATCTCTTGAGCCCAGGAGCTCAAGGCTGCGGTGAGCTATGATTGCACCACTGCACTCCAGCCTGAGCTACAGATTGAAACTCTGTCTCAAAAAAAAAAAAAAAAAAAAGTCAAGAATTAGAAGTGTAATAATGGGGCTCTGTATTCATTTCTATGTTAACCTATTTACTATGTTTTAAAGAAGTAGTACAATATTTATTCTCCAATTTAATTATGTGATTCATGTAATTATATTATTTGTATCTGTCTGTGGTTGTGTTATATAGACCTTAGTAATGTGTGTGTATGTGTGTATGACTGAAAGAAAAGTTTCACAAAATAAAGCCTGCACTTACTACATGCAATAAATTCTGACATACTCTCTTCTTTTCTATGCTATTTTTAAAAAATGCTATTTTCAGTCAATAAAATTATTTCACTATCCAGTGAAGGATCACCACCACAGTTTGAAAAAGCCCAGCCTGAGAGAACTTTCTAGTTGCTAAGCCACAAGGATCTAGCCTGCTAAACATTTCCACTGGTGGTTTGAATTAGGGCATTGATTGCACATTGATCATGTCTGTAGATGACATGAAGCTGGAGGATGTAGCTAATATGACCTTAATAGGCTGCAATAATGGGTCCAAGAAAGCGACTTGAGGTTAAAAAGAACTAAATGTAGAACTCTACACTTGTGTCTAAAAGATGTAAGCCATATATACCAAATAGAGGAAATATTTAAATTTTATTTATTTATTTATTTATTTTTTGAGACAGGGTCATGCCCCGTCACCCAAGCTGAGTGCAATGTCACAATCTTAGCTCACTACAACCTCAGACTCTTGGGCACAAATGATCCTTCCACCTCAGCCTCCTGAGGAGCAGGGTCTACAGGTGCACGCCACCACACCTGGCTAATTTTTAATTTTTCTGTAGAGACAGAATTTCGCTTTGTTGCCCAGGCTGGTCTTGAATTCCTGGCCTCAATCAATCCTCCTGCCTCAGTATTGGGACTGTAGGTATGAGCCACCACATCCAGCTAAAATTTTAGTTTATTTTTGTGGAAGGAGATATGGCATAAAAGTGAAATATATGAAAAATATTTCAGGATTTTAATTTACTATAGGCACAATATAAGTCACCAGGGTTAAGTGTTTGCTAGGTAAAACTGAGATGAAAAGCAATCAGAGTCCTGAGAGCCTTCTCCGAGGCCAGAGCTCACCTGGACCCTTTTTAAAATTAATTAATTTTTTTTTGAGAAAGAATCTTAACTCCGTCACCCAGGCTGGAGTGCAGTGGTGTGACCTTTGCTCACTGCAACCTCCGCCTCCCGGGCACAGGTGATTCTGCTGCCTCAGTCTCCTGAGTAGATGGGATTACAGGCGCTCACCACCAAGCCTGGCTAATTATTTGTATTTTTAGTAGAGACAGGGTTTCACCATGTTAGTCAAGCTGGTCTTGAACTCCTGGGCTCAAGTGATCTGCCCGCCTCAACCTCCCGAAGTGCTGGGATTACAAGCATGAGCCATTGCACGCCCGGCCTCACCTGGAGCCTTTGCCTCTCTCTTTTTCTTTTTATCCCTGGAGCCTTTTGTTTCCTTTTTTTTTTTTTTTTTTTTTCTGAAACATGGTCTTGCTTGTCACCAGGCTGGAGTGCAGTGGTGTCATCATGGCTCACAGCAGCCTTGACTTCCTGGGCTCCAGTGATCCTCCTGCCTCAGCCTCCTGAGTAGCTGACACTACTGGTGCTCACCACCACGCTGGGCTAATTTTTGTATTTTTTTTTTTGCAGAGACGGGGTTTTACTATGTTGCCCTGGCTGGTCTGGAACTCCTGAGCTCAAGCAATCTACCTGCCTCAGCCTCCCAAAGTGCTGGGATTACAGGCATAAACCACTACTCTCAGCCTTCGTTTCTTTCTTGGGACCACATTTTAACCAGGGGGGATATGACAGATGAGAACAAATTCAATAGGGATGGTAGGGAAAAATGACATCACATAAGAATAGTTGAAAGAGCTAAGAATGCAGAACCTGCAAATATCAGACTAAAGAAATAACAATCGTCCGGGCACAGTGGCTCATGCCTGTAATCCCAGCACTTTGGGAGGCCGAGGCGGGCGGATCATGAGGTCAGGAGATTGAGACCATCCTGGCAAACACGGTGAAACCCCGTCTCTACTAAAAATACAAAAAATTAGCCAGGAGTGGTGGTGGGCGCCTGCAGTCCCAGCTACTCTGGAGGCTGAGGCAGGAGAATGGCGTGAACCTGGGAGGTGGAGCTTGCAGTGAGTCTCAGAAAAAAAAAGAGAAATAACAGTCCAGGCAGGGCGCAGTGGCTCATGCCTATAATCCCAGGGCTTTGGGGGGACGAGGCAAGGAGGGTCGCTTGAGGCCAGGTATTCAAGACCAGCCTTGGCAACATGGTGAGACCCTGTCTCTACAAAAAAATTAAATAAATAAATAAATAAATAAAAGAAATAGTGATCTCCAAGTATCGGAAAGTCGAATATGAAATCCCATCAAAGAGGGATTATACCTGTTCCCTCTTCTCCCAGAAGGCAGAACCACTCATTTGTTCATTCCTTCATTCCTTCCTTTATTTATTCATCCAACGAACATCTGTTGAGCACCTACCACATGTCTCTTAGACCAGGTATCTCTTCGTAGTACAGAGTACAAAAGCAACTCTCCCTGCCCCTAAGAATACAATTCAGTAGGAATGAAGGACAGCATCCAGTTTTCTGAAACTTGTGTTGGTGTCTTTTGTGGCAACACTGTTTCTTTGGGCCCACATGAGCCACTGAGGATGTGTGGCCTTCCATGTGTGATTGTTTTGTTGTCCTGACATATGGTCCGTCTGCTTTATCTGGTCATGTCACCATCCAGTGAAAGAAAATCTTTCAGGAGCCCCCGGATACCTTCAGGATAAAATCTAAAATCCAGCCAAGCATGGTGGCTTATGCCTATAATCCCAATGCTTTGGGATGCCAAGACAGGAGGATGGTTTGAGCCCAGGAGTTTGAGACAAGCCTGGGCAACATAGCAAGATTCTGACTCTACAAAAAATTTAAAAATTAGCTGGGCGTGGTGGTGCACTCCTATAGTCCCAGTTACTTGGGAGGCTGAAGCCAGATATCGTGGGGCCAGGAGTTTGAGGCTGCAGTGAGCTATGATGGCACCGCTACACTCCACCCTGGGTGACAGGGCAAGACCCCATCTCTAAAAATAATTTTTTTTTTTGAGATGGAGTCTTGCCCTGTGGCCCAGGCTGGAGTGCAGTGGCACCATCTTGGCTCACTGCAACCTCTGCCTCCCAGGTTCAAGTGATGCTTTCGCCTCAGCCTCTCAAGTGGCTAGGACTACAGGTGTGTGCCACCACGCCCAGATAATTTTTGTATTTTTTAGTAGAGACAGGGTTTCACCTTGTTGGCCAGGCTGGTCTCAAACTTCTGACCTCAGGGGGATCTGCCCGCCTTGGCCTCCCAAAGTGCTGGGATTACAGGCGTGAGCCATCTTGCCCGGCATAAAAATTAAAAAAAAAAAAAAATCAAATGGCTCCCAAGGCTTGTTTTCAAAATCTCTCTTTACTTTTGTCAGTATCTCCTGCCATTCTCCTAATATACACCCCACACTCCTGCCATTAAGAATTAATTTCCATACTCAGTGTGTGCCAAGGTTTCTCTCTACCTTCACAATCCTGCCTGCCCTTCCCCTACTCAGCCCCTGGCTGACTCCTGTTTGTTCACATGACAGCTCCATCACCACCTACACCGAGAGGTCTTCCATGATTCCCATTGGCCATGTTTCATGAGCTCTTCCTCTGGGTGTTCAAGGTACTCCATGAATAGTGACTGTCTGATCCTTATCCTCATTACCAGGCACAGCAGGGGCATGGAGCTGGTCCTCAACAAATGTTTAACTATATCAATGAATGAGGCTGAGCATGGTAGCTGACGTTTGTAATCCCAGTGCTTTGGGAGGCTGAGGTGAGAAGACCTCTTGAGGCCAGAAGTTTGAGACCAGCCTGGGCAACATAGCAAGACTCCATGTCTACAAAAAGAAAAAAGAATGAATGATGCAAAATCACTCCATTCTCACATTGCTATAAAGAGACTGGGTGATTTACCTGAGACTGGGTAATTTATAAAGAAAACAGGTTTAATTGACTCACAGTTCAGGAGCTGTTCAGGAAGCATGGCTGGGGAGGTTTCAGGAAACTTACAGTCATGGTGGAAGGCCATGACCGTAACAGGAGGAAGAGAGAGAAGGGGGAGGTGCTACACACTTTCAAACAACCAGGTATCGTGAGAACTCACTCACTATCACGAGAACAGCAAGGGGTGACTCCGCCCCCATGATCCAGTCACCTCCCACCAGGCCTCTCCTCCAATATTGGAGATTACAATTTGACATAAGATTTGGATGGAAACACAAATCCAAACCATATCACTCTGGAAGTTCAGATTGCACCAAACAGACAGCTATTTATAAAGATTAAGGTGTCATTGACTTTCAACTTTGGATAATGAATCTAAATAAAGGAAATATGAGAGAGATCCTTAGCAACTCCACTTCTTCTAAGCTCAAGACCACTGTTGGCTGGAAATGCTAGGGCTGTTAGTGCTTTCCTAAACCTGCATCATGGAGACATAAAAAGAGGGTATGATGAATTATTGACAGTCATGATCAGACGGTTATCTCCATTTTCTGCTTTGGAAGTCACCCTTGCAACACAGGAGACAACCATCCTTTCTGTCCTGCCAGAAGGCTGGTACCACGCAGTCCGTGTGTCCGGGCATGAAAACCATCAGGCATGAAGGGCAGCACGTTGCCGGTGGGCCGTGCCAACCCAAGGAAACAGTGCCTCCTTTGAGAGACACAAAGAGCCACTGTCTTCGCCTCTTTTTTTCTTCTCCAAAAACTGTTAGAGTCCAAAACTCGCTGTGGAGATAACAAAGGCTCCTCCAAGACGGAGCAGAGGGCTCCAGTCATTTCACCTGGAGAATTTCAGCCCAAACCAGCCCACAGAACGCAGCCCGCAAGATTAGGGTAGTCAAGCTCCCTTTTCACCTGGCCTGCAATCTGGAAGAAAAATAAGCTCCACTGAAAACAGAATGTCCCTTTTTTTCCCAGCATCATTCTGGACTGCTCTGTCCTTATCAACAGAGTGATGATTCCTCTGTCAAGATGTTTTCTTGCTAATGTTTACCCCACATACTAGTGTTTTCTACGACAAGCTCATTATATCCACTTGATACAAGAGCATTAAGAATTATTTAAGCAGAGATGGAGTGACTATTCGTAAGATGAGTTGTGTGCTAAACAGGAGGTTGGACTGGCTGACCACTAAGATCCCTGTAATTAGGAGGTTAGTAGAGAGAACATGTAATTCATTCATTCAAACCCGTGGTCCCCTGGTGGTCACATTAATAGCTAAATGGCTCAAATGTGGACAGCACTGCCATAAATTCAAGCACAGAGGGCAAGGGTGATTAGGAGAGAAGGCTAAGGGATAGGGATGCTGATAGGAAAATTGCCTTAACAAGCCTAAACTGAGCACTTGCTGTATGTCAGGCAGTGGCTGGAGAAAGAAAGACGAAGCTCAGGTTGTGTTTAGATGAGTCGTGAAAACAGACATGCACCCAGGCCATTACAATAAAATGGAATGGGTGCCACGGTGCTTATGTGCTATGCAAGTAGAATGGAGGAGGAGCCAATGCAGAACCTGTAGACGGCACGAAAGATGAATCATTGCAGGAGATGACAAATCAGCTTTCACTTAGGAATGAATAACAACTGACATAGGTTGGGAGGAGGGCATGGAAAGATATTGCAGGTAGAGGGGTCAGCAATGCAACGCAAGAAGGCATGAGGGATCATGGCAGATTGGTGAGCTGCAGGTGGCTTCTTGGTATAGCAGCCGTGGAGGATGTCTATGAAAGCGGGACATAGGCGGGCTGAGAAGTAGGTGGCAACCAGACTGGGAGGAAATTTCCTGCCATGGGGAATAAGAGCTACCTCCTGGGAGTGGCCGGGGAAGAGGCAGAGGCAAGAATTCAGAGAAGGAAAGAGACCACGCACACTGGACTTCCCAGCCTAATAGAAGATTCCTTTATTCCGAGCGTGGTGAGGAAGTGACTAAAGGGCCCGTGTGGACTGGGGGCCTGTGGCCCGTGTAGACATCTCAAAGATGAGCTTGAATCCCCAACCTTCTATCCCCAACAACGCCCACTGCTGTGTAAGGCTCTGGAACTGTGTCCTGGGATGTGGGTGAGAAAACCCTAAGAAGCTCTAAAGTTAAATACCCTAACATATATATATGTTAAATATTCTAGCATCTGAGAGGTTAAGTAAATATCCTAGCATCCCAGAGGGTTAGGGCTCAGAGAATATGTGATTTTAAAAATTACATATACATGTGTATATATAATTTTTTGTCCAGGTGAAATGACATATGTATATATACATATATATGTATATACATACATATATATATAATTTTAAAAATCACATATTCTCTGAGCCCTAACCCTCTGGGATGCTAGGATATTTACTTAACCTCTCAGATACTAGAATAGTATATATATATATATATGTCTATACATATATATATGTCTATACACACACACATATATATGTCTAGACATATATATATATATATATATATGCCTGTAATCCCAGCCTGGCCTCAACTTGCATTTTTAAGCTTTAATGCTGTCATTATTGCTTCCCACCTTATAAGGCAGATACTTTTTTTCTTTGAGATAGTCTCGCTCTGTTGCTCAAGCTGGAGTGCAATGGCATGATCTCAGCTCACGGCAACCTCCGCCTGTTGGGTTCAAGCGATTCTCCCATCTCAGCCTCCCGAGTAGCTGGGATTACAGGTGCCCACCACCACGCACGGCTAATTTTTGTATTTTTTATTTTAGTAGAGACAAGGTTTCACCATGTTGGCCAGGCTGGTCTTGAACTCCTGACCTTAAGTGATCTGAGTGCATTGGTCTCCAAAAGTGTTGGGATTACAGGCGTGAACCACTGCGCCGGGCCAAGCAAGCACTTAAATTTTTTTTTTTTAATTATTATTATTTTTCGAGGATGGAGTCTCACTCTGTCATCCAGGCTGGAGTGCAGTGGTGTGATCTCGGCTCACTGCACCCTTTCCCTCCCAGATTCAAGCACTTCTCCTGCCTCAGCCTCCTGAGTAGCTGGGATTACAGGCACCCACAACCACACCTGGCTCATTTTTGTATTTTTAGTATAGACGGGGTTTCGCCATGTTGGCCAGGCTGGTCTTGAACTTCTGACCTCAAGTGATCCACCCATCTCGGCCTCCCAGAGTGCTGGGATTACAGGTGTGAGACACCATGCCTGGCCAAGGCAGGCATATTTAAAAGGCAAATTTCCTGGAGATATTCTACTTTTGGAATCTTAATTGTAGCCTAAGACTATAGGAGTATGTAGGGCACAAAAGACCTGGGTCTAACAGGGTTAATCTCTTCCTGAAATTTCTCCAGTCCCGCGTTTCCATAAGAGGGTCAGCAAATAAAAGGAGAGAGAGAAACTTCTGGAAGGTCTGCTGCTGCTGCTGCTCCTGGGACAGAAAGGGAACCCAAGGGTATCTAGTTTAAGATGATGCCAGCAACCCAGTCAGATGTGAGAATCAGCCGAGCCAGCCAGTGGTCCTGGGCATCGTGGCTAGAGGCAGAAATTCCAGCTCTACTGCAAAACTTCTCCTGGCGTAAGGAGGAATCTACTACAGTCATGCACTGCATAATGATGCTTCTGTCGAGACAGACTACAGATACAGGGGTGGCCCCATAAGATTACAATGCAGTTGGCTGGGTACAAGTGGCTCAGGCCTGTAATCCCAGCACTTTGGGAGGCCAAGGGGGGCAGATCTCTTGAGGTCAGGCGTTTGAGACCAGCCTGGCCAACAAGGCGAAACCCTGTCTCTACTAAAAATACAAAAATTAGCCTGATGTGGCAGTGGGTGTCTGTAATCCCAGCTACTTGGGAGGCTGAGGCAGGAGAATCGCTTGAACCCGGGAGGTGGACGTTGTAGTGAGCCGAGATGGTGCCACTGCACTTTAGCCTGGGTGACAGGGCAAGACTCTGTCTCAAAAACAAAACAAAACAAAACAAAAACAAAACCCCAAAAAACAAGGTTACAATGCAGTTGAAAAACTCCTATCGCTAGTGGCATCGTCACTGTCATAACGTTGTAGCGCACTACGTGTTACTCACGTGTTTGTGGTGATGCTGGTGTCAACAAAACTGTTGTACTGCCAGTCATATACAAGGTTAGCGCATATAATATTTGCTAATAAATAATTATGTTACTGGGTTATATACTTACTATACTATACTTTTTATCGTTATTTGAGCTTGTACTCCTACTTATTTTTAAAAAGTTAACTGTAAAACAGCCTTGGGAAGGGTCTTCAGGAAGTATTCCAGGAGAAGGCATTGTCATCACAGGACATGAGCGCTCTATGTATGTTACTGCACCTGAAGACCTTCCAGTGGGACAAAATGTGGAGGTGGAAGACAGTGATGTTGGTGATCCTGACCCTGTGTAGGCCAAGGCTAATGTCTGGTTGTGTCTTAGTTTTTAATAAAAAAAGTTTAAAAAGTAAAACAATAAAAATTAAAAAATATAAAAATAGAGAAAAGCTTATAGAATAAAGATATAAAGAAAGAAAATAGGCCAGGCACGGTGGCTAATGCCTATAATCCCAGCAGCTTGGGAGGCTGAGGTGGGCAGATCACTTGAGGCCAGGAGTTTGAGACCAGCCTGGCCAACACGGTGAAGCCCTGTCTCTACGAACAATACAAAAATTAGCCGATCGTGGTGGCAGGCGTCTGTAGTCCCAGCTACTTGGGAGGCTAAGTCACAAGAATCGCTTGAACCTGGGAGGCAGAGGTTGCAGTGACCTGAGATGGCACCACTGCACTCCAGCCTGGGCAACAGAGCACGAGTCTGTCTCAACAGAAAAAAAGAAAGATACTTTTATACAGCTGTAAAATGTATTTGTTTTAAGCAGCATTATTGCAAAAAGTCTAAAAGTTTTAAAAATCTAGTTTATAAAATAAAAAAAGTTATAGTAAGCTAAGAGTAAATTATTGAAGAACAAAAAAATTTTAAAATAAATGTAGTGTTGCCTAAGTGTACAATATTTATAAGGTAAGTCTACAGTAATGCACAGTAATGTCCTAGGCCTTCACATTCACCCACCACTCACTGACTCACCCACAGCAACTTGCAGTCTTGCAAGCTCCATTCCTGCTCAGTACCCTATACAGGTATACCATTTTATTTATTTACTTATTTATTTTTTCGAGAATGAGTCTCGCTCTGTCGCCCAGACTGGAGTGCAGTGGCACCATCTTGGCTCACTGCAACCTCAGCCTCCTGGGTTCAAGTGATTCTCCCACCTCAGCCTCCTGGGATTAGCTGGGATTACAGGATTGCTGGGAGTAGCTGGGATTACAGGCACCCACCATCATGCCAAGCTAATTTTTGTATTTTTGTAGAGATGGAGTTTCACCATGTTGGCCAGGCTGGTCTTGAACTCCTGACCTCAGGTGATCCTCCTGCCTCTGCCTCCCAAAGGGCTGGGATTACAGGTGTGAGCCACGATGCCCTGTAAGTATACCACTTTTTAATCCTTTATAACATATTTTACTGTACATTTTCTATGTTTAGATACACAAATACTTACCATTGTGTTAAAGCTGCCTACAGTATGCAGTGCAGTCACATGCAGTGCAGATTTGTCGCAGTAGGCTGTACCATATAGCCTAGCTATGTAATAGGCTATGCCATCTAGGCTTGTGTAAGTACACTCTACAAGATACAATGAAATCATCTAATGATGCATGTCTCAGAAGGTATCCCTGTTGTTAAGCAACACACGACTGTATTTGTAAGTATTTCTAGGATGTGCCAGGAACCCTCACCTGTGTAATCTGACTTAATTGCAGTGAGACTACTGTGAGATAGGTATTATTTCCACTTCACAGGAGTGGAAACTGATGATCAAAGAATTTAAGCATCTAGCTGGGCATGGTGGCTCATACCTGTTATCCCATCACTTTGGGAGGCCAAGGTGGGCAGATCACTTGAGGTCAGGAGTTCAAGATGAGCCTGGCCAACATGGCGAAATCCCGTCTCTACTAAAAATACAAAAATTAGCTGGGCATGATGGCAGGCGCCTGTAATTCCAGCTACTCGGGAGGCTGAGGCAGGAGAATCACTTGAACCGGAGAGGAGGAGATTGCAGTGAGATCGTGCCATTGCACTCCAGCCTAGGGGACAGAGCGAGATTCTGTCTCAAAAACAAAACAAAACAAAACAAAAAACCTAGAGTTTAAGCATCTTGCCAAAGTCAGAGAGCTAGAAATTGGAGGGCTGAGATTCAACACCGGGCTTTTCCCATCTCCAAACCCCATTTGCTTTTGTTTTTGTTCTTCCACCCCACCACTGATTAATTTTTATGCCAGATTCCTTCATTGTTTTTTCATGTGTGAAAAGGGGGCTACAAAAAAGTTAGTAAAACAATTTTTACCTTCATTAAGGTGGAATGAACAAATATGAAAATGTTTTGGAAGAAAAAGGTATAGGATAAATATAAAGGGTTCTTGGGATAGAAAGAAAGGTGGGATTAGATTTTGCATCACTGAGATGCATATGCTCAAGTTCCCCTACTTAGCATCAACATACAATACAAAACCATTTTGATTCTATTACTAGTACAGGAGAGGCGGGGAGAAAAAAAACACTGTACTATCCAGTGACTGTTTTGAGGAGAAAAAAACTCCTTGGTGAGCTAATTTTGAACGTGAGGAACTGTTCCTTTATTGTCCAGCTGCCGCCTTTGAATCCCGTGTTTGCGTTACCAACAATTGCAACGGAAGTGTTTAATTTCAATTATTTATTGTTCATATCCCTCCAACTTCCAAAGAGAAATGCAAGGCATGGAAATGAAGGTTTTTGAGTTTTCATACACCAGATTCATATCTTAACTACTTGATTTCACCGGTTTTGCTGATACATCCATTTAAAACTCACAGAGCTGATACACACCCCGGTTGAGAGGGTTATGCTATGGCAATTTACTCTAAAATTCAAATATTTGGATTTGATGCAGAGGTCGAATGCCAAGGCCATGCTGATCTACGACTGAAGAGCTAAAACATGAAAGTCCCCATCTTGTTCTCTCCTGACCATGTTGCAGAGTTGCTCTGTTGGGTTAATCTCTTTAATCTGCCTTGCTGCTTCCAAACCCTCAATTATTTTGAAACCACGCAAGGGCCTGGTAGCGAGGCAGAGCCGGCTCCTGAGAGCAGTTCGTGGCTGGGACCACATCCCTGCGGACTCTTTGTTCGGACAGCGGATTCTCTCGGTGGCCAGCTGAAGGCCTTTTCTTTGTGTCGTGATTGACAGGCATGAATTAAATATCACCCCACTGGGCTCTCTGATTGGTGAATGATGACGTATTACAAGAATGTCTTGGGAAAATGGTGTTTCATGATAACGGGACAAGACCAGAAAGGCTGGGCTTTTTCAGCTAATCCTGAACTTGACAACAGCAGAGACCTTGATTCTGAGCTCTGTATTTTATTTTATTTTTGTCTGCGTATGTCTTGTTCAGGCCCTTTAAAGGACGATCCTTAAATGGCTAAGAAAGGAGCAGAGGATGAAGCCCAAGGAAGTACAAATTTAGGAGAGAGAAAAGGATTGTTTCTTTAAATGACTGATGTTTCTGTAGATGTGCTTTAAGGGTTCTCTTCTAAAATGAGCCTGGCATTGTCTTTGAGGCTTTTCTTCCGTCTCAATTTATCAGCGAGTCAATTAGTATTCCTTAGGGCAATAATATGTGCTGCAGGGTCCTGGCTATTCCCAACATACACTGGCCTGGCATTGCCTCGGGCATAAACAGCTCTACACACACAATGCTCTGGTTTTGAACAAGCAGAAACAGTGTGATAAGAAAGTGCAGAGAGAAATGGAAGGGCATGGAAATGCACCCCAGAATTTGAGGTGACACAGCATGTCTGTGGCTAAGTGGAGGAGGAAGGAAATGGGGTGCAGGATGATAGAAACTAATCTGTCATCTAGCCTAACAGCCGGTGAGGGGTTGGGAGAAGGTTTATTTCAGAGTAAGGTCATCGAGCTGGCTCAGTGGATGACACCCCAAAACCGAAAGGGTGATTGTAATGAGAGCTCTCACAGAGGCTGGGGGCAGCATTATAAGTCTTTTTTTTTTAAATTTTAGATTCAGGGGGTACACGTGTAGGTTTGTTACAAGGATGTATTGCACAATGGTGAGGTTTGGGCGTCTAGTGTACCCATCACCTAAATAGTGAACATTGTATTCAATGGACAGTTTTTCAACCCTCATCCCTCTGCCAACCTCCCACCTTTTGGAGTCCCCATTGTCTATTGTTTCCATCTTTATGCCCATGTGTACCCATTGTTTCACTCCCACTCACAAGTGAGAGCATGTGGAATAAGTTATCTTAATTAAACATAACTTTTGCTTCTCACTTATAGAGAATTATAGCTCCCACTTGTAAGTGAGAAGCAAAAGTGGATCTTGACATGGCCAAGCTGGGGATGTGGTGTGATGTTTTTGCATTAATTTGCTTAGGATAAAGGTCTTCAGCTCCAGCCATGTTGCTGCAAGGATATGATCTCATTCTTTTTTTATGGCTGCATAGTATAGCATGGCATTATATGTACCACATTTTTTAAATACAGCCCACCGTTGATGGGCATCTAAGTTGATTCTGTGTCTTTTCTATTGTGACTAGTGCTGCAATAAACATACGAGTGCAGGTGTCTTTTTTATATAAGGATTTCTTTTCTTTTGGATAAATACACAACAGTGCGAGTGCTGGGTCGAATGGTAGTTCTATTTTGAGTTCTCTGCGAAATCCCCATACTGTTTTCCATAGAGGTTGTAATAAATTATACTCCCACCAATAGTATGCAAGAGTTCTGTATTCATCTGTTCTCACACTGCTAATAAAGACATACACGAGTATGAGTAATGTAAAAAAGAAAAGAGGTTTAATTGATTAACAGTTTTGCATAGCAGGGGATGCCTCAGGAAACTTACAATCATGGCAGAAGGGGAAGCAAACACCTCCTTCTTTACATGGCAGCAGGAGAGAGAATGAGAGCCAAATGAAGGGAGAAGACCCTTATAAAACCATCAGATCTTGTGAAAACTTACTATCACGAGAATAGCATGGGGGAAACTGCCCCAGTGATTCAGTTGCCTCCCATGGGGTCCCTCCCACCACATGTGGGGATTATGGATTACTATTCAAGATGAGATTTGGTTGGGGACACAGCCAAACCGAATCAGGTTGTCTTTTCTCTGAATCCATGCCAACATCTGTTGCTTTTTTGACTTTTTAATAATAGCCATTCTGACTGATGTAAGATAATCCCTCATTGTGGTTTTAATTTGCATTTCTCTGATGATTAGTGATGTTGAGCATTTTGTGAATGATATTTTTCTGGTGCATCTAACATAAATTCCAATGTGAAAGGAAACTGGGTCCTTAGGTTTGCCAAGTAGGCTTGCTACCAGTAATATTGATAGAAGAGAGCATTAGGAAAGAATCTTGTGCCCAGCTTTCAGTAAATATGGAAGTTGTTTTGCCATTGAGTTGGGCACAAAGATTCTTTCTGCAAGATTCGAAGAAGGGAGAAATATGTAAATGTTGGCTAAACTTTGGGCAGTAATAAGGTGATCTGTGCAAAAAGCTTGCTTTGCCTAGGGACTTCTTACTAAAAGGTCTGGAAAGATAGTGTATTAGGCCAGGAGAACAAGGGCAGGATCATAACCATCAGCTAGGAGAACTGATGGGCATGGTTCAGGTGAACAGGTCAGATCTGGATGATGCTCTCCAGAGGAATAACTGAATCTACAAGCCAGGCAGCTCAGTCATGGGCACATTGGGAATGGAGGGGTTGTTATAAGTTAACAAGTACACAGGGGCCAGGTGTTGTAGCTCATGCTTGTAGTCCTAGCACTCTGGGAGGTGGAGGAGGGTGGTAATCTGGTAAAACCCCATCTTTACAAAAAATACACACACACACACTAATTAGCTGAGCATGGTTGTGAGTGCCTGTAGTCCCAGCTACTGGGGAGGTTGAAGTGGGAGGATCGCTTGACCCTGGGAGGTTGAGGCTGCAGTGAGCTGTGATTTTGCCACTGCACTCCAGCCTGGGTGAGAGAACGAGACCCTGTCTCGAGAAAAAAAAAGAAAAAGAAAAATAAAAAGAAGCATACTGGGCACAAGGCTCATGACATTAGGGGGAAAGCTGGGAAAATAGTTCAAAATGCTGGCAAGAAATTAGGGCAACAGGTGGAGACCATAGCCAGAAATGTTCCCTGGAGAAGCAAAAGTGGATCTTGACATGGCCAAGCTGGGAATGTGCTGTGAACCCATGGGTGTGGTGGAGTGTGTTGGGTGTGTCAGGGAGAGGGTTCAAAGGCAGGGGAAGTACAAGGCAGACATTTAGGAGCACAAAGCTAAGGCGCTAATCACCTAGATTCCCTGACTGCTGGAAATGGCTTCCTTCTTTGGAGATTAAAGTTGGAGAGTTTTCCTATTCATATAAATTATAATCTGGGTCCTGGTTAAAAGACTGCACAATTTGACTGAACTGCTGGTGACTGTGGTAAACACATGCCTGGGTGTTGAGCATTGATGCAGCAATGCCAGCTCCAGGGAGACTTCCTACACTGGAAGGAAATGTGAGTAATAACACATATGCTTTTTTAGCAGATCGACAGCTTGCTGAGCTGGGACATGGTACATCCCAACCCCCTCCCCACCATATTTTTTTCTTTTCCTAAAGCACACTGCGTTGCTAGGAATACTTATTAGCTGTGTATTTCTTCAGTTCTTTCATGAATCAAAACAGTTCTGTCCTAATGTCTTGGATATGATTTCTGTCTCAAAATGTCCTTGAAGGGAATGGGATTATTAAATTGTAAGAGAAGTAGCCTGGGCAATGATAGAGTGTGTTCATTTGCTAGGGCTGCCATAAGAAAGTACCACATGCTGGGGAGCTTAAACAACAGAAATTGATTGTCTTACAATTCTGGAGACTAGAAATCCAAGATCAATGTGTCAGCAGGGTTGGTTTCTTCTTCTTCTCTCCTTTTTTTCTGAGACGAGTCTTGCTCTGTTGCCCAGGCTGGAGTGCAGTGGCACGCTCTTGGCTCACTGCAACCTCCGCCTCCCGGGTTCAAGCAATTTTCCTGCCTCAGCCTCCAGAGTAGCTGAGATTACAGGTGTGTGCCACCACACCTGGCTAATTTTTGTGTTTCTAGTAGAGACAGGATTTCACCATGTTGGCCAGGCTGGTCTCAAACTCCTGACCTCAAGTGATCCACCCTCCCAAAGTGCTGGGATTACAGGCATGAGCCACTGCAGCTGGCTAGGGTAGGTTTCTTTTAATGCATCTCTTCTTGGCTTGTAGAGGATCATCTTCTCCCTGTGTCTTCCTTCACATACTCTTCTTTCTCTCTGTGTCTGTGTCCTAATCTCTTCTTCTTATAAGGACACCAGTCATATTGGATCAGGGCCCACCCTAAAGACCTCATTTAACCGTAATGCTAGAGACCGAATGTTTGCGTGCTCCCCATCCCCAGAATGTATATGTCAGCATCCTAGCCCCCAGTGTGATGCTATTAGGGGGTGGAGCCGTTAGGAGGTAATTAAGCCATAAGGGTGGAGCCTTCATGATTGGGATTAGTGCCCTTAGGAAAGAAAGCCCAGAGAGCACCCTTGCGCTTTCCACCGTGTGAGAACACAGTGGCCCTCATGAACCAGGAAGCAAGTGTTCGCCAGACATCAAATCTGCCAGCACCTTGACTTCCCAGCCTCCAGAACCATGAGAAATAGTATTCTGTTATTTATAAGCCACCTAGTCTATAGTATTTGGTTATTGCTGTCCAAACAGAGTAGGACACTTTCTTATCTCTTTAAAGACTCTATCTCCAAAAATACTGTCATATTCTGAGGTACTGGGGACTTCATCATAGGAATTTGGGAGGGAGAGGGACGTAATTCAACCAATTACATGGAATCGTGCCACTACTGGCCCCCATGAATACCTAGAGATACAGCTGTTTTGGATTTTACAAGACTGTGGTGGAAGAGTCTTCATATAAAAACAGAATACTTACGGACCTGTAAGGAGTCAATTTTCATTTAATCAATCACAGACCCATTTATTATCATAACCCTGTTATCATACACATATAATTATCATGTCAATATCAATAAATGTTTATGGAATGAACAAATAACTCTTCTTTCTTTGTAAGAGGGATTTGAGGCCGGGTGCCATGGCTCACGTCTGTAATCCCAGTGGTTTGGGAGGCTGAGGTGGGAAGATTGCTTGAGGCCAGGGGTTCAAGACCACCCTGAGCAACATAGCAAGACCCCATCTTTACAAAAAAATTTAAAAGTTAGCAGGATATGGTGGCACAGGCCTGAAATCCCAGCTACTCAGGAGGCTGAAGTGGGAGGATCATTTGAGTCCAGGAATTTGAGGCTGCAGTGAACTATAACTGTGCCACTGCACTGCAGCTTGGGTGACAGAATGAGACCCTGTCTCTACAAAGGAAAAAAAAAAAAAGGATTTGACAGTTGAGAGGCAGACCAAGGTCTCAGGTTACTCTCCTGGATTGCTTCTTATTGAAGGACTTGTGGGCAGTCTCTAGTGGACTATAAAGCATCATGAATAATTAAAATTAAACAACGCTTGTCAAAATCAATGAATAGAGCACTCTTTATGACACAATACTGCAGTCTGCTGGCTTGGTCACCAATTTGGAAACTCTGTCGCCTGGTCCCGAGGCTGCCCACCCTAAGTATGAGGTCCTGCCCTGGCCATGGAGGAAGAAATGCCCAGGAAAGAGCATCCTTCTAAATGAGCTTCCAGGTTGGGGCACAGTGGTTCACACCTGTAATCCCAACACTTTGGAAGGCCCAGGCAGGAGGATCACCTGAGCTCCTGGGGTTCAAGATTGGCCTGGGCAACATAGTAAGACCCTATCTCTACAAACAATAAGAAATTAGCTGGGCAAGGTGATACATGCCTATAGTCCTATATACTCAGGAGGCTGAGGTGAAGGATGGCTTCAGCCCAGCAGTTAGTGGCTACAGTGAGGTATAATCACATCACTGCACTCCAGCCTGGGTGACAGAGTGAGACCTTGTCCCTATAATTTAAAAAAAATAAAAAATAAGATGTGCTTCTGGCCAGGTGCAATGGCTCACGCCTGTAATCCCAGCACTTTGGGAGGCCGAGGCAGTAGGATCCCTTGAGCCCAGAAGTTCAAGACCAGCCTGGGTAACATAGTGGGAACCCATCTAAAAAAAAAAAAAAAAAAAAAAAAAAAAGCGCTTCTGTGACAGTGGCGAGATTGGCAGGGATGGGGATGAGGATTTTCCATGTCAGCCCCAGTCCAGACTAGAACCAAACAAATCTCCTGGTTAATTAATGAGCCTGCTACATACAAGTTTATGGGAAGATGAGCCCTGACTAGAATGTGAGCCTTGCCCTGGAGGGTTCTAGCTTTAGTCTGTTGACTGTGTCCGCTGAAGACAAGTCCCTGCTCTGGGAACATAGTTTTCCCTTAGCTAATCTTTCATCATCATCACTGCATCCATGAGACAGGCCCATGTCAGGAGTAGCTCCAAGTCAACCCAGTCCTTAGAAGGAGGGGTGAAGCTGTGGGACAAAGCCAGGAAAAGATGTGAGAAATTGAATTCTGTAATGTCTAAGGGCCAAGGATGGGCTGATTCTTTTTTTCTTTAATTGAGGTAAAATATACATAATATAAAATTTACCATTTAACCTTTTATTTATTTATTTAATTTGAAACAGGGTCTTGCTATGTTGTCCAGGTGGGACTCAAACTCCTGAGCTCAAGCAATCTTCCTACCCTAGCCTCCCAAGCAGCTAGGACTATAGGGAAGCAACACCATACCCAGCTACTTTTGTAAAACTTTCTGTAGAGATGGGGTCTTGCTATGTTACCCAGGCTGATCTTGAAATCCTGGGCCCAAGGGATCTTCCTGCCTCAGTACTGGGATTGCGGGCATAAGCCATTGTGCCCAACCCTAGGCTGATTCTTCCAGCTAGGCATCTCAGCCCATCTTTAAGCCCAGGAAGGAACGATAAGACCAAACAGAGACATGCACAGAGCTCTGGAACTGAGGAGAAGATAGGAAGAGAAAGCTGGGCAAAGAGAGAATCCAAGTCCAGGCAAAGAGTCTGGGCAGCAGGAACTCCATCCCCAGCCTTCTTTTTTTTGAGAGAGGGTCTTGCTCTGTTGCCCAGGCTGGAGTGCAATGGCATGATCTTAGCTCTCTGCAACCTCCACCTCCCGGGTTCAAGCGATCCAACCACCTCAGCCTCCCAAGTAGTTGGGACTACAGGTGTGCACCACCACATCTTGCTAATTTTTGTATTTTTAGTAGAGACGGGGTTTCACCATGTTGGCCATGCTGGTCTCAAACTCTTGATCTCAAGTGATCTGCCCGCCTCATCCTCCCAAAGTGCTGGGATTGCAGGCATGAGCCACCGTGCCCAGCCTATCTCCAGCCTTCTGAGATATTGTTTATCAGGAAGCATTTCTGCTTTTAGATGACACATCTCCTTTGGATCCCATAGCTCTATATCTGTATGCTTCTACCATCTGTACCACTTTCTACATTGGAGGTTTATTTATATGTATATCTTAAGTTTCCTACTAAACCATAAACTTCCTTAGGGCAGCAACTATACCTCATTCATTTTGGAAGCCCCAATAGCACCCAGCACCATCTGTGGATTGTAGCTCGTGGGTAATAACTATTTAGTAAATAGATGAACCTAATATTATATTAATATTAAACATTGAAGAAACAAGTCTACTCATTCCCTGGGGTTCTTCAAGGAAAGCACTACCACTCATGTCTGCTTAGATATTATTATTAATAGCAGTTGAGTAATAATAATAATACCACTGTGGAAATATTAGGCCACATCCAAAATATGCGCAATTCCAGATCTACCACAAGTTGTTTCTATCCCAGGTATTGGGGATAATCTAAAAAGAGCTCTAAAAAGAGCTCAGGGGAAAGGTTATCAGAAGAACAAAGCATCTAGAAGCTGTCAGGTGAAAAACAGTTCAGTGAATTGACTATTTGGCTCACAGACAAGAAGACTAAGGAGAGAGACATCATAAGTGTTTGCAAATATCTGGAAGGCTTTCTTGTAGAAGAGGAAGCAGACTTAGTTTTGCTGTAGAGGCAGAGCCAGGACCAGTGGATTTAGGAGCAAGGAGACAAAATTCAAAATACAAGAGAATTGTTAAACTTTTAAATTAGAGCTCTCCCACAATAGAGTAGACTGATAAGATTGTGAGCTGTCTGTCAACACAGACACAGTCAAGAATGCCGTAGGAAGGAAAATACAAATGAGATCTGAAAGGTTCTCGTTCTGACCATTGTCTCTCAGGCTGGAGTGCAGTCGGCACAATCTCAGCTCACTGCAACCACTGCATCCCGGGTTCAAGTGATGCTCCTGCCTCAGTCTCCAGAGTAGCCGGGACTGCAGGCAAGCGCCACTACACCTGGTTAATTTTTGTATTTTTAGTAGAGAGAGGGGTTCACCATGTTAGCCAGGCTGGTCTTGAACTCCTGACCTCAAGTGATCCACCCACCTCAGCCTCCCAAAGTGCTGGGATTACAGGCATGGCCCCATAGTTTTGATTTCTATGTCTCTAATCATTTCCTGAGAAAAAAAAATGGCCAAGGCGTGGTGGCTCATGCTTGTAATTCCAGTGCTTTGGGAGGCCAAGGTGAGAGGATCACTTGAGACCAGAATTCTGAGACCAGCCTGGGCAAAATAGCAAGACTCTCTCTCTGCAAAATAAAAAATAGAAAAGTTAGCTGGGCATGGTGGCACTTGTCTGCAGCCCTTCCAGCTACTTGAGAGGCTGAGGTGGGAGGATTGCTTGAGTCCAGGAGTTCAAGGCTGCAGTGAGCTATGATCGTGATGATACTGCACTCCAGCCTGGATGATGGAGTGAGACCCTATCTCAAAAAAAAAAAAAAAAAAAATCCTGTTCAGTTTCAGGGATGCAATATCCTCTTTTATCTCTCTGAGGATATTAACTCTGTGTCCTCATAAAAAATGAGCTTCTGCTTATTGAGTTTGATATCACTCTTCAGGATATTGGTTTTGTAAAAAATGATTGCCCATTCTTAGGTGTGAACTCATATGATGGCTGGCATGTCCTTGTAGCCTGTCTAGAGTGCTTTCTTTGCTTCCCAGCATTCTTAAGAAGGGGTGAGCTATACCAACTGTCAAGTGGGCTATACCCATAGTCAGTCTCCTGGATATGGGGACACCCCATTATTTCTGAGTGTTTACAAGTCTTCTTCCAAAGCTCACATTCATTGCTCCTACCCAAGGGCAGACACCTCTACTTGGCAAGGAGAGGTCGGAGCTTATCTCATCTGGCTGCTCCTAATGCATGTCGCAAACCAGTTACCCCCAGGTTTGCCTCTGGGCTCCCCTCTTACTCCTCACAAGCTGTACCTCCCAGCTTGGGGTTGGAGGCTTGGAGCATTCCAGAATGACTTCCTCCTTCTACAACAGTCGTTTGCTTTCAGAAAAACAGCCTCCTCAATGAACGAACCCTGCCTGCCTTCCCTTATTTAGATATTCCTTCTTATTTCTGGTCCTCCAAGAATACCCCTTCCTGTTCTCCAGCCCTATTATGGGTTTATTATTTTAAACTTGTAATCTCTTTTCTGTCATTTTTAGGCATCTGTGCTCAGTTAACCATCTTAATTCAATCTTCTGTCTCTTCCAATTCTAAATGTTATAATTTTATAAATGCAAAGGGGAAAGTAAACAAAAAATACAGTCATTACAAAAATAGCTCATTTTAAAGCTGTGGTTTTTTTCCTAATTATATCAACAATTAGGTAGTGATCTACCACCCATTACTATGGGTAGGGACCTCTACAAGTCTTAGCAAACACAAAAACATGTCATCTGCCACCCTAGACACCTGGAAAATCTAGCTACAATTTAAAGTGAATTAATTTAAATTTGTATCAAAGTAACTCATCAATGTAGTTTTAGAACTTTAAGCCCCCTGGCCAGGCACGGTGGCTCACGCCTGTAATCCCATCAATTAGGGAAGCTAAGGCGGGCGGATCACTTGAGGTCAGGAGTTTGAGACCAGCGTGGCCAACATGACAAAACCCCATCTCTACTAAAAATACAAAAATTAGCCGAGCATGGTGGCACACACTTGTAATCCCAGCTACTCGGGAGGCTGAGGCAGGAGAATTGCTAGAACCCGGAAGGTGGAGATTGCAGTGAACCGGGATTGCACCATTGCACTTCAGCCTGGGCCACAGAGTGAGACTACATCTCAAAGAAAAAGAAACAAACAAATAAAAAAAACTTTAAGACCCATCTCCCAGGCCTCCCCAACTGGAATCGTGCTTTCTAATGATATCGACTTCAAAACTATCCCCTATGGCATTTTCCTCCGTCATTCTTAGTAATGTGTTTATAGCACCATGTTTCACCGAATCCCTTTTGAAATGTAATCGTCTGTTATCCTAGATGAGGATTTGGCTTTCTTTCCCCGCTGCTGTCCTGACTTCTCATTCTTCCTAACTTATATCATAAGTTTTGGGTAAATCAATATTTGGAATTCACATTATTATGACTATGTAAATGTTTTTTATTTTTTGGCTGAGGTAAGTAGAAGAGCATATGTTCCTTTTCTTATTTAAAATTTAAATTTTTTTTTTGCTTTGCTTTTTATATTACAAGATATCATCATGCAAAGTCCCTAAATGTTCCTGGAGTTATTGACTAAATATTTTTTTAAATTTGTGCAATCATTAATTCTAAATACTCCAACAGCTCTGTAATATGCCTCTTGATACTATTTTTCACACAAGGACATTGGTTTTGTTTTGTTTTATCCAGCAGAGCTTCTTCTTGGAGGCTTCTCTCCTCATAGTCTAACTTGAACTGGTTGTTTCCTATGCCTCCCATATAGCCATCATCTTGTGTTTCATTCTCTGGTTTCTATAATTTCTGTTTCTTGCTTTCTCTCTTATTTTTCCAAAGAACATCATTCTGTATATCATACACACTTGTGTATGAAAGGTAAAATACTTGTGGATTTAAATATGTGACAGTATCTTTTTTTTTTTTTTTTGAGACAGAGTCTTACTCTGTTGCCCAGCCTGGCATGCAGTGGTGTGATCTCAACTCACTGCAACCTCTGTCGTCTCCTGGGTTCAAGTGATCTTCCGGCATCAGCCTCCAGAGTAGCTGGGACTACAGGCACGTGCCACCACACCCGGCTAATTTTTGTATTTTTGGTAGAGACAGGGTTTCACCATGTTGGCCAGGCTGGTCTCAAACTCCTAACCTCAAGTGATCCACCCGCCTCAGCCTCCCAAATTGCTGGAATTACAAGCGTGAGCCACCACGCCCAGTCCACAAAAAGATCTTTTTTTTTTTCTATCTTTATACTTTGTTCATAATTTGGCTGGATGTGGAAATTGAAGTAAAAAAACAAAGACCCCTTGGTTTTTTTGAAGATCAAAAACGAATCCATTGATCTATAGCTTCTGCTGTTGTTGTGAAGAGATTCAATGCCATTTTGATTCTTGATACTTTTTATGTAAACCGTTGTGTATTTTTTTCCTCTCTAGAAATTTTTAGGATCTTCTCTTTATTTTTTTAGGTTCTGGAATTTCCCAGTGATGTTTGTGGTTTGGGTCCTTTGTGGTAGGTGTACAACAGGCCCTTTTAAATCTAGAGACTCAGATTGACAATAATTTCTTGTTTCCTAAGTGTGTGGGATGGAGTTAGGGTGGGTGGGTAGGTAGATAACATGTCTGGATATATAAGGAAAAGGAGACAACCTATATTGTGTATGTAGTCTTTTTTTTTTTTTTTTTTTTGAGACAGGATCTTGCTCTGTTGCCCAGGCTGGAGTACAGTGAAGTGATCATAGCTCACTGCAATGGGGACCTCCCAGGCTCATGCAATCCTCCCACCTTAGCTTCCTAAATAGCTGGGACTACAAGTGTGTGCCACCAGGCCTGGTTAATTTTTAAAAATTTTTTTGTAGAGATGGGGTCTTGCAATATTGCCCAGGCGAGTCTTGAACTCCTGGCTTAAATGATCTTCCCTCCTGGGCCTCTCAAAGTGCTGGGATTACAGGCATGAGCCGCCATGCCTGGACTGTGTAGGTAGTCTTTTCATCCAATATCCATCTTTTCAGTTCTGTGCCTAATACAATCTTCCATATTAGTTGGTGATTCCAAAACATCATGCCCTCTGGGGCTCTGGTGGGGGTAAGTAGGAAAAATGACTCTCTTTTCTTTGTTTTTCCCCCTTTGCAGGCATTTAGATGGTTGGGGTCTCAAATCTGCATATAATATCTCATCCATCTATTTTTTTATTCTTCTAAAGAGACATTAACGTATCATTCATTGGTCTTTCCAACTTTTTACATTTTTATTCCTGACATTTTATTATTAACATTTTGTTAGATTTATTAGGTATTTGTTAAATCTGCCATATTTAAGCAAAAGTCTAAGGAGTTGTTAGAGTGAGTCTTTGAAGCCAGAAATGACCATAGTTTGCTGTCCATGGAATGACTGGGGACATGTTTCTGAACAGGACAGAGAATAGGGATGGCCAGACACAGTGGCTCACGCCTGTAATCCCAGCACTTTGGGAGGCTGAGGCAGGTGGATCATGAGGTCAAGAGATTGAGAACATCCTGGCCAGCATGGTGAAACCCCATCTCTACTAAAAATACAAAAATTAGCTGGGCACCGTGGCACACGCCTGTAGTCCCAGCTACTCAGGAGGCTGAGGCAGGAAGATCGCTTGAACCCAGGAGGCAGAGGTTGCAGTGAGCCGAGATCACGCCACTGCACTCCAGCCTGGGCAACAGAGCAAGACTGACTCGAAAAAAAAAAAAAGAAGAAGAAGAAAATAATTATAATAATGCCTCATACCTTGTAAGTATTATATAGGTGTTTGCTATGATTATTGCTGTTATTTCAAATGACAGGTGTTGCTTTGTTTTTTTTAAGAAAACCATTAGAAGAAAAACAAAACAGAATAGTCTGCAGCTGTTGATCCAATACAAGATGTGGAGCTCATTCTGTAGGAACTAAGCCTCAGATGACATACAAGGTCTGCTTTAGGAAGACCCACTAGATTCTTTTGCTGTATGAGTTGTTGGTATTTCCAAGGTGAATGTTAAAGTTTGCCTAATAAAGCCAACGGGCCCAGAGTGGGTTGGGGATACTCCGTGTGGGCTCACGTGGCGTCCCTAGATGTCCTCTTCCCTTCTCTTCAGGAAAGCCCCTTTATTATTTTTATTTTTTGAGATGAAGTCTTGCCCTTGTCACCCAGGCTGGAGTGCAGTGGCACGATCTTGGATCACTGCAAACTCCGCCTCCTGGGTTCAAGCAATTTTCCTGTCTCAGCCTCCTGAGTACCTGGAATTACAGGCACCCACCACCATGCCTGGCTAATTTTTGTACTTTTGGTAGAGACAGGGTTTCACCATGTTGGCCAGGCTGGTCTTGAGCTCCTGACCTCAAGCGATCCGCCCGCCTAGGCCTGCCAAAGTGCTGGGATTACAGGCGTGAGCCACCACGCCCCGCCCAGGAAAGCCCCTTTCTTATTTGATTCCTTTCAATAAATAGCTGCCGTGTGCTTGGAAGGGTACGACGAACTCAGGATTTGGATGGGAAGTTTTTGTGGGAAGTGGGACGCTATGCTCTGGCGGATCTGTGACATTGAACCCTTGCCTGATGTGGGAAAAGAAAGGGGCTGGCAGGGGCTGGGACCCACACAGGAGCGGGAGGTCAGCAAGCTCTAGCAGACATCCGGATGCCCTAACCCCGACTTCTTCCGTTCCAAAGGAGGACCTCTGGTGTGCTGGAAAGAGCCCGAATTCAGAGTCTGTTTGATCTGAGTTCCAGTTTTATCCCCGATTCAATTTCTCACAGCTTTATGAACTTTGCTTTTTTCATCTGTAAAACGAATACTTCTTAGTGTTGTCACGTAAATGGATGAGTTTGCATATTTAAAAATTGTCTAGTGTATCCTAGAACTCCCTTTAGCTCCCATTTTTTTGCTCCTTTTCCCACTGTACATAATTATCAGTCCAAAATATAACTCCCAGATTCCCACAGCAAGACAGGATCTGGCCCAGGCAACACCGGAATGCAATTACACCGCTCCACTGCAATTATGTTACTATAGGACATTCCCTTTTAAAGGATCTGCAGAGGTTAAATTTTTCAGGACTATCTGAAATTCTCTCTGATAATGACTTGTTTTGCTCAGCAATTGAATAATGTTGTATTTAATCAATTAAACATTATTTATTAAGCCCTGTCCAATATCCTGGGTAATATGGGGGACATAGAGGAAGAAGAAAAGAGCTTACAATTTTGTGAAAGAAACCAAACAACTAGGTAAGTCATCTAGAACTAAACCAAGTAGTGGACTATGGACAAAAGCCTGGAGACTTGTTGAATTTCAGAGTGGGAGAGACCTTGATGGCTTTCTTCACCCAGCTGTGCAATAGAGCCTAGCATTCATCTTCACCTCTGCAGAGCTAACTGGGATTTAGGGAGTTTCATGCTAATGTGGGGTGGGGTCTGGGGGATTCTGGGAATGTGTGCACATGCTGACTTGTCTTCAGGAGCCAAAATGCTTTCCCTGCTCAGAGCTGTTTTAGTACAGGGTTGTTTTCTCATCTTTCTGGGAAAAAAAAAAAAAAAAAAAAAAAAAACCCAAAGGGAGAATGCTAGTGGATACAGCAAGTTCTTTTCAGAACATGTTCTGTGCCAGGCTCAGCTGCCTACCAATTTTTAATTTTTTGGCAATTTGCTAGATGTGGAGCCTCATTTTTAAAAATTGCTCTCTTCTCTAGAGTACAGATTCTTTTCCTGCCTGCACTCCTCCATTTTTCTCATAGAGAATAGACTTCTGTTTCAGGCATCCATGATATACTTGGCATGTATCTACATTACTTCTCATTCATAGATCTTCAAACCCTCTGAAAAGAGAACTAAAAATGGGCCAGGTGTGGTGGCTCACACCTGTAATCCCAGCAGTTTGGGAGGCCGAGGCTGGCAGATCACTTGAGGTTGGGAGTTCGAGACCAGCCTGGCCAACAGGGTGAAACCCTGTCTCTACAAAAAAATAGAAAAATTAGGCAGGTGTGGTGGCCGGCGCCTGTAATCCCAGCTACTCAGAGGCTGAGGCAGGAGAATGGCTTGAACCCAGGAGGCGGAGGTTGCAATGAGCCAAGATTGTGCCACTGCACTCCAGCCTGGGCGACAGAGTGAGACTCCATCTCAAAAAAATAAAACGAAACAACAACCACAACTAAAATCAGCCAGTTAGTGCCCTTCAATTAAGGTTCTATTTATTGGAGCTAGATATTGATTATCGGCAAATGTCTCTGTTTTTTCCTCTCTCTCCTCTTGTAGAGGAATTGGAAGGTCGTTGTTGCCATGTTGACTTCTGCTTTTCTTCTTTTCTTTACTACTTCTACCTTTCATTCTGATTTGACCCACAGTAATACTATTTTCCCTTAATTGGATTGGGTGCTCTGCAGGACTGGAAAATTCCTAGTTTCTGTCTTGCAAATAAATAAAGGCAGATCCACGCAGAAGAGCAATGCTTTCTTCGTTCTGGCTTTCCTCTGCTATTGAAGTACCTCTGGGACTCATCTAAGTCCATACCAATCTTTTTGAGGGGTCCTAGTTAATGTTTCACGTGGGTTTGCAAATATGTCTTTTGAGTGTTGGCCATTTTCTTTGGCTCCCGTAGGAAATACCACCCCGGAAGTTGTAGCTCAGCCCCTCATCTGAACAAAAGTACTGACACTTTGCTCTCATCAGCTGCAGCTGAAGTCACCCACAACCACTAAAGACATCGTTGTTCTAGGGATGCTGGGGCTGATGTTGGGGTGTCTCTGCCAACACTGTCCTGAGACTGCCAGTGCCATTATGATGGACTTGCCCACAGATACAGCCCTAGTTCTCGTTCTGGGCTGGGATCTGCAACCCCTTGTGGGGCAGGCACCACCAGAGCAGGTGCTGGCCTAGGGGCTGCAAATGGTGATACTGTGTGCTGCTTCCCAGGGCTGCAGTCTCAGGGTGTCCATGGCTCCCTATGCAGAGCTGGCTTTACAGAAGTAGGGATAAACCTTCCCCATCACTTTTAGGGCATGCTCTTCTACCTCAGACCAAAGCTGTCCTGTTTTATGCTCCCAAAGTGTCTCACAAAGAGTTTTGTATGTGCAAGCCCCCCCCCTTTTTTTTTTTTTGAGATGAAGTCTCCGTCGCCCAAGCTGGAGTGCAGTGGCGTGATCTTGGCTCATTGCAACCTCTGCCTCCCGGGTTCAAGTGATTCTCCTGCCTCAGCCTCCCAAGTAGCTAGAACTGTAGGCACACACCACCATGCCCGGCTTGTATTTTTAGCAGAGATAGGGATTCACCACGTTGGCCAGGCTGGCCTCGAACTCCTGACCTCAAGCGATCCGCCCACCTTGGCCTGCCAAAGTGATGGTATTACAGGTGTGAGCCACCATGCCCGGCTGAGAAAGCACTTTCATACTTGCCTCCCTCTTTCTTGCATCAAGATTCTGATGCTTGTTTGCGGGAGAAACTGGTGGAAACATCTATGTCCCAGACAGCATGCTGTTTGCTCCTAGCACACTGAGCATGCTGTTGAAGCAAACTGTTGAGTGCTTCCCCAGTCTTGCTCCAGTCCATCAAATCATAAATCTACCTCCAACTCTTCTTCCAAATTCCAGTCATAAATGCAGTTTTTAAATCTATTTTTGTGACAGAGAAGTATGACAGTATGATGAATAAAACAACTTTTAGCTGGGTGCAATAGCTCACACCTGTAATCCCAGCACTTTGGGAGGCTGAGGTGGGAGGATCACTTAGGCCCAGGAGTTTAATACCATTCTGGGTGACTCCAGCCATAGGAAAACCCCATGTCTACAAAACATTTTTAAAAATTTAAAAATTAGCTGAGTGTGACGGTATGCACCTGATGTCCTAGCTACTTGGGAGGCTGAGATAGGACGATCCCTTCAGCCCAGAGTTCAAGGCTATGGTGAGCTGTGATCTCCCTACTGCACTCCAGCCTGGACAACAAAGTGAGACCCTATCTCAAAAACAAAACAAAACAATTCCTGGCACTGTGGCTCATGCCTGCAATCACAGCGCTTTGAGAAGCCAAGGTGAGAGGATCGCTTGAAGCTAGGAGTTTGAGACCCGCCCAGGCAATATAGCAAGACTCCATGTCTATAAAAAAAAATTAAAGTCTCTGGGCATAGTAGTGGATACCTGTAGTCCCCCCCTCATTAGGGAGGCTGAGGCAGGAGGATCCCTTGAGCCCAGAAGATTGAGGTTGCAGTGAGCCATGATAATGCCACTGTACTCCAGCCTAGGGGCAGGGTAAGACTGTCTTAAAAAAAAAAAAATCAGAGATAAGAATAAGTTTCATTAGGATAAAATTATATGGAGAAGTAGAATGGATATAAAAAGAAAAAATATATTTTATTTTCAAATATTAAACAATGACTTTCATATTCTTTTTTTGTTTTTTGTTTTTTTTTTGAGACGGAGTCTCGCTCTGTCATGCCCAGACTGGAGTGCAGCGGCACGATCTCGTCTCACTGCAATCTCCGCCTCCCGGGTTCAAACGATTCTCTCGGCTCAGCTACCGAGTAGCTGGGATTTCAGGCATGTGCCGCCATGCCCAGTGAATTTTTTAAATAGTTTTAGTAGAGACGGAGTTTGACCATATTGGCCAGGCCGGTGTCAAACTCCCAACCTCAGGTGATCCACCCGCCTTGGCCTCCCAAAGTGCTGGGATTACAGGCATGAGCCACCGTGTCTGGCCTCATATACTTTTTAGTGAATAAAAATGAGTATTAAATTGCTCAGATATTTAGATTCCATCGGAGACGTTTAAAAGTGATCTGTGGGTTTAGTTTACAATATTAACATTTACAATCCGCTGGAAATTACATCCTTGGCAGCTATTTAAACTTATGTTGAAAAATTTTAGATGTTATCCTTCAAACAGGTGAGAAAGTGCTGCATAGTTTTTCAAACTTCTTCTTTTTTTTTTTATTTTGAGTGGAGGTGGGGAGTTGTGAGTAAAATGTTTAAGGACCCCCAATTTAGAGTGTTTTGCAAATATGCTCTGAACAACTGACCGATTTCTATAAATTTGTTTTTTCACATGTTGTTTGTTCACGTAAATATTTTATAAGTTTGTTTAAATTTATTTTTCACTGGAAACCATGAAAAGCCATAGTTAATGCTAGAAAAGTAAGTTCATTCGGCTTAATGCTCTATCCCTTAATTGCTGCTCAATCTACTGCTATCCAGACGCTTGTGAAAGCAAGTGGATCTGAAGTTACCAATTGCTAGATCAGAACAGAGCCTGCGGGGAACCATCTTGACAGTTCTATTTTAAAGCCTAATCTGTTCCCATTCTCTGCTGCCTCCCTCGTCTTCTTCTGTTTTTTAATGTTCAAAAAATAAAAAAACAAGGTGGCAAAACCCAAGATTACTTGGCAAGAAGGACGGGTGGGAAGTGGAACATAATTAGCTTTCTTTTTTTTTTTTTTTTTTTTTTTTTTTTTTTTTTTTTTTTTTTTTTTTTTGAGACGGAGTCTCACTCTGTCGCCCAGGCTGGAGTGCAGTGGCGGGATCTCGGCTCACTGCAAGCTCCGCCTCCCGGGTTCACGCCATTCTCCTGCCTCAGCCTCCCAAGTAGCTGGGACTACAGGCGCCCGCCACTACGCCCGGCTAATTTTTTGTATTTTTAGTAGAGACGGGGTTTCACCTTGTTAGCCAGGATGGTCTCGATCTCCTGACCTCGTGATCCGCCCGCCTCGGCCTCCCAAAGTGCTGGGATTACAGGCGTGAGCCACCGCGCCCGGCCAGCTTTCTATGTGATGTTATTTTTAATGCCATTCCAACCTTCAAATATCAGTTGGGAGGGGAGAGTTTAGAATAAATCGGTAACTTGATTATTAAAAGAACCCTTCTCTGTTTGGGAAAAGAATAACTGTCCCAGGAAAAGGGGGCTCACAGGGATGCTCTTTCCATAAACACCTTTATACTCTTCTTTGTTGGTTGTAAGAAAAATAGCATTCAGGGGCCAGAAATGGAGAGAAGACAGGGATTTCCTTTAGCAAAGGAATTGCAGGGAATTTGGGTTCTTAGGATCAGTGGTCAAAGATAATATTCTTTTACTAGGGCAATTAGAGCTAGCAGAAGATCCATTTATTCCAGCAGCAGAGAAAACTGTGCAATGGCTTTAAAATTTTTTTTATTTTTATTTTTTTTGAGACAGGGTCGCCCAGGCTTGGGTGCAGTGGCACACTCATAGCTCACTGCAGCCTTGACCTCCTGGGCTCAAGCGATGCTCCTGCCTTAGCCTCCCCAGTAGCTGGGATTACAGGTGTGCACCATCCTGCCCAGCTAGTTTTTAAAATTTTGTGTAGAGACAGGGTCTCGACATGTTGCCCACACTGGTCTCAAACTCCTGAGCTCAGGGCAATCCTCCTTCCTTGGCCTCCCAAAGTGCAGGGATTATAAGCAGCCTGTGCAAAGACTTTTAATGCCAAAGCCGTTGTGTAAAAGTTGAGCATAAGCCCCACAAGGCTTTTAGACTCTGAAGAACAAGTTGAGTGAATTAAGTTTATTTCCTCCTTTGCCCTGTTTATGAACATCAGAGTCACATTTAATAGTAGTGAAAACTGGAAATTTGGACAGTGAGGAAAAGTTACATCTGTGTATTTGGACTTAGTTAAGTCATGTTCTTCTAAATTCTACTTACTCTAAACTTTATTGGCAACTATTGATATATTGTGTTTGTTAGATATTTATTCTTTTTTTTTCTTTTGAGACAGGGTCTTGCTGTGTCACTCGGGCAGTGGCATGCTCATGGCTCACTGCAGCCTTGACATCCCAGGCTCAAGCAATCCTTCCATCTCAGCCTCCCTAGTAGCTGGGACTATAGGCATGCACCACCACACCCAGATAATTTGTGTATTTTTTGTAGAGACAGGGTTTCACTGTGTTGCCCAGGCTAGTCTCAAAACTCCTGGGATTAAGTGATCCACTTGCCTTGGCCTTCCAAAGTGATGGGATTACAGGCATCAGCCACCACACCCAGCATCAGAGATTTATTCTGATAAGTGGATACACATGGTTTTTTTACATGTACATAGATGTATAGATACACATATATGTTTTAGAGCAAATGTTTAGCTTAAGGCTCCTCGTGCAAAATGTTCTGTTGAGCACCACTGCAGTCCAAGGAAAAAAACAGATGGTTGGTTCACTTTCCACAACCAAGCCCAAAACCCCATTTACCAATCAAAATTGTAGGCACTATGCTTAAGAAAAAATGATCAATGTTTCTAAGCCAACCCAAGCCTCAACTGTCCCACCTAAACAGTTGCCAAGACTTGATATGAATGTTCACCTATGAAACCTGCCTCAGTCTTTCTTGACTCCTATTTCTAGCCTGGGAGCCGATATTTCTTGTTTTTTTTTTTTTCATTATTCTTATTTTTTAAGACAGAGTCTTACTTTGTCTCCCAGGCTGCAGTACAGTGGCACGATCTCGGCTCACTGCAACCTTCGCCTCCTGGGTTCAAGCGATCCTCCTGCTCAGCCTCCCAAGTAGCTGGGACTACAGGTGCCCACCACCATGCCTGGCTAATTTTTGTATTTTTAATAGAGACAGGGTTTTGCCATGTTGGCCAGGTTGGTCTCGAACTCTTGACCTCAGGTGATCCACCTGCCTTGGCCTCCCAAAGTGTTGGGATTACAGGCATGGGCCACCACGCCCAGCCTCCTGTTTTTTATTTTTCATTCTTTTAAAATAAAGATAGGATCTTGCTATATTGCTTAGGCTGGTCTCGAACTCCTGGCCTCAAGTGACGCTCTCATCTCGGCCTCCAAAAGTGTGGAGTTACAGGGGTGAGCCACTGTGCCCTGCCAAGTGTTTCATGTTCTGATGAATTAAATATGTGTCCTATGGGAGGTGGGCCATATGAACAACCCGAAAGGACAACACAGTGTTCATAGAGTCACCCTGCAAATTAGCCTCACGGCTGTCATGGTGTGAAATGACGGGGTGGGACACCCCCTTGACTTTGTTTACTGTAGGGACATCATTTGGCCCCAGAGATCAGTGGCAGGGACAGCCTTTGTAGTTATTAGATTCTGTTGCCTTAGCTCTCTGGGTCCAGAAAGTTGTGAATGGAGATTCCATGTAGAAATTGGAAATTCTTACCCAAAAAATCCCACCTCTGAATAGCCCAGAGGTGCGTACATCAAAGGAGGCCACTGTTTGTTTGTTTTTCTTGGCCAAGTGGGAGGAGGAATGCGGGAGAGCTCAGAACATTCCCAGAGAAAATGAGGGCCCTGACTTGATATGTTGTTCTCGATTCCTTTCTGAGTGAATTCCACGGCCGATAAACTGGCTCGGGCACAACTGTTCACAGCTGCATGTAGGATGTTGCAGGGGACACAATGGCTGCTGTGTGTGCAGGAGGACAAACAGTCCCACACAGGCCTGAGCCTGAGCAACAATGAGCGACAAACGGCCTTCAATACAATGCATTCATTTCCTGTAATAACACTGGGGTAAATGCGGCCTGGGAGGCCAGTTCCACCTGACAGAGACGCTCCACTTCATGCAATCGTTTTCAGAGGCCCGCTTTTCATGAAGAAAGACACATATAAAAAGGAGAGAGATGGCAAGCGGCTGAGGGTTTTCTTTTCCCCTCCTGCAAAGCAAGATATAATTAAAACCATGTATATTTTTAATGCCTAGATAAAACAGTGTGGTAAAAATACTGTCGAGGTGTTAGAAGCTATTTCAATTTTTAGTCTTTCTGACACTAACTGCTCGTGATTCACCATCGCTGCTAAAAATACTGGCAGGCGGCAGCCTGAGCTTCTCTGCTTCCCAGCAGGTAGACTGGCTCTAACGTGAGCTTACCTCCCTGTCCTGCCAGAGCTTCCATCCTCATGTAGGTAAGAGTACTACTGGGAATTGGCTTGACAGCCTATAATAATAATAATTGGCTGGGCGTGGTGGCTCATGCCTGTAATCCCAGCACTTTGGGAGGCCGAGATGGGCGGATCGCCTGAGGTCAGGAATTCGAGACCAGCCTGGCCAACATGGTGAAACCCCGTCTCTACTAAAAATACAAAAAATTCGCTGGGCATGGTGGTGGGCGCTTGTAATCCCAGCTACTTGGGAGGCTAAGCCAGGAGAATTACTTGAACCTGGGAGGCGGAGGTTGCAGTGAGCCAAGATTGTGCCACTGCACTCCAGCTTGGGCGACAGAGCAAGACTCTCTCATAAAAAAAATAATAATAATTAATAAAGCCCTAATAATAATCAAGATGATGATGATAGCTAACATCTACTGAGTGCTTACTAAGTAGCCAGTCTGGGTCTAATTGCCTGAATCCTCATAAGAACCCTATGAGGTAGGGATCATTATTCATCTTGGGTGAGGAACCGAGGCA
Organism: Homo sapiens; assembly: GCF_000001405.40. Classification (NCBI taxonomy): domain Eukaryota; kingdom Metazoa; phylum Chordata; class Mammalia; order Primates; family Hominidae; genus Homo; species Homo sapiens. Next base: position 24,813,105 of record NC_000010.11, read on the forward strand.
TTGAGAGATTAAGCAACTTGCCCAAGCTCACAACTATTCATCCTTTTCAATATATACCCGGGTTCCGGGTGCAGTGGCTCACACCTGTAGTCCTAGCACTTCGGGAGGCCAAAGCGGGTAGAATGCCTGAGGATAGGAGTTTGAGACCAGCCTGGGCAATGTGGCAAAAATCATGTTGATTTAAGAGCCAATAGTAATAATAATTAATAAAGCCCTAATAATAATAAAGATGATGATGATAGCTAACATCTACTGAGCATTCTACTGGACCACAATTGTGCACCACCATACCCAGCTAATTTTAAAATTTTTTGTAGAGATGTGGGTCTTGCTATGTTGCTTAGGCTGGTCTCGAACTCCTTACTCCAGTGATCTTCTTGTCTTGGCCTCATGAAGTGCTGGGATTATAGGCATGAGTCTCCGTGCTTGGCCTTTCTCCTCATTTTATAATTGAGAGGCATGTGGGCAGGAGTGAAGTGTCCCGGCTAATACCACTCAGGTAGTTCAAGACAGAGCCAGGACTAAAATCAAAGTCTGCTCTTTCTACCTGTATAAAAGAAGAAACTCAGTTAGAACCATTTATTACATACTTACTGAAAACTGAATTAATATCTATACTAATAAGTGTCCTGGCAGGGATTTGATAGGAAAGAAATAGAATGTATGATTTTATGATTTCTACCATCCCAAGGCTTGTGATTTTCCTGAGGACACACAGGATGCATAAATACAAGCCTTGATGGACATAATCTTACCTTGGCAATCCAGCACACACGTAAGAACAGAGGGAATGTGACTTCCAGGATCACCTGCTTAGGATGGTGATAATCCAGGAGGAGATAGACAGGAGGAGTGTGAATTGGTACAGAGAAAGTAAAAAGCATTTGTGAGACGAAGTAGCAAACAGAAGCCATATCTGCTCATTTCTGCTTGCCAGCATAATTTCACCAAGCACCTGGCTCTGTGGTGACGTGCAGATCTCTGGAGGGATGCTTTAAAGACAAAACAGGACAGAGCATATGGCCGTCTGTGTCTCTTACTTGGGTCACCATATTCCTTAAAGATAAATGACCCTTGTCCTTGTCTTTCCTTAAACATAAGATAACTTTTTTTTTTTTTCATTTTGAGACAGAGTCTTACTCTGTTGCCCATGCTGGAGTGCAGTAGCTTGATCTCGGCTCGCTGCAACCTCTCCTGGGTTCAAGCGATTCTTCTGCCTCAGCCTCCTGAGTACCTGGGATTACAGGCACACAACACCACACCCGGCTAATTTTTTTTGTATATTTTTAGTAGAGACGGGGGTTTCACCATGTTGGCCAGGCGGGTCTCGAACTCCTGACCTCAAGTGATCCACCCACCTCAGCTTCCCAGAGTGCTGGGATTGTAGGCCACTGTGACTGGCCAACATAAGATAACTTCTGATGAGTTTAGTGACTATGTTTTTGTAATCTATAACTAGATGGACTCTTATACCTCAACCTTGTTGTGATTCTGCTTCAAAGTAATTACTTTTAATAGCAAAAACCACAATTACATTTGCACCAATATAATAACTTCTGAGTACGTTGGATGTGATCTGTCATCATAAACTCCCCCCTCCTGTATATAAGCTGTGAGCTAAAACACTGGTTGGGAGATTTCTGACAAAATCTCCTCTCTGAAAGACTCCTCCAGAGCTATAGGCCTCAGTCCACAGTCCTCAGTAAGACTTCTGAATAAAACTAACTTTAATTCATTAAAAACTTGTTTTTTCTTTTCTTTCGTCCACACATTCAATGTGGAAATACGATTTGTGCAGAAGGACAAAGAAGCCACGAGTGAAAGCCAGGAGCATAGTTGCAAACAGGTTTGTTTGGCTGGCACAGAGATGATGTATCAAGTCATGAGAAAGGACTTCATGAACAGTGACCAACTTTAAAAATATTCCTGGGGCGGGCACGGTGAGCCGAGATTGCGCCACTGCACTCTGTCCTGGGCAAAAGAGCGAGACTCCGTCTCAAAAAAAAAAAAATATTCCTGTCATACCTTGAGGTAGCTAGCTGTTTGACATTTGAGACACAGAGGCAGGATGTGGTGACTCACTCCTGTAATCTCAGCTCTTTGGGAGGCTGAGGTGGGAGCAAGTCCTGAGTCCAGGAGTTTGAGAAAAGCCTGAACAACATAGCGAGACCCTGTCTTTACAAAAAAATAAACCAAATTAGCCAGGTGTGGTGGCACGCACCTGTAGTCCCAGCTACTCGGGAGGCTGAGGTGGGAGGACTGCCTGAACCTAGGAAGTCAAGGCTGTAGTGAGCTGTGATTATGCCACTGCCCTCCAGCTTGGGTGACAGAGTGAGACCGTGTCTCAAAAAAACCAAAAGCCTAGGTGTGGTGGCTCACACCTGTAATCTCAGAACTTTGGGAGGCAGAGACAGGTGGATCACTTGAGGTCAGGAGTTCAAGATCAGCCTGGTCAACATGGTGAAACCCCGTCTCTACTAAAAATACAAAAATTAGCTGGGCATGGTGGTGCACGCCTGTAGTTCCAGTACTCGGGAGGCTGAGGCAGGAGAATCACTTGGACCTGGGAGGCAGAGGTTGCAGTGAGCTGAGATTGCACCACTGCACTCCAGCCTGGATGACAGAGTGAGACTCCGTCTCAAAACAGCAACAACGAAACCAGACATTTGAGACACTGAAGACTGCCATAGTTTGATAGCTAAGGGACAAACCCAATTATAGGCAAAACAGTGAAATTACCTGCGTGGTTTCCCAGCAGGCCCCATGAGCAACCATTAGTGATCTCAATGGTGTTAATGGAGCTACATAAATCAGTCAAGAACAGTGATGGAACTTCTTACTGTAGTCCAGGTGCAGTGCTGGGCTCCGGGATAGGATGAACAAGATGGACCCAGCCCTGCCCTGAATGTGTGTTCTTTGTAGGTACAGTTCCAGCAAGAAACCAGCTCTCTTTATGTCGTTGAAAAGTAGGGAAGTGTAGCAGTTCTCAGGAGCCGTAAATAATGAATACGTGTTTCACGGCTGTTTAAATGAGTGAATAAAATCGCTGTGCTCATTCTGTCCTGTCACTGTCTCATGCAGTGAAATGGGCATCTTAACCACAGCTTAAAGGGAGCTGAAGACAGCAGGGAGGACTCAGGCCATCCAGCCTGGGATACCCTGCCCGCACATTTCTGTACCAAGAGCCGGTCAACTTCAAAATCAGTCTATGAGAGACCTAGTCATTACAACACACAAGGTTTCCTTCCTTCCTTTCTTTTTTTTTCTTTTTCTGAGACACGGTCTTGTTCTATAGCCCAGGCTGGAGTGCAGTGGTGTGATCATGGTTCATTGTAGCCACAAACTCCTAGGTTCAAGTGACCCTCCTGCCTCAGCCTCCCAAGTAGCTGGCACTACAGGTGCATGCCATCATACCAGGGTTTTTTTTTTAAATTTTTTTATTTTTTTAGATATGGGGTCTTGCTACATCGTCCAGGCTGAATACAAGGTTTTCCGAACAAGCTTCAGACTAGAATCAGAAGGCTCTGGGCTAGTGGAGAGGGCGTACAGGGAGAGTCAGGAGAAAGTCGGTCTGGTGGATGGTCAGCAGATGATGAATCAGTTTTGGCTTTGCCAAGTTATTTAACCTTTCTGAGCCTTAATTTACTCATCTGGAAAATGGGGAAAATACAGAGCAGGTTCTGGAGGCAGGCAAGCTAAAATTTTAATCACTTTTAGCAATTTGACCCTGAGAAACTACTTTCAGCTTCCCTTCGCCTGTTTCCACTTGTGTAAAATGAGAGTGATTATGATCTATCTCAGGGCTATAAGAATGAAATATGATAATACATGTTAAGTGTTTAAGACTGTGTCTGGTGCATGGTGTTTAATAAATGTCAGCAGTATGTATACTAGGATGGGTCTGAGGATTGGAGAAACGGATGCAAAGCACCTAACATCCTGCCTGACACATAATGGGTGGCTGATAAGCATCAGCTATCATGCGACTTTGAGCAACCCGATAAATATTTTTTAAACAAATGCCCACAGGAGGAATGTGTCTTTTTCATCTTTGACTCTCTGCCACTTAGAGGTATTAGTTTCTTATTGCCGCTGCAACAAAATAGCACACATTTAGTGACTGAAAACAACACAAGTTTATTACGATATCTCTGGAAGTCAGAAATCCAAAACGGCCTTCATTAGGCTAAAGTCAAAGTGTCAGCAGAACTGCTTTCCTTTTAAAGGCTGCAGGGGAGACCCTTTCCCTGCTTTTTCCAGGTTCCAGAGACTTCTTGCATTTCTTGGCTCATGTCCGCTTCTTCCGTCTTCACAGCCAGCAGTGAAGCATCTTCAAATTTCTGTCTATGACTCTGACCTCACTTCTGCCATCTCATCTCCTTCTCTGAGTCTAACTCTCCTTCTCTCTCTCTCTCTCTATTTATTTATTTTTTGAGATGGAGTTTCGCTCTTGTTGCCCAGGCTGGAGTGCAATAGCGCGATCTCAGCTCACTGCAACCTCCGCCTTCCCGGGTTCAAGCAATTCTCCTGCCTCAGCCTCCTGCGTAGCTGGGATTACAGGAATGTGCCACCACACCCGGGTTCCTCCTTCTCTTATAAGGAGGTTACGCTGGACTCACCCAGCTAATCAAGGACAATCTCTCCATCTCAAGATCCTTAACTTAAATCGCACATCTGGAAAGTCCATTTTGCCAGGTAAGGCAACATAGTCACAGATTCTAAGGATGATGATGTGGAAGTCTTTGGAGAGCCACAATATCATCGCCACAGTAGGAATGAATGAACGGTGTGCTGCACATAAGCATGGCCTTCTGGAGCTTCTGTTCACCACCTGATCTTGTCCCATTTGTCTCATGCTGAACAAGTCTGCCCTGGACCTTATGTAAATTCCAGGGACATTTGACTTGGCCATAGGCCTTTCCAAATGCTAGCAGTTTAACAGCCTTGCCTCAGAGAAAAAGGCAGTTTATGATGAAAATAACCATCTCAGGCTACTTTTTTTTAAGAGACCGAGTCTGCTGTGTCAACCAGGCTTGAGTGCAGTGGCGCAATCATAGCTCACTGCAGCCTTGAACTCCTGGGCTCAAGTGATCCTCCCATCTCAGCTTCCTGAGCAGCTGGGACTACAGGTGTGTGCCACCATGCCCAGCTAATTTTTTTTTTAATTTTTTAAATTTTTTTGTAGAGACAGATTCTCGCCATGTTGCCCAGGCTGGTCTCAAACTCCTGGCTTCAAGCAATCCTCCTGCCTTGGCCTCCAAAAGCACTGGGATTATAGGCACGAGCCACCCTGCCCAGATTCAGGCTATTTCTTGATTTCTACTTCTTTGTCCCAAGTTAATTATAAGCATCTCATTTGCTATTGATGATACATTTACTTTGTATTATTAGCTAATTAAATATTCATCATAGCTGTGCTGAGGAGGAGGCCTGTTTGTCTCTCTTAGTTTCTTAGATAAATAGAGCCAGGCCTGGAAAGGATCCACTGAGCCTGGAATTATAGCTCAATGTTGTAGCTATCAGAATTACTTGAGTTCTGAGTATTGGCTTCAATATTTTACTTCTTTGCCTCTAATTGGAAAAGAAGGGTGGAACATAGTAGGTCTTAATTGTTGACATCACCGAGTAGAGTTTTGATGAGATTAAAACTCTCTCTGTTCCCCTGTCTGTGGGCACACTTTCTTTATTGGTGCCTGACTTGAAAGATACTGTATAAAGCGTTCATGAACTTGGGACACTAAATGAATACGTCTTTGATGGTTTCTTCCCTCAGTGTGGAAATGATTTACCAAGTTATTCTGGCTTCCAGATTAAAAACTGGAACTTCTGGCTGGGTGTTGTAGCTTGCACCCATAATCTTGTCCTCTTTGGGAGGCCAAGGTAGGAGGATCGCTTGAGCTCAGGAGGTTGAGACCAGCCTGGGCAACACAGTGAGACCTTGTCTCTACTAAAAAAAAATTAGCTGGGGATTGTGGCACATGCCTGTTGTCCCAGCTACTGGAGAGGCTGAAGTGGGAGAATTGCTTGAACCCTGGAGGTGGAGATTGCAGTAAGTCATGATTATGCCACTGCATTCCAGTGACAGAGTGAGACCCTGTCTCAGAAAAAAAATCCCCAAAAACAAAAAACAAAAACCCAAAAGCAAAAACTGAAACTTTTTTTTTCTTTTCTTTTCTTTAAAGTAGAGATGGGATTTTTGCCCCAGCTGGTCTCCAACTCCTGCTCAGGCAATCCTCCTACCTTGGCATCCCAAAGTGTGGGGATTACAGGTGTGAGCCACCGTGGCTGGCAATAAAACTGGAACTTCTTTTAAAAATTTTTATTGTAATCAGATCAGAAAATGGTTGCCAAAATAATCTGTACTTAAAAAAAATAAGTTCTGTTCAAATTAGAGCAGCTCCACAACTATTTTAACCATAGATTTGATAAAGGTAACTTTAAAAACTAAAATTTTGTACCCTGATTAAAAAAAAAAAACAAGGTTCTGACAAATATTACCTGGCCATAGAAACATGTAACTATTTCTTAAAGTATGCTGTGAAGTAGCAAGGACTGAGATGAAAGAGAAGGTATCCAGAGATGAATGATTAAAAAAAGTAAGCACTAAATATTTACATGTAACTATGTATTTATATATTTTATCTGTGTGTTGATTAATACTATTTGGTAAGAACTGCACATATAGTGTCTCATTTAATTCTCAAAACAACACTATGAGGTAGGTATTATCTCTGTTTAATGGAAGTTCAGAGAGGTTAAACCACTTGTCCATGGTTGAAAGTTAGTCAATTTCCAGGCTGGGCAACATGATGAGACCCCGTCTCTACCAAAAATAAAAAAAATTAGCTGGGCATAAGTGGCATGTGCCTGTGTCCCAAGCTACTCAGAGGCTGAGATGGGTGGATTGCTGGAGCCCTGGAGGCTGAGGTGGGTGGATTACTGGAACCCTGGAGGCTGAGTTTGCAGTGAGTCGAGATCACACCACTACACTCCAGTCTGATCATGTTGCTGCACTCCCCCATTAAGAAAGAAAGAAAGAAAGAAAGAAAGAAAGAAAGAAAGAAAGAAAGAAAGAAAGAAGAAAGAAAGAAAGAAAGAAGGAAAGAAAGAAAGAAGGAAAAGAAAGAAGAAAGAAATAAAGAAAGATGAAAGGGAGAGAGAGAGGGAGGGAAGGAACGAAGGAAGGAAAAGAAAGAGAGAAAAAGAGAAAGAAAATTGGAAATCTCAAACACAGACCTGACTATCTGCAAAGCCTATGCTCTTAACCTCCTCCTTCCAGTATTATACCAGGAGAGCTAGCAGCAGTGGGTTAGCTTAGTGCTTGCATTTTAAGTTTGAGTTCCAGAGAGGTAAAATGATGTGTTGATAACATAGACAGTAAGAGGTTGGATGAAACTGCAAGGTGATTTCTAGTAAATTTGCTCCCATTTGTTTCTAAGGAACATAAAGGAAATTTCTTTCTCTGTTAGCTTTTATAGTTTAGGAAGTAAATGTACATACAGTAGGAGTCATTCTGAGGTTGCTGGGGGTTAGAAGAAAATGCCTTTGTTTGAGACAGACAAGCTAGAGGGAGGTAGATGGGATATCACCTTGGAGCTGAAAGGGTGACCTGCCCCAATTAGTCACGACTGTCAAGCTTGGGCTTGAGCAGCAGTGGATCATGGAGACAGGGCACAAAGCCAGAAGCAGACTGGAAATGCCAAGGGCCTATGGCTGTGGTGTCAGCTCAGGTCCCGAAGTCAAGTGAGCAGGCAGGAGTGTCCATGGGCCAAGGCAAAATGGATGGAAACCAGCCAGCCAGTCAGGATGCCCTGAGGCACCAGCCCCTGCTCCCAGCAGGCCCAGGCTGGAGGCCTTGTATATTTCGGCTGCTCCAACAGTAGCCTGTCCTGGGGTCTGTATAGGGGAGCCCTAGACAAGAGCTGGGTAACAGGGGTGAGTGTTCAAGGTCAGGGTAGATTGCTTGTGAGCAAGCTCGTGCCAGCACCTCCATGGGTACTTTGGGAAATATCACACTTGAAAGATGGCTGGTTTGTTTATTGCCATAAATGATGCAAGAATCTGTGTAATTTTTAAAAACATGCCTCATTATATATCTAGTATCTAGTTGGTGATCAGGATCATCATTTTAGCTGGGTGCTTATAGTCCCAGCTACTCAAGAGGCTGAGGCGGGAGGATTGCTTGAGACCAGGGAGTTCGAGACTGTGATTGTGCTTGTGAATAGCTACTACACTCAAGCCTGGGCAACATAACAAGACCCATCTCTTAAAAAAATCATCATTCAATTTAAGTCTGGAGTCATGTTTGAGATACTTCTTGATTTTTAAAGGGCTAATATCTAGGATACTAAAGGGTCATACTAAATAGACATGCACTGTACTGTAAAGGGCCACTGCCTAGTATATCTTAAATAATAAATATTTGTCAAATGAATGAATGAAACTGAATTGACACAAACAGAAAGTCTAGGCCGGGTGAGATGCCTCATGATTATAATCCTAGCACTTTGGGAGGCCGAGGTGGGAGGATCACTTGCGGCCAGGAGTTTGAGACTAGCCTGGGCAACATAGTGAGACCCTGTCTCTACAAAAAATTAAAAAATTAGCCAGTGTGGTGGCTTGGGCCCAGCTACTCGAGAGGCTGAAGTGGGAAGATGGCTTGAGCCCATGAGTTCGAGGCTACAGTGAGCCATGATTGCGCCACTGCATTCCAACCTGCTAGGTTGGAGCAAGACCCCATCCATTAACAAAAAGAAAAAAGGGTCTATCCAGCAGTCCACCTTAGCTGTAAAGGATGCATTTCAAGACTACCTCAGTGGAGGCCTGAAACCTCTGATAGTAACGAATCCTGTATATATTATGTTTTTCCCTATACATAGATAATTATGATAAAGTTTATAAATTAGGCACATATGAGATGAACGATAATAACTAAACGTAGGGCAATTATAACACTATGCCAGCATCACAACTTTTGCACTTTGAGGCAATTATTAAGTACAATGAGGGTGACTTGAACACAAGCACTGTGATTTCTTCATAGTTGATCTGATAACTGAGATGGCATGGCTACTGAGTGACTCAGGGGCAGGTGACATCTGTAACTCAGGATACACTAGACAAAGTGGTGATTCATGTCCCAGGAGGGATGGAGCAGGGTAGTGAAAGATCTCACGACACTACTCAGAACAGCATGCAATTAAAAACTTATCAATTGTTGATTTCTAAAATTTTCTAATTAATATTTTTGGATCACAGTTGACTGTGGGTAATGAAAGCTGCAGAAAGCAAAACCGCGGATCAGAGGGGACAATGCTGCTTTTTGGAACTCTGTTAGGAGACCAACATAAACCGAAGAAACTACGAACTAATACATCATGAAATACTTCTTCTATTTGGGAGGTGGAGAAACCATCCCCTTCTCCACCAAAATGACACTTAAGAAAGAGACCCCAGGGAGGGTAGCAGTGGAATGAGGGTAGAAAATAACTGATGAAGGTCAGTTTCAGCCTTCCTGCCTCCAACCTTCTCACAGACTCCAGTGCAGAAGAGGATGTATTCAGCTTCCTAAAGTCTGTGTGTACCACTAACAGGTTAGGAAATGAGTTAAATGCCAGATTCTTAAATGTTGCATGTGGGAGGATCTGAAACAGAGACTTCAGTCACTTTGCCTCTGCCTTAAACACCCACACAACAGAAATGGATCACGGCATTGGCTGAGCAAGAGAGAAGAGCAGAGAAGCAAGAATACTAGAAGTTACTCTGTTTTTTATACAGGTCGTGCCTTCCTGATCTGAAAGTCTGAAATGCTCCAAAATTCAGAACTATTTGAGCTCTGACATGACTGCACAAGTGGAAAATTCCACACATAAATACTTAATACAAACTTTGTTTCATGCACAAAAGTATGTAAAATATTGGATAAAATTACCTTCAGATTATGTGTATAAGGTGTATATAAAATATAAATGGATTTTGTGTTTTGCCTTGGGTCCCATCTCATTGTGTATATGCAAATCTCATTATGCACATGAAATCGCAAATACTTCTGGTCCCAAGCATTTCACATAAATATTCAGCCTGTACCACATATGTATCCCCTTCTTTCCAAGTGCTTTACTCTTTATCCAAAACGAATCTTCCACCTCATTTGATGAGAATTAATATTTCCCCGGGTGAGCATGGGTATGAGTTAATTGCAATTTTCAATACTCTTTTAAGAAATATAGTGCTTAATTCCTTTCGAATTTCAATTTTAAAATTCTCCTGCCTGAAAACTGGGAGCTTCTAAAACCCAATCAATGGCTGGGCACAGTGGTTCACGCCTGTAATCCCAGCACTTTGGGAGGCTGAGGCAGGTAGATCACTTGAGGCCAGGAGTTCAAGACTAGCCTGGCCAACATGGTGAAACCCTGTCTCTACTAAAAAAACAACAATTAGCTGGGTGTGGTGGTGGATGCCTGTAATCCCAGCTACTTGGGAGGCTGACATGGGAGAATTGCTTGAACCCAGGAGGCAGAGGCTGCAGTGAGCCAAGATCACGACCCTGCACTCCAGCCTCGGCAACAGACCCAGACTCTGTCTCAAAACAAAACAAAAAAAACCAATCAAGTTTGACAGGATCAATTATTTAACACCTATGAAGCTTAGTAAAGAAAAAATGGGTGCATGTGCTATTTTTAAGATACTATGAGACAACAGGTTTCCATTCCTTTCTCACCACAATGGGAAATGTTTAAGTCAAATACACTTTGGGAATGAAAATCCTCTCTGAGCAAATAGTAATTTCTTATATATTTATATACTTACAATTGTGGTTAAAAACACAGAACACAAAGTGTATCATCTTAACCATCTTTAAGTGTACCATTCAGTGGTGTTAAGTATTTCACACTGAGTGCAACAGATCTCTAGAACTTTTTCATCTTGCAAAACTGAAACTCCCTACCACGGGTATCCAATCTTTGGGCTTCCCTGGGCTACATTGGAAGAAGAAAAATTATCTTGGGCCACACATAAAATACACTAACACAAACTATAGCTGATGAGCTAAAAAAAAAAAATTACATACCAAAAATCTCATAATGTTTTAAGAAGGTTTGCAAATTTGTGTTGGACTGCATGTGGCTCATAAGGCCACAGGTTGGACAAGCTTGCTCTATACCCATTTAACAACTCATTTCCTCCTCCCCTCCAACCAGCCCCTGGCAACTGCCATTCTGTTTTCTGGTTTCTATGAGTTTACCTACTACTCATAAGAGTGGAATCATATAGTATTTGTCTTTGTGTGACTGGCTTATTTCACTTAGCATAATGTCCTCAAGGTTCATCCATGTTGTACTATGTGAGAGGATTTCCTTCCTGTTTGAGGCTGAATAATACTCCACTGTATGTATATATCACATTTTGCTTATCCAATCATCTATGGATGGACAACTGGATTGCACCCGCTTCTTGGCTATTGTGAATAGTGCTGCTATGAACATAGATGTGTGAGGAAATAGTGATTTCTTATACTGAGACAGTACTGTGTTAACTAGAGAAGAATGAGTGTGTTTAAGGTCTTAGGAAAGGGTAAAAATGGGAGAGGAAAGATAATGGTGACCCTTTGAAACGTTAGCAGCTTTTGAAACTATGCCAAGACCTCAAAGAATTTTGCTGGAAACATTTTAAGTGTATATGATTTCTCTTCAAAAGACATTGTTTTAAACCAAATTGTTTTTCTTGGGCTTAATGACAGGATTTAGTATTTAATGAAATATTCTGGAATGAAGGTTGAAAGAGGAAGTAGAAATATTACACTTATTAAAACCCTCCAAACTATCAAATATTCAAGTGAACCCCTTCCATTTATTAGAAAGCTAAAATAGTTTCATGGAAAAATAAGTATAAATAGCTTTTGTTGAACACCTTATTTAGAATCATTATTAATTATTATCAATTGATAATCTTCCTATATGAGATGTCAACATCTTTTTTCTAAAATTCCATTTTGATGCTTTTAAGTATTTGGAGCCAATTATTATCTTGTTGTCAGCCAGTTTGATTGCAGTGTATTTCTTTTAACTCTTGGGGTATTTTTTTTCCCAGCAAAATAGGAATGCAAATACCTGAAGAATAACTGGCTCCAATGAACATTCTTCTTTTTTTTTTTTTTTTTAATTTACTTTTAATTCTGGAATACATGTGCAGAACATACAGGTTTGTTACGTAGGTATATGTGTGCTATGGTGGTTTGCTGCACCTATCAACCCATCTTCTAGGTTTCAAGCCCCACATGTATTTGGTATTTGTCCTAATGCTCTCCCTCCCCTTGCCCCCAACCGGCGACAGGCCCTGGTGTGTGATGTTCCCCTCCCTGTGTCCATGTGTTCTCATGAACATTTTTCCTTCTCTGTCTGGAGAAGCAACGGTAGAAAAATTTTAAAGGGCTCTAAGTGTGTATAATACCTTTGCAGACAACAGGTTTATTTTTCCCCACTTCCATTTTAAAGATGAATAAAAGACTAAACTAAAGTAAGAACATCAAGAAAATGCAGGGACATGTTTCAAGAATCTTTAGTAGTGTGAATATTATGCATAGTTTATCTCTGTCTGAAGGACTGTGAGTCAGAAAGGATGTGAAAAACATCTGGGTAGAAAAAAATAGTGTATCTAGAGATACGTTTTGCAATCTCTGCTCCTTATCTTCTTTTCAGTGGTTATCAAAGACTGCAAAGATTTTATAATATAAAACCCCCAAAAAGAAAGAACAGCCTGCATGTGAAGTGCTTAAGATTGATATCTTGTTTCTTATTTGTTCACATTTATTTTTAGTTTTCTTTTTTCAAGGTTGGACAAACTCAAAACAAATTAATAGAAGAGACTTAGGAACTAATCATTGTAAAAGTTTATGGTGCTATATTAGACCAAATTCCTGCACATGTTTGTCTCTAGGAAAAAAATTAATATGCCAATGTTAGACTACATGAAGACAGTAATAACTCAGGGGAAAAAATGGAAGGCTGCCCATTGTAGAAACATGTCCAGAAAAATCACCGATTGTAAAGAACATCCTCTCTCCTTATATAAGCTACCAGATGTTGTTGAATTGAATTGAGAAGAGAAAAAAAGAAAAAGCTTATGAGTCATCGGGTGCAACCACGGTTGAGCAAAGTTTAGCAGCCCTTTTGATTAAAGCATGTTGTGGTATGTGTAATAAACAATGTTACAACACGAGAAAATATTGATTCTGTACCAAACAGAATTTAAGTATTCAAAACATGATTTGAGCCATAGATCAGAATGATATTGAAAATAGATGACATTTAAGTGAACAGTGGTCACATACATAGTGTATGATAAAAAACGAAACTATATTAGGGCCAATAAATATGACATGTCTTGGGAGACATTTTACTTTTGATAATACTAAAGATAACTTTGTTTATCAAGTGTGCATATGAACATGGAGAAGTTCATCAGTATGTGTATTTTAAACACTGGAGAAAAATACTTTCAATGCTTGCCCATTTAGAAAATCTTTTGTTTTTGAGACGAAGTCTCGCTCTGTCGCCCAGGCTGGAGTGCAGTGGCGCGATCTCGGCTCACTGCAAGCTCCACCTCCAGGGTTCACGCCATTCTCCTGCCTCAGCCTCCTGAGTTGCTGGGACTACAGGCGCCCGCCACCGCGCCCGGCTAATTTTTTTTGCATTTTTAGTAGAGACGGGGTTTCACTGTGATAGCCAGGATGGTCTCGATCTCTTGACCTCGTGATCCGCCCGCCTCGGCCTCCCAAAGTGCTGGAATTACAGGTGTGAGGCACCGCGCCCGGCAGAAAATCTTAATAGCTTAATACAGCGGAAAAGATTTTGGGAAGTCTAGACCATCACTTCTATCATCCCTCCTACTTCCCCTCTGCACCCCAAGACACATTTCAGAGAAATCTATTATTTTTTAAATGTTGAAGTGTAGACCAGACAGAGAATTGAGAAAAATGTTCTTTTTTTTTTTTTTTTTTGACAGGATTTGGTTCTTGTCGCCCAGGCTGGAGTACTATGGTGAGGTCTTGGCTCACTGCAACCTCCACGTCCTGGGTTCAAGGCTGCCTCAGCCTCCCAAGTAGCTGGGATTACAGGCATATGCCACCACACCAGGCTAATTTTTTTGTATTTTTATTAGAGACAGGGTTTCACCATGTTGGCCAGGCTGGTCTCGAACCCCTGACCTCAAGTGATCCACCCACCTTGGCCTCCCAAAGTGCTGGGATTTCAGGCATGAGCCACCATGCCCGGCCAAGAAAAGCGTTCTTACATCAGAATAAATCCAGGTCGTGGCTTCTGTTTCTTTCTAATGGGGAGCAGGAACACTTGGACTTGATTTTCAAGAATGGGGTTCGGCCTTTCATCTCCTAACACTGGAATTCAACTCTAACACCCTGAACTCTACCCCATCCCTAGATTTTTCTCTAGGTTCTTTCATTCTTTCTTTTGAATTTTACTTCTTTACAATTTTTTGCTCTTTCCTTATCCACTACTTTTTTTTTTTTTAATGTGTTATTCCCAGAACTAATGCTGGTACTCTAGAAAGTCAAATTAGTCCTGAGATCAATGGGACAAAATAGCTTTTTTTTTTTTTTTTTTTTTTTTTGACAGAGTTTCACTCTTGTTGCCCAGGCTGGAGTGCTGGAGTGCAATGGCACAATCTTGGCTCAGTGCAACCTCCGCCTCCCGGATTTAAGCAATTCTCCTGCCTCAGCCTCCCGAGTAGCTGGGATTACAGGCCCCTGCCACCATGCCCAGCTAATTTTGTATTTTTAGTGGAGACTGGGTTTTACCATGTTGGTCAGGCTGGTCTCAAACTCTTGACCTTAGTTGATCCATCCACCTCCGTCTCCCAAAGTGCTGTCACGACGCCCGACCGACAAAATAGCTTTGTTAGCTCTGCTTCATTCAATCAACATTTAGCAAATGCCTATTGTGTCCTACCCTTGTGCAGACACTGGGGACAAAGAGGAAACAAGACAGTTCCCACTCTTTCTATCATTTTTGCAGTTGTCTCCAAAGGTGGATGTTCATATCTCTAGATGGGTTCACACGATTCATGAGAGTGAGCAGGAAGTATGAAAACTTCTTTTTATGTTTCTTCTTTTAAGTCTAAAAACAAGAAACTAAGCCTTATTACCATTTAACATGTGGACTGCAATGAAGCCCTCCCTTGGCGCATATGTCAGATGCCACGTGTCAGGTACAGTATTTAAAATAGCCTAAGGGAAGAGAAGAGATCCTATAATGTCAAAGGGGTGACAGTCCATATGCATGTTATACATAATATATTTCTTTATTCTCTTATTTTTTGAGAGAGAGTCTTGCTCTGTCAACCAGGCTGGAGTGCAGTGGTGCGATCTCGGCTCACTGCAGCCTCTGCCTTCTGGGTTCAAGCGATTCTGCCTCAGCCTCCCGAGTAGCTGGGATTATGGGTGCTGGTCACCTTGCCTGGCTAATTTTTTTTTTTTTTTTTTTTTTTTTTTTTGTAGTTTTGGTAGAGACTGGCTTTCTCCATGTTGGCCAGGCTGGTCTCAAACTCCTGACCTCAAGTGATCCACCCGCCTCAGCTTCCCAAAGTGCTGGGATTACAGGCGTGAGCCACCGCACTCGGACTTTCTGATCAAATGATATGGGATTGTACTATCTAGTTTTATTTTCTCAAATAGGCTTATTGAGGTATAACGGATACGCAATAAACTGCCTATATTTAAAGTATACGATTTGATCAGTTATAACATATGTAATATACCCATGAAACCATCACTGAAATAAAGATAATACCGACAAAAGTTTCCTGGTGCCCCTTGGCCACCACCTCCTTTCATCCCTCCCTGTCTTTGCTCTTCCATTGCCTATCCCCAAGCACCACTGGTCTACTTTCTGTCACTCTACATTAATTTGCATTTCCTAGAATTTTATGTAAATAGAATCACACAGTATGCTCCTTTTCCAGTCGGCTTCTTTCACTCCATGTAATCATTTTTGAGATCCATCTATGTTTTAACATGTATCAATAGTTTTATGTTTAGTGTATTCGGTGGTATGGAGATACACCAATTCCTTTGTCTATTCACATATTGATAAATATTTGAAATGTTTCCAGCTTTACTATTACAAATAAAGCTTCTATAAACATTCTCTTTCTTTCTTTCTTTCCTTCCTTCTTTCTTTCTTTCTTTCTTTCTTTCTTTCTTTCTTTCTTTCTTTCTTTCTTTCTCTTTCTTTCCTTCTTTCTTTCTTTTTTTCTTCTTTCTTTCTTTCTTTTCCAGCCCAGGCTGGAATGCAGTGGTACGATCCCTGCTCACTGCAACCTCTCCCTCCCAGGCTAAAGTGATTCTCATACATCAGCCTCCTGAGTAGCTGAGATTACAGGTGTGTGCCACCACACCAAGCTAATTTTTGTATTTTAGAAATGGGGTTTGGCCATGTGGGCTAGGCTGGTCTCAAATTCCTGGCCTTAAGTGATGCACCTGCCTTCGCCTCCCAAAGTGCTGGGATTACAGGCATGAGCCAGTGGGCCTAGCCTCAGGTATGTTTTTCTAGATATATGCTTTTATTTCTCTTGGGTAAATATTTAGGAGTGGAATGGAATAGCTGGATCATATGCTAAGTGTATATTTAACTTTGTAAGAAAAACAACCAAACTGTTTTCCAAAATGGTTGTATTATTTTACTTTATTTTATTTATTTATTTTTTCTCTAAACATGATGTAGAAAAGTTGTATCATTCCCACCAGCAGTGTATGGGAATTCCAGTTCCTCCAAATCCATAACAGCCCTTGGTATGGTCAGTCTTTTTAATTTTAGCTAGGCTAATAGGTCTGCAGTGTTATCTCATTTTGGTTTTAATTTGCATTTCCCTAATGACTAATGAGGTTGAGCATTTTTCATGTGATTATTTGCCATGTCTATGTCTTCTCTGATGAAGTGACAATTCAGATACTTAGCCCATTTTAACAATTGGGTCATTTTGTTTGCTGGTTATTGGGTTTTGAGAGTTCCTTATATATTTTCAATACAAATTCTTTATCAGATACATCCTTTGCAAATATTTTCTGCCAGTCTCTGACTTGTCTTTTCTTTCTTCTGGTGGTGTCTTTTGAAAATCAGAAGTTTATAATTTTAACAAAATCCAGTTTATTAATTTGTTCCTTCATGTATCCTGTTTTGGGTGATTTAGCTAAGAAATCTTTGACTAGTCAAGGTCAGAAAAGTTTTATCTAGAAGTTTTATAGTTTCTACATATTATTTTCTACATAAGGCGTTACATATGGGTCTATAATCAATTTTTTTATTTTTAAGATGGAGTCTCGCTCTGTCGCCCAGGCTGGAGTACAGTGGTGCAATCTCAGCTCACTACAACCTCCACCTCCCGGGTTCAAGCTATTCTCCTACCTCAGCCTCCTGAATAGCTGGGATTACAGGCGCCAATACCAAGCCAGCTAATATGATCAAGTTTTGAGTTAATTTATGTCTGTGCTTTGCAATATGGATCAAAATCCATGTTTCAGCATATGCATATCCAATTACTTGAGCACAATTAGTTTGGGGAGTATTAACATTTTAGCAATATTGCCTCTTTTGACTCTAGAACGCAGCATATCTCCTCATTTGTTTAGCTTTTTAAAAATTTCTGTTAGCACTTTCTGTAGTTTTTAGCATACAAGCCTTCCACACCATTCCTCAGATTCCTTAAATGTATCCTTCCGGTATTTCATATTTGTGGATGCTATTCTATAAGTTGTGTATTTTAACTTTCAAATTTCTGATTGTTCCTACTACATACATTTGTTTTTATATATTGAGCTTGTGTTCTACAGCCTTATTAAACTCACTTAGTTCTATTAGCTTTTTGATAGATCTCATTAGATTTTCTACATCGGTGATCATTTAATCTGTGAATAAAGACAGTTTTACTTTTTCCTTTCCAATCCGGATGCCTTTTATTTCTTTTTATTACCTGGTTACACTGAATAGATCTTCTACCACAATGTTGAATAAAAATGGTGAGAGCAGAATCCTTGTCTTTTTCAGATCTCAAGGGAAAAGTATTTAATCTTTCACCGTTAAGTATGATGTTAATGGCAGGTTTTTTGTTTTTTATAGATGCCATTTATCAGACTGAGGAAATTCCCTTCCTTTTCTAGTTTACCAAGAGATTTAATCAAGAATGGATGTTAGATTTAGGCAAAGACCTTTAAAAATATTTGTTAAGGTGATCCTGTGGTGTCTGTTTTTGTTTGTTTGTTAATATGATGAATTATATTGATTTTTGAACATTAAACCAGCCTTGTAATCTTGAGGTAAACCCCACTTGGTCATGACATATTATATTTTTATATATGTTGAATTTAATTTACTGAAGTTTTGTTTAGAATTTTTTGCATCTGTGTTCGTGAAGAATATTGGTCTGTAGTTTCTTTTTCTTACAATATTTTTGTCTGATTGTGGTAGCAAGTTAATGTTGGTCTCATAGAATGAGTTTAAAAGTATTCCCTCCTTTTCAGTTTTCCGAAAGAGTTAATGTGTAATTGCTATGATTTTGTCCTTAAGATGTTTGGTAGAATTTACTAGGAAGGTCCTGCAGACATGTTTTCTTCATGGGAAAGTTTTTGTTGTTTGTTTGTTTTTTGTTTTTGGAGACAGAGTCCCACTCTGTCACCCAGGCTGGAGTGCAGTGGCGCGATCTCGGCTCACTGTAACCTCTGCTTCCTGGGCTCAGCCTCACCAATGCCTGGCTAATTTTTGTATATTTTGTAGAGATGCGGTTTTGCCGTGTTGCCCAGGCTGGTCTTGAACTCCTGAGTTCAAAGTGATCCAGCTGCCTCAGCCTCCCAAAGTGCTGAGATTATAGGCATTAGCCATCGTGCCCAGCTTATAGGAAAGTTTTAGCAATAAATGTAATTTCTCTAATAGCTACAGAGCTATTCATTTTATTTATTTCCTCTTCATTGAGCTTTGGGAGTTTGAGTGTTTCAAGAAACTTGCATGGCCAGGCATGGTGGCTCATGACTGTAATCCTAGCACTTTGGGAGGCCAGGCAGGAGGATCACTTGATGGTGAGACCCCGTCTCTACCCCAACAAAAACAAAAAACAATACAAACAAACAAAAAAAACTATGCATTTTAGAATTTAATTTAATTTTATTTAAAAAAATTTTTTTTATTATACTTTAAGTTCTAGGGTACATGTGCACAACGTGCAGGTTTGTTACATATGTATACATGTGCCATGTTGGTGTGCTGCACCCATCAACTTGTCACCTACATTAGTTATATCTCCCAATGCTATCCCTCCCCACTCTCCCGACCCCTTGACAGGCCCCAGTTTATGATGCTCCCCACCCTATGTCCAAGTGTTCTCATTGTTCAGTTCCCACCTATGAGTGAGAACATGCAGTGTTTGGTTTTCTGTCCTTGCGATAGTTTGCTCAGAATGACGGTTTCCAGCTTCATCCATGTTCTTACAAAGGACATGAACTCATCCTTTTTTATGGTTGCATAGTATTCCATGGTGTACATGTGCCATGTTTTCTTAATCCAGTCTATCACTGATGGACTTTTGGGTTGGTTCTAAGTCTTTACTATTGTGAATAGTGCCGCAATAAACATACATGTGCATGTGTCTTTATAGCAGCATGATTTATAATCCTTTGGGTGTATACCCAGTAATGGGATGGCTGGATCAATTGGTATTTCTAGTTCTAGATCCTTGAGGAATCACCACACTGTCTTCCACAATGGTTGAACTAGTTTACAGTCCCACCAATAGTGTAATTGACACCCTAACATCACAACTGAAAGAACTAGAAAAGCAAGAGCAAACACATTCAAAAGCTAGCAGAAGGCAAGAAATAACTAAGATCAGAGCAGAACTGAAGGAGATAGAGACACAAAAAACCCTTCAAAATATCAATGAATCCAGGAGCTGGTTTTTTCAAAAGATCAACAAAAATTGATAGACCACTAGCAAGACTAATAAAAAAGAAAAGAGAGAAGAATCAAATAGACACAATAAAAAATGATAAAGGGGATATCACCACTGATCCCACAGAAATACAAACTACCATCAGAGAATACTATAAACACCTCTATGCAAATAAACTAGAAAATCTAGAAGAAATGGATAAATTCCTGGACACAAACACCCTCCCAAGACTAAACCAGGAAGAAATTGAATCCCTGAATAGACCAATAACAGGCTCTGAAATTGAGGCAATAATTAATAGCCTCCCAACCAAAAAAAGTCCAGGACCAGGTGGATTCACAGCTGAACTCTACCAGAGGTACAAAGAGAAGCTGGTACCATTCCTTCTGAAACTATTCCAATAAATAGAAAAAGAGAGAATCCTCCCTAACTCATTTTATGAGGCCAGCATCATCTTGATACCAAAGCCTGGCAGAGACAGAACAAAAAAAGAGAATTTTAGACCAATATCTCTGATGAACATCGATGTGAAAATCCTCAATAAAATACTGGCAAACCAAATCCAGCAGCACATCAAAAAGCTTATCCACCACGATCAAGTTGGCATTTTATTATTTTATCCAAGTCATCAAATTTATAGGCATATAATATTGCTAATATTTTCTTGTTTTAAAAAATAAAGATAGGGTCTCACTATGTTGCCCAGGCTGGTCTCAAACTTCTGGGCTCAAGGATCCTAGGCCTCCCAAAGTGTTGGGATTACAGGCATGAGCCATTGTGCCTGGTCAATATTTTCTTATTATCTGTACAATCTGTAGTAATGTCACCTCTTTCATTGCTGATATTAATAATTTGTGTCTTTTTTTTCTGATCAGTGTGGCTGTATTTTATCAATTTCATTAATCTTCTCAGTGAACCAGTTTTTGCATTCATCCTTTTTTTCCAGTGGTTTTTGTTTTTCTCTATCACTGATTTTCTTTCTAACATTTATTATTTCCTTTCCTTTCTTCTATATACTTTGCAATTAATTTGTTCCTCTTTTATTAGATTTTTTTATTTGTTTGTTTTTAAAAAACAGGTCTTGCCCTGCCTTGCCAAGTGTGTGGGAGCTGGATGAGGCCTATTGCCCCCTGTACTCCCCACTCCCTGCATAAACTCTTCTGTGCAGCAGAGGCAGTTATGTTCCTTCCCGGATCATTACCCTAGTGTCCAGAGAACTGCCCTCCTGACCACACAGGGGCCTCTGCTTGCCCTGCCTATGGAGAGCCAGAGCTCAGACCTGCTTGACCCAGCCCCCACCTGACTTTACCCCTCCACCCACCCTGGTAGTTTAACACAAAGGACAGAAACTTTTGGGAGCCCCATGGCCCTGCCCATCACTTGAGATACCAGAGTACCTCCCTTAGGTAACATATGGCAAGCACAAATCCTACCACTGCTACCACAGATGGTGCTCTTTTTGCAAGTGCCACCTCCTGGCTGGAGGCCTACCAACACAGTCCATTACAGCATCTCCAGGTAGAAGAACACTGCACCCAAGAAGGAGAAAACTTGTGTGTGACCTCGCTATCACCATTGCCTGTACCATCCTGGCTAACCAGTGGTTCCTGAGCCTATCCATGTAACCAGTTCATTACTCTTAAGACTGGCATTTGAGAAAGCCAATGCACTAAGGCTAGTTATAATATAAGCAAGGAATCTCAGAGCCCACGTCATTCCCCTACCACCCTCATCAGGGCTGGTACCTGCTGCTAGGAGATTTGAGGACAGATTACATTATTGGATCCATTGCAGATATTCCCCAGTACCAGCCTGGAGTATGGCAGCCCCAGGTGGGGCTAGATCCAGAGGAGGAACAGCACTCACTGTAGTCTGACTCTCAGGGACTCCTATTCCTAGGGGAAGGGAGAATACACCACATCAAAGCAACACCGCATGGGACAAAAGAATCTGAACAGCAGGCCTTGAATCTCAGATCTTTCCCCTGGTGGTAAGTTTCTTTCAGCAGAGGCACAGTTGCAATGCTGGGCTCAGTGGGGAACATCTGCGGCTCTGTCTCACCAGCAGGCAGCCCTGGTGCTTGTGAAGGGTCTTGAAGGGGACTTCTTTTCCTCCTCATCCACCACTGCAGAAACAACTCTGGCTTCTCCCCTGGGAGCTTGACATGGGTGACTCTATAGACAGCCTTTCTGGAACACTTCAGCTTGACTGCATCCCCGCAGGTGGAACACCTGCCAGGTGTAGGCTTGCACAAGAGGTACAGTCGCAATTCCTCTACCTCTAGGAACATCAACGTTCCTGCAGGTGGAAAGATGCTCCTGTCTGCTCTGAATAGCGAGAACACTGGGTCAGAAGTATGTCTGGGTGGTAGATTGCTTTCCTGCTGGCCTGGCCAGGGAGCTGAAGTGGCTTCCACCCTTTCCCATGATAAGATCTCAGTGCATTTCACTGAGAGTTCCCCCAGACACCCCTGTCAAGACTGGGACGTCTGCCCATCATTTGGTGTTGCATTTACCCACCTGCTTTAGCCACAACCAGTTTCTACCCAGGGACACCTACCCTACTGGCCTAAAGCCTGAATTATTCAACCTAGTAAATAGAATACTGGGGAAATAGATAAATAAATAAGAGTACACCATGGGTGAAGAAGGTAAGTTTCAAGAGACCTCTGCCATTCCAACCCCATAGCAGATAGTGAACTTGCTCACACACTGAGTGCATTGCTACTACAACCAGTATCTGAGAAAGCCATCATACGAAGACTCTCTATAACGAAGGGACTTATACAGAGTCTTCAACCCTGAAAGCATCAAGACCCAAATTAGGCTATAATAAACTACAAACATTAAAGTCACATTCTGGCCGGACACGGTGGCTCATGCCTGTAATCACAGCACTTTGGGAGGCCAAGATGGGCAGGTCACTTGAGGTCAGGAGTTTGAGACCAGCCTGGCTAGCACGGTGAAACCCTGTCTCTACTAAAATACAAAAACTAGCTTCTTCAATAAACTCATCTAACATGTAAGGAATCATATAAACTTAAGATAAAGGGGTGGAAAAAGATATTCTATGCAAGTGGAAACTAAAAGTAAGCAGGAAAAGCTATTCTTATATCAGATAAAACAGACTTTAAAACAACAACAATTAAAAAAAGACAGAGAAAGTCGCTATATAATGATAAAAGGTTGAATCCAGCAAGACGATATTACAATCCTGAATTTATATGCACCTACCACTAGAGCTCCCAGATTCATAAAACATTTACTACTAGACCTAAGAAATGAGATAGACGGCAACACAATAGTGGGGGATTTCAACACTCCACTGACAGCACTAGACAGATCATTGAGACAGAAATTCAGCAAAGAAACAATAGACTTAAACTACACTCTGGAACAAATGGACCTAACAGATACTTACAAAACATTCTACCCAAGAACTACAGAGCATATATTCTTCTCATCAGCACATAGGACATTCTCCAAGACAGACCACGTGACAGGCCACAAAACAAGTCTCAGTAAATTTAAAAATGTCGAAATCATATCAAGTATCTTTTCAGACCACAGTGGAATAAACTAGAAACCAACTACCAAAGGATCTCTCAAAAGCATACAAATACATGGAAATTAAATGATCTGCTCCTGAATGTTTTGGGGGTTAATAATGAAATCCAGGTGGACATTTAAAAATCCCTTGAAATGAATGAAAATAGTGACACAAGTTATCAAAACCTCTGGGATACAGCGAAAGCAGTGCTAAGAGGAAAGTTAAGCACTAAATGCCTACATCAAAAAGTCTTAAAGATCACACATTGATAACCTAATGTCATGCCTCAAGGGACTAGAGAAAAAAGAACAAACTAAATCCAAAGCTAGCAGAAGAAAAGAGATAACAAAGATCAGAGCAGAACTAAATGAAATTGAAACAATAACAACAAAAAATACCAAATACCAATGAAACAAAAAGCTGGTTCTTTGAAAAGATAAACAAAATTGATAGGCTATTAGCTAGATTAACTAAGAAAAGAAGTAGATTCAAATAAAGTCAATTAGAAATGAAACTGGAGACATTACACCTGACACCACAGAAATACAAAAGGTAATTTGGGACTACTAAAAATACCTCTATGCACACAAAGTAGAAAGTCTAGAGGAAATGAAAAAATTCCTAAAAACATAACCCTTCTAAATTAATCAAGAAGAAATAGAAACCCTGAGCAGACCAATAACAAGCAGCAAAATTGAATCAGAAAAAAAAGCCCAGCTGAATTCTACCAGACATTCAAAGAAGAATTGATGCCAGTCCTACTGAAACTATTCCAAAAGATTGAGAAAGAGGGAATCCTTCCTAATTCATTCTGTGAAGCCAGTATCACCCTGATACCAAATCCAGGAAAGAACATAACAACAAAAAAAAGAAAACTACAGACCAATATTCCTGATAAATACAGATGCAAATATCCTTAACAAAATACTAGCTAACAGAATCCAACAGCACATCAAAAAGATAATACGCCATGATCAAGTGGCTTTTATCCCAGGAATGCATGGATGGTTTAACATACAGAAGTCAATAAATGTGATACATCATATAAATAGAATTAAAAACAAAAAGCCATATAATCATTTCAATAGATGCAGAAAAAGCATATGATAAAACCCAGCCTCCCTTTATGATAAAAACACTCAGAAAACTAGGCATAGAAGAGACTTACCTCAAAATGATAAATATCATATATGACAAACCCACAGCTAACATCATACTGTATAGGAAAAAGTTGAAAGCATTCCCCAAGAACTGGAACAAGACAAGGATGCCCACATTCACCACTTCTATTCAACGTTGTACTGGAAGTCTTAGCCAGAGCAATCAGGCAAAAGAAAGAAATAAGGGGAGCCCAATCTGGAAAAGAGGAAGTCAAACTCTTGCTGTTCAACAATGATATAATCACATACTTAGAAAACAGTAAGGACTCCTCCAAAAGACTCCTAGATTTGATAAACAAATTCAGTAAAGTCTCAAGTTACAAAATCAACGTACACAAATCAGTAGCACTACTATACACCAACAATGACCAACCTGAGAATCAAATTAAGAACTAACCTTACTTTTGCAAGAATGCCCATTATTTAAAAAGTCAAAAAACAATAGATGTTGTCATGGATGTGGTGAAAAGGGAACACTTTTTTTTTTGAGACAGAGTCTCACTCTATTGCCCAGGCTGGAGTGCAGTGGCATCATCTTGGCTCACTGCAACCCTTGCCTCCTGAGCTCAAGCAATCCTCCCACCTTAGCCTCCCAAGTAGCTGGGACCACAGGTATGCACCACCACACCAGCTAATTTTGTGTATTTTGGGTAGAGATGGGGTTTCACCATGTTGCCCTGGCTGGTTTCAAACTCCTGAGCTCAAGTGATCCACCTGCCTCAGCCTCCAAAAGTGCTGGGTTTACAGTCATGAGCCACCATACCTGGCACTAGCTAATTACATTTTTTTTTTTTTTTTTTTTTTTTTAGTAGAGATGAGGTCTCACTATGCTGTCCAAGCTGGTTTTGAACTCCTGGGCTTAAGTGATCCTCTTGCCTCAACCTCCTAAAGTGCTAGGATGACAGGCATGAGCCACTGTGCCTGGCCTCTACTTTCTTAAAGTGAAATCTGTAGTTACTTGTTTAAAACCTTTCTTTTTTTTTTTTCCTAATATAGGTGTTTAATGCTATACAGCTTCTTTAAGTATTACTTTAGCTGCATCTACAAATTTTGACATGTTTTATTTCATTTTCATTTAATTAAAAATACTTTATTTCCCCTTTCATCTCTTGTTTCACCCATAGCTTATTTGGAACTCTATTATTTAGTTTCTTTTTTTAAATTTTTTCAGAGATAATTCTTTCTGTTATGAATTATCTAATTTTATTCCCTGTGGTCAGAGAATATATTTGGTATAAATTCCTTAACAATTTTTGAGACTTGTTTGACTTCATAGAATATGGTATATCTTGGTAAATGTTCCACGTGCCCTTGAAAAGAATGTGTATTCTGTTATTGTTGAATAGTGTGTGCTAAAAATATTTATCAGGTCACATTGATCTATAGTGTTATTCGAGTCTACTGTGTCCTTACTGATGTTAGCATTTTATATAAGGGACTTGAGCATCTCCAGATTTTGGTGTCCTCGAGGGTCCTGGAATCAGTCCCCTGCAGATACTGAAGTTTGACTTTATACTTTAATCTGGTACCATTTTTCCTTCTGCTTAAAGAACTTTAACATTTTGTAATGCAAGTCTGCTGCTGATGAAGTATTTCAGCTTTTGTGTTTCTGGAAACATCTTTATTTCACCTCCATATAGAATTGTAGGTTGACGGATTTTGTTTTCAGTACTTAAAGATGTACTCATTCTCTTCTGTGGGTTTTTAAAAAAATTTTTTTATACTTGGATTCATTGAACTTGGGTTTATAGTTTTCATCAAATATGAAAAATTTTTGGCCATAATTTATTCAAATATATTTTCTGAGCCATCATCTTTTTCCTGTTCTTGGGAATTTCAACTGTACAGATATTAAGCCACTTAGAGCTCATGATGCTCTGTTAATTAAAAAAATATTTTTCTCTGTATGTTTCATTTTAGATTGCCTTCTTTTGTTATGTTTTAAAGTTCATGAATCTTTTCTTCTACAAAGTCTAATCTAGCAGTCATCCCATCTGGTGTATTTTTCAAATCAAACACTGTTTTACTCTGGAAGTATGATTTGGGTCCTTAAAAATGTATATTTTATATCTCCACTTAACTTTAAAAATTTTAAATATCTGGAACACTTTTAGCAGATGTTTTAATAGTTTTAATAACCATGTTTGCTAAATCTTTTTTTTTTTTTTTTTTTTTTTGAGACTGAGTCCCGCTGTCTCCCAGGCTGAAGTGCAGTGGCACATCTTGGCTCACTGCAGCCTCCACCTCCTGGTTCAAGCAATTCTCCTGCCTCAGCCTCCCGAGTAGCTGAGACTACAGGTATGGGTCACCACACCTGGCTAATTTTTGTAATTTTAGTAGAGATGGGGTTTTGCCATGTTGGCCAGACTGGTCTCAAACTCCTGGCCTCAAGTGATCCACCTGCTTCCGCCTCCCATATTGCTTTGATTACAGGTGTGAAGTGCTGTGCCCGGCCCTGCCATAGGTGTTTCTATCAGACTCCCACAGTGCATAGATCCTAGACTTTCTCTCCATTTCTTGCACTTCACAAGGCAATAAAAATAAAATCTCAGATTTGAGTCCTCTGAGATACAATACTGGATGCAAGACAATGAACAAGTAATGCGTTCACTTATTGAAGAGAAAGGACATGGAGCTTAGAATTTTATATTGATATGGTTTAGATTTGTGTTCCCTCCCAAATCTCATGTCGAATTATAATCCCCAATGTTGGAGGAGGTGCCTGGTGGGAGCTGATTGGATCATGGAGGCCGATTTCCTTCTTGCTGTACTTGTGATAGTAGGAGAGTTCTCATGAAATCTGGTTGTTTGAAAGTGTGTAGCACATCCCCCTTCTCTCTCTTTCTCCTGCTCGGGCCATGTGAGACGTGCCTGCTTCCTCTTCACCTTCTGCCATGATTGTAAGTTTCCTGAGGCCTCCCCAGCCATGTTTCCTGAACAGCCTACAGAACTGTGAGTCAATGAGACCTGTTTTCTTTATAAATTACCCAGTCTCAGGGAGTTCTTTATGGCAATGTGATAAAAGGCTAATACATATATCCAGTAAAGATTTCATTCAAATATGAGAATACAATAAAAATATTCTCAGGCATACAAAAGTCTTAGAAGATTCATCATAGGAAGACCACATTGGAAATATGCTTGAAGGAAGTATTCATATATGCAGTCATGCACCACATAATGAAAATTCAGTCAATAAACCACATGTGTAATGAGGTCCCATAAGATTATATTATCATTATTTTTTCTGTTCCCTTTCTATCTTTACATACATAAACACCACTACATTACAATTGCCTACAGCACTCAGTACAGTAAAACTACTGTACAGGTTTGTAGTTTAAGAGCAGTAGGCTATTATATGGCCTAGGTATGTGATAGGCTATACCATTTAGGTTTGTGTAAGTTCACTCTATGATGTTCAGACAATGAGGAAATCATCACAACAACGCATTTCTCAGAATGTATTCCTGTTGTTAAGCATTGAACCACTGCTTATAAATACTTATCATTTTTATTGCTATGTGATAAAAAAAGTTGGGAGATCACTGTTTTAATGGTTTCTAATATTTATCCCCATTTTGCCGGATCCATATTTTATTAATTAGGGCTTTCTAGTATTTTTCTTGTACACTTATGCAGTGACAATCTGTATTGTATTGTTCTTTCAATAGTAAATGGTTTTACATTTGTCCTTAATGAATGTCATCCCTTTTTTCCTTCCTGATTCCACTCTTATAAGGGTCTTTTAGAATTCTGATCCTGTTCCTTTAGATTGCTGAATGACTACAGGATTATCTGTATTAAAATCATTTGGAGAAGATTAAGGGATTGTTAAAAATGCAGGTTTTCACCTAGACCTGCTGAATCTACACCTCTAGGGATAGGTTCAAGTAATTTATATTTATTTGTCTCCCAGGTGATTGGTAAACATTAGAAGCTTGAGAATTCTGTTCTAAGTGCCGTCTTTCTGGAATGTTTTCTCATTCCATCAACCAGTTCTCCAGTTCTCTGGATACCAAGTGGATGTCCAAGAATTTAATTCAGTTCTAACACTAACTACCTGGAGTTAGCATCAGACTCCAGAGGTTTAAAAGCTCGATTCCCTAAGACTGCTTCCACTCCAGAGACCAGTTGCAAGTATCAGGTCCCCAGGTAACCCACACTTCTGTTCAACTTGGCTACAAATCTGTGGGTTCCCACCTGCCCTGAGTTTCCATAATTTGCTAGAACATCTCACAGAACTCAGGAAAATGTTTTTTTTTATTAAAGAAAAAGAAAGATAGATTATTAAAGATATGAATCAAGGCACGCCACCTTCCCTTCATGGCACTGTGTTCACCAACCTAGAAGCTCTCTGAATTTTCTTGTCCCAGAGTTTTTATAAAGGTCAATCTCTCGCCCCCAGCCTCCTCTCTGGAGCTCAGTGGGAGGGTCTGAAACTTCCAACCCTTGAATCACTTGGTCCTTCTGGTGACCAACTCCATCCTAAACTCATAAGGGGTTTCTTACAAGTAACAAAAGATGCTCTTATCACTCAGGACATTTCAAGTGTTTCAGGAGCCCTGTGCCAGGGACTGTGGACAAAGACCAAATATATTTCCTATTATACCATACCATTCTTTCTTATCCTCATCTGAATGTCATCTATACATCTGTCTATACACTTTCTATGGGTTTATTAGTCTGTTTTCACACTGCTATAAAGAACTACCTGCCTGAGACTGGGTAATTTATGAAGACAAGAGGCTTAATTGACTGACAGCTCCACATGCTGTACAGGGGGCATAGCTGGGAGGCCTCAGGAAACTTACATTCATGGCAGAAGGCAAAGGAGAAACAAGCACGTCTTCAGGTGGCCGAGAGAGAAGGAGAGGGGAGAGGTGCTATGCATTTTCAAGCAACCAGATCTCGTGAGAACCCTATTGCGAGACAGCACGAGGGGGATAGTGCTAAACCATTAGAAATCACCCCCATGATCCAATCACCTCCCACTGAGCCCCACCTCCAACATTAGGAATTACAACTCAACATGAGATTTGGGTGGGGACACAGAGCAAAACCAGCTGCACATGACGCTTAGTCCTGTGTGGTGAAGTGAGTACTAACTCAGCAGCCCAATAGCATTAGTTCAATTTCTGGCTTTGAAAAAAGCTGTGTGACCCTGAGTAAGTGATTCAATCTCTCTGACACTTACTTATCTCTAAAATGGAGATGCCAATTCCTATCTCAACATTTTGTGCTAAGTATTAGATTAAGAGTTATTAAGTTTTCAGGCTGGGCATGGTGGCTCATGCCTGTAATCCCAGCATTTTTGGAGGCTGAGGCGGGAGGATTTCCTGAGCTCAGGGGTTTGAGACCAGATTGGGCAACATAGGGAGATCTCATCTCCACTAATTTTTTTTCTAAAAATTAGCCAGGGTGGTGGTGTACACCTGTGGTCCTGGCTACTCGAGAGGCTAAGGTGGGAGGATGGCTTGAGAATGGCTAGGAGGTTGAGAATGCAGTGAGCTATGATCACGCCACTGCCCTCCAGCCTGGGTGACAGAGTGAGACCCTGTCTCAAAAGAAAAAAAAGGGTTATTGTTAAGTTTTTGTACAGTGCATGATCCACAGAAGTTGCAACCAAATTGCTCACGAAATGTCAACAAGCTTGAGGGCCTAGGCTTGAATCTTTCACAATATGCTTTGCTATGCTCAGGACAGATCTCTTTTGAGTACAACTATGAAGATTTGTGCAGTCACCCAGTAGCTATGTAGTGTCAGTTACTTTATCAGGCAATGATGAATATTCTTCACAGGGCACAACCTTGTTAAAATAAAGATAAGACAGATTACATACATTTCTTTTTTCAGTCAACCAATTCTACCACTCAATATTAGAAGATTAGATAAATCAGAGCAATTTTCATTGTAAAACCATGCTGTTAGTTGTCAATCTTTTGTTTTAAAAATATTTATTAATTGATTTGAGGATTACTGGATTACTGTTTCCAGGTATAACATTATTTATATACATAACATATATAATATATTATATATATATTTTATATATATATTATATAGGGTTCAGTTCACCCAGTTATATTTATTGTATTTAAGGAATCTCCACCCTGGATTAGTTTCTTGGCCAAATTATTATGTAATTTCTTTCTATAAATATAGAACTCTTACTAAAATTTTAGTATGAGTTCACACTAATAGAATCCTTGATGAGCAAAATCTATTTTTCTAAACTTTTTTATACTGCAAACTTAAGCCATTTAGAAATAAATCTGCTCTTTCTTTTCTTTGAGACAAAGTTCTACTCTGTCACCCAGGCTGGAGTGCAGTGGCACGATCTTGGCTCACTGCAACCTCCACCTCCTAGGTTCAAGCAATTCTCCTGCCTCAGCCTCCTGAGTGGCTGGGATTACAGGCACATGCCACCTCACATGGCTAATTTTTAGTAGAGATGGGGGTTTTGACATGTTGGCCAGGCTGGTCTCGAACTCCTGACCTCAGGTGATCTGTCCTTCTTGGCCTTCCAAAGTGCTGGGATTACAGGCATGAGCCACCACGCCTGGCCTAAATCTGCTCTTTCAATGTCTTCATAATCTATTCCAAACGCTATCAGTAAGCAAATATGTATGTGCACACACTGTCTGGTGTTCTTTTTGTCATCTTCTAGATAGTATTCTGGAATTCTTTAACATCTATAAAAGCAGACTTGTTTTATGACCACTGAATAATCAACTCATTTAGTAATCTTATTAATAGAAAATGTGCAGGGCTTTGGGAGGCCAGGGTGGGAGGATCACTTCAGGCCAGAAGTTGGAGACCAGCCTTGGCAACTTAGTGAGACCCCATCTCTATGCAAAATAAAAATAATAATAATTTTTTAAAAAAGAAAATGTGCAGGGCACATAACTTTTCCGTGGCAGATTGTATTTTCTATAGATCACCACCAATATACATCTTATCCCACTTGATCTTCTTACAATATGATGCTGCTGTTCTTCCATCAAATGATGACAGTCTGTGTTCTCTCCCTTTGAACCCAGGCAAATCTTTGTAACTGCTTTGACTAACAGAATATGGCAGAAGTGAGCCTGCTATGTAAAAGGCAATATGGCTTCCATCTCCTTCTTCTCTCTGTCTCCCTCCACTTTAGAACCCAACCACCACGTTGTGGGGAAGCCCAGACCACATGGAGAGGCCACATGTTAGGGTTCCAACTGACAGCCTCAGCTAAGGTTCCAGCTAACAGCTAACATTAACCACTAGACAAAAACAAGCCTTCAGACTAGAGCTTTCCATAAAAGCTTTCCATAATGGAAACGTTCTATGTCTTCACTGTCCAATATGGTTGGTAACTTACTACCACATGAGGCCATCGAGCAGTTCCAACATAGCTAGTGTGAACGAGGAAGTAAATTTTAAATTTTATTTGACTTTAATTAATTTAAATAACCACATAATTGCTGCCACATTGTGCAGTTCAGCTTCTCTTGGTTGCAGCCATCAGCCTTGGAGTCTTCCATCTGAAGTACCAGACATCACTGAGCAAAAACAAACTACCTCCAGTATGTCTTCTCTGTATTCCTCTTTTTTTTTTTTTTTTTTTTTTGAGACGGAGTCTTGCTCTGTCACCCAGGCTGGAGTGCAGTGGCACAATCTCAGCTCCCTGCAGCCTCTGCCTCCTGGTTCAAGTGGTTCTCCTGCCTCAGCCTCCTGAGTAGCTGGGAATACAGGCATGGGCCACCATGCCCAGCTCATTCTTGTATTTTTAGTAGAGATGGGGTTTCACCACGTTGGCCAGGATGGTCTCGATCTCCTGACCTCGTGATCCACCCGCCTTGGCCTCCCAAAGTGTTGGGATTACAGGCGTGAGCCACCACATCTAGCCTCCTAACTCTTGTAAACCATTAAAGAGAGTAACTAATTATTGTTGATTTAAACTACTCAGTTTTGGAATGATCTGTTAACAAAACAATCAACAAAATTTATTTATTTATTTACTATTTTTTAGAGACAAGGTCTTGCTCTGTTGCCCAGGCTGTAGTGCAATGGTGTGATCATAGCTCACTGCAGCCTCAAACTCCTGGGGTCAAGCAATCCTCCCACCTCAGCCCCCTGAAGCTGAGACTACAGGTACGTGCCACCACCCCTGGATAACTATATATATATATTTTTATATTTTTGTAGATATAGGGTCTTGCTATGTTGCCCAGGTTGGTCTTAAACTCCTGGCCTCAAGTGATTATCCCACCTCAGCTTCCCAAAGACAGGCGTGAGCCACCCCAACCCCCACCCCCATCAACAAGGAATACACTTTCTCTGGTTTATGTGGCTGTTCTCTACAGCAAATAAAAACTCGCAAGTCTCTTGCATCTTTCCCCCCACACCCCCGAGGTGAGTTCACAGGAATCTCCCATCTTTAAAAAGCCTTCTGGCTATGATTGTATATGTCTTCTTCTCTTCACAGCCAGGCTTCTTGAGTGACCTTCACACCTTCCTCACTCACAGCTTACTTTCTACTCAACCCTCACTAGGCTCTGGACACAAAGAAGGTCACAGTAACATTAGTTCAGGCTTCTTTCTCCCTCTTGGGCAGTGTAGGGCTTCAGTGCCCCACCCTATCTTAAAAAGCCACTCCCTCCTGGCTGAGAAATTGCAAAAACCTATCTCTTCTGAGAGGACTAGAAAGAGACTCTCTTTTTAGGAAAAGGCACCTCTTCCTCAGGGCTGATGCAGTCGTGAGCCAGGGTCCACGGGTTGGCAAGTGAAGTGTGGGCTCTCCTTGGTTTGATGTCTTTGTGAGGGCACCAGCAGTGCGGGCTGCACAACCTGATGCTGTAGCTGGGTTCCTGGGGTGCTCTGAGCTTTCTGGAACTTGTCCATCAACATTCCTCTCATGTGGGCTCTGGTCTCCTTGCGGATGTCTGTGGCTCATGACGCTTCTGGAGGGTGGCATCTTGGGAAGCGCCCATTCCAGTCCACAGTGCTTCCCAAATTGCAGAGCCCTTGGGGTGCTAGCACGGAGCTACTTTCCTGCTTCTTCCCACCCCAAAGCTTCCCCGTGCTCCTCAATGAAATGTGAAGAACAGCTGGCCTGTCAGCTCCACT
The DNA here is from genome assembly GCF_000001405.40 of Homo sapiens. NCBI lineage: Eukaryota > Metazoa > Chordata > Mammalia > Primates > Hominidae > Homo > Homo sapiens. The sequence goes on from NC_000010.11 coordinate 24,846,875, forward strand.
ATGCAGCACAAAGATAACCATGAATGCAGCTCTTTAGGCTGGTGTCTTAGTCTTCCTCTTTGCACCGGGCTCAGAAGCCATCATGGGTGTATGACTGGCCAAGAAATAATGCAGCCCTCTCCATGCACACCCTCTTCCTATTTCTGCACACCTCCCCTCAGCAGCGTGCAAAGGCCCCTCTTGAGATCCCCTTCTTCCCTTCCTGAAACTGGCTTGTTGTTAGCTCTCAATTGTCATCTTGGGATCCAAAGGAGCTTCACGATTGCAAAGTCAGTAAAACTCCCAAATGCTAAGTTTGCCCAAATTAGTCAGATAACTGGGTGGAGAGCGTGGTTTGGGGTTTCAACTTCCTAGAACACACTACCTCTATGACAAAAGGGAGGGCATATTTCCATGACACCCGGTCTCTGGATGTGGAATAGCCTGCTTTTTCTCTCCATTGGGAAGACACAAGTTGATTTCACAGAAGGCTGAGCAAATGCCTGACTGTGCTCTGAAAGGCTGTTTTCACAGTCTCAGAAGGCCTGAAACATGGCAAGCCATCTTATACGCAAAGATTAAACAAGGTATGTCGGGATTTGACTATTTGCCATTTACATCTAGGGGGTCCGTGGGTCAAAAATGAGTACATTCCAGTCCCTGTAAGAAAGGACCAATTTATAATGAGGGGTTCTAATTTGTTTGGAAAATCCCAAAATATTACTAATTATGTTGATTATAACTGATTCCAAACTTCCCAGTGAAATACACACACACGCGCGCACACGCACACACACACACATACACACACGCACACGCACACACACATACACACACACACACATACACATTTTCCCCCTTACAAATCAGCTTTGGAACACTAAATTAATAATGGATTTGTTATTAATCAAGTAATAAGTTTTGCATTTTTGGTTTAGAGTGAATAAACTCAGTGATATTAACTAGACATGAGTTTTGCAAGAGAAAAGGAAATACTATTTTTCCCAAGATGACTTTCTTGGCTATCACTGTCAAAATATTGTCTGGTAGGAAAAAACTGCAAGCATGATTAAACTTCTTGCATATTTAGTGAATTTTCAGCATTAACTATACAAGTCCTCACAATCTTGTGAGGTAGATCAATCTCCTTTCTAATTTGAATAAACAGACTGTCCTCAGAAAGGATACTGATGCTTACTAAAATTCAACGTTTTTAAGAAAACATTTTCATATTGCATACTTATGGATAATTTTACACTTAAAACCAAATGTGTGCCTGGATTTTTCTAGGTCCTCTGACATAAACATGGCATTGTGAAAAAAAAGCTATATTCAGAGTGTTAATTTTGGTATTTCAAGAAATTCGTCAGTCAGACACAATTATAAATCTAAGCTTGGGTACCAATGCTTCTGTGAAACAAAGCTAGAAGAGATTCCTTTTGCAGACTTATCCCTTGGGATATTTGGGTGTGGCTTGTTTTCTTCTCTGACCGAAACAAAGATATGCAGGAAAATCTTCTTTTACAACTAAAATTCCTTGTTCTCACAAACGAGCTTGAGGAAAAAAAAAAGCAGCAGATCTAGCCCAGCTTAATCATTTGCTTCTACTAGTGCATATATTGGATTTAATCCAAGTTAACAAAAATAAAGCCGCAGGATAGATACATGCAGTCGTATATTTAAGCTACTGACTCACATACATGTTAATGTCTGAAAGTATTTAAAAAATATGGAGGCGGAAGAAAAACAGTAAGAAGTGATAAAACATAACAAGTTTTCTTATTCTTTATTAGTTTAAAGGAAGCTAGAACCTAATAACAATACGCCACATACGGTTCAGAACCAAACAAAAGCTGCTTAGTTATTTATTTTGCATTTGCATTTTGTAGGAAGTGAGAAAAAAACAGCTCTATTGGGACTCAAGTTTATTTTCAATTAAAATCCCCATAAATTAGGAAATGTCTTATAAAACGGAGAAATTGGAAAAAAATGTTATTCAGAAAAAAACTTTCTTGAGTGTGCTTGTTTCCTGTAGCACCTTGGATTTTGTGATCAGTCTTTTAAAGATATTTTTTAAAAAATTCAACCTCTGTCTTCACATTTAGGACAGGGCATAACAGTGTCTTGTCCTTTCATGCAAATAAGAGGAAAAATTTATACTTGCTTAGTTTCGAGCATTGAAAGCACTCGCCCCTAATTCTGCCATTTGCTCATGTCCCACATGAATAAAAGGATACAGCTTAGAAACCAGGGCCTTGCTGCTATTGTATTTTTTTCTAATTAAAATTCAGAGTATTAAACACAGTTGAGTACATCCATGCATACATGACATACCGTCATCACATACCGGAAGCTCCAATCAAGAGCCCCGAGCAAAGCTCGTTTCATAACATCATTAAGATTCATTGTACACTGCGTTTCAGAAAGGCTTTGTCAAAGCAGATAATAATGGCCTGTCAGAAATGCACAAACAGAAATTTATATTAAATTGTCCTTTCCCTCCTTTTAAAATATGGGAATCTATTAATAGCTGCATTCCCGGTATAGGGGACTCAAGTCTTCAGTTAAAAAAAAGTCCCCAGCTTCTTAATATTGTAAGCTTATTACCAAAATAAGAGTATAAAAAGTTAAGTGAAAAATATTTGAGTAACTAGGTGGGGGTATTCCTGGGAATACTAATCAAATATAATGACTGTATCAAAACAAAGGAAGGCGGAGCTCAGGAGTGTGAAGGTAGATAGCATTGCTGAGTCACAAGGCGGAGTGTTTAATTTGGAACAAGTCAAATAAAAGCACTGCTTTCTTTTCCTTAGGAACCTTTGATACTCTTTATATTAACCTCAGAAAAGAAAGCTCTCTCATTTGAACATTTTTTTCTTTTATATCCTGCTGAGTGAAGATGCCTGGGGGGACAAACTTGACAGCTGGCTTCCCAAGTACAGGCGTAAATATGATGCTATCTGGGACTTTAGTGGTGAGAATTCATGTCTTTAGACTCGATATTTTTCTTTACCGTGCTCATTGATGACGCATATGTGCTGAAACAATAAAGGATTTAAACGCATCAGTTTCTTAACAAAATATGAGACACAGAAAAGGTGATGCAGTAATAACCGAATGCCATCCTGTAATTGGCTATTGATCATTTAAATAGAAATGTGTGTATTTATATGTGTGGGTAAAATCTAAAGAGACCCATTCAAGTGCTTGACAAAAGGTCCTTTGTGGTTTAGTTTGGAGATTCCTATTCTGAATCCGGCTCCCCAGGTCCCTAAAACCCAGAAATGCTGAGGGAGCTGTATGTTTAGCCCTGCTAGAAACAGAAGTCTCCTACTGGTAAGATGACAACTGCTTGGGTGAATGGAGAAATAACAGTGGCAAGCACAACATGGGCTCTTATTCAACCCTTTTTGGGCAACAAGCAAAGGGTTAGGAATATTTTGATTGAAAGCAACAGAAATGGGGCCAGGCTAATGTAAGCAAAAAAGGAGGATTTGGATGGGCTCAGTGGCCCCTGTCTGTAATCCCAGTACTTTGGGAGGCTGAGGTGGGAGCATGATTTGAAGCCAGGAGTTCAAGACCAGCCTGGACAGCATACGAAGACCCCATCTCTACAGCAAGTAAAAATATTAGCTAGGCATAGTGGCGTGTGCCTGTAGTCCCAGCTACTCAGGAGGCTGAGGCGGGAGGATCGCTTGAGCCTGGGAGTTCAAGGCTGCAGTGAGCTATGATTGCGTCACTGCACTCTAGCCTAGGTGAGACTGTGGAGTGAGACCCTGTGTCTTTAAAGAGGGGGGAGGGGGAATTTATTGGTGGAATACTGGGGTAGCTCTCAGAATCCAAGGATGAGCTGGGCAATGAAGCAACTAGAAGGCAGGAACAAGGGCAGCTCCAGAGACTTTCACCCATGGTGCTATGGATACTCTCTGGGGGCACTGCTATCCTAGTGGTTGAAGTCTGAACACACTCAGTCTCTGTGACTTTTGGTTTAAATTTCTAATTCCCAGGACAGAGAGACTGATTGGTCCACTATGGGTAAGTTGTCTACCTCTAGATCATGCAGTGTTGGTCAGGGTCACACAGCTGGGGTCCACACTGGGGGTCCACGTCTGTGTGGTGAGATCATTTCCCCCAAAGAGGGAAGAGTTATGAGCTGCATGCCACTGTAATTGAAACCTGCTAGAGTTCAAGCACTGACACAAACCAGTGTATAGAATATTGGCTATTGTTATGGTTGGTTGGGCACAGTCAATGACTATGGAGAAGAATCAGTGTCAAACCATAGTTCTGCTTTTAGCTTCCTATTTCTTTAGTACAAAATAGAGATAATCATAATTTGCCTCTATCATCCTGATACCTACCCTGCAGAATAGTAGTGGGAGTTAATTGGGAGTATGGATGCAATGTGCTCACCATACTCCTGACATAGAAGATACTCAATCAATAGCAGACATCACTAACACGCATTCAATACTTTTTTAAATTGTTAAGTTCTTATAAAAAGGGCGGTTAGGGATTTGCATGCAAGACTTACATTCAGATCTCTGAAGTATTCATTGTAATCTAAGGCATATCCCACCACAAATAAGTTTGGAATCTCAAATCCAGCATCTTAGCAGACAGAGAAAGAGAAAAAAAAAAAGGAACAAAATTTAGATTATATAAATGCAAGTCACCATATGCTGCTGTCGCCACTCAAACTTGAGGACCTTTCATTGAGGCAGGAGGGAGTGAGAAATGGTGAGAAATGCACACGATGAGCCCAAGAGGGACCTGGACCCGAAGGACTACTCGGGAGGAAGGAGGCAAGGCAAACAAGCCAACCTACAATGAAGAATGACTGATCTAGCATACAGAGTTGAGAAAGGGCTCAGGAAGCCTGGTGCATAACAAGAAATATGCATAATTGAGTCACGTGGCCCTGGTGTTCTAAAGCAAGCAGTATGCAGTGATACGATGCCAAAGGAAACACTCTCAACAACACAAAGGAAAGTTCAAGCAGAAGGCGTTACGACGCTGCATTATGTGAACAGGTGCGCGGGCCACAGCAACTAGAAAGCAATTCTCCCGCTGTACTCAGTGTCTTGGCTGTTTAAAGGGCTGGAAAGCAAAAGCCAGGACACAAGATGAAAGGCAACGGGATTGTTCAACTTGAGGAAGAGAATGTGGAGGTTGCATTAATGCTGGTCTTTGGGTTCATGATGCAGAGGATATTAATGAGCTCCCTACTGAGGGCAGAATGAGAGGAAATGGATTTAAGCACAGTGCAAGGTACTTATGAAAAGCAAAAGAAGATTCATTGAAAAGATGATGATTTTTTGTCAGAAAGGATTCTTTTTTTTTTTCTGAGACCGAGTCTCGCGATCTTGGCTTACTGCAGCCTCCACCACCAGGGTTCAAGCCATTCTCCTGCCTCAGTTTCCCGAGTAGCTGGGAAGACAGACGTGTGCCACCATGCCAGGCTAATTTTTGTAGTTTTAGTAGAGATGGGGTTTCACCATGTTGGCCAGGCCAGTCTCGAACTCTTGACCTCAAGTGATCCATCCGCCTCAGTCTCCCAAAGTGCTGGGATTACAGGCATGGGCCACTGAACCTGGCTATTTTTTGAGAAAGGATCTCACTCTGTTGTCCAGGCGTGTGATCATGGCTCACGGCAGCCTCTACCTCCACAGGCTCAGGAGATCCTCTCACCTCAGCCTCCTGAGTAGCTGGGACTACAGGCATGCAAAACTACGCCTGGCTAATACTTATTGGAGAGAATTCTTAAGGAACAGACAATAGCTCTCCTTCTTCAGAAGTCTTGAAACAGAATAAAGGTGCACTGGTCCAGTGATTTTCAAACTTGTTTCAGTGTTTTGGAATCTTACAGGTTTGTTTATTACAGTATTATAGATGAGAGATTTATTTGCTTACTTTTAATGGAAGTGTACTTGGGTACAGCCAGTGGGCTTATAGCCTGGGCAAAGTCATCTCCACAGTGACTATGACCAACGATGCTTTCACAAGAAGAAAACGACTGGTTCATGCTCATAGAAAGTACTGGAGGTACTTATTTTCTAGGGGGTTACATTATGGAGTCCCTTGCTAGGAAAATAAGTACTAGAGGTGAGGGACTTATTTTCTAGGGGGTTGCATTATGGAGTCCCTTGCTAGGAAGCCTGCTTGATTCCTCCAAACTGCAGAGTTTCTTGAAAAAAAGAGTAAGAGAGGAGAAGCAAGAGCAGAAGAGGTCAGAAGTTACATTGAGGAGAAAAGAAAGAATCAATCAGGAGAAAGGAACGCAAAGTACAAAGCCTCATAAATCCAGAGAGAAAGAAGGAACAGAGATTCTGAGCTAGCTAAAAGAATATGAAGCCGGGTGCGCACCTGCAGTCCCAGCTATTCAAGAGGCTGAGGCAGGAAGATCATTCGAGGCCAGGAGTTTGAGACCAGCCTAGGCAACAAAGTGAGATCCCATCTCAAAAAGAAAAAAAAAAGGTAAGGTGCAGTGGCTCACGCCTGTAATCCCAGCACTTTGAGAGGCTTAGGTGGGTGGATCACCTGAGGTCAGGAGTCCAAGACCAGCCTGGCCAACATGGTGAAACCCCATCTCTACTAAAAATACAAAAATTAGCCAGGTGTGGTGGTACCTGTAGTCCCAGCTACTTGGGAGGCTGAGGCAGGAGAATCACTTGAACCTGGGAGGCAGAAGTTGCAGTGAGCCAAGATCACGCCACTGCACTGGGCGACAGAGTCAGATTCCGTCTCAAATAATAATAATAATAATATGAGCAAATCCCAAGAAACCCTGTTTGTAACCAGGGTTATAATAATGACTTTATAGGGAGCAATGCAATCCTTCCATTAGGCAGGGCAACTCACACTGGGAAAATGAGAGCCCAAAGCCTATTTAGAAGGCCAAAACTTGAGATGTCATAGAATAAAAGGATGATGGATCAGCAGGACAATCATGAATCAGAGTGACCTATCCTTAGCTGGTAAATGCAGGCAGCTCCTACACTTACATTTGCAATAGCAGATGTTACTTGCAGATGTAGTGGAAGAGTCAGGGCAGTGACTGAAACCAGATTGCCTGGGCTTAATATTGGCCTGACACTCATGGCTACATGACTTTGGCAAGCTATTTAAGCTTGCTGTGCTCAATTTCCTCATCTGTAAAATAGGTACAACAACAGCTCCTACCTTTAGAGAGCTATTGTGTGGATGAAATGAGCTAATCTCTGTATAGCTCTTAGAATAGTGCATGGCACATCACGACCTCTTCCTAGTGTTAGCTGCTATTATTTTATTGCTGTTATTATAAGTGATATAAGAAATTTGTCATTGAAGTGAATGTTTTTCAACTTCAGTTAAAATCTTATTTATACACTGAGTATCCTGTACTATTTCCTTAGACAATTTCTGCTTAGTAACCGCATGCAACCTTGACTACATCCAGATTATACCTTTGATAATAGTAATAGATGAGAACATGCGATTGGGTCTCTCTGCCCAGAACTGACATGGTCCAGAGTTAACACATCCAGCACAGGCATGAAACTTGTTTTCAGAATGTAGAGTCACTGGCTAAATGTCGCTGGCATGTCACCCATCCATACTGCACTTCTCTTTCGCTAATGTTTGTTCAGCTTGCTGAAGAGAACTGTAGCCAAATTATCCCAGGAGCTTTGGAGCAAATGTAAGTTATAAAAATCAAGCTGAAGTCTGCCTATGCAAGTGAAAAAAAATCGCCTCTAGTGTTAGAATAATAAATAATTAGGCTGCGTGTTTATCCTTCTTGGTGTTAGAACTAGGCTTATTATGGGGAGAAGGGAGGAGAGTGTCCTAGATGAGGAAGCCCTAGAGAACACACATCTGAAGTCAAGTGTGAAGATGGTATCTAGAGATACCTGCTCTGCTAATTCTCTGTGTTACGGAGCTTTGGTTTGGAGGTGAAGGGGAGCTGTCTTAGATTTCCCCTTCTGTGCGTTACAATTCAGGCTTGCTAAAGGTCACCATTGTGCGTTGTCTGGTAATAGTTCCGGATGATGGCATAAGAATCCCTCTAAACCTCCATAGCACCTCTCCTTGTCTGACTGGTGAGAATAGAGGCCAAGGCGGGGATCCTATGTGTCTGAGTCAGTCCAGCGGGATCAGGTCTTCCTCTACTCCCTGAAACTTTTCAGCTGACTTCTCTGTAGTTAAGGTGCTGTGTGAAACATACAAATAAAAATACCCAATGCACGGAACAGAGTTCCTGTGAAAGATGCAAATTAGAACATTGAAGACCCTCATTTTGAAGGGTTCTGTTTTCCCTATCAAGGTGGGGGAGATCATGAGGAATCCGTGGGACTATCAGCCCTACACAGTTTCAAATCCACATGCAATGCTGTCAAATAGGAAACCAAAGATTCTTAAACATAAAATGAAACACCATAAGCACAAAACAAACAAACAAACAAACAAAAAACTGAAAAACACTTACAGTCAGGTCTAAAGCCGTCACTTCTGGATGTTCTCTTCACCAACAAACTACCATTAAAAAAGACATGCTTTAGTGAACCCAATCAAATCTCTATGAATTGTAAATAGAATCAAGCATCATTAAAAGATGTACTTGAAATACATATTTTGCTACTGTGGCACTATATAGATGGTTCTGGATAAAAAGAAGACAGCAGGTCAGGCACAGTGCTTACATCTGTAATCCCAGTGCTTTGGGAGGACAAGGTGGGAGGATCACTTGAGCCCAGAGTTCAAGACCAGTCTGGGCAACATAGCGAGACCCCTGTCTCTACAAAAAATTAAAAAATTTAGCTGGGTGTGGTGGCACCTGCCTGTAGTCCCAGCTACTTGGGAGGCTGAGGTGGGAGGATTGTTGTAGCCCAGGAGTTGAAGGCTGCAGTGAGCCTTGATTGCACTATTGCACTCCAGCCTAGGTGACAGAAAGAGACCCTGTCTCAAAAAGCAGATAAAATATAAAAAAACTTTTTAAAAAGGTAGCTGTCAGCCAGGCACAGTAGCTCATGCTTGTAATTCCAGCACTTTGGGAGGCCAAATCACTTGAGCTCATAAGTTTGAGACCAGCCTGGCCAACATGGTGAAAACCCATCTTTACTAAAAATACAAAAATTGGCTGGGCATGGTGGTACGTGTCTGCAGTCTCAGCTACATGGGAGTCTGAAGCAAGAGAATTGCTCGAACCCGGGAGGGTGAAGTTGCAGTGAGCTGAGATTGTACCACTGCACTCCAGCCTGGGTGACAGAGCAAGACTCCGTCTCAAAAAAAAAAAAAAAAAAAAAAAAAAAAGGTAGCTGTCCTAGCTACTCAGGAGGCTGAGGTGGGAGGATCACTTGAGCCCAGAAGTTTGAGGCTGCAGTGAGTTATGATCACACTACTGCCCTCCAGCTTGGGCTGGGCGACAGAGCAAGACCCTGTCTCATATTAAAGAATAAAAAAGAAAAAAAAAAAGGGCCGGGTGCAGTGGCTCGTGCCTGTAATCCTAGCACTTTGGGAGGCTGAGGCAGGCAGATCACTTGAGGTCAGGAGTTCCAGACCAGCCTGGCCAACATGGTGAAACCCCATCTCTGCTAAAAATACAAAAAATTAGCTGGGTGCAGTGGCAGGCGCCTGTAGTCCCAGCTACTCGGGAAGCTGAGGCATCAGAATTGTTTGAACCCAGGGGGTGGAGGTTGCAGTGAGCCGAGATTGTGCTACTGCACTCCAGCCCAGCCTGGGCAACAGAGCAAGACTCTGTCTCAAAACAAACAAACAAAGAACAAAAAAAATGAAGGGAGCGGAGCAATTGCACGGGGGCTCATCCAGCTGCTCCTGGAAACAGCTAATGGAGGCACAGTAAAGAGGAACTCAGAAACACGGCAAAGCACGTCTTCTTCCCTTACTTCTCTCAGGCTAGCAGTCAAGGGCTGTTTTTCAGTGTGGTCAAGCTGTAATACCCCAGGGGAAAAGGTCACTAGTTTGGAATATATTACACTCTTTGGAAAGAGCATCCTGTGTTAGCATCCCTTTTGGGCTTGCTTGGAAAACTAGAAATCACCATGCTATGAATGTCCAACTCACCTGGCTACCTTAATCATGTTGGGCTTGTATTTCTCTATATTGCTGAGTAGTGCTTTCATGGTCCTCCCAGTTCCGACAACATCCTTTGCAAAAAGGACAGATAAATTCAACAAAATGCATTTGAGCAGCACAATAGACTTTTCACCCAGGGAGATACTCCTGATTAATAATGCATCGTAATTAAAAATGCCATCCAATTTGGAGCCACAGTAGGAGGAAGAGTTGGTTATGTTTTATTTAGACAGGCGCTTCTTTCTGGAAGCTGAGTTTTGGGGAATCTACTGGAGACTCTTTCCTCCTTGAATCCTTTAGCTGTGTTGAAGGGCCAAATTTAGTCTTTGGACAGCATGTAGGACTCCTCGTTGAGTACACTTGGACTTGTGTCTGCACATTCAAGGACTAAATTTGGCCCTGAGTTTATGTAACACAATACAAGGCACATGAATTTTCATGGATATGTACATCTGAATACACTGAATGGATAAAAACCTCCCCCTTGTCCTCCCCCACTCAATGGGGGATTCTATGGCTGGGAAGTGAGAGGTGTCTGGACAGCAGCTGGTGACAGCCTGTGAATTCTGAGGGTCCACGGCTGCAGTGAGCTCGGGCTCATCTCTGCTGATGAGCTGCTGCACAATTAGAGGAGAATGGGCAGCGGCGATTTATTGTCCTAAGGACAGGAATCAGCTGTCATGAGCTGATTATCAAAACAACAGGTCTGAATGTAGCCAGGGTTGGGCAATTCATTTGGTTAGAGGGTCTACTCCATGGGTTATACTGAGCAAGAACTCCAGATGCACATGGCGCACACAGGCAATTGTGTAACAAAAGGTTGAAAACAGCTCCCCTGAATTTTTTGCTGTTTGATGAGACAAGCGTGCTCCTGAAGGAAACGTGGCCATTTGCTGTATTAGTCCACTACTGCCATAGGGATCCCACGTTCTCTTTTCTCTCTTTTTTTTAACAGAAAAACAAAAGTTAAAAAAAACGAAAAACGAAAAACAAAAAAACATAGCTTTCCCCATAGCTCGTCATTTTTAATTGATTGTGTTTATGATTTTGATGCTGAAAGTATTTGAGAATTCTTGAAATCATCAGAGGTCCTTAGCAAAGACACTGAATTCAGGGTAAACAGAGTTCTAACCTTGGTTTTACTGTGAAATGAATTTGGTTCAGTGAGCTAGTTTCCTCTTCTTTAAAGTTGTCTGATTCACAAAGAAGTATAAGAATCAACACAGAGATATGTGGAACTGGATACACAAAAAGGATAAAGTCGCCCACAAATACTGTTGCAAAGCTTTTATTCTACATTATTTGAAATCAGGGACGCTATCTGGCCCCTATTCATTAAATTTGGAGAGCATGCACCCAGTGGGAGCTCAAGAAATCCTTGGTCAATTTGATAACAAGGTTTACCGTTTAAAACTCACCATTAGATTCTTTCAACCTCCAAGTATGGAAAAGGAAATGCCAGCTTACCTCAACAATGAGAACATTCTGAAATAAACAAAACCCATATTTTAGAATGTGATGCCAATCTGACTCACAGGATACATACACATTTTTTTGCTTATAGTTAGAATTTCACAATTTACTTAGACGGTCCTTCCCCATCCATCTAATTCAAAGGACTAGAGGTGATCTAGGTTTTCCAGATTCATTTTAACAGGTCCTCTGGAATTAGTTGGTGGTGCAATATTAGTATCTATATTTAGGTTAGAAGCAAGCTTATCTTAGACCTGTCTGACGAGCTCTCCATAAAGTCATCCCATTTCAGTAATTCTGCCAAGGGCCTCCCACCCCCAGCATTCCCTTGGGAGGCAAAGCCTGTTGAGAGTTTACCAGGAAAACAATGCAACATGAACTGCATTGCTAATGGAGACCGTGCTCGGTAAATGCATCATGGGTTCAGCTGTGACAGCCTTACTCTTGCACAGCCACGAAAATCCCTGGGGACTCAGGATTTCCTCTTGGATTGTCAACCTAGATGAAGAGGGTAGGCTAGAGAAAGGGCTGGGAGGTGCCTGGTCTGTATTTTTAGCGAGCTGGTTAGATTCTTTGCAACAAGCTCTCAAGGCATTCCTCTACCTCTCCCCTAAGAACACTGTGATATGGTTTGGATCTGTGTCCCTGCACAAATCTCATGTTGAAGTGTAATTCTCAGTGCTCGAGGCGGGGCCTGGTGGGAGGTGACTGGATCACGGGGGTGGGTCTCATGAATGGTTTAGCATCATCATGCCCCTTGGTGGTGTTGTATCTGGTTGTTTAAAGGTGTATGACACCTCCCCCTCTTTCTCTTGCTCCATATCTGTCTCCAGACATCTGAAGTGCTGCTCTCCCTTTGCCTCTGCCATAATTTTTTTTTGAGACAGGGTCCCACTCTGTCACCCAGGCTGGAGTGCAGTAGTGCTATCTCCGTTCACTGTAACCTCCGCTTCCCGGGTTCAATCGATTCTCCCACCTCACCTTCCCACGTGGCTGGGATTATAGGTATGCACCACCACGCCTGGCTAATTTTTGTATTTTTAGTAGAGATGGAGTTTTACCATGTTGGCCAGGCTGAGCTCAAGTGATCTGCCCTCCTTGGCCTTCCAAAGTGCTGGAATTACAGGCACGAGCCGCCACACCCAGCCACCTTCTGTCACAGTTTTAAGTTTCCTGAAGCCTCCCTAGAAGCAGAACAGATGCCAGCACCATGCTTCCTATACAGCCTGCGGAACTGTGAGCCAATTACACCTTTTCTCTTTATAAATTACCCAGTCTCAGGTATTTCTTTATGTCAGTGTGAGGAAGGACTAATACACGATGATTGTACTGCATTTTAATTTCTTGTTTGATATCTGTCTTCCCCACTATATTCTAATCTCCATGAGGTTGGGATCATGTTTGTCTTGATTCCTACCGCATTGCCAGAAACTAGCATAATGCCTGCATATAAATGCTCAATAATTATTTGTTGAATAAAGCAATAATAACTGATTAAACTTATTACTGAGTTAAAACTGACTGATTAATTGGATTAGCAGTGACATGTTAATGCTGCCCCACCAAATTAAAATATGACTGTTAATATGCCATCCCAGTTTACTAAATGGTGAGACTATCCTTTCAACGTAATGGTGTTTCTCTTTCTTCAGATGATGTTTCATTTATCTCTATGATTTATACAATACTTTAAGAATCATGGCCTGGCACAGTGGCTCACGTCTGTAATCCCAGCACTTTAGGAGGCCGAGGTGGGTGGATCACCTGAGGTCAGGAGTTCAAGACCAGCCTGGCCAATTTGGTGAAACCCCGTCTCTACTAAAATATACAAAAATTAGCTGGGTGTGGTGGTAGGTGACTGTAATCCCAGCTACTCAGGAGGCTGAGGCGGGAGAATCACTTGAAACCGGGAGGCGGAGGTTGCAGTGAACCAAGATTGCACCACTGCACTCCAGCCTGGATGACAGGGTGAGACTCCATCTCAAAAGAAAAAAAGAAAAATCAGATCAAATACTACACATTCGATAACTTACTTATGTTTAATGCAAGATTTAATTAATAAAAATGTTAACCACCCAACCACCAAACCAGCCGACCAACAACTCTGTTAACTTTGCACCGTATATCAAACACATTCTTATGTTAAAATAACTTCTTGGAAGTGTTTTTCTGTCAGTTATGACATTTTTATTCATTAAATCCATTGAAAATCTTAATTTTATCATGGAAATGTATAAGATTATTTTGTCCATTTTTGAAGCAGGGCATGCCACGTTACCCTCCACTCTTTCAGTATATTTCAGTGTATTGAAACCCCTTCTCTAACAAAAAATACAAGAGTCATACTGCCAGGGGAGTCCTCTTGGTATTTTCAACAAGAATTTCTATGATCCTAACAACCAATTTGCAGTAGTTACTTGATATGTGCATTTTTAGTTTGATTGACGCTTACCAATCAGACCTATAAACCAACCAGAATACTTGGAGAATGTTGTGGTTAATTTAATTTTCTGGCTCACAATCTCTTTTTGTTTCAACTTTAAAAAGAAAAACCTTTCTAAAATGTGTTAGTCTGCATTCCTGCCTAATTAAGTAGAGTGTATGTGTTGAATGTAATTAAATATTTTTTTGACAGTACAGAACCTTGCAAAACAATAGAGTCATCTTTGAAAAGATTAGCTTCAATTCTAAGATATAGTGGTAAGTGGGAAGTAGGATTTGGATGTATACTGATATTGAGAGATATTGAAAGACACTGTCAAAATTATTCAAATACATCTTCAAATCAAGGTAATGCATACACATGTTTAAAATAGATTGAGGCCAGGCGCCGTGGCTCACACCTGTAATCCCAGCACTCTGGGAGGCTGAGGCGGGCAAATCACCTGAGGTCAGGAGTTCGAGAGCAGCCTGGCCAGTATATTGAAACCCCTTCTGTACCAAAAAATATAAAAATTAGCTGGGCTTGGTGGCCAGCCTGCAGTCCTAGCCACTTGGGAGATTGAGGCAGGAGAAGTGCCTGCACCTGGGAAGTGGAGGTTGCAGTGAGCTGAGATGGTGCCACTGCACTCCAGCCTGGGCAACAGAGTAAGACTCTATCTCAAAACAAAAAACAAAAACAAACAAACAAACAAACAAAAAACCAAATCAAATAGATTGAAAGGTTTTTAAAAGAAAAACACCCCTCCATCACTTCACCTCTGTTTGCTCCCAATTTTGCTTCCCAGAGACAGTCACTTTTAACTCTTTTAGCTGTTTTTCTGCTTGTTACTTTTTTATTTCTAAAAAATAGACTTAGTCATGTTTCACATAGCTATTTCTGTACTTAAAAACATATTTAAATCATTTATTGACTTTTAGGTTGCTTGTTTCTTAAAAAGGGTTTAAGTACAAATGCGTATTTTTAAATTTTATTTTTATTTTTTAGAGACAGGATCTCGATCATAGCTCCCTGTAACCTTGAACTTCTGGCCTCAAGTGATCCTCCCTCCTCAGCCTCCCAGAGTGCTAGGATTACAGGCATGAGCCACTGCGCCCAGCCGTGTATTCATTCTTATTATAGAAAGTGCACATATTTCCTTACATATAAATATATACCTGTCAAAGAAAGTTTGTACTTTCTATAATATATAAATATAAAACATTATAAAATGCTTGAAAACCAGAAAAGTCTAAAGACTTTCTAAATTTTTGATACATGCTTAACTGTTTAAAGTATATAAAATTTTTATGTGCTTTAAAATAGATTAAAGGTATCATGAATTCTTTATTATGTATAGCCAAACTATTATAACATCCAACAAAAATGATGATAATTTCTTAACATCATATAAAGCCTACTATATATTCAAATTTCCCCAGTTGTCCTTAAAATGGCCTTTGTAGCTGGTTTATCCAACCTATACCATGGATTGGATCTTCCCTTCTCTTTTAATTTAGAACAGTCTCTTTTGCAGTATAGGCATACCTTGTTTTTTACATTTCTCTTTTTTTTTGTGATGAAGTCTCACTCTATTGCCCAGGCTGGAGTGCAATGGCGCGATCTTGGCTCACTGCAACCTCTGCCTCTTGGGTTCAAGTGATTCTACTGCCTCAGCCTCCCGAGTAGCTGGGATTACAAGTGTGCACCATCACGCATGCATAATTTTTGTATTTTTAGTAGAGATGGGGTTTCACCATGTTGGCCAGGCTGGTCTTGAATTTCTGACCTCAGGTGATCTGCCCCTCTTGGCCTCCCAAATTTCTCTTTATTGCACCTTACAGAGACTGTGGTTTTTTTTTGTTTTTGTTTCTGTTTTACAAATTGAAGGTTTATGGCAACCCTGTGTTGAGCACGTGTATTGGTGTCATTTTTCTGACAGTGTGTACTCACTTTGTGTCTCTGTGTCATATTCTGGAAATTCTTGCAATATTTCAAATACTTTCATTGTCATTGTGGTTATGGTGATCTGGGATCAGCGATCTTTAATGTACTATTTGTTTTTATTTTATTTCTTTTGAGACAGAGTCTTGCTCTGTTGCCCAGGCTGGAGTGCAGTGGCACAATCTCGGCTCACAGCAACCTCTGCCTCCTGGGTTCAAGCAATTCTCCTGCCTCAGCCTCCCAAGTAGCTGGGATTACAGGTGCACGCCGGATGCCCAGCTAATTTTTTTGTATTTTTAGTAGAGAAGGGGTTTCACCCTGTTGGCCAGGCTGGTCTTGAACTCCTGACCTCAGGTGATCCGCTGGCTTGGCCTCCCAAAGTGCTGGGATTAGAGGTGTGAGTCACTGTGACGCCCCCTAGACTGACTCCTTTTAGGGACTAATGCAGCTGGTGACTTTAAGTTGAAGTCAATGCTCACTTACCATTCCAAAAATGCTAGGGTGCTTAAAATGATGCTAAATCAACTTTGCCTGTGTTCTATAAATGGAGCAGCAAAGCCTGTTTATATAGGCACATCTGCTTACAACATGCTTACAGCATGGTTTATTGAAATGAATATTTTATGGCCATTCTTGAGACCTACTGCGCAGAAAACAAGATTCCTTTCAAAATATTATGCTCATTAACAATCTACCTGGTCACCTAAGAGCTCTGATGGAGATGTTTACAAGGAGATTATTTTCATGCCTGCTAACACAACATCCATTTTGCAGCCCATAGAGTCATTTAAACTTTCAAGTCTTATTATTTAAGAAATAGATTTTGTAAGGTGATAGCTGCCCATAGATAGTGATTCCTCTGATGGATCTGGGTAAAGTAAATTGAAAACCTGAAGATCCACCATTCTAGATGCCATTCAGAGCATTCATCGTCCATGAGTGGAGATCAAAATATTAACATGAGTAGGAGTTTGGAAGAAGTTGATTCCGACCCTCATGCATAACTTTGAGGGGCCCAAGGTTTCAGTGGAGAGGCCAAGGGCGGTGGCTGCTACAGGTAATCCTAGCACTTTGGGAGGCTGAGGTGGGCGGATTGCTTGAGCCCAGTAGTTTGAGACCAGCCTGGGCAACGTGGCAAAACCCTGTCTCTACAAAAAATGAGGTGGGAGGATCACCTGAGCCTGGGGAGGTAGAGGCTGTGGTGAGCCATGACTATGCCACTGCACACCAGCGACAGAGCAACAACTCGTCTCAAAAAAAAAAAAAAAAAAAGACTTTAGTGGAGGAAGTACCTGCAGATGTGGTGGCAATAGCAAGAGAAACTGAATTAGAAGTGGAGCCTGAAGATGTGACTGAATT
The DNA here is from genome assembly GCF_000001405.40 of Homo sapiens. Classification (NCBI taxonomy): domain Eukaryota; kingdom Metazoa; phylum Chordata; class Mammalia; order Primates; family Hominidae; genus Homo; species Homo sapiens. The sequence goes on from NC_000010.11 coordinate 24,864,120, forward strand.
GCTGTAACCTGATGATCAAACTTGAACAGATAAGGAGTTGCTTCTTATGGATGAGCAAAGGAAGTGATTTCTTGAGATGGAATTTACTCCTGGTGAAGATGCTGTGAACATTGTTGAAATGACAACAAAGGGTTTAAAATATTATATATACTTAGTTGATAAAGCAGTAGCATGGCTGGAGAGGATTAACTTCAATTTTGAAAGAAGTTCTACTGTGGGTAAAATGCTATCAAACAGCATCACAATCTACAGAGAAATCTTTCATGAAAGGAAGAGTCAATCTAAGCAGTGAACTTCACTGTTGTCTTGTTTTAAGAAATTGCTACAGCCACCCCAACCTTCTGAAGCACCCACCAGCCTGATCAGTCAGCAGCCATCAACATCGTGGCAAGACCCTCCACCAGCAAAAAGATGATGACTCACTGAAGGCTCAGATGATCATTAGCATTGTTTTTTAGCAATGAAGTAGTTTTTCATTAAGTTATGTGCCTTATTTTTTAGACATAATGTTATCACACACTTAGTAGACTACCATACAGTATAAACATAAGTTTTATATGCACTGAAAAATCAAAAAATTTGTGTGGCTCTCTTTATCGTGGTGATCTGAAACCAAATCCACAATAACTCTGAGATATGGCTGTGCCTAAGATTAGCTCAAAGAGCTAAGGAGCCAAAACTATTTATCTTTATATAATCAATATATAACATGGAGGCTGGGTGCGATGGCTCACACCTGTAATCCCAGCACTTTGGGAAGCCAAGACAGGCAGATTGCTTGAGGCCAGGAGTTTGAGAACATCCTAGCCAACATGGTGAACCTCTGTCTCTACTAAAAATATAAAAATTAGCCAGGCATGGTGGTGCACGCCTGTAGTCCCAGCTACTCGAGAGGCTGAGGCACAAGAATTGCTTAAACCGGAGAGGCAGAGGTTGCAGTGAGCTGAGATCGTGCCACTGCACTCCAGCCTGGGTGACAGAGTGAGACTCTGTCTCAACAAAACAAAACAAAACAAACGAACAAAAATACATAACATGGAGACTGGCATCTAGTAGGTACTCAAGAAATACCTGTGTAGTGAATCAACAATTTTGACCTCATTTCTTTCACTTTCTCTGGTTCATTGTATTTCTGATTCATCCCCTCCATTTTTCCTTAACAATCTGCAATTCCTCCTTAACCAAGCTATTATCAATGTCTATTGCTTTTAATTTTGCACTAAGCAATTTCCTAAAATTCAGGTTTTTTGAGTGGGCAACTTCTCTTTTCAGTACACACCATGCCTCCTAAACACTTCCAATCTGATAACTCTGATCACTGCATCTGAGATGTTTGCCAGTTACTGTCTTAGTCATCTCATCACACCTAGCTCATTTCCTCCCAGAAAGCCAGTAAAATCTGCAGCCTAGGAGCTGCAGGCAAAAACTCTATGAGGAATCTCTGGGGTGTGCTTTCTTTGCTGTTGCATGATTCTGATCAAAACTAATCACAAGGGGTTTCCTAACAAAAAAGAAAAAGAAAGGAAGAAAGAAGAAAAGAAGGGAGGAAAGAATTGCACAAACCTACATGATATTCTTAAATAGGTTATTCCTACTTCTAGTATTTTAGAGCACACAGTGATTTGCACACCACACCGTCTCATCTGCAGCAGTGTAGTTTGGTGGCCGTGATCACACTAATCAAGAGCAATGGCAGCAGTGACAATGAGCTGTATTGGGGATATGGAGAATGAGTAGGAATGTGAATATAAACCCCATGGAAAAGGGAATGTAGTTTAGCATTTCGTTTTATGTGATAATTCACAAAATTTCCAGAATCATCAGTCAGTGGGTCTTTCCATTATTGTTCTCAGCTTAGTCAGATGAAATAAAAAAAGAATGATTTAAACAGTTAAGGCAGCCAAGGGGGAACTTTTGGCAGTTTCCGATGCTTCACTCTGGCATTTAATTAGAATCTTAGGCTGGGCACAGTGGTTCATTCCTGTAATCTCAGCACTTTGGGAGGCTGAGGAGGGTGGATCACTTGAGGTCAGAAGTTTGAGACCAGCTTGACCAACTTGGTGAAACCCCATCTCTTCTAAAACTACAAAAATTAGCTGGGTATGGTGGTGGGCTCCTCTAATCCCAGCCACTCAGGAGGCTGAGGCAGGAGAATCGCTTGAACGTGGGAGGTGCAGGTTGCAGTGAGCTGAGATCGTACCACTGCACTCCAGCCTGGGCGATAGAGCGAGATTCTGCCTCAAAAAAAAAAAAAAAAAAAAGAAAAAAAAACTTATTTGAGGGCAGGTTTGGGGGGCATGTCTCCCAAAATCTTGGGCTTAACCTGCACATCTGTGTTTTCATGGTGCCAGATTTGAGCCTGTTTCCATGCATTTTGTTTTATTCCACCCTTTCAGAGGTTCCTCGTGAATATGAATAAAATCTTACTTTAATAGATACACACATTTTATGAAGTGCCAATATTAAATCAACTTTGGAAAAAAAATCAGCCAGAGAGTACATTGTGTAGACAGCTTAAACACACCGAATAAAATGCTTTTAACATCATGAACTGAAGAGGCCATTTAACTTAATCATTGAGGGCTCACTTTATTCAACAGCAATGACCTATTTAGAACCATGACTCAGACAGCTTCCCTTGTGAGCTTCCTTTCCTTGGAAGAAAAGAAAGAAAGAGAGAGAGAGAGAGAGAAAAGAAGAGAGAGAAAGGAAGAGAGAGAAAGGAATTTTAAAAAAAGCAAAAAAATACAAAAAGAAAGAAAAAGAGAGAAAGGAAGAGAGAAAGAAAGAGAACAAAAAAAGCAAGGAAGAGATGAGAAAGAAAGGTAGTTTCTCGGGGTTCAAAGTAAAAAATGTTTTATTTAAAAAAAAGAAAGGGAGAAAGAAATGGAAGAAAGAAAGAAAAAGAGAGATGGAGGGAGGGAGAGAGAGAGAGAGAGGGCTGTGTAGAGTCTCCTTTTTTTCTAAATATTTTAATCCCATGTCTTCAAGGGCTCCAGAAGTATTATACAGTTATGGGTTCATAATGCCTCTAACTCACAGCATGACAAGATTATGTAGGTGAGCTATTTCCCCATGTTTTATAGAGTTCTTTCATACACAAATTTAATTTTAAAAAATCCTTTCTAGCCCTCCCTCCTTCATTTAACTCTGTCACGGCTCCTTTTGATACCACGATTCCTTCTCTTCCACCCTAACTTGGCTCCTGTAGTTCAAGTGCTCCTGCAGGCTCCGCCTACCCCGCCTCCAAACTGCTCTCTCCTCTCTTTCAGCCATTCTTCCCTCTTGTCAGTTTCATTTTCCTAAAACACAGCTCCATGATGTCATCTCTGCTCAAATACTTTTGTGTCTCCTGTTTGCTTTGCTGAGCAAGTTCAGCTCTTCATTGAGACTTTCAATGTATTCTACACATCAAACCCCGTGTTTTCATTTTTTTTTTCCTACTACTTCCCTGTTTTTGATTAATTTCCTTCAGTCATGCTGGTCCACTTATGTCCAGTGATCCTACTCTTTTCTCGATTACCCCATTCCATATTTTTATTTTTATTAAGTTTTATTCTTGTTGTAGGCTTTGTGGAATTTTCTTCAAAGCCGTCACCTATTTATGAAGGATTAGGGCTAATTATTAGTGGGGGATAGGTTGCGGTATTGTATTAAATTTTGGTGGGGTTTTTGTAGGTTTAATTTTTTTTTTTTTTTTTTTAGACAGGGTCTTGCTCTGTCACCCAGGCTAGAGTGCAGTGGCATGATCTTGGCTCACTGCAACCTCTGCCTCCAGGGCTCAAGCAATTCTCTTGCCTCAGCTTGGATTAGAGGTGTGTGCCATCACGTCTGGCTAATTTTTGTATTTTTAGTAGAGACCGGGATCTTGCCATGTTGGCCAGGCTGGTCTCAAACTCCTGACCTCAAGTGATCCACTCGCCTCAGTCTCCCAAAGCGCTGGGATTACAGGCATGAGCTACCGTGGCTGGCTGGCTTAATGGTTTTTTAAATTTATTTGGAGGGAATGATCGTTGGTTTTGGGTACATGACAGTGATAGCTATGGAGGAGTACCTTGAGGCTTGGGGGTCAACTGTTGCCCTTGGGGGGCCCTTGCTCTCTTTTCTGTGTTAGTCACAAACCCTTCTATTCCAGGTAAAAGCTCACCCTCCCCTCTCTAAGACTATCTGAATCCTAAGGAATCCTTCATTCTTTGGATTTCTTTAAATCCAAGGAAAGAGTCTTGCATGGAAAGACCTATGGGGCTCTTCTTAGAGTGCCAAGCATGAAATAAGAGAAGGTGTGTTTCCTGGGAACAAATTCCTGGCAGAGTAATAACATGATGATAAATGTACTTTAAATGTAAGTTTACTGAATGACTGACAAATTGTATTATCACTACAGGAGAAAGGAGAAGTCACTGCAGTCTCAACCTCCTGAGCCCAAGTGATCACCCACCTTAGCCTCCTGAGTAGCTGAGTCTACAGGTGTGCACCACCATTTTAAATTATTAAATAAATTAAATTTTAAATTTCTTTTGTAGAGACACAGTCTCACTATGTTGCCCAGGCTGGTCTCAAACTCCTGGCCTCAACAATCCTTTCATCCACTGCAGATATTTATTGCAGTTTCAGACTTTCTTCTACACCCATTAAAACAAGTACCCACTAACTGTTGGGTGCCTTTTCCTTTTACATTTTTTTTTTTTTCCAGCTAGTGTATATTCTGCATGATGGGAAGATTTTGGAGAGCCTCTAAAACTTATTTCTAAAATCTTGCCAATCCTTATTTTTTAAATTTTATTTTTTCGTTGATACACAATGTTTTATGTATTTACGGAGTACATGAGTGTTTGTTACATGCATGGAATGCGTAATGAGCAGGTCAGGGTATTTGGGGTAGCCATTGCCTTGACTGTCTATTATTGCTATGTGTTGGGAACATTTCAAGTCTTCTAGCTACTTTGAAATATACAACACATTGCTGTTAACCATCGTCGCTCTACATTGCCATTGAATAGTGGGGCTTATTTGTTCTATCTAACTTAATTGATAACCTTTCACGGAGAGGCTGAATGAAGAATGAGTGAACAGCGTGGGTCATATGAAGGCCTTTATCTTTTTTTTTTTTAACCTTACTCATATCTTGTATTTTATTTCTTATGAAAATGGCTACCCAAAGAAGTCATTGTAGCAGCCTACTATCCTAAGGCAGCAACTATAATGTAAATGCTAACAAACTCACTCCATAAGACCAAAAACCCTTCCCCAGGGCTGTAATGGGCATTTAAGTTTCCCAAACCCAGTGACAACTAATGATTTTTATTACCTATCAAATGGAAACAAATGGATTTTAATAGTTCCCCTACAGCTGAAAAACTCCACAAACAATACATTGCCTCTACCTACATGATCCGTTGACTCATGCCAGAAATAGCTTCTAAAACATTTACAACTGTGATGCTCAAACTGGGCTCTGGCTACTTCTGGTGGTTATTTGGTGTTATGCCAAGGCATATTGGAAGGCCTTTATCTTTTTTAAGGAAAAGGAAATTTTAAAAGCTAAGTGAAATTTTTTTCACTGTTCCACCTCAGCTGTGTTGCATTCACTTCCTCAGTCCCCGTTGAATCTCCTATGAGGAAGCCTTTCTGCCTCAACAAAGAGGGTGCTCCTCCCTCACTCAGCACCTTTCTCTCCACCTCTCAACTAACCAGCTGGTGGGTGTGTCCTTGGGTGTGACCATGTGGGCTTATTTACCATTTCCCTCTGCCCTGTCCTCTCTTACCCCAAACTAATCAAAGACTTCTTTCTAATTTCTATATAAGAGGACCATCCACTTGTTCAGTCACCAAATATTTATTCCAATTTGTTATGGACCAGGTATGGTCTCTGCCCACTTCATGCTGACTTCCTGGTTGGGGAGACAGGCAAATAAAAAATAAGCCCTAAGGTAAACATTGCAACTTGTGGAAAGGGCTCTAGTGGAAACAAGGTATGGATATACAGATTATTATTATTATTTTTTTAAGGGACAGAGTCTTGTTCTGTCGCCCAGGCTGGAGTGCACTGGTGCCATCATAGCTCACTGCAGCCTTAACTCTTGAGCTTAAGTGATCCTCTTCCTCAGCCTCCCAAGTAGCTGGGATTACAGGTGTGCACCACCATGCCTGGCTAATTTTCGTATTTTTAGTAGAGACAGGGTTTTGCTATGTTGGCCTGGCAGGTCTCCAACTTCCGACCTCAAATGATCTGCCCATCTCGGCCTCTGAAAGTGCTGGGATTGCAGGCATGAGCCACCATGCCCAGCCGTCTATGTGCAAATTTCTTCTTGGCATTCATTTGGGAATTTTAGAGTTGTCACTTTGACAGACTCCATAGCAAAAGCACAAGGTAAACTATTTCTTTTGTGTAATAAACCTGTAAGGCAGTGTCCTACAATAAAATGCTAAAATGACGTATTAGCTAAAGACCACTCCAGGGTCGTTAAAACTTATGAATTTCTGGAAATTACTTTGAGTATTTTAGCTTTCTAGGATGTTGTTTTATGCACCAATGTAACAGTAACATCAAATGGTGGCTTAGTGATGCATTAACAGCAACAAGTTAATTCTGATTTTTATGGAACACAATTTACTGCTAGATAGCCATTTAACACATAGATCTACTATGCTGTCTTCAGAGTAGAGGGAAGTGCACTGTTTTGTAGTCAGAGTCCTTGTGGCTCCACTTTGGGCAGCCGAAACAGGTGGATCACTTGAGGTCAGGAGTTTGAGACCCGCCTGGCCAACATGGTGAAACCCCGTCTCTACTAAAAATACAAAAATTACCCGGGCATGGTGGCAGGTGCCTGTAATCCCAGCTACTTGGGAGGCTGAGGCAGGGGAATCATTTGAAACCAGGAGGTGGAGGTTGCAGTGAGCTGAGATCACGCCAGTGCACTCCAACCTGGGGACAGAGCAAGACTCTGTCTAAAAAAAAAAAAAAAAAAAAAGTCCTTGTGGCTCTATAGCCATCCTATGATTATTACACATATTTTTATGAAATGTGGCTGCTATTTTTTTCCCTACCCGGGCATTGCATAACGATAACAAGCACAAGTATGAGAGATTAAGCTTGTGTAATAGACTAATCCATTTAACTTAGAAAGCCAAGCAGTTCAGGGATAAGGAATACAAGCTAGGTCAGTACGGCTGAACAAAAACAAATTCCGGATTGCTTTTATTCACAGCAAATGTGCATTTCAAGTAACATTCCACGAACATCATCTTCGTTAGGAAACAACTCTTCTTTCCAGTTTATGTATTTCTGTCAGATCTAAACAGTCTTTTCACTTAATTATTAAGCACTGGCAGATTTGGAACTCCAAGTTAAAACTGGAGGTGTTCTTCCTATTATCTAATAGTTTACATTGTTTTTAATAGAAAAAAAGGCAAAGTGCTGAAAACGCACTCTTAAGAGTTCCTTTTCTCTTCCCTCCCCAGATTTTGTACTTGTCAATGAACCTGTGTAAATGTCTTACTGACGTGCCTGGGTGCAGAGGATGGATGAAAAAAAAAAAAAAGGCAGACGAATAAATAAAGGGAAAGCTTCCTTTTCAGAAGGTGCCTGGAAAGATGAGTAGAAAAGGATTAGAACAAGGTGGGCAAAGGGGTTTTGCTGTCTGAAACAAGATTGGAAGGAAGCTCGGAGAAGAAAGATTTGGTCTGCATGGTGTCTTGGAAGCATTCTAAAAAGAATGTTTTAGAAAGGGGAGATCATTAAAAGGATTCACGCAGCCATTTGTATGAATTGGAAAACCCGGGAGCATGTCTGAAATGTCCTGTGAGTGCTGACCTGAAATGCAGGTCACCGATGCCCCCAGACCTCAATGCGGTCTGAGCACAGTTACATGAACAAACCTTTCCAGCCAGCGTTGAAAGATCATCGCCTCCGATTATCTGCATCTCACCCATGGACTGGTCATTCTGCAAAAAAGAAGAAAAAAAAGGGAGACAATTTTACCGCACAAGAAAACCTTTAAAGCACATTTTCCTGTCTACCCAGTTAGTGGCCGGAATGTGCCTTACAAATATAGCACAAATAGCTAATAGGGATTCATGGTTGCCTATGGTTACCAAGAGCCATGCTCCTGCTACTGCCCTTGAGACAAAGCTTTCTAATGGCTGGCAGGGAGAGGCTGGGTGTGCAGGGGGAGTGGGAGAGAGGAGAGAGGACAGACAAATCTAACATGAAACAAAACACTCTGGAAGGTGTCTGAGCCTATCCTGGAGCAGAGAAAATTGGAGAAGACAGTCATGCTTCTGTGTTTTGCCTAGCTGGGGGTGGACTGAGTATGTGTCAGCTTTGCCACCAAGCTCTGATTAAAGATCTGCAGTGGAGAACAGTCAGATTCTGATTCCCTGAGAGACCGGAGGCCTCCTCTACTCCCCGCCATTGGAGATCCAGCCCCTCATCTGACATCCAGGGCAATTCTAACAGGCCATGAATCAAGAAGTATTGCACTTAGACCTTCTGACATGAATGATGAGGTCTCAGCCAATTTCTGCAGTCCTAAGAATATGACACTCAGAACTATACGTGTGTGTGTGTATATATATATATACACAAAATATATATAATACACAAAATATATATATATATACAAATATATGTGCACACGTGTGTGTGTATATATATATGTGTGTGTGTGTATATATATATATATATATTTTTTTTTTTTTTTTTTTTTGAGACAGGGTCTCACTTTTGGCCAGGCTGAAGTGCAGTGGGGTGATCCTAGCTCATTGCAGCCTCAATCTCCCAGGCTCAAGCAATCCTTCTGTCTCGGCTTCCCAAGTAGCTGAGACTACAGACAGGCACATACCACAGTGCCTGGCTAATTTTTTTCTTAATTTATTTTTATTTTTAGTACAGAAAAAGTCTTGCTATGTTGTCCAGACTGGTCTTGAACTCCCGAGCCCAAGTGATTCTCCTGTCTTGGCCTCCCAAAGTGCTGGGATTACAGATAGGCGCCACCATGCCTGGCCTCAGAGCCATATTTAGAAGACTTTTCATTCAAATCCTGTTAGAGTTTATGATCATTTACTTTCATCATGTTTATGTATGGTATATTATCCTGTCCTAATGAAACCTCACAAAACAAACAAACAAACAAAATGGATTGTTACATAGTGACCATCATGATAGAATGACACAGAGGCAAAACAAGAAACAGAACCAGCCACTTGTCTCCCAGCCTCATTACAGACCCACATTAAAGGAACCAAAGCCGATACATTCCGGCAGTCTGCTTCATGACCAAGCAAGAATGCTGTGATGTTGCAATCCCTTGATTCTAACAATAACCTTGGGGAGAAAAAAACAATATACGCACCATATGTGCTACATGCTGAACCAGGAAACGTCTTTAGTTACTGCTGTGGACAGCTGTCACTTTTGCTAGCTCAGCACCTTTCCTCCTAAAGAGGCCCTCCCTCTTCCTGGGGGGAGTCCATTCCACATGGTTCAGGTAGGGCCAGGCCTTTGCAGTGCAGGCCAACCAGCTGGGCCTGAAGCTATACCCAGTCTCAGACTTCCCAGCTACTCAAGCCAATTCCCTTAGGAATTTTCTTGGGCTGGTTTGAATTGGATTCTCTCACTTGTAACTGTGTCTCTATCTAGAAGTACAGTTACTTTGTTATGGAGTTGGTCATCTGGGAAGGGAAAAAACAGCCAAACCACCAGTAGGACAGTTTTGCCAATGAAACACCTTTTGTCTTTTTACCTTGCTGCTCAAACGAAAAAAAAAAAAGACCTTATAATTTTTTACCTTTTTTTTTTTTTTTAAGAGACATGGTCTCACTCTGTCACCTAGCCTGGAGAGCAGTGGTGCAATCATAGTTCACTGCTGCCTCAAACTCCTGGGCTCAAGCGATCCTCCTGCCTCAACCTCTCAAGTAGCTGGGACTGCAGGTGCTCACCACTATGCCTGGCCAAATATATTTTTACTTCTGCTTGGTAAAGCATTCACTCCTTACCATGGATGGTTGGAGGGGGCACAGGCAGACAAGGAGAGAGGCTTCACACACTAGCTCATCCTGAAAGTGGTCCACTAAGTTAGATAAAACCAGTGATTTTCTTCTTATGGGAATTGATGTCAAAAGGAGAAAAATCAAAGGATATTCTGAATTTACAGATGTTTTGCTGTTTTTGTTCATATATCACCAGATATTCACAAGTAGTCATGACAGTGGTTAAGGACTTGTCAAAAATGTCAAAGGAGAAAATTTTCTTGTCACTGCTAGAGATGCTGAAATAGAGGAATTAACACAGGAAGAATTTCTGCACATTAGACTTAAATATGTTGTTAATAGCAGCAGGAAAAATAAAATTTCAGTACTTCCAGGGACTGGGTTATACAGAATTGAATACAACTACTAAACTACAAAGTTTAATGTAACCAGTGAGATTTATAGTCTGTCAGATCAGAGTAAATTTCACAATAATTCTACTATTTTCATCTTCATTCTATTGATTAAAACCAAAAACCACAAAAATCAGATAACTAAATAATGTGCTAAAAGTCATAGATTATGTTACCAAGCAAGTGTTACTTAAGAAAGTCCTACTTCTTCCAAGTGTACAAACGTGTTTTTTTAAAATTTTTAATTGACCAACAATTACTATATATATTTGATATGGTTAGGCTGTGTCCCCACCAAATCTCATCTTGAACTGTAGTTCTCATAATTCCCATGTGTCATGGGGAGGGACCCAGTGGGAGGTAAATGAATCATGGAGGCAGTTACCTTCATGCTGTTCTCATGATGATGAGTGAGTTCTCACGAAATATGATGGTTTTATTAAGGGTCTTTTCCCCCTGCTTCATTCTGCACTTCTCCTTCCTGCCATCATGTGAAGAAGGGCATGTTTGTTTCTCCTTCCACCATGATTGTAGGTTTCCGGAGGCTTTCCTAGCCCTGTGGAACTGTGAATCAATTAAGCCTCTTTCCTCTATAAATTACCCAGTCTCAGGTATGTGTTGGTATTAGCAACATGAGAATGGACTAATACAATATTTATGAGGTACAATGCGATGTTATGATACGTTTCTACATTATGGAATGATCAGATAAGGCTAATTAGCATATCCAACACTTCAGATATTTATCATTTCTTGTGTTGAGAACATTTAAATCCTCTTTTAGCTGTTTTGAAATATACATTATTATTAATTGTAGTCTTTGTGCTGTGCAATAGAACACCAGAACTTATTCCTCCTATCTGCCTGTAACTTTGCACCCACTGACCAACCTCTCCCCATTCTCCCCTGCTGCCCCCAGCCTCTGGTAAGCACCATTCTATTCTCTACTTCTATGAGTTCAGCTTTTTTATATTACACATATAAATGCAATTATATGGTATGTATCACTCTGTGCCTGGCTTATTTCACTCAGCATAATGTTCTCAGTCCTTTCATGTATATACATGTTTTTAATACTAGATTTGCCCTTAATTCATCTGGAATTTATATCTTCCAAGTGGGTATATTGTCAATTGTTCCAATATAATTTATGGAATTATTATTTTTCCCTACTGGTTTGAAACATCATTTTGATCTTGTCTTTCATTCTCATATGTAAGGGTCAGTTTCTATATTTTTCTAATCTAACATGTCTACTTCAACATTAATTAATCTAACATGTCCAATTAATTAATCTAACTTGTCTATTTCCAACACCCAAATCATATTGTTATAATTCTCATAGTTTTTTTTTTTTTTTTTTTTTTTTTAAGAGACAGGGTCTTGTTCTGTCATCCAGGCTGGAGCGCAGTGATGTAATCATAGCTCATTGCACCCTCGAACTCCTGGCTGCCAGCAATCCTCCTGCCTTGGCTTCCCAAAGTGCTAGGATTATAGGTGTAAGCCACCACGCCTGGACTTATCAGAGCTTTTTAGTATGTTTTAATACTTGATAGGGCAAGTCTACTTTTTGTTCTTTTTAAAAATTGCCTTGAGGCTGAGGGTGGTGGCTCATGCCTGCAGAGGCAGGCACTTTGGGAGGCTGAGGCAGGAGGATTGCTTGAGCCCAGGAGTTTGAGACCAGCCTGAGCAACATAGTGAGACCAACGTTTCTACCAAAACAAAACAAAACAAAAAACCCAACAAACCCAAAACTGTCTTGGTTACTTTTGTACATTTTTTTTTTCCTGTCTGGTAGATTGTACAAAGATTAACTGAATTAATGCATGTGGAACATTTAGAACAGAACCTGGCACATGTTTAGCATTCAGTAAATGCTAGACAGGATTAATTTCTTTTTAAAAAATTTTATGGCCAAGGGCGGTGGCTCACAACTGTAATCCCAGCACTTTGGGAGGCCGAGGCAGGCGGATCACGAGGTCAGGAGTTCAAGCCCAGCCTGACCAATATGGTGAAACCCCATGTCTACTAAAAATACAAAAATTAGCCAGGTATGTTGGTGCACACCTATAGTCCCAGCTACTCGGGAGGCTGAGGCAGGAGAATCGCTTGAACCTGGAAGGTGGAGGTTGCAGTGAGCCGAGGTCATGTCACTGTACTCCAGCCTGTGTGACAGAGCGAGACTCCATCTCAAAAAAAAAATTTATTATTATTTATTTTACTTTTTTATAGAGATGAAGTCTCACTGTATTGCCCAGGCTGGTCTCGAACTCCTGGCCCCAAGCAAACCTCCCACCTCAGTCTCCCAATTTCTTTTTCTTCTTTCCCCCAACCCCCCGCCCCCCGACTCAGCCCCTGAGGAAATGGCTACTCAGTCCTCCACTGGTACACTGGAGTCTAGGGCTCCCCTGGTTTAAACACTCCAGAAAAATAAGCCTTTTATTTCCCACTGGGATGGTGAAGGAAACTTAGAGGTTCAGCTTCTCCATTCAAAGGCTTTCAACCAACCTTGTTGTTTTTATTCCATTCCTTCCTTACTCCACCTTCTAAAAACCTACTCCTGAACCTTTCAGGAATTTGTGGCACGACCCCCCTACTTCTCAGTGATAGTCCCCTCCACAGGCATTTTGATGTTCACTTTCTCTATTAGGCTGAGTCAGTGCTCTTCCTTAATCAGGCACATACCACCATGCCCGACTAATTTTTTTTTTCCAGTAGAGATTGGGTCTCACTATTTTGGTCAAGCTGGTCTCAAACAACTGGGCTACAGTGATCCTCCTGCCTCAGCCTCCCAATCGTTGGGATTATGGCCGTGAGCCATCCCACCAGGCCTAACCATGATATTTTTCTAATGGTTCAAAATCATCCTATATTTCTTGGATTGATGTTTGTGTGTTTTTAATGAACGTCGCTGGTTTGAAGATAGATGAACAATCCCAAATAAAATATTATAAGTCAGATTGGTCCATTGTTTTATTTTCTTTTGCTACCTTTGTGTATTTTTAAAGCAAAGTTATGCTAGCTTCATGTAATAAGTTGGTTTTTCTATGCACTAGAAGATTCTGTATATAAATGGATTTAGCTGTTTCACTAATGTTCAGTAGAGCTCAGAAATAGTTTCATTTTATTTTATTTTTGAGACAGAGTCTTGCTCTGTTGCACAGGCTGGAGTGCAGTGGTACAATTTCAGCTCACTGCAACCTCCACCTCCCCAGTTCAAGCGATTCTCCCACTTCACCCTCCTGAGTAGCTGGGATTACAGGTATGTGCCACCATGACGGGCTAATTTTTGTATTTTTAGTAGAGATGGCGTTTCGCCATGTTGGTCAGGCTGGTCTTGAACTCCTGGCCTCAAGCAGTCTGCCTGCCTCAGCCTCCCAAAGTGCTGGGATTACATGCATGAGCCACTGTGCCTGGCCAGAATAGGTATTATTTGATCTCCAATTTGCAAATGAAGAAACAGAGACAATAAGAGTTTAAGAAACTTTCCCAAAGAGAGCTGGGTGTGGTGGCTCACGCCTGTAATCCCAGCACTTTGGGAGGCCGAGGCAGGTGGATTACTTGAGGTTAAGACCAGCCTGGCCAACCTGGTGAAACCCCATCTCTACTAAAAATACAAAAAGTAGCCTGGCGTGGTGGCGAGTGCCTGCAATTCCAGCTACTCAGGAGGCTGAGGTGGGAGAATCGCTTGAACCTGGGAGGTGGAGGTTGTGGTGAGCCAAGATTGCACCACTGCACTCCAGCCTGGGCAACAGAGCAAGACTGTATTAAAAAAAAAAAGAAAGAAACTTTCCCAAAGAGGTGCTGCTGGTAAGCGAATGAGCCCAGTTCAATCCTAGATTCGCCTGACTGCACAACATTCTTGTGTAGCACCTGACCCTCACCAGTATTCCTGGAGGGAAGAAGCACATAGTGGGTCCTCCCTGGAGAGGAACACCAAGGGGTGCAGGATCTGGCTGCATCAGTGAAGTCAGAGGCATAAGTTGAAATGGACAGGAGAAATCAACATCTCCGTAGGAATGCTGGTGGCAGAGGATGTGTGGATTTACTTAAATACAAAAGGAAACCTCTGACCTTTAGTCATGCATCTTTGGAAAAACCATTTTGGAAATATTAGGTGACCTGGGCTCTAGGTACTACATAGAGCACGCCAGATAGCGCAGCAGGGGAGACGATTCCTCACCAAACAGACAATTTGGACTGCTTTGAGAACATTCAGGAAAAAAACAAACCGAGGAAGAATACATATCCTAAATATCCTGTCCTTTTGAGGAACCAGAAGAGGAAAAGTAAAGAAAACAAATAAACAAGAGAACCACCCTCTAAGCCATTCATTTCAAGAGTCAGAGCGCAACTTGCTTCAAAATCTCTACACAAAGGCTGTCTCAATATTCTCCGCCCCCACAGAGGCCTTAACTTTGCTTTTCCCCTTTTTTCATCCTAATCCTTCCTCTCAGCTATTCTCCTGTTCTCAAAGAGGTCGCTGATACTCTATCAAATGGACAGAGATGCAAAACAGAGTCAGAAACATTTCATTATAAGAATATTTAATGATCAAGCTGGAGAGCTCCTAATTAAAATGTTGCAACTGGCTCGAATTGATTTTTTTCAAAACTCTGAGCATTTGATACCAGCTCAGATAATAAGGACAGGTGAATTGATTCCAGTATTCCTCGTTTTCCAATCACTCGTTGATGTGAGATGTGACTTGTAATTGAGTCCCTCAGTCTTTTAAGCTGCATGGAGCCAAAGTGGAAGTTGATGCAGAGCCAGGGTCAGTGAAGCTCTCGCACTGTCCCTTGCTTCCACCAGAGCTGTTCTACCTGTCTCTGTTGTATTTGCTGATTTTTTTTTTTTTTGAGATGGGGTTTCGCTCTTGTTACCCAGGCTGCAGTGCAGTGGTGCGACCTTGGCTCACTGCAACCTCCGCCTCCCGGGATCAAGCGATTCTCCTGCCTCAGCCTCCCAAGTAACTGGGATTACAGGTGCGTGCCACCATGCCCGGCTGATTTTTTTGTATTTTTAGTAGAGAGATAGGGTTTCACCATGTCGGCTAGGCTGGTCTGGAACTCCTGACCTCAGATGATCTGCCCGCCTCGGCCTCCCAAAGTGTTGGGATTACAGGAATGAGCCACCATGCCCAGCTGTATTTACTGAATTCTAAAGAAGACACTGGGGAGGAAATGTTCTGCTACCAAAAAACCCAAAAGTTTGAAAACTATTAAGTGGGTGCAAAAGTAACTGTCGTTTTTGCCTTTTATCAAATGGCAAGGACTGCAATTACTTTTGCACCAACCTAATATCATGTTAATGCTTTTATCCCTTGAAATCAACTTACCTTCTTTTCAGTTTCCGGTTCATTTAAATACCCATTTGGTGCTTAGATTGTTTTTGTGGAGAAACTCATGCTTGCAATCTCTGTGGGGTGAGTGGGGAGAAGGGAGAATGTGGAGACCAAGCGAACAGGCAGCTGGCATCTCACGAATTCAGGGACCAGGCTGCCTGGGTTCCGGCCACAGCTCCACTTTTTGTGCACTGACCTTGAGGAAGTTACCTAACCTTTCAGCGCTTCAGTTTCCTTATGAATAAAAAGAGTACATTCAGGGTTCCTACTTCATAGGAGCATAGGGAGGACTAAATGAATTAGTACGCATTAAGCACTTAGAAAAGTGCCTGGTATTTTATAATAAATAGTACATAAAGTTTGTTCTGTCTTCTTGACATCTGTCTTTAGTATTTTTTTTTCTTTTTTTTCTTTTTTTTTTTGTTGAGACAGAGTCTTGCACTATTGCCCAGGCTGGAGTGCAGTAGCGTGAACTCAGCTCACTGCAACCTCTGCCTCCTGGGCTCAAGTGATTCTCCTGCCTTAGCCTCCCAGGTAGCTGGGATTACAGGCTACCAGGCCCAGCTAAATTTTTTGTTGTTGTTGTATTTTTAGTAGAGATGGGGTTTCACCATGTCTTTAGTCTTGCCTTTAATCTTAAGAAACATACACATCTGTGTGAGTCTCCTGACATTGGTTTTGTGATTTATTCTTTGTTCATTCACACAGCAGATAACACATACATGTAAGCCATGTGCTCTGTGGTTAGGGTTTACTGAGGTGGACTGACCCCATGAGGCATATGGTTAAGAAGGACTGCTGTCCCTCTGGTGCCAATCTATTGATTGGCTATCACCTTGGAAATGCACTCATCTGTGTGTTCCTTTGGGGTTTCTCAGTGAACCCCCAGTTCCCATGCTGCAGTGTCTGATGTTTACACTGAGCCATTGCGTGGGCAAAATTTCCATCATTCCACTTTACTGTCTTTCTCTTTCTTTCTTTCTTTCTTTCTTTCTTTCTTTCTTTCTTTCTTTCTTTCTTTCTTTCTTTCTTTCCCTCTTTCCTTCCTTTCTTTCTTTCCATCTTTCTTTCTTCCCTCTTTCTTTCCCCTTTCTTTCTTTCCTTCCTTCTTCTTTCTTTCTTTCCTTTCTTCCTCCCTTCCTCCCTCCCTCCTTCCTTCCTTTCTCTCTTTCTTTCTCTCTCTCTATCTCTTTCTTTCTTTCTTTCTTTTCTTTCCTTCCTTCCTTCTTTCTTTCTTTCTTTCTCAGAGCCTGACTCTGTCATCCACATGGGAAAGCAGTGGTGCAATCATAGCTTACTGCAGCCTCAAACTCCTGGCCTCAAGCGATCTCCCACTTCAGCCCCCCAAGTAGCTGGGACTACAGATGTGCACCACTACACCCAGCTGATTTTTTTATTTTTATTTTTAGAGATGGGGTCTTACTATGTTGACCAGGCTGGTCTTGAATTCCTGGCCTCAAGTGATCCTCCTGCCTTGGCCTCCCAAAGCACCTGGCCCCACTTTGCTGTTTTCATCCTTTCTCTCAATGGACAGCAGTCACCTGGAGATCATGCTCTGACCCACGTTTGTACTTATTGGCTCTCCCTGGACCCATGTTGGTTTTTCTAGAGAGCTATTTACAGTCAGCAGGGCATGGAGTGATCCTGAAACTGCTTTGCAGGATGGAGGTAGAAGATCTGTGGTAGAACATGAGCATGGAGTTCCTGATATTTTTCCAGGTCTGGCTGCATTTTTATCTTGGGGATCAGGTCAACTCCTTTCTATAAAACCACCATTTTAGCTTGTGGGAATTTAATAAAGAATTCACTACTTGTAAACAAAAGAACCTCAACAATCACTCTAGTTTACAGGAAAAGTCAATATTCCACAAATTTTGATAAACATTGTTAATTACCAATTCCTTGCAACCCCTCTCACCATGGCCAATGAACACCGACCACCGTTTTGCACTGAGGGCCCTGGAGTTCTGGGTACAGGAAATGCAATTTGGTTCTTGGTCTTGGCTGGGCATAGCTCATACCACACCTTTCCATCTCTCTTCGAGTGGATAATTCTTATTCTTTCTTCAAGGCTCAGTTTGCGGGGCACGGTGGCTCATATCTGTAATCCCAGAACTTTGGGAGGCTGAGTCAGGCGGATCACCAGAGGTCAGGAGTTCGAGACCAGCCTGGCCAACACGGTAAAACCCTGTCTCTACTAAAAATACAAAAATTAGCCAGGTGTGGTGGCACGCACTTGTAATCCCAGCTATTAGGGAGGGTGAGGCAGGAGAATCGCTTGAATCCGGGAGGCAGAGGTTGCAGTGAGTCGAGATCTTGCCACTTCACTCCAGCCTGGGTGACAGAGCGGATCTGCCTCAAAAAAAAAAAAAAAGAAAAGAAAAGAAAAAGAGAAAGACTCAGGCATCATCTCTTCTAGGAGATTTTCCTGGACTCCCCCTGGCTTCCTCTGCATGGGTGCCCCAATGACAGTATGCATATCTGGATGTCAACAAAGCACATCCAACTGAAATTTTCTGTGAATGTAGCAATTGCCGATGGAATGAAAACTCTTTCAGCACAGCAGCCGACTTTCATCCTAATTGTACCCCCAGTGGCTGGCACGTTGTAGCATTCAGCGTTTGTTGAGCCAGACTGAAACTTGTAAGCGCGCATGTTAGCTGCATTTTTAATGCTTCTTCCCCACCCACTTTAGCCACAAAATGTTGGCAAGCAACACTTCCTGTTATGTCTGAGTGATTCCCACCCAAACTACATTTCTTTATTCTTATTACTATTATTTTATTATCTCAGTTCCTGAAAAGCCTCCTTAATATATACTTTTTATTTTTATTTATTTTTTTAGAGATGGGGTCTCATTATGTTTTCCAGGCTGGTCTTGGACTCCTGGGCTCAAGTGATCCTCCCACCTCAGCCTCCCAAGTAGCTGGGACTACAGGTGTGTGCCACCATGCCCCACATCCTCAAAATGTTAAAAAAACAAATAAAAAAAGTAAAAAAAAATCTAAATGCAAAAGGCCATGTGAATTCTGAACACCGAAAATATAAAAATATGAATTCTTGATATTTTAATACCAGTAGTTCATTGGATAATGAGTAAAGGATACAGTTTTCAAGTGAAACTAGCAATTTTAGCCAGGAAAAAAATTGTATCTATATATATGTAATTACATATATACAAATATGTTTATATATAAACATATATACATAATTTATATATACCAATATTTATATATAAACACATAGAATATAAATATAAATGTATTATAATTATAAATAATATAATATAACATAAATATTATATATATATGTTCATCTATACAATTTAGCTCATTTGAAAGTACACATCCATCTTGCATTTCCTGACTTTGGTGTGCTTAACTCTCCAAACATGATGTGACTTTCTTCTAAGACAAAATGGCTTTCTGTTTAATGACAATGATTAATCACTGTATTGTGATTGGTATTCTACTCCACCCAGTTTCCAAAAGGGGTCCTGGTTAGCTAATCCCCACTGCACAGAGAAAGGCGCTTTTCTTTATGAGAAATAAAGGGAGGGTGGGTCAGAAGGAGGGACACAATAATGGGAAGAAGCTACAGGCTAGTGGGAAGAAAGAAAGGCCACCACGAAAAAGGAAAAAGGGGAGGGGAGAAGGGAATGGATCTTTATTTCAGTTTAGTTATAGATGACCCCAGGAAAAGAGGAAACTCAGTTTAAAAACAGATTCAGCCGCATTGCTTTACATGAACTTTGTTTGAAACCTTGAAGCAGGATATCCTTCTGTTTTGAACCTTGGTATGGACTTCTTGTTTTGATTTAAATTATGTTTTTAAATCATGAGGCAGAGGGACAAACACATGGAGCCTCTTGACACATCTGAATGACCCCAAAGACTCCCCAAAGACTCCAGCAAAGTTTATGTTTTAAAATGTAGTTGATGATATCCTAGCGGTGATCATTTCTTAAGAGACCTTTTTTTTTTTTTTTTTTTTTTATAAGACAGAATCTCACTGTGTTACCCAGGCTGGAGTGCAGTGGCGTGATCTTGGCTCACTGCAACCTTTGTCATCTGGGTTCAAGCGATTCTCAGCCTCAGCCTCCTGAGTAGCTGGGACTACAGTCATGCACCATCATGCCTGGATAATTTTTGTATATTTTTATATTTTAGTAGAGACAGGGTTTGCCATATTGGCCAGGCTACTTTAGAACTCCTGACCTCAGGTGATCCACCTGCCTCGGCCTCCCAAAGTGCTGGGATTTCAGGTGTGAGCCACAGTGCCCGGCCAAGAGACGATTTTCTCCACACAATTGTTTAAAAAAAAAAAAGGAAGATTTAGAATTATCACTTAAATAATTAAATGAAAATGATTTTTCAAAAGTAACAACATCTTAAACCAGCTCTCATGAAACTGTTTTAAGATTGCCAGGAGGATGACATGGTGTTGAGGAAGGGCCCAGGGAGAGAAGTGGCAGCAGATTCTGTGCCATGGAGCCATGGAAACTTCTAGAATACTCACCCACCTTCCAGCATTTGACTGAATCTATCTTCATGTCCATGCTACCGTATTTGGGCCCAAAAAGTTGAGCTCTGTGTGTCACTTCTCAGCTCAAAATATTTCTGAAGATTCCCATGCCTGCAAAAGTCTGGTTTTGTCATAACAATGGGCAGAGCCACCCGCAGAGCCAGGCAAGAGGAGCCCTGCATATCACAAATACCAAAACACTAAGACATTTATTGTTGCTGTTTTTCTTTTTGGTCTTATGAAGAAGATTTTCTTTAGAAAGTTCTGTAACAGATTGAGCTAATGGAATTATTCAAGAGGACATGTATGCTGAAGTAGGCCTGCCCTCCTCTTTGCAGGGTAGAGTTAGGGGCAGTGGTGGAGAAAAGAACAGCCTACCTGGGGAAACAGGCAAAGAGAAAGGGATATTGGCCATCCTAAATCAACCAGGGTAGGGGTCTCAGCAGGACGGCCTCCCCAGATAATGATGCTCCCTTCAGCCCCTGGCTCAGAAGGTATAGTCTTGGAGGCATCTGAGTTGGAAAAGAGGGACATGGAGGAGAAGGACCCAGGACTCTCAGTGCTATTAAGAGCTTCCTGGATCAGTCCCATCCAGGGTGCAGGAGGGTCCTGTCCCCACCTGGGGGCCCTGTCTTCAACTCATGCCCAGCCTTGCCCAGCAGATACCATGTCTGCCTGGGCTTGCAGCCTGGAGGGATGAGCCTGGCTCCTTTAGTCAATCTCCAGGTCAAGTGAAAACCTGAGCTTGGCCATGAACAAAGCTATCAAGTTTCAAAACCTTAACTATTTCAGCAAAGGGTATGTGGATCTGCCTTTGTATTCTCGTCCTGGGACCCATAAATGTTAGGGGCAAGCCTGACTCTCAGAATCATTTACTGAGCATTTAAATTTACCAAGTGCCTGGCACATTAGTAAGCACATTACTTACATGAATCCTAACACAGTCCTATGAGGCAGGATCCAGCAATCACACTCCTTAATATTTATCCAAATGAGTTGAAAACTTATGTCTGCAAAAAGTTACCTAGATGTTTCTAGCAGCTTGATTTATTTTGAGGCAGAGTCTTGCTCTGTTGCCCAGGATGGAGTGCAGTGGCATGACCTTGGCTCACAGCAACCTCCGCCTCCCAGGTTCAAGTGATTCTCCTGCCTCAGCCTCCTGAATAGCTGGGATTACAGATGTGCGCCATCATGCCAGGCTAATTTTTTTACTTTTGGTAGAGATGAGGTTTCACCACATTGGCCAAGCTGGTCTCAAACTCCTGACCTCAAGTGATCTGCCTGCCTCGGCTTCCCAAGTGCTGGGATTACAGGCATGAGCCACCGCACCTGGCCAGCAGCTTTATTTGTAATTGCTAAACTATGGAAACAACCCAGAGGTCCTTCAGTAGGTGAATGGATGAATGAGCTATGATGCATCTATGCAACGTATTACTATTCAGTGCAAATAAGAGCTATCAAGCCATAAAAAGACATGAAGAAAACTTAAATGCATATTACTAAGTGAAAGAAGCCATTCTGAAAGGCCACACACTGTAAGATTCCAACTAAATGACGTTCTAGAAAAGGCAAAACTGTGGAGACAGTAAAAAGATCAGTGGTCAACAGGGGTTAGGTGGGAGGCAGGGAGAAAGAGGAAAAACACAGGATTTTCAGGGCAGTGAAACTATCTTGTATGATACTACTCCAGTGGATTGATATCATCATACAGATCTAAACTCATAGAATATACATCACCAAGAGTGAACCCTAATGCAAACTACGAACTTTGGGTGATAATGATGTGTTAATGTAGGTTTTATTGTAACAAATGTTCAACTCTGGCAGGGGATGTTGATAAGCGGGGAGTCTATGTGGGGCTATATGAGAAATCCTGTACCTCCCAGACAGCTTTGCTGTGAAGCTAAAACTACTCTGAAAAAATGAAGTCTATTTTAAATATTATGAGACAAGGAACAGGTACTGTTATCACCCCAATTTAAGTAACCTGGTTAAGTAACTTTGCCCAAGTTCCCACAGCTGGGAAGTGATGTTGCTGGAGCCAGGCTGGAGATTTCACATACGACCCCATCTTGCTCCAAAGCCTCCACCTGACCAACAGGTTCGGCAGCTTCCGTATTGGCCTGATCACAATCTGCCTTTCAGTGTGACCTGCACTCTAGTGTGTTCCACTGTGCATGGATCACTTGTGCAGATTGTGATTCTGTATGTGTGGGGTGGGGCCTAAGAGTCTGTGTTTCTTTCTTTTTTTACCCCCTTACATTCGGGGTCTCATTATGTTGCCCAAGCTGGAGTGCAACGGTGCTATCATAGCTCACTGCAGCTTCGAATTCCTGGGCTCAAGAGATCCTCCTGCCTCAGTCTCCAGAGTAACTGGGATTGCAGGTGCGTGCCACCATGCCCAGCTAATTTTTTACACATTTCTAACCAGCTCCCAGGTGATGGGGGTGCTGCAGGTCCACAGGCCACCCTTTGAGTAGCCAGGGTCTATGTTCCACACACATCAACTTGTGGGCTAAATCTAGTGCGTATCCTGCATTTTACCATCTTTGTATTTTACATCTTTGTATCTTGTTAATACTCCTTCTTTTTTTTTTTTTTTTTTTTTTTTTGAGACGGAGTCTCGCTCTGTCGCCCAGGTCGGACTGCGGACTGCAGTGGCGCAATCTCGGCTCACTGCAAGCTCCGCTTCCCGGGTTCACGCCATTCTCCTGCCTCAGCCTCCCGAGTAGCTGGGACTACAGGCGCCCGCCACCGCGCCCGGCTAATTTTTTGTATTTTTAGTAGAGACGGGGTTTCACCTTGTTAGCCAGGATGGTCTCGATCTCCTGACCTCATGATCCACCCGCCTCGGCCTCCCAAAGTGCTGGGATTACAGGCGTGAGCCACCGCGCCCGGCCGTTAATACTCCTTCTAATAGGGTTTGGCCATGTCCCCACTCAAATCTCATCTTAAACTGTAGTTCTCATAATCCCCACGTGTCATGGGAGGGACCTGGTGGAGAATCATGGTGATTCAATTATCATGGAGAACAACCTCCATGTTGTTCTCATCATAGTGAGTTCTCACGAGATCTGATGGTTTTATAAGGGCTTCCCCCCTCTCCCTTCGCTCTGCACTTCTCCTTGCTGCCACCATGTGAAGAAGGATGTGTTCGCTTCCCCTTCTGCCATGACTGCAAGTTTCCTGAGGCCTCCCCAGCCCTGCAGAACTGTGAGTCAAACCTCTTTCCTTTATGAATTACCCAGTCTCGGTGTGTCCTTATAGCAGAATGAGAACGGACTAATATACCCTCTATCCAGCATGGCTCTCTGTCACATCTCTGCCTGTCAAAATCATAATCATGCTTAGATATCCAAATTAAGTTCCACTTTCATTATAAACTATCACCTGAACCTCACCCCACCACAACTGTAGGCCAGAAGTGATCTCTCCAGCCAACCCACTTCCTTTGCATGTAGCACCCGTTCAGGCAGCACTGGTTACTTCCTTGTTATATTAGCTACCCCTTGTTCACTGCATATGCATCTGTTCACTTCTGTGTTTTTAAATTTTAAATTTTTGTAGTTTTTGTAGAGACAGGGTCTCACTATATTGCTTAGGCTGGTCTCAAACTCTCGGGCTCAAGCAATCCTCCTGCTTCAGCCTCCTGAGTTACTGGGAATGACTAATTTTTGTATCTCTATAGAGACAGGGTCTTGCTGTGTCATCCAGGTTGGTCACAAACTTCTGGGCTCAAGTGGTCCTCATGCCTTGGCCTCCCAAAATGCTGGGATTACAGGCATGAGCCTCTGCACCAGGCCCACTTCTGCTGTTTTGAAAGCAGCTCGAGGATAGGGACTTTACACCTATCTCCTTAAAGATTCCTTAGTACTGAACAGGGCCTTGGACATAGAAAGGAACATGGTGTAGGACTCAAAGAGTGGCTCAGACCCTGCCCTGCCCCTGTCTTAAGCTCCCTGATGCTAGTCTTCTCTTCTAGAAAATGAGTTCAGTGACACCTACCCGTTTGGGTTGTTGTGAGGTTTAATTTAAATGTCATATGTAAAGTGCTTTACCCAATAGGCCCTTGATAAAATGTCTATTGGATTGAATTTGCCTCTTGTATTATCTGTAAAAGGGAAGGGAGCGGACATGGGAGTGAATTAAGGACAAAACCAGACCTGGCACCGAGTGTCTTAGCTTTTATTCCAATACGTTTTCCACTCTCCCAAGCTTTGCTGCCTTTTAATTCTATGAGTAGCTGTCATTCATGTAGCTAAAATTTGTTAGTGTTTACAGAAAAACACTAGAATGTTATTTACTGGGTTCACATTTTCTATACAAATCACTGACCAAAGTCAGATAGGGCTTAGAAAGAAAAGGTATCAATGTACCCTTAGGTCTTGGTAAGCCATAAAGTAACATAATATATAATATACATCAATAATGTGGTGGTATCTCTACATAACTCAACACAGCAAAACTTAAAAGCAGGCAATGGTTTCCAGATGCAATGTGGAAAAAGAAATTATTATGATCAGCTGGAATAATTGACTTAACCAGTTACTTTCTGGGAAACTGTGGCAAACTCATTTGATTTCTCATTTACTTCATCTGGAAAATGGAAATGCTGCTACCACCTGCCTGTTATGGTCTGAATGTTTGTTACCCCCCTCCCCGACCCTGCCCCAAATTCAGATGTTGAAATCGAATCACCATGATACTAGGAGGTGGGGACTTTGGGGGGTGATTAGGTCATGAAGGCTGAGCCCTTGTGAATTAGGATTAGTGCCTTTAGAAAAGAGACCCCAAAGAGCTTGCTTGCCCCTTCCACCAAGTGAGGACACAGCAAGAAGGCACCATCTATGGACATGAAAGTGGGACCTCGTCTATGGCCATACCACCTAGAACACGCCCGATCTCGTCTGCAAGTGGGCCCTCACCACACACTGAATCTGCCAGCGCCTTGATCTGGGAATTCCCAGACTCTAGAACCATGAGAAAGAAATTTCTGTTGTTTATAAGCCACCCAGTCTATGGTATTTTGTTACAGCAGCCCATACGGACTAAGACAGCACCTTACCCACTTCTCAAAGTTACATAAGGAGCCAACAAATTACTGATATATGCAAATGCTAGGAAAAATGTAAGAAACTTTAAGCAAAAAATTATTAACAATATCATTAGGCATAATATAGAGCTAAGGGGAAAAGGCAATTGATGTGAAATAGAAAGTGGAAGACTTGAAGGGCAAATATCAAGTGTTTTATGCATTGTTATTACTTTTTAGGCTTAAGGTCTTTGTTCAGACTTCTCCAGGTCTCAAATGAGACATGAACACTGTGGAAGAAAGTCAGAGAGCAGAATGTTTCTAGAACCACCTTCCATTTTTCAGAATAAGAAAAGATGGCTTATTTGATGTAGGCATGTTGATTGGCAGTGCAGGCTTGCAAATTCCTTCAGTATTAAGTCATGTCTTCAAAACTGGGTGGGGTGCTGAGTTATTAAATTTTTTCTTTTCCTCTGGAGGCTAAGGGCTTGGAAAGCTGGAGGCTACATGTGAAATGAGTTGGGTGGTCTTGGGCAAATTCTGTGTAAACAGCGTTGCTCATCTAAAAGTAGCACAAAACACTGCACATCTGTCTGTCCATATTATCCAAGCAGAATCTGGACTCCATTAATGTGCTGAGGAATAAATGTATCCTCTAATAAATGTTTTTGAAATCACAGTGAAAAGGAAGTTCCAGGACCCCTAAGGAAATGAGACTCTGCTGTACCAATTTGTTGGCGGAAGCCTGGAAGAGGAGTGGGAGAAGGAAGCCGACCACAGCTGTGTCTGACTTAGGTTGTGCCTTCTTTGAGCATGAGAAATGTGAGGTTCGATATCAGAAGCTACTATTGAGTACCATAGTCTAGGCTGCCGATGAGCAATGCAAAATCACCTGGGGAAGGTGACCTCTGCTCTTAGGTTTTTGTGGGAGGATCTAGGAACAGCTCTTCAATGAGACATTCCACTGAGGCTGCATACTGGGCAACTGCTGAGCTCCAAATGTCAGGCACATCCACACTACATGGCCTAGCAAGGGCCAGTGGCTATGGAACAAGGCACGTGGGTTGTCCAGTTTTTGCATTCAGATATTGCTAGTACATAAAACATCTACTCTTCTCTCCCTCTGTCCCCATCAAATATTTCTGGTCATTGGCTGATGAGCATGAGAGCTTCTGTTTTGTAAGGGAGGGAGGAGAAGAAGTTTGACTGAGTCAGGGTGGCAGGGAAGAGGGAACAGGAGGGAGGGCTATATGAACTCTGTTCCCTGTCTGGCTCCTTTGCCCATAAATTGATTGAACTGCTTTCATCAGAGACTGTAAGATCCTGGGAGGAGTTAAAGGCCAGAAGCAGGTTATATTCAGAACTGTTCAGGGTCGCCTGCCTCTGTGAGAAACCTAGCCCTGCCTGGCAGCTTTGGGCAGCCCTTGGCACTTATATGGGCACTCCCTCAAAAGGCACCATCAGCAAAGGCTTCACTAAGGATCCTAGAAGAGGCTTCTCAGGGAGAACCAGGAAAAGCAGGAACTGCAGCAGGGATTGGCGGAGGAGGTGGCAGATGCTCTGTGGTAACTGCAGCTGACAGGCTCATTTGTGGATGCAAGGGAGGACCCATTTGGGAACCCTGAGAAATTCTCAGGAAGGTGGGAAGAGTTAAACCCAAATCCAATGTACTTTGGGCATAGTCATAAAAGGACCCAATTTTGTATTTACTGACCAGTTATGCCAAGGGTTGAAGCTACATAGAAAATGACAATTGGTGTTAGAAATTTCAGTAACTTATTCAGAATCGATTTATTCTTCTTGTGATCATGTAAATTTAATTTGCTGTAAAATTCATGATATATCATGAAACTCCACTGAGTATGGGTATATATCCTTACATATACAGGATATATACCCTTAACATAATGCAGTTTATAAAACTGTTTCCTAATATAACAAAACCTTGCTTTTTAATTTTAAATGATTTGAAGGGAATGACTTTTATTGCTGTAGTTTAAAAATGTCATTATACTTTGGATAAGCCCCTGTGACTTCTGCTTCTTGCCTAGATGGAGTAACAAAGACCAGATTTATCCTCTTTCCTTAAAAATAAAAAAGACAGGCTCAGGCTGGGTGCAGTGGCTCCTGTCCATAATCCCAACACTTTGGGGAGCTGAGGCAGGATGATGGCTTGAGCTCAGGACTTCAAGACCAGCCAAGGCAACATGAAACCCAGTCTCTTAAAAAAAAAAAATTAGCTGTTGTCCCAGCTACTCGGGAGGCTGAGGTGTGAGGATTGCTTGAGCCCAGGAGGCTGCAGTGAGCTGTAATCGTGCCACTGCATTCCAGCATGGGCAACAGAGTGAGAACTTGTCTCATTAACAACAACAAAAAAGACAAAATATATGAAACAACAGTTTCAAGATACTAGACATCAAGCAATAAAGGACAGAAATCCTTGCAAGACAGAGATAAATAAGGTGGGCCCTACGATTGCCTCAGCTTACTGTCCTGCTAGAGTTCTCAGGCCACTTAACATAACCTCCCCCAGGTTTGTCTGTGTTGTCACAAATGACAAGATTTCATTATTTTTAATGGCTGAGTGTGTATCTACCACATCATCTTCATTCATCTGTTGATGCACACTTAGTTTGGCTATTATAGTGAGTCATGCTGCAATAAACATGGGAGAGCAGGTATCCCTTTGACATACTGATTTTGTTTCCTTTGGATAAATGCCCAGCAGTGGGATTGCTGGATCATATGGTAGTTCTATTTTTTTTTTAAGAAACAGGATCTCATTATGTTGCCCAGGCTGATCTTGAACTCCTGGGCTCAAGCAATCCACCCACTTTGGCCTCCCAAAGTCCTGGGATTATAGGCATGAGCCATTGCAACTGACCTAGTAGTTGTATTTTTAATTTTTTGAGGAACCCCCATACTGTTCGCCATAGTAGCTATGCTACATTCCCAAAAACAGTGTATAAGGGTCTCCCTTCTCTCCATCCTCATCAGCATTTGTGATTTTTTTTTTGTCTTTTTCATAATAGCCCTTCTAGCGGGTGTGAAGTGGTATCCCATCTGGTTTTGATTTGCATTTCCCTGAAGATTGATGACATTGGGCATTTTTTCATGTACCTATTGACCATTCGTATACGAGTGACATTCTTCATAGAAACAGAAAAAATAATCTTTTCCTGATTCTTACGGGAAAATGACACCGAGGCCAAGTAGGTGACACAGTCCTGGTCTGCAGTCACATATTTCTCAAGCACTCCTAACTCAACAATTCAAATTTAGTAACAAATTGTGCGTATGATAAATCCACTGGTCCACAAGCAGAAAGAGACTGGGGTATTTCACAAGGCAAGTGGCAATGAAGTCAGTATTCTTCAGTAGAAAACTGGCATTTTAGATTCTTATTTCTGGGGCATTAAAGACCTAAAAGCCAGTGTTGGTACCACTGGCAAGCATGGGTACATATTAAGGATACACGAGTGATTTTTAAACCCGCCACATAAAATGTTTGATTTTTATCACTCCAGTTTATATTTGGCTGAGGAGTATGGGGAGAAAGAGTTTCTAAGATCTCTTAAAACCCTGGGATCTAGCTATCCGTAGATAAGACAATCCACCCAAATTTTGCTCATACAGTATCAGTCTTTGTAATAGCACACCTGACTGAAAGAAAAATAGAAGTAGCACATCCTATGTTACATAATGTTATATATTTGAGAATGAAAACTCACTTGAAATTCAAACACAATTTAAGAGGAAGGTATCCAAACTTGAAAAAATTTTCATGAGTCCATCTCTTAATAATTAGATAGGCATGTATAGTCAGAAAGTTTCTGAAAACACTGATTCTTTTGTTCTCTCTCTCTCTCTTTCTCTCTCTCTCTCTCTTTCTCTCTTTCTTTCTCTTGGCAGGGTCTTGTTCTGTTGCCTGGGCAGGAGTGCAGTGACGCAATCATAGCACATTGCAGCCTTGAGCTCCTGCACTCAAGCAATCCTTCTGTTTAGGCCTCCCAAGTAGCTGGGACTACAGGCGAGTGCCACCACAACCAGTTAGTGTTTTTTTGTTTTGTTTTGTTTGTTGGTTTGTTTTGTAGAGACAGGTCTCAATAGGTTGCCCAGGCTGGTCTCAAACTCCTGGCCTCAAGTGATCCTCCTGCCTTAGCCTCCTACAGTGCTGCAACAACAGGAGGGCCACTGTGCCCAGCTTCATTTTCTTGTAACTAGAAGAATATGTTTCATTAGCTTATAATAGTAATAATAATAGCTAGTCTAACCTTTATAGTGATGGATACTGTGCAGGGTCGTACTTACTTGATCTCATTTTCTAGATGAGAAAATGGAATCTTAATTAAATCGTTGGTCCAAGCTCACTCAGTAATTGGCAGAGCCTGAATGTGAACCCAGGCCTGCCCCACAGCAGAGCCCTCCTGTTTGAGCATTATGTTGAACTTCAGGGAAATGACACAAATCCATACAAATCAACTTGGCAATGCTGGCGGTAGCAGTGCTCAACATGGGCACCCACAGTTTGTCACCTCATGACGTCTATTGGAATGTACTTGGGTCAAGGCAGAGGAGGTGCAGAAACTGCTTGTCTCCTGATAACATTACTGTAGTCCTCAAAGGAAGTGTGAAAATAGGACTTCATTGGCCGGGCGCGGTGGCTCACGCCTGTAATCCCAGCACTTTGGGAGGCCGAGGTGGGGGACCACGAGGTCAGGAGATGGAGACCAGCCTGGCCAACAAGGTGAAACCCTGTCTCTACTAAAAAATACAAAAATTAGCTGGGCGTGGCAGCATGTGCCTGTAATCCCAGCTACTCGGGAGACTGAGGCAGGAGACTCGCTTGAACCTGGGAACCAGAGGTTGCAGTGAGCCAAGATCATGCTGCTGAACTCCAGACTGGCGACAGAGCTAGACTCAATCTCAAAAAAAAAAAAAAAAAAAGAGAGAGAAAAGAAAATAGGAGGGCACTGCTGGCCCTTTGGCCGTGGGAAGTGCTGCATGAGCTGTGAGTCATGCTCTTAGGCTTCGGCCTCTGTGGATGCTGACCACTGACCATCACCAGCAGGCTCTGGACAGGCAAGGTGGGTTTTGTCTGTCACAGTCATGTGTAGTCAGTGGAGAAGAGTGGTTTCTTTTTCCACTTCATGCAGCTCAGAGTTCTGTGAAGGCACCCGGGAGCCAATCTCGGTTTGTGGATGAGGCAAAGTGGCTCACAACCAGGTTCCTGCTCTGCGATCCCCAGGGCAGCTCCATTTTTGAGGTTTTATGGAAGACATCACTTAAAATGTTTCAGTGCTGAAAAAAAGTTTGAAAACCACCCTCCTCCTGGGAGACAGCATAGGATAGTGGTTAAGATCGTGGCTTTGGAGTTTGACAACATGGGTTCAAATCGAGGCTCCGCTCCTGTGGATTGTGTATGCCTTGGGCAAATGAACCCTTTTGAGCCCCAAATGCAGCCTGGCTCAGAGTGGGCATCAGGAAGTAGTGGCGACACACACCACTGTCTGGCCCCACCCGTGGGTGGTGAGATAGAAGGAAACCAGGTTAAACTCAAAGAGAGACAGAGAAGCCGAGTGGTTCATGAAAGAAAACCCTGGGCTTGGCTTCCCAGACAGGTTTGAAGCAGAGAGGGGTTTGCCTACGTCGTACCAGTCAATGTCTCCTAAGATCACAAAACTGGATGCCACCTTAGAGAAAAGGCAATCCTTGTCTTGTTATAAACTGAAAACTGAGGCCTGAGGAAGTTGTGCTTTGTACCAGATTTAAATTAGAAAGCTATATCCTGCAAAACATTCTATTTTTATATCCGAGTAGGATTTGTCCTTCTTCTGGAAATCTCCACTTTCTTTTTTTTTTTTTTTTTGAGATGGAGTCGCTCTTGTTGCCCAGGCTGGAGTGCAATGGCATGATCTTGGCTCACTGCAACCTCTGCCCCCTGGGTTCAAGACATTCTCCTGCCTCAGCCTCCTGAGTAGCTGAGGTTACAGGCATGCACCACCACACCTGGCTAGTTTTGTGTTTTTAGTAGAGATGGGGTTTCTCCATGTTGCTCAGGCTGGTCTTGAACTCCTGACCTCAGGTGATCCACCTGCCTTGGCCTCCCAAAGTGCTGAGATTACAGGTGTGAGCCACCACGCCCAGTCTTCACTTTATTAGTAGTTTTCTACGCCTTAGAGAATGTGGGGGGTGGTGCATGAACGGCCTTGCTTAGGGAAAAGGAACAGCACTGGAACAGAAGAGAAAGAAAACCTAAAAACCTAGGAGGGCAAGAGCTGGGGTGGATATATATATATATATATATATATATATATATATATATATCTGTAAATACATACACATGCATACACACATTCTCTATCCATATATCTAGAGAGGGAGACTGATTAAAAAATGGAAATCAATATCCCTTGATGCAATTTTTAACCCATTACAACAATAATATGAGTACAGACCTTCCATATAAAAATGTTTTCACATAATTTTCAGACACCTGGAAGTTATGTCAACGCATATTTAATCTAAAAACAAAATAAAACTAGTTCCCCCCCTTCTTTCTTTCACTGCACTGACACAGTGAAACATCTCTGGCCTCAGCTAACTCTTTGGCCACATGGTGCTCCCACCACACATGTACAGAGAAGGGCTTTTGGTCCTGGGAAACTAGGGCACAGAAGTCAACAGTAGGTGTTCTAGAACAGGGGTCCCCAAACCCCAGGCTGTGGATTGGTACTGGTCTGTGGTCGTTGGGAACAGGGCCACACAGCAGGAGGTGAGTGGCAGGAGAGGCAGCATTACTGCCTGAGCTCTGCCTCCTGTCAGATCAGCGGGGGCATGAGATTCTCATAGGATCACAACCCTATGGCGAACTGTGCATGCGAGGGATCTAGGTTGCATGTTCCTTACGAGAATCTAACTAATGCCTGATGATCTGAGGTGGAAGAGTTTCATCTGGAAACCATCCCCCAACCCTTCCCTAGTCCATGGAAAAGCTGTCTTCCACAAAACTGGTCCCCGGTGACAAAAAGGTCGGGGACTGCTCTTCTAGAGGGTGCTTCCCCAAGTCTTTAATTAGGAAGAAAGGCCATTTCTTCACTGGGCCTCCTCATGAGAATCCCAGAGTTCACTAGCTCAACTGCTGACAGTGCCATGCTAGTTTTAGTCTTTTCTTAATGGAAAGGGAGAAAAAGATGAAAGCAAATGCATCTTATTTGGAGGCACTTCAGAGGAAAGTCAGAAAGTATGTCACTCGGTCTGTTGTGAGGAGCACTGGGTGGTCAAGCACTAAACACTCTGGAAAAATCCTGAAATGTCCTCTGTGAAATTCAAGGTCTTTCCAATACCAAACAAAAGTGCATACCACTTAGCGTGTTCTTCTAAAAAGTTGAAAAGGCCGTGTGTACCTTTCGCCTGTAATCCTAGAACTTTGGGAGGCCAAGGAGGGAGGATCCCTTAAGGCCAGGAGTTTAAGACCAGCCTGGACAACATAGCAAGACCCTGTTTCTACAAACAATTTAAAAATTAATCAGGTGTGGTGGTGCGAGTCCGTGGTCCCAGTTACTCAGAAGACTGAGGTGGGAGAATTGCTTAAGTCCAGGAGTTCAAGACTAGCCTGGGAAACATGGCAAAAACCCATCTCTACAAAAAATACAAAAATTTGCTGGGCATGGTGGCATGTGCCTGTAGTCCCTGCCACTCAGGAGGCTGAGGTGGGAGGATCGCTTGAGCCCAGGAGTTTGAGGCTGCAGTGAGCAATTATGAAGCCACTATACTCCAGCCTGACAGAGCAAGAATCTGTTTCAAAAAAATAAATAAATAAATGAACCATCCCCCAGATGGAGAGCATTCTGAACCAGTAGAAGTCCCCTCCTTGGAGTCAGTTAAAAGGCATTCCTATTCCTAAGTCTATCTCTAAGTCTATCCCTATCCCTAAGTCTAAATTTAACAAAAACCAAACAAAATAAAAAGGTACTCCTACTACCTGCTGTCCTCTTTTAGGATGTTCACTGATGGCTTCTCTTCCCCTCCTCTCAGAATTAAGAAGGTTGTGGTATTTAGGATAAAAAATGAGGCAATGTGATGTTTTGGCAAAACCCTTTGATGGCAGGAAACCCTGTTAGCATTTTGATAGAGTGAGTCAGCCATTGAGGCCTTCAGGGGAGTGATAAGAGTGTCCCCAGCATGACACTCCACAACTTGATGGAAATCCGGGGCTTCTTTGTAAGCATAACTGTTTTTCCCAAGAAGTGCAAACTAAAAACACAATGAGGTGGCCCTTTTGGCCTATAACATCGAGAAACATGTTAAAGAAATATAGTGATAATATCTAATATGTGGCAACAACGTGAAAAAATAGACGCTTTCTTTCATGAATGACTGTCAGATATATACATGAAATGCAACTGTTTGGCAGGGAAATTTGATCATAAGGTCTCAAAAGCTTTCAAAGTGCATGTGGTCTTAGCAGCAAGTCTAATGGGACAGTCAGAGAGGTGCACAATATTTTATGAATAAGGATGTTTATCACAGCATTATTTATGGTGCAGGGCGTCTTTAAAGAATCTAAGTGTCCTATAATAGAGGAAGACTTGAAAAGTATGTAAAGGTGTGCATATCACGGGATGCTTACCAGCCATTAACAGTGATCTTGTAAAGTACTTTTTTTTGATAAGTGTCCAATTCAGGATTTTCTCAGCTGCAAGTGACAAGAACTCCATTTGAACTAATTTAAACAGAAAGGTGACTGATGGAAAAGAAGAGCTGAGGCTGTGCGCAGTGGCTCACACCTGTAATCTCAGCACTCTGGGAGGCTGAGGTGGGCAGTTCTCTTAAAACCAGAGTTTGAGACCAGCCTGGGAAACATGGGGAAATCCCGTCTCTACAAAAAAAAAAAAAAAAAAAACACAAAAATTAGCTGGGCCTGGTGGCGCACACCTGGAGTGTCAGCTACTCGGGAGGCTGAGATGGGAGAATCAATTGAGCCTGGGAGGTCGAGGCTGCAGTGAGCCATGATTGTGCCACTGTACTCCGGCCCGGGTGACAGAATGAGACCCTGTCTCAAAAAAAAAAAAAAAAAAGGAATGAAGAGTTGGACCAGCAGGCTTAGGAAGGCAGTTCAAGTGACAGTGGCACTCTATAATAGAACCAGGAACACAGATGGCTTCGGGTCTCCCTCTCCTTTTCTCCTTCTTGTCTCTGCTTCTCCTCCATCTTTAGGCTCACATTCTTGCCTCATTACCCAAGAAGAAAGGATTTCCCCCTCCAAACTCCAGTGTGAAAAATTCCAAGAAAGACTTGATTGGTCTGGCTTGGATGACACATCTACCCTTGGACCAGTCATTGTGGCCAAGTATACGTGTACCACAAGGATCAGCCTAGGTGTATGAGAAATTGCTAAGAACTGAATGTTTATGTCTCCCCCAAATTCACACATTAAAATCCTCACCCCCAATATGATGCTATAAGGAGGGGGAGCCTCAGAGAGGTAATTAAGTCATGGGATTCTTTCCCTTATAAAAGAGTCCCCAGAATGCTTGTCTTTCTGGATACAAGAAGCTGGCCACATGCAACCCGGAAGCCCTCACCAGAACCCAGCCATGCCAGCACCTTAATCTTGGACTTCCAGCCTCCAGAACTGTGAGAAATAAATTTTTATTGTTTATAAGTCAACCAGTCTATGGCACTTTGTTACAGCAGCCCAAACGGACTAAAATACCTACCCTTCCATCAAGTGCTGTGACCAAGGGGCCATGTGGATCTCCTATGAGAGCAGTGGAGTGAATGGAATACCACCGTTGGGGCAACTGAGGAAATTGCTGGAACCAGGGAGCCACCCCCCAATTTGTGTCTCCCACAACATCAGTTGATAATATTATTGGTCAATGCTTTCTTTCCACAGTAGTTGGACCTCTTCTTCTTGTGAGGTTAAAGCACAACTTTGTCTTATTTTATTGCAAGTGAAGGCATTCCTTTGTGACTGTGTGGTTGGGAAATGCTCTGAGATCAACTGGATTGGGGTTATACGCTTGGAGCTCTGTATAACTATTCCCGGCTATACTGTTTGAGTGGGACCAAACAGAATGACCTGCCACCTCTGACCAACGACCGCATCCTCCACAAAACTTAGGGGGTGGGAATTGATTTTGGGAAATAACAATTTACCCATTATATGGAAATCAAGCAGAGCATTTCTAGAGCATACTGATTTTTAACTAACCAGAAAGTGGACTCTACCATGCTATCATCAGAGATGCCACATCTGACATCTGAACCATATACTTTAGAGACAAAGAAAAAATACAACATGGCTCTTTAAAAATCCAAGTTTTCAAGATAATAGAGACAGATGACAATGATGAATGATGGTCATTTTAAACATGTTCCCACAACAATAAAATGCTCTAATTCAGTTAGAGAACAGCCAACAATGTTGCGGGAAGTATTCCGAGTTGAACAATAATGCTGCTTTTGTGGATTTCTTTATTTTACAGATATGGGTATCTGTGGACTCTCATCTACTGGTATTGGGGGATTTAGGGCATTGGTGGAAAATGGATTGGAAAAGAACTCAGAAATTTTATAGAACTCACACATTTTATTTATGAAGAAAGTGGTAGATATGTGGAGACTGCTAGCTGGTGACAGTTTAAAAATCAATTTAAAAAAACTTAAGCTATTCCATCAATGGGCAGAATTCCACAGTTCTCCTAATTTACTGATGCAGCCTCTCCCTTTTGAAAAGTGGCCTACTTATTTGATACCATTTCCCACACTGTTGGATTGGGAGAACTTAAGTAACTTTGCCCCTACAGAATTTCCTCCCAAATGTAAATTCTTGAGAAAACCTAAGCCAATACTGAGCAGATGTGAGAAACGGAACATTGCCCTGGTCTTGATTCCCAGTGTCTTAGCTCTGGGTGTGTAGCTTACGCACTGTTCCATGTCTAGGCTCAAAGAGGCAGAGAAACTAACAAGCCAGGAACTCGGAAGCTCTGTGGGTGATATTTTACCCTTAGGTAACTTAGAACTTTTGCATCTGAATTTTTCCTATCAACTTTTGCAGCTCCATAAAGTTATCCTCTTATTAACAGAAAGGCAACACCTCAGATCCTTCTAGAATCTTGAGTGGAAACAGAGGGAGAAGGAATGTGTGGAATAATTTTGTGAAAGGATAACTTGCTGAAAAATATGATCTTTTTGATATACAGCTCTTTATTCTTTTAAATATTCTCATCAAAGTGATTCACTGAATGAAAAAAATTCATTGAATAAAAAACATTCTACAAACCAAATCAACAAATCTATATAATATTGTTTGCAAGCCAGTTAGTTTGGAAATTTTAGTTCCTACATTTTGTACATGTTTATATTTAGAATTAAAAAATAAATAACCTGGGTAAGTACTGTTTACAAAGACTTGGGCCGAACATTTTATATAAATAAAAATCTATGCATAAAGCTTGTACCTAAAAAGGAAGAGCTCTGTTTCCCAGGCATGACCCTACGAAAGGAGACTATTTTGTGGTAACTTGTCGCTAACAGGTGTTTGCAATTAGATTTTGAAATTTGTGGGTCTGAATATGGAACCTGAAACTGTCAAAGTACAAAGCAAGTACAACTCAGAATCATATTATAGCATCGGAAATGTGTCTAGTTTTCTCGAATTTTTCAGAATCATATGCTTCAGACATCATTACAAATCTAACAGAAAATTGTGTCTTGGTTCCTATATGTATGTGTATCACAAGCCACAATTATAATTCCTCTGTTTCTCACATGGCCAGATCATGCTCTTGTTTCTTGTTTTTTGAATGGCAGAGCAGGGTAACATCAAGTCAATAAGAAAAAAGGAACTTGCAACTATGTAAGAAAGAAACTAAGTGGGTGTTTCTTTGTTGGCAGAATGTCAGCAATTAAGGGTGAAGGAACCCAGCAGGCCTGAGAGAGTGTAATAAAAATAGAAATTATAGATGGAAAGTCTCATTTAAAGAGAAATGACCACCACCACCTCACTTACTAACATACCCTAAAATGTTTTTTATTTTAAAGGCTGAAACAGGAATGTAATCCCAGCACTTTGGGAGGCCAAAGCGAGAGAATTGCTTGAGTCCAGCAGTGTGAAACCAGCCTGGGCAACATAGCAAGACTCTGTCTCTACAGAAAGTTAAAAAAAAAATTGGCCAGGCATAGTGGTACATGTCTGTAGTCCCAGCTACTCAGGAGGCTGAGGCGAAAGGATCGCTTGAGCCTGGTAGGAGGAGGCTGCAGTGAGCTGTGATTTCGCCACTGCACTCCATCCTGGGTGACAAAGAAAGACCCAGTCTCAAATAAGTAAGTAAATAGATAAATAGAGGCTGAAACAAAGCGACTTCATTTCTAATCTTTCACATGATTTTATACTAGTCATGCAGAGAATCTCTTACTGTTGTGTTGGCTCACTCTGCATTTGCAGTGAATTTCTCTTCCAGAACATGCATGAACAGCCAACTCCCCAACCACAGATGGTCTAAATGCACGGTGACTGCCACAGGTATCCACCCACAAGGGCCAAAGCCCCTTGCTGCAATTCCTGCACCCTTTATCTAAGGCGTGGTTGGTTGTTAGGAGGTGGTGGAGAACAGAGTGAAGGGGTGTGTCCTGGTGACGATCCCTGCACAGCTGCAGTGGTTACTGGCAGTGAAAACTGCTGCAGCAAAGGGAGGGAAAGAAGGAAACTGATGGCTCATAGCAATCAATGGATTACTCATCAAAGCTGCCTCATTGCTGGATGGAGGAGGGAGGTGATTATCCAGGATTTTTTTTTTTTCTCCTTAATCTTCCAACTGCTCTTTTGCAAAGCAGCAATCCACATTCTAGTTAGGCATTAATCTCTGCCTGGTTAGTTTGGCCAACTCATAGAGCTGTGGACGGATGCCAATGACTCACTATTACAGGGCCCCACTTTATTTTTATCTGCTCCAGGGCCACAGACTGTAACCTTCAGTACAGTTGATCATCTTGAAAAGGTGCATGTCATTGGAACCTTGAGCAGGAATGAATTCTAGGAAATGTGTAGTTCAGGCCTTTTGCAAAGGAAAGACCCAGTCAACTTCTGTCCAAGATCTGGTGGTTTGGTGGAGTACATCAGAACCAAGACTAGAATCTCCTCCTCATAAATTCCATTGCAGTGCAAACTGTCTTAGGAAAGGCGATTTTTCTAGGTGCTCCAGAGAAAGTTGACTTTTATATTTTTCTTCAAACTTAGAGCAAAGAGAATGACAAATTCAGAGAACTGTCTTTTCTCATCACCCAGTGACAAGGTAACAAGAAGGAAAGTAAAATGGACTCTAACAAGATTACAGTTAGATTTCCTTCTTCCTCATTGCCTTGATACTCTGACATAATTATTGGTTTGGATATTTATTCATTTATTCTTTTGTCAAATATCTGCTGATTTTAAGAAGGTCGTGAAAGACTGAGTTAGATTATTTGGCTCAAGTTTTCTCCTGTGAATTTAATAAGAAAATATAGGGGCCAGATGCAGTGGCTCATGCCTGTAATCCCAGCACTTTGGGAGGCCAAGGCGGGTGGATCACCTGAGGTCACGAGTTCGAGACTAGCCTGGCCAACATAGTGAAACCCCATCTCTACTAAAGATACAAAAAATTAGCTGGGTGTGGTGGCAGGCACCTGTAATCCCAGCTATTCAGGAGGCTGAGACAGGAGAATCACTTGAACCTGGGAGGCAGAGGTTGCAGTGAGCTGAGATCGTGCCTGAGATCGTGAGCGCTCCAGCCTGGGTGACAGGAGTGAAACTGCATCTCAAGAAAAAAAGTAAGAAAAAAGAAAATATAGGGATTGTTGTGAGAAAACATGTTTGCACCTTTTACTAAGGTGCATTTACTAAGTAAATTATTTATTAGGCATCCCCTATAAAGTGAAGACTAATAAAGCCAACGATTGGTAATGTTCTATTTGTTAACTGGTAATGATTATACACAAGGTTGTTCGCTTGGTGGAAAATTCATTAAGCTGAACATTCATGATGTGGACACTTTTCTGAATGTATATTGCACTTCAATTCAAAGTTTTTAAAAGGTGCCAAGTATAGGAAGAAATTAATAGGCACAGCCCTAGTTCCTAAGAAGCTTCTATTTTAATACAATCATCCTACACTATTTATGGAAAACGAAGTCCCAGAGAGTACTGAAGTCTAGAGAGGTCTCACAGCTGGCTTGGGCAGAGCCAGGAGTAGGAGCTGGTCTTCTGGTTTGATATTCTCTTCATTTTGTGTATCCACTCCTTCTCAGGATGAAGTTGTATTCTTTTTTTTTTTTTTGAGACAGGGTCTTGCTCTGTCATCTAGGCTGTAGTGCAGTGCTCCTGGGCTCCAGTGATCTTCTCTTCAGCCTCCCAAGTAGCTGGGACTACAAGCGAACACAACCACACACCCAGCTAATTTATTATTATTATTATTATTATTAATTTATAGGGCTGGGTCTTGCTAACCTCCCCAGGCTGGTCTCAAACTTCTGGGCTCAAGTGATTCTCCTGCCTCAGCCTCGCAAAGGGCTGGGATTACAGCTGTGAGCTACTGCACCGAGCTGGAGTTCTATTCTAAGAACTGTATTTGAAGAGGGTCACTGAGAAAAAAAGTATCACTTTATTCCTTCTTGGCCTTGTTCTATTCTTTCTAAACTGTAAACTGAAAATTTTAGTCTTTCTTTGGGCTAACTAAACTGTAAAGCACTAAAATTTAACAGAGGTAGCTTGTGTGGATGAAATTTATCTGATGGGAACAAAGGGAGTTGTTTCAGTACCGGCCCTGAGTGGGCTGCACATTTATACCACTAAGATTCTCTTTCATCTAAAATGTAATACACACACACACACACACACACACACACACACAAGGAATCTCAGACTTGCAAATATTCTTATTATGAAGCTGACAAAAGCTAGTCTGTGGGAATGACCCACTTGTGAGGAGCAGGTCACATTAATGTATATCTTTATTGAGATGTCCCCCCTCAAAGACATCTGCACAATCATGCATTTCCATCAGGTGTAAAGTACGAAAGGGCTCCTGCAAGTCTTCGAGTAGGTGTGCTAGTCTTTGGGACAGCATGTCAGGGAGGCAGGCAAGTCTGCTACATGGAAGCCTGGGGACACTTCAGCCCCGTGAACTTGTCACCTTCAATGCCACCTCTTGGATCACCTGGCTCCCTGACTTAAGGTTCCAGAGCCTTCTCTTCTAGAAACACCTTAAGAATACATCTGAACTTCTAGGGATCTCTAAGAATCCTGGAAAAGAGACTAAGCCATGGTTTAGAGAGACCACTCTTATTTGTTCCTTTACCTATGCTACTGATCCTGTCCATGTGCCCCTCTTCACCAGCCTGACACCTTCTGTGGATTTCATCCCAAATTCTATCCTCCACCTTCAACCCCATTTCATATTCCCTAGTCAATCCCTTCCATAGTGTCAATTTCCACCTTATGCCAACGACTCCTCCTTTCACTTTTATCTCTTATCAAGATATCTCTACAGTACCAAGGTTCATCTTCCTAATGTCCTGCTGGAAGTCTCCACATGGGTGTGCCATGGGTCCTTCAAGTCATTATGTACAAAAGTCTATGCTAGCCAGGTGTGGTGTCACATGCCTGTAATCCCAGCACTTTGGAAGGCCGAGGTGGGTGGATCACTTGAGCGCAGGAGTTTTAAACCAGCCTGGACAACATGAAGACCCTTTGTGTCTAGAAGTACAAAAAAAAAAAAAATTAGCCAGGCACAGTGGTGTGCACCTGTAGTCCCAGCTACTTAGGAGTCAGAGGTGGGCGGATTGCTTGAGCCTGGGAGATTGAGACTACAGTGAGTCGAGACCATGCCACTGCCCTTTAGCCTGGGCAACATAGTGAAACCCTGTCTCAAGAATTTTTTTTTTTTTTTTTTTTTTTTTTAGACAGTCTCACTCTGTCGCCAGGATGGAGTGCAGTGACACGATCTCGGCTCACTGCAACCTCCGACTCCCTGGTTCAAGCAATTCTTCTGCCTCAGTCTCCCGAGTAGCTGGGATTGCAGGCACGTGCCACCACTTCCAGCTAATTTTTGTATTTTTAGTAGAGACAGGGTTTTGCCATGTTGGCCAAAAGGTCTCCTGACCTTTTGATCCACCTGCCTCGGCCTCCCAAAGTGTTGGGATTACAAGGGTGAGCCACCTTGCCAAGCCAAGAAATTTTTTAAAAGTGTCTTGTCTGCCATCTTTATCTTTCCTGCTGGATGGTTTCTTTCTCTTCTCTTCCTTATCTCAGTGATGGCACATTATCCATCATATGCCCAAGCTGGAAACCACAAGTCTCTTCCTTTTATCAACTGTATTCCATCAGTTATCTATTAATTTAATCACCTAGAGGAACTAGTAGTTATTGATT
Source organism: Homo sapiens (assembly GCF_000001405.40). NCBI lineage: Eukaryota > Metazoa > Chordata > Mammalia > Primates > Hominidae > Homo > Homo sapiens. Next base: position 24,905,815 of record NC_000010.11, read on the forward strand.
ACTTATTTAATAATATTTTGAGGTCTCATTCATTCTTTCTAATTATTTTTTGTACCCATTTGCAATCCCCGCTCCCTCCTCTCACCACTCCCCTTCCCAGCCTCTGGTAACCATCCTTCTACTCTCTATCTCCATGAGTTCAATTGTTTTAATTTTTAGCTCCCACCAATAAGTGAGAACATGCAAAGTTTGTCTTTCTGTGCCTGGCTTGTTTCACTTCACAGAGTGTCCTCCAGTGCCATCCATGTTGCAAATGATAGGATGTCCAGGCTGTTCTTTGTAGATCTGGTCCTGTCACCTCCCATGCATGGCGTGCTCCTTCCATCCCAGATCAGGCTTCCTCCTGTAATCTTGGGCAACTATAGACATTGCTTTCTCAATGCTTTCTCATTGCTTTCTCTGACTCCCCATCTCCTCTTGGCTGTGTAGAGAGCCCCACTCCACGTTCCTAACTCAGCTGAAAAAGCCTCTGCCTCTGTCTCCATGCTTTGTGCTTGTGCTTCACTATGGTTCTGATCACACTGCAAGCGCCAGCTACTCTCTGAGGTCAAGATACCCCTGGACCCCCAGCTTACGAGGACTCTGATATATGGAATATGAAGAAATAGTAAGAATTACAAAAACATGGTGTCATTTGAATGCTTACATCACACACACCCACACACACACAGTCCCAGACACAGAGGGAGTATGCTGATATATGAACAAATGACTTGTATGAATGAATGAATGGATGTGCCTTACCATGTGGAACAAAGAGCACTCCCTTGAAAAATGGACAGAATGTAGATCACACAAAAGCTGTCTTTAATTGCTTGATATCTGTGGCATTTCTGCTAAGGGACCAGTTAACTGGAACGTTTTTACTTATCAAGGAAATAAAAAGGAGATTGCTATAAGACCTCATTTCACAGGAGCAACTGTGGCCACGAAGCCCATGTGTAGGTTTTCCTCACCTGCTCTCGAGAGCTGGCTTGAGGGCTCTGAGCTACCTGCTCCCGTGTGAGCATCACAATCTTTGGTTCTAAAAGGCACAGGGCCAAAGAGGGGAGAAATGGACAAGCTGTCAGGAGGCTGTGGCACTGTTATTGGCTTTACTGTTAGTTCGTCTTTCTTTATATGTTTGGAATATAGGCATATCATTATATACATTTAGCATATAAAGCAACTTATGTTTTACTTTCCTGAATATAAAAGTCATATGAACACGTTACAGAAAAATGAGATAGTATAGATAAGTATAAAAATGGGGCCAGGTGCGGTGGCTCACACCTGTAATCCTAGCAATTTAGGAAGCTGTGGCTAGAGATTCGCTTGAGCCCAGGAGTCAGACACTGCACTGAGCTATGATCGCACCTCTGCACTCCAACTTGGGCAAGGGAGCTAGACCCTGTCTCTAAAAAAAAAATGAAGTAAAAATGGAAAATTACTCAGGAAATGAGGACTAACAGTGACTTGTATGAATTAGAATTTCTGTAGAATAAAAGTATTCACCTTAGGCTGGGTGTGGTGGCTCATGCCTGTAATCCCAGCACTTTCGGAGGCTGAGGCGGGTGGATCACTTGAGGTCAGGAGTTCGAGACCAGCATGGTCAACATGGTGAAACCCCATCTCTACTAAAAAATATAAAAATTAGCTGGGTGTGGTGGCGCACGCCTGTAGTCCCCATTACTCGGGAGGCTGAGGTGGGAGAATCACTTGAACCCGGGAGATGGAGGTTGCAGTAAGCTGAGATCACGCCACTGCATTCTGGCCTGGGCAACAGAGTGAGACTCTGTCTCAAAAAAATAAAAATCAAAATCAAGTATTCATCTTAAATCACTTCAAGGCAAATTCCTCAGAAAACATCTGTGGAAATAGCAACATAATCGTTTTTGGCATTTGTACACTTCATTTGAGTTCTGAATATCCTGGGTAGCTTCACTAACACTATTAAAGAAGTTACATTCTTTTAAATGTAATGTGTTATACATTTATTGTTAGAATAAAAAAATTGGAATAATTGTTTTCTTTCTTTTACTTTCTGTCCTTTTTTATTTTAAAACTACAAGTTCATTTCAAAGTGAAGTATTCTAACTCATATAAATAGAGAACACAGAATAAAAGACTATTTCATTCTAGGGCTAGGCAACAAAATGGCATGACCTTTGTCCTAAGAGTTTGATTTTCAGTAAAATTTCTTTATAAAGTTTTCTAGCAACCAAGTGTTTGGAACATTAAAATGTGGGAAAATTTTACTTGAGGGCAACACTGCTTTCTAGGATATGGTCCAAGACATTTAAAATGAATGTTGAATAAGGCCTTTTATAGTAAGTTTCACTGAGTACTGCGAGATCCACACCAAAGTCCCCCAGGGCCTGGGGCTACATCATACTCTCGTATCCCCACCACTGCAGCAGATACATTTTTGTTGCGTTGCGTTGCGTTGAATTGAACATGTCATGCCCTCTGTCTTTTACGGAATAAAGAACTAGAAGACTACCACATTGTATTTCAAGGCAATATTTTTATCCAGCATGTTTCTTTACATATTTTGATATTTTTCATAACCTCAAGCAAGAAGAAATACATCATCCAGCAGACACAGTGTCCAGTTTCTTCATGAAGACTGTGGGCACAGCCAGGGCTTGAAGACAGTGAGCCCTAGAATGGTCCAGGTGCTACTGTACACCTCACTGGATCTCAGACCTAATTCTGCTCTGATCTTGGTAACTGAAACCGGATGTGGAAACAGGGAATGAGCACTTGGAGGTAACCTCTCCAGAGGGTATTTGGAGATTCTTGCAGGGGAGCACAGCTACTCATATACCCTTGACTGAAGGCCAGTCCTCCTCTATCACAGATGGTTGTCCTCTTCAACCGAGCACGCAGCTTTGGGAGAGACACACATGGAGCAGTGAGGGAGGAAGGAGACACCTACCTAGCCAGCCCGATCAGCCTGATCAACCCTAGCGATCAATGGGGTGACTGATGCCACAGCCAGATAGCCCTCACATCCCCCTTTTCCAAATAGCCCATTTGATTCCAGCCACCTCAAGAAAACCAGAAGACCTCTGGCTGGGGTGAGAATGCAGGATGGAGGTCAGTTGTTCTAAATGTAAAGTCTCATCCTAGGAAGATCAGCTCTAAACAAGGCATCCAACCTTTCTGAGCCTCCGTTACCTTCTGTGTTAAGTGGAGATAAGAATAATTACCTCAGGCCAGGTGCAGTGGCTCATGCCAGCAATCCTAGCATTTTGGGAGATTGATTGAGGCCAGGAGCTCAAAACCTTCCTGGGCAACACAGTAAGACTCCCATCTCAACAAAAAGCCAAAAAACACCCAGGCGTGGTGGTGTGTGTCTATATTCCCAGTTACTTGGGAGACTGAGATAGGAGGATTGCCTGAGTACAGCAATTCAAGGCTGCAGTGAGTCATGATTGTGTCATTGCACTCCAGCCTGAGCAACACAGTGAGACTTTCATCTCAAAAAAAAGGGGACTATCTAACTCAAAGGTAAGAAAGAGATATTGTAGAACTTTTAATACATATGTGGCTATAAGCTATCTTTTTATTTAAAAAATATCCATTACCCCTTATCTCATGGTCCAGCTTTCATTTAGTTGTTTGCAAGTCAGCTTCCTTTACTAGGCTATGGATCCTTTTAAGGATGAGAATTGTATATAGCCTTTTTTGTCCCCCTAATTCACAGGATCTAGCAGAATCACTGATGCAGAGAGTATCAGCAAATGCTAGCTGAATGGATGAATTTTAAAATATTGCATATATATTTTTAATTTGTATAGCTTTGTATAGGAAAAAAATCCCCTTGTTCGAATAGTTAAAGACAAATATGCTATACCTGGCAATAAGTTTAGATTTCAAATGTTCTCATTCCAGATTTTACCCTCTACATTGAGAAAGGCCATTTAGCTTTATCTCACCTCCTACTGAAATTTCATGATGCCCTTAGCACCTCAGTAATTAGGTGGGGGTCTAATCTAGCAGTGTAGAGCCTTTCTCAATGCCCATAACCTGACCTTACTGAAACATTCCAACGAAATACATAAATTTTGGCCAGGCGTGTTGGCTCATGCCTATAATCCCAGCACTTTGGGAGGCCAAGGCGGGTGGATCGCTTGAGGTCGGGAGTTTGAGACAAGCCTGGCCAACGTGAGGAAACCCTGTCTCTATTAAAAATACAAAAAAAAAAAAAAAATAGCCAGGCATGGTGGTACATGCCTGTAACCCCAGCTTCTCGGGAGGCTGAGGCAGGAGAATCGCTTGAACCCAGGAGGCAGAGGTTGCTGCGAGCCGAAATCGTGCCACTGCACTCCAGCCTAGGTGACAGAGTGAGACTCTATCTCAAAAATAAATAAATAAATTTTTCCAATAACCTGAACAATGGTGGAAGCTGAAGATTCAGCAAATTAAGAACAATCAGAATCTTGACAGCTCACACATATTTTAAGAACTAGGGGAAGAAGACAGCTTTGGTTGAGGAAAGAACATTGCATTGAAAACCAGGAAACCTAAGATTGAATTCTCGTTTTAAAAGCTGGCCAACCACAAGTAAGTCATCTAACAACTGATAGATTTTTGTCTCATTTCATGTATAATGGAGGTAAGGAGACTTACTTCAAACTGCTGCTGGACAATTAAGATAATGCACATGAAAATACAGTGTATGATCTTAGTAAACATCATAATCAATGTTGAGTGTGAGTGAATCACTAAAAACCCAGAATTTTAGGCTGTCACTATAAGAGCAAGCATTCTTCTCCCTTCAGGAATATGTAATTATAGATCCATCTAGCTTTAATAAAACCCAGCATACAAAAATACAAGCCTACAAAATAATGCAAGCCCACTTATTTCACTATAAAAAGATACTTAATAAAATGGACCACCACTGGATTTCATTAAATAAAAGCTGAACTTGAGGCAATTAAAACTCAATACAATTTACAAAAATAGTGATTACTCATGACTTTTCAGATTAAAACAAATCAAAAAGAAAATTTAAAAAAAATTACCAAATCAGGCACCCTGATCTCCATCTTCCTGCTAAGGAGACAGATGCCTAGAGAGTTAGGTAATTTTTTTTTTTTTTTTGCAACCTCCACCTCCCAGGCTCAAGTGATCTTCCCACCTTAGCATCCCCAGCAGCTAAGTACTTTTTTTCAAGACTGCTTAAGGACTGTACACCTATTTCTTTATCGAATTCCAATTAAAATGTGCTGACCTCAAAAATAAAAACAGTGATAGTTAGAATTACTTGTTTAAAAAAATCAGCTCTTTCGAGGTATAATTTACATATGCCATTTTTGAGAATATAATTCAATGAGTTATGATGAATGCACAGTCATCTATCATTACAGTCATGATGTAGAATAATTCCATCACCCCCAAAAGCTCCCTTGAGCCCCTTTTTAATTGCTTTCTTCCTCTCCACTTATAGCCTCTGGCAAACACAGTTCTGCTTTCTGTTATGAAAGTTTTTGAACTGTTATGAAGTTCATTTAAATGGAATCATACAGCATATATCCTTTCAAGTGTGGCTCTTTTACTGAACACAGTGCACTTGAGATTCTCCTGTGTTGCTGCTGGCATTCCTTGCATGCAGTCCGTTGCTTTGTATTGCTGAGTAGTACACCATTCATGGACGTACCACAGTTTTTTCATTCCTTCATCAGTTTGTGGACATTTGAATTGTTTTTAGTTTGAGTTATTACAAATAAAGTTGCTATGAATATTTGCATACCAGCCTTTGTATAAAAAGTGTTTTCATGGGCCAGGCATGGTGGCTCATACCTGTAATCCCAGCACTTTGGGAGGCCCAGGCAGGTGGATCACGAGGTCAGGAGACTGAGACCATCCTGGCTAACATGGTGAAACCCTGTCTCTACTAAAAATACAAAAAATTAGCCGGGTATGGTGGCACATGCTTGTGGTCCCAGCTATTCAGGAGGCTGAGGCAGGAGAATCACTTGAACCCAGGAGGCGGAGTTTGCAGTGAGCCAAGATCACGTCACCGCACTCCAGCCTGGGTGACAGAGCAAGACTCCATCTCAAAAAAAACAAAACAAACAAACAAACAAAAACCTGTTTTCATTTCATTTGGATAAATACATAGGAGAGTATGATTGTAGATCACATTGATAAGTGTGGGTTTACTTTATAAGAAATTGCCTGCTGGGTGCTGTGGCTCATGCCTGTAATCCCAGCACTTTGGGAGGCTGAGGCGGGTGGATCACTTGAGGTCAGGAGTTCAAGACCAGCTTGGCCAACAAGGCGAAACCCTGTCTCTGCTAAAAATACAAAAATTGGCCAGATACGGTGGTGCATGCTTGCAATCCCAGCTACTGAGGAGGCTGAGGCAGGAGAATTGCTTGAACCCAGGAGGCAGAGGTTGCAGTGAGCAGAGATCAGGCCATTGCATTTCAGCCTGGGCAACAGAGCAAGACTTCATCTCAAAAAAAAAAAAAAAAAAAAAAAAAAAGAAAGAAATTGCTGAAGAGTTTTTTTTTTTTTTCAGAGAGGCTGCAGCGTCTTCCATTCCCATCAGCAGTGTAGGGGAGTTCCAACTTTACTTCCTCAACCAACAACTGTTCCTATCTGACTTCCTGGTTATAGGCATCCTCTGGGTGTGAGGCGGTATCTCTTTGTGGTTTGATTTGTATTTCCCTGATGACTAATGATATTGAAAATCTTCCCATGTTCTCACAGGCCATTTATATGTCATTTTTGGTAGAGTGTCATTCAAATCCTTTGCCTGTTTTGAAAATATTGGGCTGTGTTCTTACAGATGTACTGTAAGAACTCTTTATATATCTGGATATAAGATCTTTATCAGACATACGTTTTGCAAATATTTTCTCCCAATCAGTCTCCCAAACTTTGAAGTCATCCTTAACACCACTCATTCTCTTTTACCTCATATCCAATCCTCGTGGCTGTAGCTTAAAATGTATCCAGAATCTGACATTTCTCACCATCTCCACTCACCCACCGTGATCCATCAGCTCTCACCTGGATTACTGCAGTCACCTCTGAACTGGCCTTGCTTCTACCTCCCATCCTAAACATGGCATCCTGAGTGAGCCTTTTAACCCTTAAATCATATCATGTCGCCTTTCCACTCAAAAACTTCCAAAGCCGTCCCTTTACTAAGTCAAAAACTACAGACACTTACAGAAATAGAGAAAATTCCACTTACAATTTTTCGAAATCAGATTTGACAATCCAGTTTAATGAAATCTTTTCACCAAATAAAATACAATGGATTTCAAGTATGGCAACTAAAAGTTTTAAGCCCATCAGCCATTGAAATGGCAGCCACTTTATGGAGAAAACACGAACTTCACTAGGGCTGCCCAGCTTTCACAGCAAAGTCACTGAGCAGAATAATTCAATGCCAAAGCTGAGATAACCTTGTAATTAGCTTCCCCATGTTGGTTCACTTAGGTTAGCTATCATTTTGGAAGGTGTAATATTGTCAAGGAATAACGTCAGGCAGTCTTGAGGTTCTTACTGTTCTTTTAGCTGACCCTTTGGGTAACTGCATCTGTATTTATTAGGTTTATAAGATGATTCATTGCACAGTTTTAAATTGCAAGAAAGTTCTCTATTGGGTATTAGTGACATGCTTCTTACTGTAATTCCTAACACTGTAACCTATTTCAGGCCCAAACTGACAATTTCTTTGTCCCAGAGAATTGGTTAAGTAAATTTCCACCATGATCATGACAACAAAGAGGTTAGAATCAAGTTAAGCTTAATATCTCTTATCTCAGTATTTAGAAATTGTCATCTCTGCCAGAAATAATCCTTTCAAGTTAATCTCAGTGATTTTTCAATGCCCCTATTACAATGTATTCTCACTCAGATTATATAGTCAGAAACTAATAAAGATAAGGCCACTTTGGCAATGATTTTAAAGCAAACTTTAGAATCCATTTACCTCTAATGGGGACTAGAACTTATATAAGTAAAGGTCAGGAAACACACAAAGCAGTTGTAGATTCAAGATGCACAAACAAATCTTTGAGTCTTATGTGGAGAAACAGGATTTGTATGGTTATTTTTAAATGGGGTTTGGAGATTTTTAAATTCAGGGACTGATGAAATTTTATTTTCCCTCTGGGGAAATTGCTTGACTTCTGGGAAATATCCACTTTGTCTAATTTTTTGTACATTGATAAACTGAATGACCATGAACTCTAGTAGGAAAAGTGAAATCCAAAACTAACACTGCCCTATGAATTTCTTGGCCAAAGTGCTTTCATGCCATCAAGTTTCACAGTCAAATCAGATAGAAAATAAATAATAAATCATAGAACCAAGACTCAAAATCATATATTTAAATAAGAAAATGTAGTTAATCATAGCCACAAGTAAACATTGTTTTAGGACACAGAATCCATTTGCTAAATATCTAAATATTTTATTCAAGAGTGAGGAATGTGACTATTTCTACTAGAAGTATTCCAATTTGGTCTGAGTTACTATGAAAATAAAAAGAGAGTCATAGTGTACTCTCAAAAAATTATTTCTTAGGCATTTGCTATCTGCTTTCTATTTTGTGAACTAGGGAGAATAAAGCCAACACCCATGTGTACTGAGAGCTCTAATGTAAAAATACGTAAGGTTGAGAAGAAAAACACAGAAGAAAGGTGAGCTTAAGGCCATTTTGTGCCTCACAAAGATGTACTTCTTGGCATCTGGCACACTCTCAGGCAGCAAGGTGAACTTTTTTGCCCTCAGCATCCCATGGGTGTGATATTATCTTAACCTTATACATGCTACGATCTGGTTTGAAGGGCAGAGTTTAAGAGAAGTCAGTGAGATTTATTTTGGAATATATCAAGAAAATAAGGCCTTGAGACCTCTGCTCTGTTTCTTCCAAGGTCTAGGCCATAATAAATGCCTTTTAAAGAACTTTATTAAAACTACAGCTCTAGCCAACTCCTTCTCTGACTAGGTTCATGTCAACAAATGCTTCATCTTTCTCACATTAAAACAAGTAGCTTCTACCTCAGGCCTAGCTAAGATGTAAGAATAATCAAAGTTGTCACTTGCTGGTCACCTGTTTGGATGATACAGTTCTAGGGGCCTTCCATATGCCATCCAATTATTACTCATAAAAAAATCTTCTCATAGGGGTCAAGGGTTGAAAAACTACCTACTGGGTACTATGCTAACTACCTGGGTGATGGGTGCAATCGAACCCTAAACCTCAGCCTCATGCAATATACCCATGTAACAAACCTACACATGCACCCCTTGCATTTAATATGAAAGTTGAAAAAAACAATCTCATGAGACACACATGGCTAGCCTTATTTTATAGAAGAGAACACTAAGATTCAGAAAGGTTCAGTAACTTGGTATCAAAAATTAGCATGTGATATTGGAATTTGCACCAGATGCGTCTTTATTCTAAAGTTTGTGTTTATGGTTTCCATATTCTCTTCATTATGCTTGCCTTTTCAAAGACTCCTGACATTTGGACAGGGAAATGGGTCCTCTAGCTTCCTTTAATGTGCTTCCAAATAAATAACAGCTCCAAAAGGCATAACTGCTTGACTTAAATGGTAAAATCAGAGCTTCTTATGTTCCTTTTCATGACCATTTCTCACATTTGGCTTCCATATCCCTATAGGCAATGTTGGAATTGTGCCCACTCCCTAGGCAAGGGGTCATTTCACTGTTTCACTCCACTTCCCATAACTGGGTGTCCAGAGAGGCTGCTACTGCTGACACATCATCCTTGGCTGAACCTGACTGGTTCTTTGTTCTTAAAGACACTTGAGCCCTTATCAAGGTCAACAACAGTATCCATCTTGCTAACTATGGTGGTCAACATTCAGTCTTCTTACTTGTTCTATTAACTGCATTCAGTGGCTGATTAGCCCTTGCTTCACTCAGCTTCCAGGACATGATTCCCTGGTTGCTCCTCCTCAGACTGCTTTACTAGTTTCTTCTTGTCCTCCCAGCTTCCAAATAGTGGGAAGCTCCAGGTATCAGTCCTTAGAGCTCTTCTCTATCCACCTTCACTCCCTGGATGACCCATTCTTCAGCACGGCTTTAAATCCCTTCTATACATTGACCACGTTTAAACAAACATCTTAATCCTCTGCCTCTCTTCCCTGAACTCCAGACTGGTATATCCAACTGCCTGCTTATCTTGGATGTTTAGGAGGAAAAATATTCCAAAACCACACCCCTGGTTTCCTTTCCAAAGCTCCTCTTTTCACAATCTTCCCCATTTTAGTAAATGGCAACTCAGTTTATACACTTGCTCAGGCCAGAAACCTTACAGCCATGTCAATGTCCACTAATGTAAAATTCATCAGCACGTATGGGTGATGGCTTTGTCTTTACCTATAAGATATATACAGAAATCCAAATACTGCTCACCAGCTCCTCTGTGACCATCCAGGTTCCAGCTATCGTTATCTCTCACTGCAATTACTGCAATATCTTTTCAGCCATCTCCCTGCTCAACCTTTACCCCTTTCATTCTATTCTCAGCACCACACACAGACTTATTCTTTAAAATATAAGTCAGATAATGACATTCTGCTCAAAACCCAGTGAAATCTTCCTACTTACTCAGAGAAAAAGGCTAACTCCATACAGTGGCCTGACAGAATCTACAAGATTTCACCTCTCATTATTTCTCCAAGTCACCTCTGACTAATTTCTTCTCACTCTTCTCTGGCCTCCTTTGCTTTTCTTCAAATGTGTCAAGCACATTGCCACCTAAGGGCCATTGCACTTGCTGCTTCCTCTTCCTGGGACTGACTTCCCCTGTCTGCATGGGGAGCCTTTGTTTCTTTCAAGTCTCTGCTTCAATGGCGCTACTTACACCTTCTCTGACCACTCCCCACAACCCCTCCAGCCTACTCTGTCTCTTTTTCTCCACAGCATTTTCCACTTTTTGGCATATTTCTTCTTTTCTCGTTTTGTTTTATTTTCAATTTCCTGTCTGTTTTACCTAGAATGTAAAATCCTGACATACGAGTGTAACTATTTGGCGAGTGAATGGGCTATGCAATTTAGGGCTTGTTGGAACCCTCAATAACATCACCTCTTTCCCAACAAGGCTATCTCTTCCACCTAAACTTTAGATTTTCCCTTACAGTCCAATTACCATATATGTGTATCTTCTCATTACCCTGTATGTAGATCCTCAGCTCAATGGTGTATTCGAGGATCCAGGCTCTGTCCCCTTCCCCTTTGCCATCCTCAGTAATTAGCTGCATTCATATGCTTGTCTTTTCAATGACCCAAGGAGATTGCCATAGTTCCAGGAGTCACTTAAAGACAAAATAACATTTTGCTAAAGAGAGCGAGATTTCCTCCCATAATCTACTTTTCATCAGGGAAGTAAACCATTCCCTCTGGGAGGACTCTCAGCAGTCTTCCCTTTACTGTGTCAAATGCCCCATTTTTTAACTGCAAGGGAGGCTGGGAAAGCAAGCCGCTGGTGTGAGCAGCCTCTGCAATGGGATGCAGAAAGTGTGGTGGGGGTAGGGATGGTTGTTGGATAGAAAAAGCAAGTGTGTCTGTTGCAGTACACATTTTTTTAACTTCCGAGAAATTTTTCTTCTCCTCTTATTTGTCTTCTCTTATTCTGTTACAGACTCTTGTTCTTACTTTAGAGATACCAAGATTTTATTCTTTCTCCATGGGAATGTTAAACATAATATTTTGATGTTTTCTTCTGTTCTCTGTTCTCGCTCTATTTTCTTGGGGTTCCTTTTTTAGGGTTTTTTAGTTTTATTTTGTTCTGTTTCATCTGGTGTTTCATGCTAGACACTGTGCTCCTTGCTTCTAAGTGAGACACCAAAAGAGCTGATGGGAAAGAGTTATGTGTCCATCAGGGGGCAGAGATTGATGACAGATGGATTTACTAGTGGATTCCCATGGAGACAGATGTCCTTTTCAGTGGGGGAGTCCCAAATGCAATAGATGGAGGTCTTTTCTTTACAACCATTCAGTTTCCTCAAAGAACATTCACTGTCAAACCTCAGTGCCTCATTGGTGGGGGCTACGAGTGGTCACATGCCCGGCTGCTAAGGAAGAGAGCTGATGGTCTCAGAATCTCATATAAAAAGTTTAGCTGGATCTCCCCAGGCCTCTGTTTTACCTGGTGTCCGTGTTTTTGGTACTTTTTTGGTTCATTTTTTTCTGAAAAATTAATCTTCAGTTTCCTGCAATAGTGGTAGAAGGGGATGAGGCTGGGTGGGAGGGGAGGAGAGCTGTCACCTGACTTCCAACAATGGAAGTGGGGTGGAGGACCAGGGAGTCCCAATGATCTTCACAATGACATCATCTCATTGCCTGCTGTCCCTGACATTGCTGGAGCACTAAGTCTCTCAAGGCCTCATTTAACTGGGTTCTTCTTTGGTGTCATTCATTGCAGGCACTTGGGTCCAACTTATCTCCATGCCATTACATTCATGTTCTCTGGACCTGCTGTCTTCTCTCTTGTCCAGTTTGTCATATGAGGTCACTTTTAACTATATCATATCATATCATATCATATTATATATATCCATGTCATTTTAGTGGAGAATGCAAATCAAATATGTGTGGTTAATATCTTTTTTATTTTATTTTATTTTTATTTTAAGAAATGGGGTTTCACATTGTTGCTCAGGCTACAGTACAGTAAGGATTATAGCTCACCGCAGTCTTGAATTCCTGGGCTCATGGGATCCTCCTGCCTCAGCCTCCCAAGGGCTGTGACTACAGATGCATACCACCATGCCTGGCTAATTTTTAGATTTTTGTAGAGACTAGGTCTCACTATGTTGCCCAGGCTGGTCTTGAATTCCTGGGCTCAAGCAATCCTCCCCACTCAGCCTCCCAAAGCTCTAGGGTTACAGGTGTGAGCCACTATGCCTGGTCCAATCTGTCCTTTTTCAATAGACGTTCCAAGACATTAAAGATAATATAACTTCAAATCTGTCAGGGACCTTACAGATCTTGAAATCCAACCTCATCATTTTACAAATGAACAAAGGAAAACCCATAAAAATGAGTTCCTTGCCAAAGTGAACGGTGGTAATGGGGCCCTCCTTCTGGGAAGCAGTGTGGAAAGACTGTGGCCTCCATGCTCTTGAATCAGCCTGTGTAGTTTTACATCTTAGCCCCATTCTCGGCCAGCTCTATCTTAAACTGTCTGTGGATCACTTTCCTTACATGTAAAATGGGGATAATAAATTACTTTACTTATCAGGTTGTGGTGGGCACTAATGAAATAATATTTATAAGGCACTTAAAATAGTACTTTCAATAGTAATCAATCAATATATTATTATTAGTTTAAGTAAATCAAATTCAACTTTTAAAATCCTATACCTGGTACTAATAAACTAGAAAGATATCTTAGGATATATTAGAAATAAGTCTTTCTCTTAAAAATATACTATAAGGCTATAGTAACCAAAACAGCATGGTACAAGTACAAAAACAGACACATAGACCAATGGAACAGAATAGAGATTTCAGAAATAAGACCACACATCTACAACCATCTGATCTTTGACAAACCAGACAAAAACAAGCAATAGGGAAAGGACTCCCTGTTTAATAAATGGTGCTGGGAGAACTGGTTAGCCATGTGCAGAAAATTGAAACTGCACCCCTTCCTTATATCTTATACAAAAATTAACTCCAGATGGATTAAAGACTTAAATGGAAAACCCAAAACTATAAAAACTCTAGGAGAAAATCTAGGCAATACCAGTCAGGACATAGGCATGGGCCAAGATTTCATGACAAAAACATCAAAAGCAATTGCAACAAAAGCACAAATTGACAAATGGGATCTAATTAAACTGAAGAGCTTCCACACAGCAAAAGAAACTATTGTCAGAGTGAACAGACAACTTATAGATGGGAGAAAATTTTTGCAATCTATGCATCTGACAAAGGGCTAATATCCAGAATCTACAAGGGACTTAAACAAATTTACATTAAAAAAAAACCATTAAAAATGGGCAAAGGACATGAACAGACACTTCTCAAAAGAAGACATTTAAGTGGCCAACAAACATGAAAAAAAACTCAACATCACAAATCATTAGAGAAATGCAAATCAAGACCACAATGAGATACCATCTCATGCCAGTCAGAATGGTGATTATCAAAAAGTCAAGAAACGATAGATGCTGGTGAGGCTATGGAGAAATAGGAAAGCTTTTACCCTGTTGGTGGGAATGTAAATTAGTTCAACCATTATGGAAGACAGTGCGGCAATCCCTCAGAGACTTAGAATCAGAAATACCATTTGACCCAGTAATCCCATGGCTGGGTATATACTCAAAGGAATATAATAAATCATTCTATTATAAAGATACATGCACACTTATGTTCACTGAAGCACTATTCACAATAGCAAAGACATGGAATCAACCCAAATGCCCATCAATGATAGACTGGATAAATAAAATGTTATATATATATGTGTATATATATATGAGTGTGTGTGTATATATATATGTGTGTGTATATATATATATACCATGGAATACTATGCAGCCATCAAAAGGAAGGAGATCATGTCCTTTGCAGGAACATAGGTGGAGCTTGAAGCCATTATAGTCAGCAAACTAATGCAGGAACAGAAAACCAAGCACCACATGTTCTCATTTACAAGTGGGAGCTGAACAATGAGAACACATGGACACAAGGAGGGGAACAACACACACTAGGTCCTGTTGGGGATGGAAGATGCGGCGACAGCATCAGGATAAATAGCTAACACATGTGGGGCTTAATACCTAGGTGATGGGTTGATAGATGCAGCAAATCACCATGGCACACATTTACCTATGTAACAAACCTGCACGTCCTGCACATGTATCCTGGAACTTAAAATAAAATTCAATTTTTTTTTCAAAAAAGGAAATAAGTCATTCTAGTAGATGTATTCTGCATAGAGTAGTCTAACAGTACTGCTGATGGAAAAATAACTATCCCTGAAAAAGTCTACAATAATCTATCCATTTGATATATATTTAAATTTATCCATTAAAAGAAACAAACATGGAATTCCATAATGGTTTTCAAAATAAAATATTTCACTAATCTTCTAAAATTACTAACAATTCTGTTACAGGAACACTGCCTCAAAGCATCTAAAATGGTATTCTGTTTTGCAGATCTAAATTGACCTACACTGAAAGTAAGTAGCTTTTGCTTTAAGTATAGGAATAAAACAAGAATATGTCACTTTCATGGTTAAGTATTTCCCTGCCTACAACACAGCGGTTACAAGTGATTAAAAAAAAAACAAAAAAACAAAAAACAAAGGTGTCATTATCACTTCCTGAGTGATCAGGGCTCAGATATCGCTGGAGTAAGGGGTATGTTTAAAAATCATTTTTGTCCTAAGAAATTATCTTAATATGAAGATGAGGGAGAATATCACACATTTTCATTTCTCAGATCTCTTACACACGCCAATGTGAATTTTGGAAGTGTGAGTTGGGGCAGACTTCTGAGCCTGCCTTCTAGCTATCTTTCCTAATTAGAGGAGGATCCACACCCCAAAACAACACACAGAGGTCTATAGGGCACCAAAGCCCCCATCCCGGTCCTTCAACAGGGACTCCTGAGAGCTGCAGAGAGGAAGGAGTCATTCCAGGCCTCGATGATCACATGCTAACCAACACTTCCCACTGCTGTATTAGATTAGCATTTTTAGCAAAAGTACTGCTGACTCATCACCAACTGCTGGCCTTTTCCTTTCCACTCCTGCCTAGTCATTCCTCTCTGTGGCGTGGGCTGTGGGGGCCCTTGACGTACTGTTGTGCCCTTTTCCTCACCAAGAGTCATCCTGTTTTTAATGACATTATTCTCCTATTTGTCAATGTCTGTTTGAGTTCATTTCTGTTCTCTAGGAAAAAAAAAAAAAAAAAGCTAGGCAAACAAAAAAATGTCAAAACTGTCCTCCTCCAAATGAATCCCAAATTAATAAGTAGAAAATTAAATAATTCTTGTCCTTGAAAGCTACAGATTGTAAGCATGTTGAATTACCTGAGTGATTAACAATAATGCTGTGTTTAATAATGGCAAACTCATGCAAGAAAGGAATATACACTATGGGTTAAAACGACAATAAAACCATTAAACTCAAACTTTATTATAGTACAATGAGCATCATAAACAATTGTCAAAGGCATTATTTTTCCATAAATATTTTCCCCAAACCATTTTATTATATATCCAACTGTGTTGCTTTTTCCCACCAAATCCAAATTATTTCCTGGTAACTTTCCTAGACTTTAAAGTTCATGTGTTTTATAAAATACAAATGGAATATGTAATCTCAAAAAGATTTTCCTGGTCTTGATGCTAAATTTTACATTCTATATCAGTTACAAAATGTTGATAAAAATAACCTAACATAAAATAAGGATAATTGTTAATATTTTGCTGCCTGCAATTATTTTCCTGCAGAAAATGAGAAATTATCTGGGCATAATTAATAAAATACATCATTAGATCCTTTTTGGAAAAGATCAGGTATATATCAGTTAAACTGATTACCGCATTGATATGGTTTGGCTCTGTGCGCTTACACAAGTCTCACCTTGAATTGTAATAATCTCCATGTGTCATGGGAGGGACCCTGTGGGAAGTAATTGAATCACAGGGGTGGGGTTTTCCCATGCTGTTCTCATGATAGTGAATAAGTCTCATGAGATCTGATGGTTTTATAAAGGAGAGTTCCCCTGCATATGCCCTCTTGCCTGCCACCATGTAAGATATGATTTTGCCCCTAATTTGCCTTCTGCCATGATTGTGAGGCCTCCCCAGCCATATGGAACTGTGAGTCCATTAAACCTCTTTCCTGGGTCGCTTCCAAGATGGCTGAATAGGAACAGCTCCAGTCTGCAGCTCCCAGCATGATTGATGCAGAAGATGGGTGATTTCTGCATTTCCAACTGAGGTAGCTGGTTCATCTTATTGGGACGGGTTGGACAGTGGGTGCGGCCCATAGGGGGCAAGCCGAAGTGGGGTGGGGCATTGCCTCACCTGGAAGCACAAGGAGTTGGGTGATTTCCCTTTCCTAGCCAAGGGAAGCTGTGACAGACTGTACCTGGAGGAACCGTACACTTCTGTCCAAATACTGCACTTTTCCCACAGTCTTAGCAACTGGCAGACAAAGAGATTCCATCCTGTCTGTGCCTGGCTCAGCAGTCCCATGCCCATGGAGCCTTGCTCACTGCTAGCACAGCAGTCGGAAATCAACCTGTGATGCTGTAGCTGGGCAGTGGGAGGGTCGTCCACCATTGCTGAGGCTTCAGTATGTAAACAAAGTGGCTGGGAAGCTCAAACTGGGCAGAGCCCACCACAGCTCAGCAAGGCCTACCGCCTCTCTAGACTCCACCTCTGTGGGCAGGGTATAGCTGAACAAAAGGCAGCAGTCAACTTCTGCAGACTTAAACATCCCCGTCTGATAGCTCTGAAGAGAGCAGTGGTTCTCCCAGCACAGCATTCGAGCTCTGAGAACGGACAGACTGCCTCCTCAATTGGGTCCCTGACCCCCATTTAGCCTGACTGGGAGACACTCCCAAAAGGGGCCGACAGACACCTCATACAGGTGGGTGCCCTTCTGGAATGAAGCTTCCAGAGGAAGGATCAGGCAGCAATATTTGCTGTTCTGCAGCCTCCGCTGGTGATACCCAGGTAAACGGGGTCTGGAGTGGACCTCCAGCAAACTAAACAGACCCGCAGCTGAGGGGCCTGTTAGAAGGAAAACTAGCAAACAGAAAGGAATAGCAACAACATCAACAAAAAGGACATCCACACCAAAACCCCATCTGTAGGTCACCAACATCAAAGACCAAAGGTAGATAAAACCACAAAGACGGGGAGAAACCAGAGCAGAAAAGCTGAAAATTCCAAAAACCAGAGTTCTTCTTCTCCTCCAAAGGATCGCAGCTCCTCACCAGCAATGGAACAAAACTGGACAGAGAATGAGTTTGAGGAGTTGACAGAAGTAGGTTTCAGAAGGTCGGTAATAACAAACTTCTCTGAGCTAAAGGAACATGTTCTAACTCATCGCAAGGAAGCTAAAAACCTTGAAAAAAGGTTAGATAAATGGCTAACTAGAATAAACAGTGTAGAGAAGAACTTAAATGACCTGATGGAGCTGAAAACCACAGTACGAGAACTTCGTGACGCATGCACAAGCTTCAATAGCTGATTCGATCAAGTAGAAGAAACGATATCAGTGATTGAAGATCAAATTAATGAAATAAAGTGAGAAGACAAGATTAGAGAAAAAAGAGTGAAAAGAAACGAACACAGTCTCCAAGAAATATAGGACTATGTGAAAAGACCAAATCTATGTTTGATTGGTGTACCTGAAAGTGATGGGGAGAATGAAACCAAGTTAGAAAACACTCTTCAGGATATTACCCAGGAGAACTTCCCCAACCTAGCAAGGCAGGCCAACATTCAAATTCAGGAAATACAGAGAACACCACAAAGATACTCCTCGAGAAGAGCAACCCCAAGACACATAATTGTCAGATTCATCAAGGTTGAAATGAAGGAAAAAATGTTAAGGGCAGCCAGAGAGAAAGGTTGGGTTACCCACAAAGGGAAGCCCATCAGACTAACAGCAACAAAAGCCAAAATAGACAAATGGGATCTAATTAAACTAAAGAGCTTCTGCACAGCAAAAGAAACTATCATCAGAGTGAACAGACAACCTACAGAATGGGAGAAAAATTTTGCAATCTACCCATCTGACAAAGGGCTAATATCCAGAATCTACAAAGAACTTAAACAAATTTACAAGAAAAAACAACCCCATCAAAAAGTGGGCAAAAGACATGAACAGACACTTCTCAAAAGAAGACATTTATGCAGCCAACAGACACATGAAAAAAAAATGCTCATCATCACTGGTCATCAGAGAAATGCAAATCAAAACCACAATGAGATAACATCTCACTCCAGTTAGAATGGCTATCATTAAAAAGTCAGGAAACAACAGATGCTGGAGAGGATATGGAGAAATAGGAACACTTTTACATTGTTGGTGGGAGTGTAAATTAGTTCAACTATTGTGGAAGACAGTGTGGTGATTCCTCAAGGATCTAGAACTAGAAATACCTTTGACCCAGGGATCCCATTACTGGGTATATACCCAAAGGATTATAAATCATGCTACTATAAAGACACATGCACACATATGTTTATTGTGGCACTCTTCACAATAGCAAAGACTTGGAACCAACTCAAATGTCCATCAATGATAGACTGGATTAAGAAAATGTGGCACATATACACTATGGAATACTATGCAGCCATAAAAAAGGATGAGTTCATGTCCTTTGCAGGGACATGGATGAGGCTGGAAACCATCATTTTTAGCAAACTATCACAAGGACAGAAAACCAAACACTGCATGTTCTCACTCATAGGTGGGAGTTGAACAATGAGAACACATGGACACAGGGCGGGGAACATCACACATTGAGGCCTGTGGAGGGGGTGTCGGGGGCTGGCGGAGGGATAGCATTAGGAGAAATAACTAATGTAAATGTCGAGTCAATGGGTGCAGCAAACCAACATGGCACATGTATACCTATGTAACAAACCTGCACATTGTGCACATGTACCCTAGAACTTAAAATATAATTAAAAAAATAAATAAACCTCTTTCCTTTATAAATTACCCAGTTTCAGTTATGTATTTATTAGCAGCATGAGAACAGATTAATACAAGCATATTTTTTGTATATATACATAGCATGCTTAAGTTTCATGGGACCAGCAAGCTTTCAAATGATAAACGGAGGAAATGCAGACAACGTGAAATACAACTGAAATCTTCAGGCATCTGTTGTGATTAATACTAATAACACATACACTTTCTTGTGGGTCTGACCCTTCCTAGTTTCCAGCTTCCTCCCTCCTAACTGTTAAGTCACTTGCTCCCTATCCTATCCCCACTTCATCTACTGGCTCGACCTCATCAAATCGCTAGGAAGAAATCCGACCTTAGGTGGGGTTGGAACTCTGTGGAACTGCTAGGCAGCCAACTGGAGTCTGATGCCCAGCAACTGAATGTTATGCCTCTCACAATGGTTTTGGTCTTTCTGCTCTGTTCCCAAGTTCCAGTATCCACTGTGTGCTCTGGATTTGTCCCTTGTCCTGTGCCCACGTCTCTTCCTGGGAACTTGCCCAGTACTCCTGCAGAACTAGAGGGCTTTCTTCTCCTGCCAGTCCACCTCCTAGGGACTGGAGTCCTTTTCCTCTTCCACAGATCCAGGAGACAGACATGGTGTTAAAGGACCTAGTTTGGATGTCACTTCTAGCTGTGTGTTCTTGGGAACCCAGCTAACCCCTCTGGCCTCCATGCTCTTACCTGTGAAACTTTATAAGGATCTTGCAAGGGCTTAATAAGCTAATAGATATAAAGCACTTAGGACAATAGTTGGCCCTAAGTACTCAGTGAATATTATGTTTTATTAGCAGTGGTACCAACATACACAAGTGGGCTGATACTGGCTACCTAATACTTGGAGTTCTGAAGGCTGTGATCTTTCATCCATCTTTTTTTGAGACGGAGTCTCATTCTGTTACCCTGGTTGGAGTGCAGTGGCACAATCTCAGCTCACTGCAACCTTCCCAGCCTCCTGAGTAGCTGGGACTACAGGCGCCCGCCACCATACCTGGCTAATTTTTGTATTTTCAGTAGAGCTGGCATTTCACCATGTTGCCCAGGCTGGTCTCGAACTCCGGAGCTGAAGTGATCTGCCTGTCTCGGCCTCCCAAAGTGCCGGGATTACAGGCATGAGCCACTGCGTCCGGCCATTTCATCCATCTTTCAACTACTTATGACCCCTGCTGCACTGGACTTCAACTCACATCTGTAGCAGAGTGAGTCCATTCCCCGAGATGTCTGCTCCAGGGCCGGGTCCTGTTCCTGGTCCTGGATTCAACCCCAGCCTGTTGCAGTCAGCTAAGTTGAGCACAGCTCTGTCCCCAGAGTGATCTCTCAACACTGGATTGATACTATAATTTAATAATTCCTTCTGCATCATTCTCTTATTTTCCCTCTCAGTGTTTGCTTTTCACAAGGAAAAACAAACTCTAATGAGAATCTCTCTAGAGGAATAAATTTGAATATGAAGAATGTATGTCAAGAAAATGCATGGATATTTATAAAATAAAAAGGCTGTAAGGAGTGATAACAAAAAATACTGAGATTAACCTTATTACATAAATGGGCTTTGGTTTCACTTTAAAAAAAAATTTCACTTCATAGAATTAACTATCTCAGAGTAAACTTGCCTAGAGCAATGCTAGATGATCTCTTTTTAGGCCAAACTAGATATTTGTTTCATGCCAAGTTTCTTCATCCATGCCCTGCTGAAAGCCCATCATAAATACCTCTTAAAAACCAAAAGTCAAAGAGAAAACAGGACTGTCAATACTCTTTGTTTCAGTACACATAGGAATAAGACAGATGTTTCAGCGTTTCTATCCAGAGGTCACAGAGAAATTATGTTCTGGTTTTCATAAATACTTCTGATTAATTTTTAATGATTTATATGAACTGATTCAAACCACCCAGGCCTATTCCTGATGTACTCTTTAGTTAATAACTCTCCCTTTGAAGTCTGCAAAAATGTTTTGAGGATGTTAAAAAATATTTTAGACACTAACATGGAAAAAATCTGTAGCTTCAAAGGAAATACCCAACTGTTTGCAAAAGAGTATTGAAGTGATATTGCGGGACCCAATTTTTTTTTTTTTTTTTTTGAGACAGAGTCTTGCTCTGTCACCAGGCTGGAGTGCAGTGGCGCAGTCTTGGCTCACTGCAACCTCCACCTCCTGGGTTCAAGAGATTCTCCTGCCTCAGCCTCCCGAGTAGCTGGGACTACAGGTGTACACCACCACGTCCAGCTAATTTTTGTGCTTTTAGTAGAGGTGAGGTTTCACCATGTTGGCCAGAATGGACTCTATCTCTTGACCCTGTGATCTGCCTGCCTCAGCCTCCCAAAGTGCTGGGATCCTACAGGCGTGAGCTATTGCACCCGGCACAGGACCCAAGATTTTTAAATGACCAAAGAGTAAAGACAATGTTTTCTGTTATATTTCAGCTATTTGAACACTTGCAAATAAAATTGCTGAAAAAGATGAGGCGCTACCAATTTTCACTAACTCCAAGTTACACATTTTTTGTTATAATATCTCCCAAATCAAGATGCATCTTACATACAATCCATGTCAAATCATGGCTTAATTTAGAGCATTTTTTCTTTCATAGTGGTACATAAAGTAACAATCTATGATGCCTTTAGATTTAGTGAAATATGGTAAGTTTTAGAATTTTTGTGGTCTCTCATCTTCCCTCTTCTAGTCCTTTATTTTCTTCTATTTTCCTATTTCTTTATTTTTCCTCTCCATTTTTACTTAAAAATATGTATGTGTGTGTGCATGTGCTTACCTATAAACCTACTTTGGACCCATCTGGCACCCCCCCACAACTGAGGAACTCTTCTACTATCTTCAAAGAATTGGAGTCTTTTTTCTTCACCCAAAGCCCAAGGTGAGACTCTGCTAAACACAGATTTCCTGTCTCAGAAAGAAAAGGAGGCTTTCTTTTTCTTTTTTTCTCTTAAGACAGAGTCTCGCTCTGTTGCCCAGGCCGGAGTGCAGTGGCACAATCTCAACTCACTGCAACCTCCACCTCCCGGGTTCAAGTGATTCTATTGCCTCAGCCTCCCAAGTAGCTGGGATTACACGTGCCCACCACCACGCCCAGCTAATTTTTGTATTTTTAGTAGAGATGGGGTTTCACCATGTTGGCCAGGCTGGCCTGGAACTCCTGACCTCAGGTAATTGGCCCATCTCGGCCTCCCAAAGTGCTGGGATTACAGGTGTGAGCCACCGTGCCAAGAAAAAGAAGCTTTCGGCTGAGCGCAGTGGCTCACGCCTGTAATCTCAGCACTTTGGGAGGCCGAGACAGGCAGATCACGAGGTCAGGAGATAGAGACCATCCTGACTAACACGGTGAAACCCTGTCTCTACTAAAAAACTACAAAAAAATTAGCCGGGCGTGGTGGCGGGCGCCTGTAGTCCCAGCTATTCGGGAGGCTGAGGCAGGAGAATGGGGTGAACCCAGGAGGCGGAGCTTGCAGTGAGTCGAGATCGCAGCCACTGCACTCCAGCCTAGGCGACAGAGGCAGACTCCGTCTCAAAAAAAAAAAAAAAGAAAGAAAGAAAGAAAGAAAGGGAGGCTTTCAATTCCAGGCACCCTTGCTACTTGGAAACAGTTCAGCAAAAGTTCACCCTGGTGTAGGGTAAAGACTACTCACTAAAACTAAAGACACTGAACCTGGCTTATCCATTCTGTTCCCATTCCTCACAAGCACAGATAACAAGAGCTGACTGATTTAAACCCTTTGTTCTGAACTGTGGGAATGAGAGAGAAAAAATGTATTTAGCGTTTCTCTTCCCTCAAGGGAGCAGGTTTGTGGCTAACCCTTAGCTCTAATGAGCTTCTTTAATACGAACGCCAGCTTCCCCAGGGGCCCACATCCCCTGTGTGGCAAATCTCTCGGCCCTACTGTGGTTACACTGTGAGTTGTATTTTAGCTCCAAAAAATCTCTTGGTGTTGCCAACATGCAGGAATTATTCATACAAAGCAGGGCACATTCAAACAACATGGGGCAGGATCTAGGGCAACTGTGGCTTGCCTAAAATAACATTCATCCTCAATTTTTAAAGCCTTGAAGTTGTAGTTTGAAGATTGTATTTTGTACAGAGGTTAGCTAACCAAATTGGTGGGAAACAATGAGATCAGAATGTTGCACCTCTGAATTACACTTTATCCTCACATTGGATTGCATATAAATTAATGAGCTTTTAAACCAGGGCAACATTTGAGAGAGAATAAAGGGAAAAAACTTGGCAAATAATGCATCCACATACAAAAAAGCTGTCTAAAAAGTCACTTGCTGGCACCTAACAATACTTCCCTCAAATCCTCCTGTTTTTCCACTCAAAGTCCCTTAGAATAGATATCCCAAAAGGCCTCCCACTTCCACCCTGATAGAGCTTTCTCAAAACACACTAAATCTGATTGCAGTCCTAGCTGTTTGGGAAGTTGAGGCAGGAGGATCATTTGATCCCAGGGAGGTTGAAGTTGCAGTGAGCTATGATCACACAACTGTACTGCAGCCTGGGTGATGGAGCGAGACCCTGCCTCTAAACACATGTACACACACACAAACACACACACACACACACAATCGGGTAGCTCAAGGGACTGCTGAATTATGCCTGTTTCTCTTTGATTCGAGTCTCTATATGCTCAGGAGTTAGTATGAAGCCTGAAGCTCAAGGTTCTTTCCGAATTTTTCTGGATTTGGCCTCCTAAAAGCAGCAAGCAAGCTTTAAGTGAATCCAGAGAACAAGCAGGTAGAGTGAAAGTTCATGTCTTGTGGAGTATCTCCATGGTGCAGGGCAGAAAGAGGAAAAGCAAAGCATAGTTTTCCATAATTTACAGAAAAACCCAGTGTTAATATTCATTTTCTTAGAAGGTACTACTTGATAGCTTATTAATTCAACATATAAAACATTTCAGAAAAAAAAGCAGGTAATTGTCTATTTATGGATATTGTCATTCTTCCAGCAATAATAGAAGCTGGCTTAGCCGGGTTAGGTGAATGTCAAAATAAAGCTCAAGAAAAAATAATGCTGATTCATTTGGTCAAATGTTCTTCCTTTTAGCCTAATTTATCTCAACACATCTCTAGGGAGACTGTACACTCCAGTGGTCACAGTCTTGAGCTCTGGCGTGGAACTTTGATTTAAATACTAGATCCACCACTTACATGCTGCTTGACCTTGGGCATGTTACTGAACATCTCAGGTGTCTGTTTCATTATGTGTAGTACAAATATAATAAGGCTGCCTGTTTCTTATTTTGTGTCTACTATTGAATTAATCAAGTTTGGAGTTTCCTTTATTCCTTTTCATCCTCTTTACTAGCTGAAAAATTATAAATAACATTCCTATTTTTTCAGTGGTCACCCTTAAGAGGTGCTGTTTAGAGAAATACGCAAGGAAAAGGTATGAGAAATTAGAAAGAAATAGTAGTATTTAGTTTGACATGGATTACAATGGTGATAGTTTCCGCAATATAAAATATATCCTGGGCCATAGAACAAGCCTCAAAAAATTTAAAAGAATTGGAATCATACAAAATACAGTTTCTGCAACAGAATTCAACTAGAAACAATACAGGAATTATGTATGGAAAATCCCCCAAATACTTGAAAATTAAACAACACGAGACAACCAATGAGTGAAAGAGGAAATTAGAAAATAGTTTGAATTGAATGAAAATGAACACAATATATCAAAATGTATAGAGGCAGCTAAAGAAGTACTTAAAGGAAAACTTACAGCATTATATGTTTGTATTAGAAAATAAGAAAATCTCAAATCTATGAACTCAACTTTCATTTTATGAAACTAGGAAAATAAAAGAAAATTAACCCCAAAACAAACAGAAGGAAGGAAATAACATAAAAGCATAAATCAATGAAACTGAAAACATAAACACAAAAGAGAAAATCGAGAAAGCAACAAATTGGTTCTTTGAAAGAATAAAAAAATTGAAAAACCTTTAGGCATACTGGTGAAGAAAAGGAAAGAGACAGAAGATACAATTTAATACTATCAGGACTGAAAGAGAGAATATCACTACAGAGATTAAAGATAATAAGGGAATATTATAAACAACTTTATGTCCAGAAATGTAAAAACTAGATAAAATGGACAAATGCCTTGAAAGACACAAACTATTAAAGAGTGAGAAAACTATTAGCCTGAATACTCCCATATCTACTAAATAAACTTAATTCCAATTAAAAAAATCTTCTGACAAAGAAAGCTCCATGTCAAGATGGTTTTACTGGTGAATTCTACCAAATACCAAAGACGAATTAGTACTAATTCTACACAAACTCTTCTGAAAAAAAGATGAGGAGAAAATACTTCCCAGTTTATTTTAAAAGACCAATATAAGCCTGATACCAGAATCAGAAAAAGGCACTATAAGAAAAAAAAAAAACAAAAAACTATGGTTTAATATCCTCCAAGCACTTAAATGCAAAATTCCTCAAAAAATTAGCAAGTTGAATCCACCAATACATGAAAAGGATAATATGTCATTATATTACATTAATGGAAAGATAGTCCAACATTAGCAAACCAATCAATGTATTTTACCATATCAACATCTCTAGAAAAAGCACTGATGATATTCATTCATAATTTTTTAAGAAAATATGAAAAAACCTCTTGCAAAACTAGGAATAGAAGGAGCTTCCTTAACCTGATAAAGAACATCTTCAAAAAACCAACAGTCAGTATTATACTGACTGAAAACAAGGCAAGGATGTTTTCTCCCACCATTCATATTCAGGAGTGTATAGGAGGTCCTAACTGGCATGATCATGCAATAAAAAGAAATAAAAGGTCTGTAAGTATAAAGGAAGAAGCAAAATCATCTCTATTTAAGGAAGAAATTATTATCTTCATAGAAAACCCAAAAGAATCTATGAAAAAGCTATTAGAACTCATAAGTGAGTTTCATAAGTCATAGGATTCAATATACAAAATTAATAGTATTTCTAAATACTACCCATAAATAATTGGAATTTGAAATTCAAAGAAAAACTTACTGAATATAATAGGATCAAAATCATTAAATATATAAGTATATATCTAACCAAATATGCCTAAGATCTGACACTTGAAAACCAGAAAACACTGAAATAAGATCTAAATAAATTAGGAGATATACCGTGTTCATGGAATGGAAGACTAAATAGTGTTACAATGTCAATTCCCCCCAAATTGATCTATAGATTCAAGGCAATCTTGATAAAATTCTAATGTGTTATTTTGTAGAAATCAGCTACATGATATTAAATTTATATGGAAAGACAAAGAACAAGAATAGCCAAGGCAGTGTGAAAAAGAACAAAGTTGGAGGACACATACTACTTAATTTACAGAGTTATTATAAAGTTACAGTAATCAAAGCAGTGACAATGTAGATGAACAGATCTGATAGTGTCCAGAAATAGACCAACATACATATATAAAGTAAGCTGATTTTCAGTGAAAGATCAAAAGCAACTCCATGGAAAAGGATCATCTTTTTGGCAAATAATCCTGGAATAATCGAACACTTCATGCAAAAATGAAAAGAAAAGGAATCGCAATCCATACCTTATATCGTAGTAAAAAATTAACATGACATGTCTCACAGACCTAAATTTAAATCTAAAACTATGAAACTTCTCTTTTTAAAAAAAGGAGAAAATCTTTGTGATCTTGGGTTAGGCAGATTTCTTAGGTACACCAAAAGCATGATCCACAAAAGGACACACTAGATTAACTGAACTTAAAAAATTTTTTAATAATGCTCTTTGAAAAACAAAATGAAAAAACCTCACTGACTAAAAAATATATCAAAACACATATCTAATAAAAAATTCATGGCCAATATATTTTTTAAAACTCTCAAATACAATAATAAGAAAACAACCCAATTTTTTAAATGGGTAAGATAGTTGAACAAACACTTCATCAAAAAAGCTATATGAATAGCAAACCAGCAAATGTAACTATGTTCAAATCATCATTTATTAGGGAAATGCAAATTAAACCACAATGTGATATCATCACCTATTAGAACAGGTAAAATCAAGAAAAAAATAAGGAAAAACTGATAATACTAAGTGTTATTGAAAACATGGAGTAACAGGAACTGTCACATATGCTGGTGGGAATTCAAAATGATTCAATCCTTTGGGAAAAGAGTTTGGCAATTTTTTTTTTTTTTTTTTGAGATGGAGTCTCATTCTGTTGCCCAGACTGGAGTGCAGTGGCACAATCTCAGCTCACTGCAACCTCTGCCTCCCAGGTTCGAGTGATTCTCCTGCCTCAGCCTCTTGAGTAGCTGGGATTACAGGTATCTGCCACCATGCCTGGCTAATTTTTGTATTTTAGTAGAGATGAGGTTTCACCATGTTGACCAAGCTGGTCTTGAGCTCCTGACCTCAGATGATCTGCCCGACTCGGCCTGCCAAAGTGCTAGGATGACAGGCATGAGCCACTGCACCTGGCCAGGCAATTTATTATATACACTCATCATATGACCTCCCATCTTGCCCCTAAATATTTAGTCAAGGGAAGTGAAGTCATAAGTACACACAAATACCTGCATGTGAATATTTATAGCTGCTTTACTTCTAATTGCTTCAAAATAGAAACAACCCAAATATCCTTCAGCTGATGAATGGAGTAACAAACTGCACTCTATCTATATAATCAAATTCTACTGGACACAAAGAAGAAGAAGAAGAAGAAGAAGAAGAAGAAGGAGAAGAAGAAGAAGAAGAAGAAGAAGAACTGATACGAAGAAGAAGAAGAACTGATACTGTAAACCAAAAATAAAATTCTAAGCCCCCCAGCTGTGGGGAATGAACCCCTCCTCTCAGCCAAGGGCATTCCAAAGTTAACCTGAAAAACTCGTTCAGGCCACGATGGGAAGAAGAAGCCAGACATGCCTCGTGATCCCCTCCTCCCTTTAGGAATTGCTGATAGAATAGACCCCTTAGGTCTGATAAGAAACATTTACAATCTATTCTCTCTGAAGCCTGCTACCTGAAGGCTTCATCTGCATGATTAAACCTTGGCTTCCTCCACAACTCCTTATCATAACCCAGACATTCCTTTCTATTGATAATAACCCTTGCAACCAATTGCCAATCAGAACTTCTTTTAATCTACCCATGATCTGGAAGCTGCCGCTTCTAGTTGTCCCACATTTCCAGACCGAACCAACGTACACTGTACATGTATTCATTGATGACTTCTGTCTCCCTAAAATGTATAAAACCAAGTTGTGTCCTGATCACCTTGGACGCATGTTCTCAGGATCTCCTGAGGGCTGTGTCACAGGTTACTTGTCACTCATATTTGGCTCAGAATAAATCTGTTGAAATATTTTACGGAGTTTGACTCTTTTCATCAACAATACACACAATATGGATGAATGCATTATGTTATGATTTAGGGATTTACTAAAGCTACATGATATATGATTATATCTGTAAGACATTCTGGAAAGGGCAAAACTTTAGGAAAAGAAAACGTATCTGTGGTTTCCAGGGCTTAGGGGTTCAGGAGGTTGACTGTGAAGGACACAAGGACATTCTTTGCATTGTTAAGGAAACTGTTCTATATCTTGACTGTGGTGATTTACATGATTGTATGCATTTGTTGAAATTCACTGAACTCTAAAGAGGATGGATGTTACTGCATGTAAACGGTGGCTCAATAAACCTGACTTTAATTAAAAAAAATGTTAACAGGTTTTTAAAATGCTGTTAACCAGGGACAAATATAATAAGGGTCAGGGCCAAGTGAATGAGAGAAATCTGGTATGAAGGAAGCACAGGGATTTAACCCAGAAGGAAGATAATCTAAAGAGAGAAAAAATTCTCAGGAGAAGATAAAACCAAGAAATCAGAGCTAAGATGTCTTCAAAAACCAGCTTCACTCTGGCCTGAGAGGTGATCAGGAAAACACAGAGTATCTTAAGAAATCAGAACTAATTTCCAGCTGCTCTAGAACTGAGGCAACTGAGAGTCACATGAGGAATGTGGAAGACAGATTGGTGGCCCTGAAGACCGCTGTCCCCTGGTGTACACACCCTGCATAATCCTCTCCACTTGAGTGTGGGTAAGACTTGTAAACGTGGTGGGAATTCGCACCAAAGATTAGGTGACTAGTCAGATGACTTTGAGTTCATCAAAAGGCAGGTTACCTGGGTGAACATGATCTAATCAGGTGAGCTATAAAAGAAGGGCTAAGATTATTCCGTCAGACTTGAAGAAGCAAACAGCTAATGGTGTTGTGAACGACCTGTGGGGTAATTGATGCAAACACCTGGGGACAACCCCTAGGAGTGGAGAGTCTACCAACTCCAGCCTACAGTCAACAAGGAAATGGGAACTGAGCTTGCCAACAGTCAGTGATCTTGAAAACCTCAGATGATATCAAAATCCCAACTAACACACTGATTTCATCCCTGTAAGGTTCTGAGCTGAAAACTCAGCTACACCATGCTCAGATTTCTGACCTACAGAAACTTTAAGATAATACACGTGTATGTTGGTTTAAGCCACTACGTTTGTGGTGAGTTTGCCACACAGCAATAGAAGGCCAATTCAAAGAGTGATTCATGAATTAAAATGTGTCAAGTTAGTTTAGTCAACGAGAATATTTTCATGGTTTGACTCCAAGAGCTCCTCACCCAATAGTAAGTTATTTTTAATGTTTTACTATGCATTAAATCAAAAAGCATCAAAGAAGTTAACATCATAGAGGGAGGAGGAGGGAGACTAAGGAAACAACAGCTTTTTTTTTTTGGCAAGAGTTTCATTGTCATCCAGGCTGGAGTGCAGTGGTGCCATACAGCTCACTGCAGCCTCTGTCTCCTGGGCTCAAACAATCCTCCCACTTCAGCCTCTTGAGTACCTGGGACCATAGGCACATGCCACCACACTCAGCTAATTTTAAAAATTTTCTTTTTGTATATAGACAGGGACTCACTATGTTGCCCAGGCTGGTCTCGAACTCCTGGCTTCAGGGGATCCTTCTGTCTTGGCCTCCCAAAGTGTTGGGATTATATGCATGAGCCACTGCATCTGGTTAGGAAACATCTTTGGAGAATAATTCCATTAATTCTGCCCAGTGGTGCCCACAGAAAGACAGAATTAATGGAGTAAACTGGTGGAGGGGCCTTCTGCTGGAGCTCCCTGGCCTTGTTTCCTCACACTTGGCAATGTGCTGTCCCTATAGCCTTCCCTTCTTTACTTCCAGGCCACAACTGCAGCCACCCAAGTACTAAGACTCCTCTCTGGGCTGGACACCCTCCCATAGGTCCCCAGGACCCATAGTGACATCCAGAGTAGAAAAAACAAATCAGTGTTCACACTCTGACCACACACAGTTGTGGGGCTGGGCACCAGGATATAACCACTCACTTTATCACCATAAAAGAAAGCACAAATCATTACTGCTGAGTCTTCCCATATATGTGAAAATAGAGAGAAGGTCCCCACCCCACGCCCTAAATAGTATCATTTGAATTCTTATGTTAGGTTGCCGTATTCTTGCAAATTAAAATTACCCTTCATTTTCATCTCCATTTTTAAAAATTGCACTCTTCATTTTCATAACATTATTGATTCTTTTATCCTAAAGCATTGTTAAATGAAATGTCATAAAGCGGAACTTGTAATAACTTACCCTGTAACTTTTTAGTCTGATGAAATCAACCTTCATTGAGACAAATCGATCTGAATTTCGGCTGATGTTCTTAAGGTGTTCTACGAGATCAGCACAGAATTTGTAACCTCCTTTAAGCACACACAGGACCATGATGTCACTATATCCTATGTCTTTCATAATATCCTTGGCCAGCCGCTCAATTCTGAAAGAAGGATAAAAGATATATTAAGGCACAACTACTTCTGAGTATTTATGTTGCTTTAATGAAATGCAAGATGTATTGTACGTATTCGATTACTCAGAGGAATGTGGGGAAAACCTTGGGAAACAGAAACCCACCGATAGAAAAGCTTTGTTAAGGTTGAACATAAGGTGTTCAAAACATACTGCTTTTTTTTTTTTTTTTTTTTAAGATGGAGTCTCACTCTGTTGCCCAGGCTGCAGTGCAGTGGCACGATCTTGGCTCACTGCAACCTCCACCTCCTGGGTTCAAGTGATTCTCCTGCCTCAGCCTCCCAAGTAGCTGGGAATACAGGCGCCTGCCACTATGCTCAGCTAATTTTTGTATTTTTAGTAGAGACGAGGTTTTGCCATGTTGGCCAGGCTGGTCTCGAACTCCTGACTTCAGGTGACCTGGCCACCTTGGCTTCCCAAAGTGCTGGGATTACAGGCATGAGCCACCATGCCTGGCAGTATTTACTGAATTCTAAAGAAGACACACGATCATAAAAAATGTACATCAGAATATCTGGCATGCTCCTTAAAAAGGAACATTTGGGCCAAGAGTGGTGTCTCACACCTGTAATCCCAGCACTTTAAGAAATCCAAGATGGGCAGATCACTTAAGGTCAGGAGTTTGAGACCAGCCT
Organism: Homo sapiens; assembly: GCF_000001405.40. Classification (NCBI taxonomy): domain Eukaryota; kingdom Metazoa; phylum Chordata; class Mammalia; order Primates; family Hominidae; genus Homo; species Homo sapiens. The sequence continues at coordinate 24,938,035 of NC_000010.11, forward strand.
GGCCAACGTGGTGAAACCCCGTCTCTACTAAAAATACAAAAATTAGCCGGGCATGGTGGCGGGTGCCTGTAATCCCAGCTACTCGGGAAGCTGAGGCAGGAGAATCCCTTGAACCAAGGAGGCAGAGGTTGCAATGATCTGAGATTGCACCACTGTACTACTCCAGCCTGCGCGACAGAGCAAGGCTCCTTCTCAAAAAAAAAAAAAGAACATTTGTTTCCAACATGATGAAGTAAGGAGGTGAACACATCCTCTCCAGAAAAGCAACTATAAAACTGGGCAAAACTGCCAAAAACAACCATCTCATCATGTTGGAAATCAACCAAAGGCATACAACAAACTGAGAAGCATTTAATTCTGAAAACCCTGAACACTGGGTGGAAACAGCATGAGTCTGGGGCATTCTTGTGTGGGGATGCTCTTATTACCCCCCAGCCCCTATCCCCAGCTCTGTTGTTCAAACAGGCAGTTCCACCAAGGTGGTGCACTGCCAGAGGGAGCTCACCTGATAGGGAACACTGTAAGCTAAAATGGTCACCTTGGTGGCAGGGCTCCACTATCCTGAGGTGCAGTCACCGCTGAGCAGTGCACTGGCAGGCTGGCTGGGGATTTGATAGGAAGTTCCAGGGAGGAGGTTAGACAGTCATAGAACAGGGGCACACAATAAGTTCTTCATGCATCTCAATTGACCAGAGGCTGTACATATGCACAGCAGAGTGAGTTCAAGCCACCCACACATCCCTGGACAGTGAAGGCTGTGTACATGTGCAGAGAAGGCACAAGAAAGCTCAGGGGAAAGTAAACATCGAAAGATTTGAAAATGGTTGGAAATTTGAATCTACTTTCAAGTCCCCACACACCCCCATCAGCAGAGAGTGGAAGACTTACTGGCTTGACGTATTTGAGCACAACTTCTAACCAATTGTAGGCCAAACACTAAGCTATTCAAACACAGGGTGATCCCTAGTAAGTGAGGCTTAAAAATAAAAACAAGAGAAAAATAAACCTCACAGACATCAGAAGTCACACAGTGAGGTGGGCAGATCTCTTGAGGTCAGGAGTTCAAGATCAGCCTGGCCAACACGGTGAAACCCAATCTCTACTAAAAATACAAAAATTAGCCGGGCTTGGTGGTCTGCGCCTGTAATCCCAGCTACTCAGGAAGCTGAGGCAGGAGAATCACTTGAACCCAGGAGGCGGAGGTTGCAGTAAGCCCAGACTGTGCTATTGCACTCCAGTCTGGGTGATAAGAGTGAAACTCTGACTCAAAAAAAAAAAAAAAAAAAGTAGAATTTCACAGAGTGGAAGACAAAAAAGGAAACAACAACAGCAATGAATAGAAAATAGTTATAAATACGATAGATACTAAACATTATATCAATACTCATTTTAAATATGAATGGTCTAAATATAGCAATTAAAAGACAGACTGTCAGGGTGGATTAAAAAAAGATCTAACTGTATATTGCCCACAAGAAGCTCACTTTATGGCTTACACCTATAATCCCAGCACTTTGGGAGGCCAAGGCAGGCAGATCCCTTCAGGTCAGGAGATCAAGACCATCCTGGCCAACATGGTGAAACCCCATCTCTACTAAAAATACAAAAAATTAGCCAGGTGTGGTGGTGCATGCTTATAATCCCAGCTACTTGGGAGGCTGAGGCAGGAGGTTCACTTGAACCCGGGAGTTGGAGGTTGCAGTGAGCCGAGATTGTGCCACTGCACTCCAGCCAGGGTGACAGAGTGAGACTCTATCTCAAAAAAAAAAAAAAAAAAAAAAGAAAAAGAAACTCACTTTAAATATAAATATAAAAACAGATAGATTAAATGGATGGAGTAAGACATGCCATGCTAACATTAATCAAAAGAAAGTTGGAGTAGCTATTTTAATTTCAGACAGAGCAGACTTCTGAGTGAGGAATATGCAGGGATAAAGAGCATCATTACACAATAATAAGGAGGTCGATTATCCAAAGAGACATAACAATTCCTAATATATATGCTCCTAAAAACAAAGTGTCAAAAACCTAATAGAACTGCAAGGAGAAACAGGCAAATGCACTATTTGGAGACTTTAACATCCCCTCTATCAGTAATTGACAGGTCCAACAGTCAGAGAATCAGTAAGCATATAGTTGAACTGAGAAGCACCATCAACTGACTGGATCTAATTAACACATATACAATACTTCACCCCACAACAGCAGGATACACATTCTTCTTAAAAGATACCAGTAAGAAAATAGTAAGACAAACCATAGGCTGGGAGTAAATATTTGCAAATCATATATCTGATAAAGGACTATTATCCAAAATATATAAAGAACTCTTATAGTTCAATAAGAAGATGAACAATTGAATTTAAAAATTGGCAAAAGACTTGAAAAGACCTCTCTCCAAAGAAGGCTTATGAATAGCTAACAAGTATACTAATGATTAGGAAAATACAAATTAAAACCACGGTGAGATACCATTAGACAGCCACAAGAATGGCTATAATCAAAAGGACAGACAATATTCAATGTTGGCAAGTATGTGGAAAAACTGAAACCTTCATATGCTGCTGGTGGCAATGTAACAAGGTGCAGCCACTTTGGAAAATAATTGGCAGTTTCTTACACTTACCAGAAAACCCAGAATTCCACAATGAGAAATCCATCCAAGAGAAATGAAAAGATATGTCCACACAAAACTTATATGTGAATGTTTATAGAAGCATTTCCACAATAGCCAAAAATGGGACATCCAAATGTACATCAACTGGTCAATCAATAATTAGCTATTGTACGATTTTCTTACGCAAAATGGCCAGAAAAGACAAATTTATAGAAAAAGATGCTGGAAGTGGGAGCAGGGATTGGCTGCAAACAAACTTTTGGGGATGATGGAAATGTAAAACTGGATGGTGCTGATGGTTGCCTGACCATAAAAATTTACTAAAAATCATTTAGTTGTTCACCTGCAATGGGTGAATTTTGTGCAGTAGTATATAAATTAATCTTGTGTGTGTGTGTGTGTGTGTGTGTTTGTGTGTTTGAGACAAGGTCTCGCTCTGTTCCCCAGGCTACAGTGCAGTGGTGTGATCATGGCTCACTGCAGCCTTGACCTCCCAGACTCAAGTGATCCTCTCGCCTTAGCCTCCCTAGTAGCTGGGACTACAGGCCTGTGCTACTATGCCTGACTAATGTTTTTTATTTTTTTGTAGAGACGGGTTCTCACTACATTGCCCAGGCTGGTCTCAAACTCCTGGCTCAAACAGTCCTCTTGCCTCAGCCTCCCAAAGTGCTGGGATTACAGGAACGAGCCACTGTACCCAGCCCTGTAAATTACATCTTAATTTTTTTTTTTTTTGAGACAAGATCTCAGTATTTGAGATTAGCCCAGGTTAGTCTCAAATTTTTGGGTTCAAGTGATCCCCACACTTCAGCCTCTGGAGTAGCCTGGATTACAGGTGCATGCCATAGCCCCTGGCTTATAAATTTATTTCAAAGGTGAAAACGGACATTCTTGGGCCCCACCCTAGAATATCGATTTGAAATTTCTAGACATAAAGCTTAAGAATATGCATTTTAACAAGTTTACTGGATGATTCTCTTGTACAAAGAAAAGGCTTAGGGTAACCCTACCCCCTACCCAGGAGTCAATCATGTTCTGACTGATTTTAAATTAATTTTAAATTAGAAAATTCAGGTAAGAAATGCAAGAATTTGTTTAAATTAGGAGCTTCCCAAACTGGTATTAAGGGAAATCTCTTCTGAGAGTTGTAAATAGGTAAACTGAGTACAAAGTCTCCCTTTGCACAAAAAAAGGTTGCTTTAATTGTTAAAGTCAAGCAGGTTTCTTTTCTGTGTTCTTCTTTTCTTTTGGCTGGAATTTCCATATTTTCAATATGCTAATGTTTGTTTTGATTTGTCAACTGAGAGACAAAAATATGGAAGACACAAAATTTCCAAAGTTTATTTGATCACGGAACGTCCCCCCTCTGTGAGGGTGGGACTTCTTTGCCACGGAAAAGCCATCTTAGGACATTGTTATTTTGAGGCTGTTACTTATAATAGCTTATGTATGTATATCCTTCTTACCATATTACCATACCGCCTGAACAAATGTCCAGGTAAACCATTCAATTTAAGCATACATTCATTTTATTCCAAATTCACTGCCCTATATAAAAGTTCTCTCTACCACTATAAAACGCAGCTCAGGAATAGGGTCCTAAAGTATATTGTGGGATTCACACAAGTGTGGGCCGGCCCAGTGCAGGACCAAGATTGACACAGGAAATCACACTCACCTGTCCACAATGATACCATGAGGGATGAGGACATACTCCAAGTCTCCATAATAGTGCTGTGGGTACGTGAATAAATTCAAGTCATACCCTGGCCAATCATCCATAATCTGCAAATCAAATTATTTTGGTTATGGTATTTTTTCATCAGAAATTTGTTTAAAACATAACAAAAGAGTATCACTTGAGAGGAGAATTCCCTCAACTTATGAAAAGTTTAGTGGAACAAGGTTATTTGTTTCCACAACCTGATACAAGGCGCAGTACTAAAGTGAACAGAGCACTCCATTCCCAACTATTGGCATCATAAAATATTTGTTTTGTTTTGTTTGAGACTTTGAGACAGAGTCTTTCTCTGTCACCCAGGCTGGAGTGCAGTGGGGTGATCTCAGCTCACTGCAACCTCTGCTTCCCAGGTTCAATCAGTTCTTCTGCCTCAGCCTCCCGAGGAGCTGGGACTACAGGCATGTGCCACTACGCCCAGATAATTTCTGTATTTTCAGTGGAGATGAGGTTTTGCCATGTTGGCCAGGCTGGTCTTGAACTCCTGACCTCAAGTGATCCACCTGCCTCAGCTTCCTAAAGTGCTAGGTTTACAGGCATGAGCCACCACACCTGGCCTATCATACAATAAAAATATAAAGTCAGTGTTTTATAGCTAACCCGATAGCATTATTTGTGAGGGCATATGTGTAATATATAATTTTTCTCCAAATTATATATTTATAATATATAATATATTTAAATATAAATATATCATAATAAACAACATATTTGTAATTCTAAAATACATGCAGTATCATTATTATATTATACATACTATTACATTTCTATTCATTGTAAGTGCCTCATCTGCCTGGAAAAGATTTCTTATTAAAAGTACGTATCTCCTGGGATCAGAGTAGACCCAAACTTTTGAATGTCTAGTCACTATAGTAAAGACTTTAAAAGGATGTACTATGTTAGACACTTAAACCGTCCTATTAGAAACTGATGATCCAGAAAATTGGCCTATTCACATAGTGGATGGACTGATAGTAAGTCTCCCTCTCGCTTAGGACTTGATGTGCTAGTTTTACGGTTAGAATAGTAAAGAGGTGGGGGAGAAATGGAAGGTGAAGGTGGAGTTACTTTTACTTTTGGAACATCAAGAAAAGATGTAACAATGAAGTGTTACACACTCAGATCATACTCTAGCTGTATTCCAGTTTCCCATTCTTTTTTTTTTTTTTTTCTCTCTCTGAGACAGGGTCCCGCACTGTCACCCAGTCTGGAGTGCAGTGGTGCGATCTCTGCTCACTGCAACCCTGCCTCCCAGGTTCAACTGATTGTCCAGCCTCAGTCCCCTGAGTAGCTGGGACCACAGGTGTGTGCCACCATGCCCAGCTAATTTTTATGTGTTTTTTGTAGAGATGGGGTTTTGCCACGTTGCCCAGGCTGGTCTTGAGCTCATGGACTCAAGCCATCCGCCTGCCTTAGCCTCCCAAAGTGCTGGGATTACACGCATTAGCCAGCACAACTGGCCTCAGTTTCCCATTCTTTACTCACTCCTGCACACTTTGACTCCTCTGTCCAGCTTTGAGCTTCTGAGGCCTTTCACAATGCAGACCCACCCTAATTTTCCAGCACAACTCCCTACACCTTTGCTTCCTGCCTTCAGAATGGTTTGCAGTCAAGTCAGGATCCTTCCCAGCTCTGGGTTTCATTCATTCATTTGCCGTGCACCCCTTCATCCTCTCTCCCCCTTTCCTCCTCTACCTCTGTATTCCGAACTCAGAAGCCCAGGTCACACCCCACTTCTTCCTGGAGGCCTTGCTGACTGCCCCCGGCCTCTGATCTTCTTTCCCAAATTCCTGGTGCCCCTTGTAGCTCTCTGTCTTACCCAAGGCTCCCATGCAGGATCCTTGAGAAGGCTCCTGTCCCTTGGAATTGTCACTGACTCCTTTCTTTCATCGCCCTCAGGCAACACAGCAGAAAACTATCTTCAACTCCCTCGAAATTTATCCAGGACTACCTCTCGGCACCTCCACTGCTATTCCCCCACCCCCAGGCCAGTCCATTGCCACCATGATTTCTCCCAGGACTGTCCCAGGAGCCACTACACTTGCCTCCCTGCTTCCACTTTGCAGCCCCTCCACATGGAAGCGGGCATGCTCCTTTAAAAATGCACATCACAGCCAGGTACAGTGGCTCATGCCTGTAATCCCAGCACTTGAGAGGCTGAGGCGGGAAGACCTCTTGAGGCGAGGAGTTAGAGATCAGCCTGAGCAACACAGCAAGATCCTGTTTCTGCAAAAAATTAAAAAATTAGCCAGGCAAGGTGGTGTCTGCCTGTAGTCCGAGCTACTCAGTAGGCCAAGGTAGGAGGATCACTTGAGCCCGGGAGTTCGAGGCTGCAGTGAGCTATGACTGTGCCACTGCACTTCGGCCTGGGTGACAGAGCAAGACCTTGTCTCTCGAAAAATAAAAATAAAAAACAAAGGACATCCTATCATGGCAGCCTTCTGCTTAGATTTTTTTCAAGGGCTTATCACTTTACTCCAAGTAAAGACCAGAGTCCTCACTGTGGCTCACCAGGGATTACCTTGTCTGACTCATTCCTGGCACTCTTCCTCTTCCCTCTGCTTCAGCAGCTGCTCTCTTTCAAGTCCTCCGATCTGCCAATCACACCCCTGCCTCCTGAGCTTTGCACTGGCGCCTCCTCTTGCCTGCAACACTCTTCCTCCAGATTTCCACATGGCTGTCCTCTACTTCTTTCAAGTCTCCATTCAATGTCACCTCTGCAAAGACGCCTTCCCTGACCTTCATAGCCTGTTTTACCACTGGATGATGTGTGTGTGCATGGGTGTGTTCTGTCAGAACATGAGCTCCTTCTGGCGGAGACTTTTTCTGATTCATTGTTGAATCCCTCAGTGCCCAGAATGCTGATCTGGAATATGGTATAGTGCTCAAAAATGTTAAATGAATGAATGGATGACACAGTCTCCATCTTCCGGCTACCTGAAAACCTGAACTCCAACCTGAATTCTCAGTTTGTCTCCTTGTGATAAAGAGCACCACTGTTCAAGGTTCTGGAGATTCCAATGTGTCATATCCATTGGCTGACTGATGGCCACATGGTGTATATCATCTATGTTATTTTTTAAGAGACAGAATCTCCCTCTGTTGCCTAGGCTTGAGTGGAGTACCACAATCATAGCTCACTGCAGCCTCGAACTTTTAGGCTCAAGCGATCCTCCCACCTCAGCCTCCCAAGTAGCTGGAGATAAGGAGTGGACAACCACGCTCAGCTTATTTTCTTAATTTCTTTTGTAGAGACGAGGTCTGGCTATGTTGCCCAGGCTGGTCTCAAACTCCTGGCCTGAAGGGATCCTCCCACCTTGGCCTCCCAAAACACTGGGATTATAAGTGTGAGCCATCATGCCTGGTCAATCTGCATATTTGATTTGAAAAGTGTCTCGTTTGCTCTCCCTCTACCATCAAACTGGCCGGTGGGACTGCTGGATTTGCACCAAGCTCCTCTGGCTGCCACCCTGAGAACTCCTTGTACCTGCTATAACCTCTAACACTACAGCAGCTGGCCAGAGTCTAGACTACCAGCTGTACATGAGGAGATTCTAGGAGAGCCTCTGGCAGGCCACAGTAAAGACCAGACCAGGAGAACCCTGACTGGCCCCAGGCCCCAGGGGGATCATCCAGGTGTACAGCACTTTCTGGATCACCTTCCAGACCACATGTACTATCTACCCCACTTTCTGGAGCTCCTCCACCAGTGGCACCATTAACTAGTGGTCTTCTGAATCCATTCCTCCAACCACATCAATCCTTTACTGCCCCCGTTCTGGTTGAATCTTGGAGCATACTCTCCACTCCATGTTCAAGAGTTTGGCTCTGACACTTACTACTGTGATGTTAGGGAGATGACTTACTGTCTCTGAGATCCAGTTTCCCCTTGCTTTAAATAAGACACAGTAAAACCTATGGATAGGGTTATTATAAGGATAATGTACTTAGAATACCTGGAACACTGCATGGTGTATAATACATGATGTTTGACGCATAATGCCAAAAAAAGGAAACAGACTAAAAGTGCCAAAAATGAATGCCAAAAATAGGAAAAAAATGATAAGAAAATCACAAATGAAACAAACCTATAAACTGTAATATGGATCCATAGCCCAGAGGCCACACAGAGTAGTGTGTTAAGAGCATGGACATGGAAATCTCACACACCTGGGACAAGCCTGCCAGCCATGAGACCTTGGGCATATTAAATTCTCTTAGTGTATTCATCTATGAAATGGAGTTAGTGCCTGCCTCATATGGCTATGGTGAGCATTAAATAAGATAATGAATGTAAGACTCATATCAGTTTCTGGTCTACAGTACTTATGCAATAAATGCTAATCATTTAGATGAACTGAAACATCAATCATTTAACAACAAATTATATGTTTTAATTCATCTAAAGAAGTGCCTCAAACCTATATGCCAGTGTTATTATCTTAGTTAAAACTATACATTTGAGGCCTGGCACATTGGCTCATGCCTGTAATCCCAACACTTTGGGAGGCTGAAGTGGGAGGATCACTTGAGCCCAAGAGTGTGAGACCAGCCTGGGTAATATAATGAGAACCCATCTCTACAAAAAATAAAAAAAAAAATTGTTCTGGTGTGATGGCGTGTGCCTGTAGTTTCAGCTACTTGGGAAGCTGAGGCAGGAGGATGGCTTGAGTCTAGGAGGTCAAGGCTGTAGTAAGCCATGATCGCATCACTGCCCTCCAGCCTGGGTAGCAAAGTGAGATTGTCTCAAGAAAACAAAACAAAAAGTATAAAAGTAGAAGAAATATATTTCTCTAAAACTGTTCTATAATCCAAATTGGCCATTATTTTCAATTAATCTTAAATAGTGAGTTTTCATTGTTGAGATGAAAGTCGATTCAAGACGATGGAAATACTGGTTTATGCTTTGCTAACTTCAATGGTGCATGCAAATCGTGTTGTAAATAAATCAAAACCTGCAGGAATGGAGGTTGCTATGAACTGTAGATAACTGTTATTCACTTGCTTTTTAAAAAATCAAAACCAGAGTCTGTAGATAGTTTCAGTATCACAGATAATATGCTCTAAGTGTATTCAGTACAATGCTTTCTCTGTTCAAAACAGCAAAACATAGCCAAGCTGGGGGAAGTGACAAACCCATTAAGTGAGTCATTTTATGCAACATCCAAATCCCAGAAGTAATTCTGATTCTCTTTTTCGCACTGAAGATGCACTGAAAACTTTGTAAGTCATTAAAAATAATTTTTTTTGTGCTTAGACTATTTTTTGCATCATTTTTCTCCCTAAGGGAGAAAACACATACAAGAAGCTAATCTCTGCTCCTCTCCCCTGCTGAGCTCCACAGATTGGCCCTGTTCTCTCCTTCAGGCCATAGCTCTCATCTGTCCTCCACCAGCAAGAGAAAGGGGGTCTCATCCCTTCACTCTAATTCAAAGAATCCCAGACAGGAATTCTGGGATTCCTGTCCTAGCCCTAGAGCCAGGGAAGGAGGTACCCTGGGAAGGGCCCCACCTCACAACCATACATCTTGAAAAGTGGGGACAAGTGGTTTGCTAAAAGATTCCCAGGTTCTGCTCACAGAGGAATGAAGGAAGCTCGACAGGCCAACCACCTCCTATCCACATGCCTTCCTCTTCTGTGGTGGGTTTGCCCCACAGAAGGAAAACTCATTACCACCTAGTAGAGCTGTGCTTTCGATGGATTACTTATCTCTGATATTACCTGATTACTTATCTCTGATACTGCCGTATTTTCATGGGGGGTGACAGGAAGCCAGCCATAACAGAAACACAACAATCATTTCTGATTTCTCTCTTCTCCTGATTCCTACCAAACTCACTTAGGTAAGTACTAATAATAGCTCAGTTGATAATCATTTGGCAAAACCAAACCAGACAAAAACAAACAAACAAAAACATGTCTAATAACCCGATCCCCAAAAGCCAGGTGGATAGAGAAGATCTTTATCTCTCCCTGAGAAGTAACAAAGAGGTATCAACCAGGAATCTGGTGACTGTATTAGCTCCAGATCAAGTGACAAGCCAACTCTGAGCAAAATTTCTGACCTTAGGATCTACCTCTCTTATGTGGCAATTAGCATTTGCTACCATTTATTGTTAATGGTATAAATGTCCTACCTCCCCAGTTCAACCAAAAGCCAATTTATAGGCAAGAGCCATCTTAAATCTCTTAATATTCCCTTCTCTTGCACAAACTTTACTTCTCGTTTTATATTTATATCATCTGACTCTACATCCCTTGCCATCTTTATCAACAGATTTCTACCAACTCGGAATTTTCTTCTCTACCTCATTCCTGGACAATTCCTTGGCTGATTTACTCCAATGCCTACCTCAACGATCTTTCCAACGACTTCATCTTGTAGCTCCTTCACCAGCCTTAGCTCAAACTACATTCTTAACTCAAATCACATCTTTATTCCCCATTTAGCAATACATTCACATAGCCAGACCAGTCCTACAGATGGCCCCAACCCTGAAATTCCATCCTGGAATCACAGCTTGCTATGTAGTATAGTGATTGAAAGCTGGTTCAAATCCCGCTTCTGCCATTTGCTACTTATGCGACCTGGGTGATTTACTTAATCTCTCAGTGCCTCAGTTTCCTCTTCTGTAAAATGGGGAGCACACTAGACCTCCCTTACAGATTTGTGCTCAAGAAATGCTTGCTATTATTACCTGCCCTCTGCCCCTTTTTTCAGATGGGGTCTCACTCTGACACCCAGGCTGGAATGCAGTGGCACGATCATGGCTCACTGCAGCCTTGACTTCCTGGGCTCAGGTGCTTCTCCCACCTCAGCCTCCCCGGTAGCTGGGACTACAGGCATGCACCACCATGCCTGGCTAAGTTTTGTATTTTTTGTAGAGAGAGGGTTGGCTGCCCAGGCTGGTCTCGAACTCCTGGGCTCAAGTGATTTGCTCTCTCAGCCTCCCAAAGTGCTGGGATTACAGGTGTGAGCCACCACTCCCAGCCACCTGCCCCTTTTTAAAACTGGTACTAATTTGATTTTTTGTATCCCATCCTTGAGAGCTTTCTATTCTCCCAGTAAACTCATCCTCTCCAGCTCTCCCTTCCCTCCTGCCTTACATGCCATGAGCTGCCTTCTACCAGCAGCTTCGATTCGCTCTGAAGTTGCCTGCTTATATCCAACTTGAGGTTAATCTAATTATTCCAAGTTCTACTGGAGAAAAGGATGTAAATGTAGGGACTATCTCCATTATATGTGGATTATTTCCCACCTTTGTGGGCTCTCATGCAAGCACCAAGCCCCTTGGCAGCTGGTCCAGTTTATACTCATTTTTTTTGTTTATTTATTTATTTATTTATTTATTTTTTTTTTTTTTTTTAAGAAGGAGTTTCACTCTTGTTGCCTGGAGTGCAATGGTGCAATCTTGGATTGCTGCAACCTCCACCTTCCGGATTCAAGCAATTCTCCTGCTTCTGCCTCCCAAGTAGCTGTGATTACAGGCATGCACTACCATGCCAAGCTAATTTTGTATTTTTAGTAGCAGCAAGGTTTTACGATGTTGGTCAGGATTCTATTGAACTCCTGACCTCAGGAGATCCACCCACCTCGGCCTCCCAAAGTGGTGGGATTACAGGTATGAGCCACCTCACCTGGCCCTCTACTCTCTTGATACCCCTCTCACTACCTCTTTGCATCTTTCAAAAAATTACCTTGCTTCCAAGAGGACCTCTGTTGACACCAATAGACTGGGCTATTTACAGTGTTCTCTCACTTGTTTTTTAGACTTCAACAATTTACCTACTCTATCCGTGCATCTAGATTCACCTTATTCTTTTCTAAAAGTATGTAGTATGTTACGGTAGTACAAGTTGAGTACCCCTTATCCAAAATGCTTGGGATCAGATGCGTTTCCAATTTCAGATTTTTTTTCCTTTGGATTTTGGAATATTTGCATTATACTTCCTGGTTGAGCATCCCTAATCTGAAAATCCGAAATCCAAAATGCTCCAGTAAGCATCTCCTTTCAGCATCATGTTGGTGCTCAGAAAGTTTCAGATTTTGGAGCATTTCGGATTTTGGATTTTTGGATTAGGGATGCTCAACTTGTACTATATTTTAACCATTCTACCAATGCAGTGGTTGTTTAAAAGATTCTCCCTACTAATGGCTTTGTAATTGTTAAATACAGTGGCTGTTTTCCATCTTGGTATCCGACTTGCTGTCCCTGTAACATCTGACACTTCTGATGACCTCTTGACCCCGCCCCTCCTGCTCAACAATGCTCTATTCCCAAGGCACCCACCATGCTGCCTGCCCTCCCACCCTTCAAAGTTCTTTCTCGGTTCCTTCAACCAGCTTCTCCCCCACAGGCAGCCTCTTATATTTGGGACTTTCCAGGCTTCCATCCTTAACAGTTGCTTTAATTGTTTTTTCCATATTCACTGAGCACTCCCGAACATTACATATTATTCTTTTTGCTGATGACTTCCAAATCTCTCCAATCACTCTCCAGAATTCCAAATGTGAATTTCAAATTGCCTACAGTGCAGGCCAACCTGTGGGCCTTACAGGCACTACAAACTCAATTTGTCCAGAATGAACTTAATGATTGCCCTTTTTGCGTTTTAGTCCCCCTCCCATCCATCACACCGCTAGGCTTGCCCCTCCTCCTGGGGCAACTGGAATGGTTTTTGTAAAAGCATAAATCGGATACAATGATTCTTTTGCATTTGGTATGCGGGTCTCTGCCTGCAGTCCACATGGCTACTCCTGTGTACCCTTCAGATCTTGGCTCAAAGGTCACCGCAGAGAGGCTGCCCTGACCACCTGAGCAAAAGCATCACTCCCCCCTTCTCCTCCAATTACCCTCTATCCTGTTACCCTCCTCCTATTGCACATATCTCTATTTGAAATTTTCTCTATTTGTTTACACACTGCTTGCCTATGTCTTCTCTAGAACGCAAGCTCATGAAGACAAGGCCTTTGTCTTTTGCACCCCAGAGCCTACAGCACCTCCTACAACCCAGCAGGACAATAAACGTGTGGAATGAATAAATCAACTCCTCATCCTTTCAGAAGGAAAGGTCCTGCTGTTAAATTAAGCACTGAGCCCCACATTTCAACCTGACCCTTCTGTCTGAATGTGACACGTTTCCCTCCCCAGCCCACTTACTTTAGTTCAGGCCATTCATATTCATAAACAGATTATCTGTGAATGACAAGCTGATCCCTGGAAAGAGATGGCAAGTTAGCCCCACCCACCATCCTCACCACCATTGAGTTTCACACTGAACCTGACACAAGTTATAACCACCACCTTCTAGGAAAACCACTTCTCAGGGAGCAGGGAGGACGTGGCCACAAGGTCAAGAACGGGTTGGATCCTAGCACACTGAGAGATGGGTACCCTCTGGCTGACACCGTCAGGATTCTCAGGGTTAATGAGGCTCAGTTCTGGGAAACCAGCACCCCACACCCTCCCATCCGGACACACTGCTAGATATTTTACATGCATCCTCCCAATTGGCTCCAGAGCCCAGCTTGCTGTTGCTCCCTTTTACAGACAAGCCATAGGTCACTCAGGAGCCGCCAGCGTGTCCTAGAGCTCCTGCAGAGGCCTCCACTGCCAGAGAGCCCCCAACCTGGGTACCAAAGGCTTCAAATCTCAAGCTCTGTCCACTTGAGCTACTTTATTTCCTAGCTGCCTTCAAAACCCCTCAGTGTGCTTTTTAAAAACAAAACTTGAAGCCCGCCCTGGAGGAGTCAAGAGGAGACCCAGGAAGAAGGAGGCCTCCAGAGCAGCACGCGGGGGTCTCTGGGGCCCTGCCGGGCTCGCAGAAGCGACTCCCCGTGGCTCGCGGGGATGGGGACGGCTGGGCGCCGGCGGGACGCTGCAGGAGCGAGCTACCGGCCGGAGGACACGGGGGGACGCTGGGAACTCGGGGTGAAGGGACGGGACTCAGAGTTTCGTCAGATTGGGGGCGGGGAGAGGAGGCCCGGGTCCGAGGATGGAAGCGATCCCCGCCGGGAGGGAGAACAAAGCGGTGGCCCTCTCTCTCCCCCGACGCACGGCAAGCATTTAATCTACAAGCAGGGTGCCAGGGAGGGAGGGGAGCGGGCCGAGCCCCAAAATAGGGAGTTTGCATTTACCACGACGCCTCGCCCGTAGTCTGGCGCCTCCTCGCTGCTCCCGGCCATGTTTCTCCCGGGGAACGCGGGAAGGGAAGACGGCGCGGGAAGGAGCAGGGAGGGCGAAGGCTGCGTGGGGGATGGGACGTGGGGATGGGGACGGGGACGGGGACGGGGACGGGGACGGGGACGGGTCCGCCCCGCCCCGGGCCCGCCGGCGGGAAGCAGCGGCCTGACGCGGATCCATGGCCCCGGCGCTGCGCCCCCTCCCCTGGCTAGGCCGCGGGGGCGCGGGGAGCAGCTGCCAAGCCGCTACCGCTCCCCCTGAGCGCGGGCCCCGGACGCGTCCCTTGCGGCCGCCGCTGTCGCCGCCGCCCCCTGCCGGATGGTCGCGTGCAGCCCCCGGCCCCGCCGCCAAGCCCCGCGGGGACTCTGGAGCAGGAAGCCCGCGGCAGGAAGAGAACGTGTCCCCCAGGCCCCTGATTCCCAGATCCACCGTCCCAGCCCTCGGGCTAACAATCTCCTTGACTCCTCCCTGCCAGATTTCATGCACGCGATTGTCCCAAGCAGAAGCGTGAAAGAGCCTGTGAGCCAGCGTGCTCTTGGAGGATGGGAAGTGTCCTGGATGTGTTTTCAAACCTTGGAGCCGCCACCCACCTCTCTCCACCTCCGCTCATCTCCCTCCACCTCCCCTCACCTCCCTCCACCTCCCCTCACCTCCCTCCATCTTCCTCCACCTTTCTCCACCTTCCCCCACCTCCCTCATCCCAGGGCCTGGAGCTGGAAAGATTACACCCGATTGCTTTTAGGGTGGCCCGGATCTGCAGTGATCAGATCTGGGCTTTGAGGATCCAGCCTTTCGGCCTTTCGTCAACTGCATTCAGGGGAGGAGGGGGAGAGATTTTTACACATTCTCTGCTTTACCAGTTTTGCAAGAACATCTGGTCAGATTGTAATTGTTCCAGGTTGCAGCTTTACTAAAGCAATCGCTCTTTTCTGATTAGAAATCCTTCTTGTATGAGTCTGTTGTTCATTTCAACCCCTCTCACATGCCTATGCTCCGGTTCTTTGTCCACTCCTGTAGGTTCCTGCTTTTTCTGGGTGTGTCTTCATTCCCCAGGTCCCTGACATCTCACCAGCGTCTTCATTCACTCAGCCCAATTCGGGTCGAAGCCCTGAATCCAAGAGAACTTAACACAGTTTTCCTGATGCAGGCGTCTTTTGTTCATCTTCGAATTCTGGCACACAGAGGGGAGAGGAATGCTGATTTTGCCTAGTTTAAAGGGGAAATAGTTATCAATCGGTTAATGACGTTCTAGGTTGGAAAAATATTAGTCATTCAGACTTGGCGCCCTGGTCCTGCTCAGCAGGGCTGGCTCTTCATGTCGTTTCTAAGCGCCAGCGCCTTGGAGGGTGCAGCTCCAGAGATCCCTGAAATCAGGCATCTGCTTGGCAACTGCCTTACAGAAATGGGGGGTGTTGTTTCTCAGCACACGGGTAAACATTTTCTCCTAGTAATTGTGAGAGGGCGTTGTTTTGAGCCATTTTTGTAGTCTGCATCTCACTTCTTTTCCCCAAAGTCAAGCACCATCTTTTATTTTCATTTTCAAAGACCAGGCCCAGGAACCATATTCACAAGCAACATCATTAAAATTTCCAGGAGCAGAAAAGTGCTATCATTAGGATGATGATCAAACTTTAGAGTTCACAAGACTCTCCTGGGGAGCTGGTTAATGCAGCTTCACTGGGTGGGGAAGATCTGTGGAAGCACCTAGAATCCTGTACCTGCTGAGAGACACCAGATGGGTGTGATGTGGGTGGCTCATGACCCATGCTTTAGGGGATTCCACTAGACCATCTTACTGCTTGGATATCAAAACTTAGCCATGAGGCTCAGTGTGGGTGCAGGGCCAGATTGGGGGGTACCAGGAACTTCAAAATATGTCACAGGAGTAGTTGCCATACAGAAGTCAAAAAGCATCAACTTTGGTTCCAGCCTAGACACTGCGGAAGATGTAAGGGAAATGGTAGATAAATCTTCTTCCCTTAGAAAGGCTATTAGTTTAAACGTAAAATCCAACAAGTTCACAGTGAAAAATGTAACTTGCTTGAAAGACAACAGGAATCTTATGAATGTGTGCTCAAGAACATCCTACATAGACTTATATAGGTCATCCTATAAAGGGCACAGAATGATGAGTAAATAGTTTTTAAAAATCTAATTCATTTTATTATCTTTGTATATTTTGATAATACTTTGTGCGGTCTGATTACACTTCGATACTTTGGAGAGCATTAACATAATACAAAATAATACTTGATAACCCAAATAGTATTTGCAAAGACCGGTATCCAGAAATAACAGCTCATCTGTCCAAGGCTTTATTCTTAATCTTGCATTATGAGGATTTAGAGGCAAAAATTCTTTTTAAACCTCAAATTTCTGTTACATGTTGTATTAGTCTGTTCTCATATTGGTATAAAGAACTACCTTAGACCTGGATAATTTATGAAGAAAAGAGGTTTAATTGACTCACAGTTCTGCAGGCTGTACAGAAAGCAAGGCTGGGAGGCCTCAGGAAATTTACAATCATGGCAGAAGGCAAAGGGGAAGCAAGCACGTCTTACCATGGCAGAGCAGGAGAGAGAGAGAGCAAGGGTGTAGTGCCACATACTTTTAAACCATCAGATCTTGTGAGAACTCACTCACTATAACGAGAACAATATGGGAGAAATCCACCCCCATGAGCCAATCACCTCCCACCAGATCCCTCCCCCAACACTGGGAATTACAATTCAACATGAGATTTGGGTGGGGACACAGAGCCAAACCATATCACATGTCTAGTGGAATAGCTTTGGACTAGGACCTCTATTTTTCTGTAACAATCCATGTTACTTTAGCCAATGAGTCTAAGCCAATTATATCAGTGTAATATACATCAATTTTCTCATCCATAAAATGGAGCCACCCATTTATTCTCTACTGCATATGATGATGAGATGAATGTGAGATAACATGCAAGAGAATTCTTTGCAAAATGCTATAAAACTGTAAGATATTATTAACCTGACATGCTGTAAAAATGTATGACCAAATGTTTGTAAAATTATTCCATGTGAAAATGACAAGGAATTGTCTTTTAAGGTTGATGGGGCTAGGCACCATGGCTCACACCTGTAATACCAGCACTTCGGGAGGCCAAAGCAGGAGGCTCACTTGAGGCCAGGAATTCAAGACCAAACCTGGGTAACATTGTAAGACCACATCACTATAAAAAATTAAAAACTTAGCCAGGTGTGGTAGCGTGGCACCTGTAGACCTAGCTACTGGGGAGGCTGAGCTGGAAAGATTGCTTGAGGCCAGAAGTTTGAGGCTGCATTGAGTCATAATTGCACCACTGCACTCCAGCCTGGGTGACAGAGCAAGACCCTGTCCCTACAAACAAATAATAATAATAATAATAAAAGATTGACGTAAGGTGACCAATCAGGGATAGTTATAGTCCAGGGATAGTCTAGAGCTGGTATGAGAATGAATACAGAAAAATGATAAAATTATTAAAATAATGAGATTTTTCATAAAAAGGGATATTTTAGCTCAGACTGTCCATTTCCTTTTCTTTTTTTTTCCTTTCCAACTTTTATTTGAGGTTTGGGGGTACACACGCAGGTTTGTTTGGGAAAATTGCATGTCGCAGGGGTTAGGTGTACAGATTATTTCATCACCCAGGTAATAACCATAGCACCTGATACATAGTTTTTTGATCCTTACCCTCCTCCCGCCCTCCACCCTCAAGTAGGCCCTGGTCAGACTGTCCATTTTCTAATATACCTTTGAAAGAGCTATAAGAATAAAGATGTGCATCTTTGCAAAGTTAATAACCAGTCAATATACTTGTATTTTTCTATCATTCTCTTTATTACATTTTAGCAGTAGTTTCTCTGCATTTTATTTATTTTTTTTTTTTGGTGTTTATATTGTGTTTACTTACTTTTTTTTTTAGTTTTATTTTTAACTGACACATAATAGTTATACATATTATCTATGGGGTACAGTGTGATATTCCACTACATGTATACATTGCATAATGATCAACTCAGGGTAATTAGCATACTCATCATCTCAAGCATTTTTCTTTTCTTTGTGGTGAGAACATTCAAAATTGTCTCTTCTAGCTGATTTGAAATATACAACACATTATTGTTAAATATATCATTCTGCTGTGCCATACAGCAGGTGTCCCCAACTACCGGGCTGCAAACTGGTACCAGCCTGTGGCCTGTTAGGAACTGAGCTGCACTGTAGGAGGTGAGTGTCAGCGAGCATTCCCACCTGAGCTCTGCCCCTGTCAGATCAGCAGCCGCATTCGATTCTCACAGGAGCACAAACCCTATGGTGAACCGCACATGGGAGGGATCTAGGTTGCATGCTCCTTCTGTGAACCTAACTAATGCCGGATGATCTGAGATGGAACAGTTTCATCCTGAAACCATCCCCCCTCAAAATCCGTGGAAAAATTGTCTTGCACAAAACAGGTCTTTGGTGCCAAAAAGGTTGAGACTACTGCGTTAGTGTACCAGAACTTATTCCTCTCATCTAACTATAACCTAGTACCTACTAACCAACTTCTCCTACTCCTGCCACTCCTCCCCACCTTTCACCTGACTCTGCTAACCAGTATTCTAGTCTCTACTTCTATGTGATCAACTTTTTAAAATTCCACATATAAGTGAGATCATGTCGTATTTGCCTTTTGTTTCTGGCTTTTCTTGCTTAACATAATGTCCTCCAGGTTCATCCATGTTGTTGCAAATGACAGGATTTCATTCTTTTTGTTGAGGTCTTATCCAAAAAATCCTTGCCTGGACCAATGTCATGAAGTGTTTCCACTATGTTTTTTTTCTAGCAGTTTCATCATCTCAGGTTTTACATGGCAGTCTTTATTTTGAGTTGATGTTTGTTTGTTTGTTTGTTTGTTTGTTTGTTTTGAGACGGAGTCTTGCTCTGTTGCCCAGGCTGGAGTGCAGTGGTTTTATCTCGGCTCACTGCAACCTCCGCATCTCAGATTCAGGTGATTGTCCTGCCTCAGCCTCCCAAGTAGCTGGGATTACAGGCGCCCACCACCACGCCCGGCTAATTTTTGTGCTTTTAGTAGAGATGGGGTTTCACCACATTGGCCAGGCTGGTCTCAAACTCCTGACCTCAAGTGATCTGCCTGCCTCGGCCTGCCAAAGTTCTGGGATTACAGGCATGAGCCACTGCATCCGGCCTTGAGTTGATTTTTGTATATGGTGAGAAAGAGGGGTCTAGTTTCATTCTTCCACATGTGGATATTCAGTTTTCCCATCACCGTGATTCTCTGCATTTTAAATTCTGTAATCATCCTGTGCCACTACCATGGTGAAAACACAAATATTTATAATTCACTGAATTCTCTGCCAGCCTGGAGGCTTTTGTCCTGGAAGTATATACTAATTTTTTTTTGACATTTTGGTAATTGACTTTTGTCAATACAAATCTGTAATTGAAGGAACAGTTCAGTCTATCCACTGAATTGTTCCTAGCCCGTCACTCAGTGACACTAGATTGGAAATACAGAAAGGCATTTAATTCTTTCTGCACTAGACTGGAAATACAGAAAGGCAGTTAATTCTTTCTGAGTCTTGAAACATGAAAGTAAATTAAAAAAAAAAACCTTTCAGTCTGGGAATTGTGTTGAAATCCATAAACATCTGAAACTTAGTGACTCAGATTGTTAGTCACAGAGTCACTGGTTAGAATCTGGATGAAATCCACTGTGGACAAAGGCCAGTAATAATGATGATGATATTTTGCTTTTCCATAGTGCCGAACAAAACTCTTTACAAATGTTACAAGTACAAAAGAAAGAGTAGCAAGACATTTTTTCTGCAAGTGCTCAGGCTAAGTAAGACTCTTGCTAACTTTGAAGTAGTTTATTTTTCCCTCTACATAAATACAAAAGAAATGTAGTGGCAAATAATTGCAACAAAACCCAACTTAAGCAAAGGCCTCATTAGTATTCAATTAGCATAGTAACCCGTCTTTCCCGGTCTCTTGTTTGAAGCAGACTGGATCCAATGTGTAGTCTTGGAGTAAAGAAAATAATATCTCCAGAGTAGGTCTTACAAATAAAGCCAAGGCTACACTCAATTGTGTTTTGTATTATTACACTTTCGTTAGTAATTCACCTTCCACTGAAGAACACACAGAGGGTAGATCTAAGTTTGTTCTCTTGCAATAATGTCAGACCTGAGGAATATCAGCAGTAAGCGCTGGGCAGTTTCAGAGATATCCTCCCACTATCTCCCCTTCTGACCGGAACAGGAATTGGATAGCTTCAGAGCAAAAGAATAATGTGTCCATGTGTTCCTCCAGATCTCTGAGTCCTGGCAGTCGACCTCAACTCTCTTGGCCACCATAAAGCAGTCATTGAAAGGACACAGCTGCAGGAACTAGGGACTAAGCAGTAAATAAATCCACAGGGCTGGAGGCAGAAGTTACGTACATGACCCTAAAACAATACTCTGTGGTTATGAACAAACTGATTAGCATCTGAGGGTCCTGTAGCAGCTTATGCAAAATTAATTGGTGCCTCAGCCAGTGCTGAGTTTCTAAAGGAAAGATGTCCACTTCAAAAACAAAAACAAAAAAAGGGGGGCCTCCTTAGTCAGCAGCAACTTTGCCTGGTGTCCTGGGGAGACGATCAGCTAGAATGGGAATGGAGCTGTTTATTCTCTTAGCTGTACATGGATTCTCTTCAGATCAGAGCTGATGTATAACAGCCACTGGCAATATCCCAAGACATGATCCAGTGATTGCCAGGTTATGGGTTGCATCTTAGAGTTAAGGTGAGAGGAGCTTGGGAAAGAGGTTGAGAGATGTGGCTTGAGAGTGGGAGAGATGGAGAAAGTAAAAGAAATTGGACACTGATCTACATAGAGCAACACTTCCCTAATTGTGAGTTTGATCCACTTTATATTTGAAGAAAATGGCGTTTTGATTCATTAGGTTTGAGAAACAATTAAGTAAGCAAAGTTAAGCCAACTTCTATGTTGTAGGTCTTCTAGGAGTCTTTAGTACGCCAATATGCACTGCCAATATTCAGGAAGACTGTTGCAAAATGCAATGTAATGCAACGTTTCCCAAACTTTTTTTTTTTGTCTATGCAAACCTTTCTGGAAGGTGTTTTATAAGTGTTTTAAAAATATTGCAGTATTATGAAATGTTTAAATTTATGCTTTTAATGTTTTCTCCAAGTAAGAGGTTTTATATATTCTTAAAGATACACTAAAAGGACTAAATATTTTATATATAACACTGTTTTCAAATTGTGCATAGATATTTTCTCTTCGTAAAAATATATAATAGGAATTTAAATGAAAATGGCTAAGGCCTTTCTCATCTTGTGAAATATCCTGGATTTGCAATTTGGGTTATCCTTCAGATTGACATGCAACTTGGTGTTTTCCTAGAAGACAAGGAACTTATTTCCATCTCCCTACCCCCACCTCCATCCCCCACCCCCTTTCCCATTTTTGCCATTTTTCTCTCTCTCATGTGTGAACAAAATCAGCCTTCTGAATAGCAAGAGAGATGAAAGCCATCTCATTGCGGCAATTCCCTTTTGTCTCTCTCAGTGACCATGTGGTAGCTTGCAAAGGTAATTGTTTGTTTTTAGACATTGCCAGCATGTGGAATATCCCAGCGAACCAAGAAGCAGAGCTGGGATGTGGTATTAAAAGTCATACAAAGGTATGGGCATACTGGGCTCATGGTTCCTTTCAAGGAACTCTCCCAGTGGGAATCTATTGCAGCTCTCACATTAAGAGTCCTATGGGTTGCACTTGAAGGAACTGGGTTCCTTGTGTTTTATTTGTTTTATTATTATTATTTTATTTTTATTTTTATTTTTTGGAGATGGAGCCTTGCTCTGTTTCTCAGGCTGGAGTGCATGGAGCAATCTCAGCTCACTGCAACCTCCACCTCCTGAGTTCAAGCGATTCTCCTGCCTCAGCCACCCGAGAAGCTGGGATTACAGGCGTGCACCACTACACCCTGCTAATTTTTGTATTTTTAATAGAGACAGGGTTTTACCATGTTGGCCAGGCTGGTCATGAACTCCTGACCTCAAGTGATCCACCTGCCTCAGCCTCCCAAAGTGCACCCTCACCACGCCTAATCCTCCCAAAGGATTACAGGCATGAGGCACTGCACCCAGCCTATTTTTTGTTTTTTTTTAATGGAGACAGGGTCTCACTCTGTTGCCCAGGCTGGTTTCGAACTCCTGGGCTCAAGCCATCCTCCCGCCTTGGCCTCCCAAAGTGCTAGGATTATAGACATGAGCCACCACACCTTGCCATTCCTTGTGTTTTCTAACTAGGCATCTCTTACCTACACTCCCTTCCTCAGTTGGGACTGTAGGATCCATGGCAAGTTGAACCTGACTCATAGAGGGTCAAATCTGCTATGTTTCAGCCATTCTGTTTATAACTTTTTAAAAGACAGTGCAAAGGTATTTTTCCATTTTAAATTAGTATGTACAAGTTGTTTTAAACTGGAAAATATAGAAAAACAGAAGTAAAATAGAAAACCGTGTTATATTTTGGTGCCTTCTTCCAGTTTTGTGATTCTGGAAAGTTTATCTTACCTAGTTGTGACTAAATGCACAGGCTGTAGTTCTGTTCCCTTCTTCTCTGCTTCACATTCTAAGTAAAATAAACATATAACACAAGTGTTTTTCCATAGTATAATAAACTCCTTATAAACATCATTTGAAATAGCAATGCCATCACTTATTTAACCATTCCCCAGTATAAGTATACTACTTCCAAATTTTGATTGTATAAATATATAAATAAATGTGTTTGTAATAAACCATTTATATGCATTTTAACTATTTCTAGAGGATAAACTCTCCAGAAATGGAATTTCTAAGTTAGAGAGTATAAATATTTTAAGGTTCTTGATATATATCTTGCTAAATTTAGCTTACAATATTAGTGTCTTTTTTTTTCAATGGAAGAATACAGTAAATCTTACAAGATTTTTCACTGAAAGTGAATTAAATTTTACTGTGAAAACACTTTGAGGTTCGAGGGAAAAGAATATTAGCTAACATATGTTAAAAGCGTAGTAATTGGAACTAATAAAAAAAGTCAGTTTGAATTTGTGATTCATTCTTTACTATACACTATTTTAAAACAATGTGGTTTTATCATTGTACTCCATAAAGTAATACCTAGACTAATGAAAAGTTTATGGTGCTGTGTTTCAGGGTTTTGGCTCCAACTCAGGCAGACTCAGCTTTAAAACCAGACTCCACCACCTACCACCTGATTTTGACCGTGAGCAAGTTTCTTACTTTCTTTGCTTTATTTTTCGTATCTGTTCAATGGAGATCATGCCAGTTCCTGCTTCTTAGGGTTACTGTGAGGATTAAAGAAAATAATGTATACAGAGTGCTGAGTACCTAAGGAGTGCTCAAAACCTTTTACCCAATATTAAAATAGAATTATTGTAGTGGAATTCCTGGTCAGTCAGAAGTTCTGTGTTATTAATGATGAACAGGTCAGTTAGCAGTTTTAAAAAATAAACCTACAATCTGTAAAAGCTTCATCATGTAGATGAGCTAACACGCTCCCATGAAATTATATTTATGTCTTGCGTTATCAACTCGTTCTATACATGTTATATCATATATTTATATGTGAGTATGTAAAACAAAAGTAAATTACAAGAATATCTCTGTCTAGTTAGTATAAATAGTGATGGGTTCTGAATTAAGAGCCCCATTTTTTAAATTATTGCTTTACTATTTTTATCTTACATTAGGAAGAAAATATTAGTCTGATTTGATGCCCTTAATGTTTGGAATATAAAGGACAACAACACACATTAACTTCAAAATCAATGAATATACTTAAAATAAGCTCTATAGCAAACATAACTACATCACTAAATCTCAATATTTATAGTTTATTTCTAAGGAACAAATGTAAATGGATCGAATTTTAAAAATCATTTAAACATTTTTCTAAGTGTCTGTAAAAAGGATTAGAAGAAGTGTAACATACATGTTGAAAGATTGTCCCTCAATGCAGAAGTGGGCATTGAATTTGGCACTTGGTTTGAAGCAGTTTTCTCTTTCCATAGCCATTGTATATGCCATTCGGTTACTGTGGTCAGTGGTTTTCTTGCCTTAGAACTCACTTTACCTTAGATTCTCTTCTGCGTCTTAGCTCAGCAAAATGATCATGATCCTTCTGAACCTAAAGCTCAGGCCAACATTGTCATTATCTCAATTTGTCTCTTGGCTTGAGAAAGAACTTTCAGATTCTCTTCAGTTCATATCAAACACACAAAGCAAACAACCCTAAAAGTCACACACACAGGTGAGAACTTTTCAACACACTTTAAATTAAGGCAATTCAAAGAATAGGAGACTAGAAAAATCTAG
Source organism: Homo sapiens (assembly GCF_000001405.40). Lineage (NCBI taxonomy): Eukaryota > Metazoa > Chordata > Mammalia > Primates > Hominidae > Homo > Homo sapiens. The sequence goes on from NC_000010.11 coordinate 24,962,988, forward strand.
TTTGCATGGTAAGGCCAGATGCTGAACCCAGAAATAATAATTTCTTTCTAATTCCAAGATTGATGTCACTGGCTTTCCATTCTCAGATTTCTCAGCATGTTCATTACAATCAGCCACAGAGTACAGCTGACACCTAGGTCACCTTTTCCAGAGAATAAAGGGATGAGAGATGGGTGACTCAGACTTTTCTGTGGGTCTGGGTATTTTGCCAAAGCTTAAGCGATATAGACAGAATGCCTTAGCAATTGTGAAAGTCATACCTGGACTCTGTACTCATTACCTTTCACCGTGTTAGTCAAGTCATATTACCTTTTGTATTCTGTTTTTCTGTGTGCAGTGTTACCTGTGACCTTTCTGTATTCTTTTTCGACATTTATTTTCTAAGTTTTAAAACTAGTCTGTGTTTCTGAGCTCTTGCTTTAGGCGTAGTTCTCAGGTTCAGACCAATTGCCTAATCAACTGGGTTGATTTTTAAAAGTAGCAGACTTTTTAAAATGGCAAATATGAAGAATGGTTATTGAGGTTGTTATTATTCAGGAACCTCTTTCAGTTGGTTTGGGAAACCTGGAACGTACAGTTCTGATGATTTTTCTTATTCTTAGAGACATTACACATGTTCTAAAAGTTTTTTCCAAATCTCTTTCCATATTTTCTTTTTCTTCTTGCAAAAGACAAATAAAAAGAAAAATTTTGACATTAAAAGCAAACCATGAAAAATGATGTAAAACATCAGGCAACCAAAAATTCCCAAAAGCCCGTTTGCTTTTTCCTAGAGAAAAATAAAAACGGTAGAAATAATGATCTAAGAAACATTCCCCATTTCACACAGCACATTCTAGGAACGTCTGAAGATTAATGGAGCATGCAGGAAAGGCTTCTCTATCCATTGTGAAAAGCTGTGGACAGCTCTGTCATGCTGTCATTCTCTAGGTTTGGGAGCTTAGAAGATTTTGCCAACAGAAGTACCCAGGTTTGTAAAACGCCATGAATTTTACCTGGTTTTATAAAGATCAGGGTTTCCCAATATTAGCAATATAGACACTTGGAGCTCCATGATTCTTTGTGTGAAACTGTCCTGTGTATTGTAAACTGTTTAACAACATTCCTGGCTTCTTTTGCTCCTTAGAACCCAGTAGCACCCCCAATTGTAACCATCAACAATGTCTTCAGAAAGTGCCAAATGTCCATGGTGGCTGGGGGTAGAGGGTGATAGCCCAAACTCATCCCCTGCTATTCTTTAACATCACTGCCCTAGAGTAACAGCCTTTATACTGACCTCAGCTGTTTCCTACTCTGTTTTTAGGAGGTAAATGAAAATGTTAGGCTCATAGCTGATAGACCCGTAGACAGTAGGTCTGTAGCTCTCATGAATATGGGAATAACGAGAGAAAAGTTTGTGTGTGTGGGTTCTTTCTTTCATGCTTCCTGGAATAAAAAACATAAACACAAAGAAAATATAAATTGTTTCAAACATAGAGAAACATAAGTTAAATGAAGCTCAGGTCAAAATGCAAAGCCAAAATTAGAGACCTGCACTTTCTTTTTAATATAAAATCAATCATTTCCATTTTCTCTTAGTCTTTCAAAATTGGAATTTGCAGTTTATAATATTAATAGACGTCCAAGATTCATTGATATTACTTCCATTTCATATAAAGGAAAATGACTCTTGGGAGACTAAGCAATGTACTTATGACTATCCACAGTAATGATATTTTAAATTCATGAGGCTTACAGCAGGATCCAGAAGTGAGCTTCCCTTCTTAGACCTGCCTTTGACATAAAACTGTCCAGGCTGAGCAGCGTGGCTCACGCCTGTAATCCTAGCACTTTTGAAGTCCCAGGTGGGCAGATGGTTTGAGCCTAGGAGTTCAAGACCAGCCTGGGCAATATGGAGGAACCCCTTCTCTACTAAAAATCAATATCTTAGCTGGTCATGGTGGTGCACACCTGCAGTTCCAGTAACTCAGGAGGCTTTGGTGGGAGGATCACTTGACTAGGAGGTTGAGGCTACAGTGAGCCATGATTGTGTCACTGCACTCCAGCCTGGACGACAGAGCGAAATCCTATCTCAAAAAAAAAAAAAAAAATTAGAACCATCCAGTCTAAGATGAACAAGCCATTGTCCTGCTATTGTGGGAAAACCTGGAATCAGGAATCCCAACCCTGAAATCTACCATGTCCTGCCTCTGTCACTTACTGTGTGATCTTGGGACTCACAACCCTAAGGTTCACTTCCTTTGTGTGAAAAATGAGAACAACTGCAATTGATTGATGTGACTGTTGTGATGATTATCTTAGTATCACTATCACCGCCACCCACTTTATTCTTCCGCGTTTCCTCCTTTTCCTTCTTTCCTCTCCACTTGTGTCTGGTCCACTGGCCTCCAGAGGCCACAGCCCTCATTGACTTGCCCAGCCCTGATTCTGAGCCCCAGCCCTAAAGAGAGATTATGCAAACCTCTGCAGAGTTTTCAGAAAAAGCTTACATGCTTCATCAAATTATCTCTGTCAATTTCTTACTACTTGAAATGATTTCTTCAAATTTCCAAGTGCTTAGATGTCTATGAATATGGAAAATTAAGTTCTCTGTGAAATATAATCAGAAATGCCTTTGGGTTGAGTGGAAGGAATATTGGCGAGGATTCCTCTATGGATGGATACTCAGTCCTTTGCAGGGCCCTGCATTTCATTTTTGAGCAGCTCTAGTTATTGAAAAGTGTATACTTTCCTCTTGATTTTTCTTCTGGAACAACACTGGTTGAATCTCTTTCCTTGTTCACTAATAAGCTACAGAAATCAGCAAGTCGTGGGCCTATAAACTTGCTGCATTTAAAGATTTTATATGAGAATACATCAAATACAAAATAATGAAACGAATTCCACAGCCACACAACCACCTGAAACCTGGTCTTGTTTCTTGCATTTAGTAGAGGTTGTGTAACTTGGGAGGTTGACCTGATTCTTTAGTTAAATGATTTCTGAAGTATGAACATTAAAATTTCAGAATAAGAGATATAACTGGCAGAGAAAATAAGTTATATTTGGCTTTGCCTGCAATAGTATTTGGATATTGACTCAATAGAGGATGCCCTTAAGAATACTTTGCCAAGAACACATCCAGATTCATCACCTCCCTCCTGAAGAATAAGTGTGAAGCACAGTGCAAGGAGAGTAGAAACTGGAACCTCTCTGCTGCATCCAGAAAACAGAAAATCAAATATGTCACTTACACAATTTGCCATTTTGGCATCAATGCCACCTTTATATTTAAAGAAGAAAAAATGAAATGTGTGCAAAGAAAGGCCCTAATAATAAAGTGGCTAATAAAGGAGAGACCCCAATGTGTTGTACATGCAACCTTCTCATTAACTTTGAAAGCAGCACCAACTTTTGCTGAGACCACAACACCCTCTTGCTTTCTTCAGTCCTTTCTCCCAGTGCTGTGGGCCTTTTTTTGGACATCAGAAACACCTTTTCTCTGAGACAATTTCCAGCATTAACTGAGCAGCCTGGGCTGCAAGCCTGGTGCCCCAACACCGTTTTCATTATTCTCTTAATGGAATCACACTCTGTTAGAATGTGTCACTCCACATGTGTAAGGATTAAAACGGATGGAATATGGTACAAGAAGGATGCTGGAGATTAAGTGAAATCTTAGTGAAGAGTACTTCCTGTACCTTTTTAGGCATCTGAGTATATTCCTTTATTTATGGGCATCCACACTCTCACCCATCAACACCTCTATTATGAATTATTGATGGTGAGATCTTGGACAATTACCTAACCTCTCCATGCTTCAATTTCCCTATCAGTAAAAGAGGATGATAATCATATCTACATCATAAGGCTATTATGAGGACTGAGTTAATTTAGATTAAGCACTTAGAATAACGCAGACCCTAGTAAGAACTATATATGTTTGCTATTGTTACTACAACAGAGAAGAAAATGTGGTAGTGTCTGTTTTTCACTTTATTGGCTATTCATGGCTTTGAAAAGTCATAACAATTTATTTTTTTTTTTACCTAACTAAATAAGCAGATTTACTGCCAGTTATGAACAAGGTCTGCTGCTTTGCACATCATAACAGGCCAGAAAGATTCCAGATTCCATGGGTACCAGGTTCAATTTCTGGGCTCCACGAATTCAGAGCTCCTGAGTCTTCTTTTTCTGGTATGTGTGTATGTGTGTGTGCGTGTGTGTGTGCATGTACATGTGTGTGCATGTGTGTGCGTGCATGCACTGAAGAGTGGCAGAGACAGATCCAGCTGGTCCAGACTGCCCGTTCTTCTGTCATTACTCTACATAGTGAAACCGTGTGATTTCTTTCATCAGGTGCAGCTGGTACCACCTGGTCTGCCTTTAATGGATGTTCTGCCCAGAAATGATGAAAGGCTTTGGCTCTTACAACTGAGAATAAACCCCCAAATGAGCTGAATGCTCACCATGGAGGTAGTGGGGGAAGGATGGGGAATTTTAGCTCTTCTCTTTCTTTCAGTGAAGCTTTATAGTTCTCATTGTGTTACTCTTTGCTTAATTCAATGTTTAGGTCCTCAAACAAATTTTACAAGAGACTTTTCATCAGTCTCGCTGTAATCCTGACCCTCCTTTATGCCTTTGATGACCTTGATTGGATAGTAATGACTCCTATGTGCGTGTGTGTGTACATGTGTGTATGATGTGTGTGTATGATGTGTCCATATGTGTGTATGATGTGTGTATACGTGTGTGATATGTGTGTATGATGTGTGTATGTATGATGTATGTATATGCACGATGTGTGTATATGTATGTGCGTATGATGTGTGTATGATGTGTGTATATGTGCATGTATATGATGTGTGTATGTCTGTATGATGTGTGCGTATGATGTATATGATGTGTGTGTATTTTGTGTGTGTATGTGTGTATGATGTATGTGTATACGTGTGTATGATGTGTGTGTATATGTGTGTATGTGTATGATGTGTGTGTATGTATGATGTGTGTGTATATATGTGTATGATGTGTGTGTGTGTGTGTGTGTGTGTGTGTGTGTGTGTGTACAGGCTGCTGGTAGTCCTGGCCACCAGTTACATCATCACTGGGATGCTGCAAAGAGTGCAAAATATTAGTGGGAAATGTCATTACCTGATAGATTTTTGAAAACCTATCTGCAAGTAAGAGCTTGGGCTATCATTCCTTCTTACTTTTGATTCTAATATAGGGAGCAAGGTTTTCCCAGGCCCAGAGGAAAGAACTCTCTCTCTGTTGCCTTTTTCCTTTGTCTCTGACATCAGTCCTTCTCCAGGGCTGATGCACAAGGAAGACGAAGCGTAAGCCTACCCATTGTGAGGTGCTCCTGCCCGTGAAGCCTAAGAAGGCACAAATTCAATGTCTTGCCTAGCCAACAAGGCAGCCTTAAAAAATAGGAATCTACCAATCTTCAACCCATCTCTACCTCACAGGTGCCAACATCCCCTTGCTCATCCAGGAGCTAACATCCTCCTTGGGTGTTAGACAGCATCCTTCGTTGTCTAAGATCCTTCCAGTGGTGCCGTACTTAGACCTGCCTTGCACAGTACCGCTGCACACCCACGACTTTTCTCAGCCCCTACACTGCCTCTTCTCCTCCTTTGTATGCCTCTGACTCCTTCAGCTGCGGCCTTTCTATCCTTAGCGTATTTGGATAAGTGAATTCAGTACTGCCTGAAAAGATTTGATGGTGGGATTTCAGACACTGTAGTGAGTTGAAAAAAGCAGACCAATTGTTCGAAAACCCATAATTTCACCTAGGTATTCTGTATGTTACTCAAGGCTCTGTTGTACACAGAGCTTGCTACCTTTGGAGAGACAGAAGTCGAATCACATATGATCACTCACTCCGCCTCTATTTTCCCAACTATTGCATTTGACTTCTTTGTTGTTGTTGTTGTTTTCTTGAGACGGAGTCTCGCTCTGTCACCCAGGCTGGAGTCCACTGGTGTGACCTCTGCTCACTGCAACCTCTGCCTCCCGGGTTCAAGTGATTCTTCTGTCTCAGCCTCCAGAGTAGCTGGGATTACAAGTATGTGCCACTATGCCCGGCTAAGTCTTGTATTTTTAGTAAAGACAAGGTTTCACCATGTTGGTCAGGCTGGTCTGGAACTCCTGACCTCAAGTGATCCACCCGCCGCGGCCTGTCGAAGTGCTGGGATTACAGGAATGAGCCACCGCGCCCGGCCACATTTGACTACTTTATAAGTAGCAAGATGAATGTTTTCAGTCCTTAAGTAAGCCCATGCTACTCCTTTGGCTGTGAAGACTCACAATTTTAGAGTCTGTAAGTCATGTTTGCTCAGGATGAGTGTTACGTACTTAAGATATTATGAACGTTTCATAACTCTTTTTCTGTATGTCCATCACAGAACTACAGAATCAATAGGTCTGTTTTTATAAGTGAGCTCTGAAGAAAAAATCATATAACATGGAAAAAATGAAAAAGGAGACCATGATGCTGACTTTTCTAACAAATACTACAAGCTGTAGTTTGGTGTACTTATTTCTCTGCTTTAATAAGATTGTAAGATATAGTTTTTAAAGGAAAAAATTCACAGAGAGCAGTGAATTTGAAGAAAAAAGTTGGAGGGTGCCCTTTGTTTGCAAAAATACAAATAAGAGCAGTTTCAAAACGGCTACTTAAGTGCTGTCCATAGTTACAAAGCCCCTGTAGCTGATGAATTTTATCACGTGGAACGACATTTTAGGCCTTCATCAATATTTATCCTCTCTTATCATGAATATTTCTTATAACATTCCCTAAGGAAGTCTAAAACTTTTCTAAGAAACTTTTGCATCATCTTGAACTTGCATCTGCTAAGCTTGATTGCCTTAGAAAAAACCCACTCTTTTATATCCTTTTGCATAGCAACATCCCAAACACAGCAAACATGATGATACACGGAAAAGAAAAAGAGTCTGGGAGAAATACAGCTATGAAGGGACCAGCTTGTGTTTCCAGAAACCACTTGAGGACAGTGTTGTTGCTCCCCCATGAGAGCTGCAAGGGGCCAGCCCCATTCATGGTTCTCATTTCCTGAAGCTCTTCTTTAGCAATTCTTACAAAGTTTTATTTTATTCTGAAATCACGTGAAGAGGAGGAAAAATCAATGTTTATTGAAGGAGGGAAAATCCTTTCAAGATGATCTGTACTCCCATAGGATGGGCTGCATATTTTAGAAGTATGGTAAGTATGCACTCTTCTGAAACAGTTACCATAGGAACAATTTTTTTTCCCCATTAAATGGAAGGGTAATCACTGTCATAAATTTCCACACAAATGTCTAAGCTACACAAATTAAGCATTGGTTGGGAGTCAAATCCAACTGACTGCATATTTACACACTCTTTTAAATAGGCAGATGATAGATAGAGAGGAACTGTAGACAGAATCCTTCCTTTAAGATATTTGCATATCCAGGAAGGGTGTGGTGACCCACACCTGTAATCTCAGCACTTTGGGAGGCAGAGGCAGGAAGATCACTTGAGGCCAGGAGTTGGAGACTAGCCTGGGCAACATAGCAAGAACCTGTCTCTAAAAAAAAAAAATTAAAAATTAGCTAGGTGTGGTAGTGTACACCTGTAGTTCCAGCTACTTGGGAGGCTGCGGCAGGAGGATCACTTGAGCCCAGGAGTTCAAGGCTGCAGTGAACCATATTTGTGCCACTGCACTCCAGCCTGGGTGACAGCATGAGATCCTGTCTCTATTAATAAAAAAAAAAAAAATAGTTTGGGGCCGGGCACGATGGCTCACGCCCGTAATCCCAGCACTTTGGGAGGCTTAGGCAGGAGGATCCCCTGAGGTCAGGAGTTTGAGACCAGCCTGGCCAACACGGTGAAACCCCATCTCTACTAGAAATACAAAAATTAGCCAGGCATGGTGGCACCCACCTGTAATCTCAGCTACTCAGGAGGCTGAGGCAGAAGAATCACTTGAACCCAGGAGGCAGAGGCTGCAGTGAGCTGAGAACATGCCACTGCACTCCAGCTTGGGTGACAGAGTGAGGCTCTGTCTCAAAAAAATAGTTTGCACATCCAACAGCCAAACTACGTGTTTACTAAACAAACCATCAAAGAGGGCACTTTGACACTCACTGCTTTTTTTTTTTTGAGACAGGGTCTTGCTTTGTCACCAAGGCTAAAGTGCAGTGGCACAATCATAGCTCACTGCAGCCTCAAACCCTGGGCTCAAGCAATTCTCTCACCTCAGCCACCTGAATAGATGGGACTACAGGTGCAAGCCATTACACTTGGCTAATTTTTTTAAAATTATTTTTTGTAGAGACAGGTTGCCACTATGTTACACAGGCTGGTCTTGAACTCCTGGGCTTAAGCAATCCTTCCATCTAGGCTTCCCAAAGTGTTGTGATTACAGGTGTGAACCACAGCACCTGGTCACCCATTGCTTTTTAATTCAGCTCTGACTTCCTAGGAGGGCATCATCCCAGCTCCTCTCTGGAAAGCCCTCCCAAGCAATATCAAAGAGGATTCTTATAGCCTGGCTCATAAGTATTTATTGTGAAGAAGGGAACAAATGTGACATACCACTGTGTAGTGGATACATAGAGTTCTGTAAGCAATACCAAGTGTCAAGTGGGGTTTTAATTATGAAGGCTTGCACAATAAGCTGGATTTGAGCCAGATTTTAAAAAAGGTAACATCTAGGAAACAGTGGGATGTTTTGGTGGAAGAGCATATTCCATTTATCTTACAATGTGCTGTTTTCATGTTTGAACATCTCTAAAATCAATGGTGTTTCACAGTCACTATCAACCAGGGGGCAGTTGTGATGTATGCAACATCATGCACAGAGGAACAAACTTGGTTATTGTCATTTCAACTGAGTTTTGTCTATTGTTGGCTCTGTGCATGTTAGGTTTAACTGACATTTAAAATGTCTTGGCCAGGTGCAGTGGCTCACACCTGTAATCTCAGTACTTTGGGAGGCCTAGGCGGGCGGATCACCTGAGGTCACGAGTTCAAGACCAGCCTGGCCAACATGGTGAAACCCTGTCTCTACTAAAAATACAAAAAATTAGCTGGGCGTGGTAGCGGGCACCTGTAATCCCAGCTACTCAGGAGGCTGAGGCATGAGAATCACTTAAACCCAGGAGGTGGAGGTTGCAGTGAGCCAAGATGGCGCCATTGCACTCCAGCCTGGGTGACAGAGCAAGACTCTATCTTAAAAAAAAAAAAAGCTTTACAAAAGATTACACTAGGCCGGGAGTGGTGGCTCGCGCCTGTAATCCCAGCACTTTGGGAGGTTGAGGCAGGCGGATCACCTGAGGTCAGGAGTTTGAGACCAGCCTGGCCAACATGGTGAAACACCATCTCTACTAAAAATACAAAAATTAGCCAGGTGTGGTGGCGGGTGCCTGTAATCCCAGCTACTTGGGAGGCTGAGGCAGGAGAATCATTTGAACCCGGAAGGTGGAGGTTGTGGTGAGCCAAGACCCTGCCACTGCACTCCAGTCTGGGTGAGAGAGCAAGACTCTGTCTCAAAAAAAAAAAAATAAATAATAATAATAATAATTGCACTACTATTTGTCCTGGGAAAGGAAACATTTTTATGTGTACAGAAAGATGCCAAAACTGAGCAGAGTGGCAGAATTTGATATTAGTTGAAGGAAGTGATTGTCTTAGGAGGAAAGACCAATATCAAAATGCAGATGAGGAGTTGGTAGCTTGGAATAAAATCCCAGAGACAATGCTGGAGTCCTCTTGTGTGAAAAGTTGCAACATTCCTGACAGTGCAGAAAATATGGTAAAATATGGACACTGACAATTGTGAGAGGAAAGTGATCAAGATAAGTCCAGCTATGAATATAAGGATATTTTAGGATTACAGCAGTCCCCCTTATCAGCAGGGAATACATTCTAAGACCCCCAGTGAATGCCTGAAACTGCAGATAGTACTCAACCCTTTATATACTACATATTTTTTTCTGTACATATCTAAATTAAGCTTTAAATTATAAATTAGGCACATAAGAAATGAGCAGCCACTAATAATAAAATAGAACAATTAAAACAACAAGGTGTTCACAATTTCACAGATAGAACATTCATTCTTAGCATAGATCTTAGCAACCTCTGCATACAATTTCTTTTTCTTTCCTTATTAAGTCCATAACTTTCACCATTTCACTTAAAGGAAGCACTTTATGGCTTTGCTTTGGCATATCCGACTTGCCAGCAGCACTACTCCTGCACTTTGGAGACATTATGAAGTAAAATGAGGGTGAATTGAGAGTTGAACCCAAGCACTGTGATACCATAACAGTCAATCTGACAGCCTCGTCGACTAAGTGAGACCGCTAAGTGCTACTAGATGGGCAGGGAGTGTAGACAGTGTGGATCTGCTGAACAAAGGGACAATTCAGGTCCAGGTGGGATGGAGCAGGACGGTGCAAGATTTCATCACAGTACTCAAAACAGCATGCAGTTTAAAACATATGGATTGCTATTTCTGGAATTTTCCATTTAATATTTTCTAACCATGTTGACCACAGGTAACTAAAACTGCAGAAACTGAAACCACAGATACAGGAGGACTACTGTACCACTGTACCTTATCCTTAATCTTTTTATGAGAATACATGAAAAAAATTATAAGAATACATGAAAAAAATTGTATCTTAAGTTGAAAAGGGCTGTTTCAGCAAGTATAAAATTCGAAGAGAGAAGGAAACATTATGACAATTAATTGTTAGAGGTTTTTTTTTCCTTTGATTTAAGATAATGATAACTCATTTTTTTCTTTTGAGACAGAGTCTCCCTCTTTCGCCCAGGCTGGAGTGAAGTGGCATGATCTCAGCTCACTGCAACCTCCGCTCCCTGGGTTCATGTGATTCTCCTGCCTCAGCCCCCTGAGTAGCTGGGATTACAGGCGTTCGCCACCACGCCCGGCTAATTTTTGTATTTTTAGTAGAGACAGAGTTTCACCATTTTCGCCAGGCTGGACTCAAACTCCTGACCTCAGGTGATCCACCCACCTCGGCCTCCCAAGGTGCTAGGATTACAGGCTGTAATCTTTTACCATGACATTTTAGGTTTAATGATATACAGACATGTAAAAAAAATTGAATAAGCACAGTATGATATTAGAACATATTATAGGAGAGCAGAAGTTCAATGAGATGAGAATGGGGCAGAAATCAAACACCATAAGATCCTCAGAAAAATATTAGTAAATTTAATAATTTTAGAATTTGTTTTCTTTTAAACATTTGAATAAATTGTCTAGAACGCTTGAATTCTGATGTGATTTTTAAAAAAAAATCTAACAATTTCTATATAGTTTAAAAATCTATTGTAAGAAAATTAGCCCCAATATGTGTATTAAGGGGATTGTAATAATAAAATATCAGTCGGGAATAATAAAATACCAGTCTGAAAATTCACTCACTATACTTTAATTGTATTTACATGAAAAACACAACAGTTCTTAAAGAAAGTAGACGTCTTATGAAGAATCAATGCCAGATACTATTTAAATACATCTTATGAGATAATGCTGGGAACATAAGACTAAATGACAATATAACAATGCAGATTTTACAAAGTGGATTATTCTGATTAAGGCATTTGGCTTATATTTTTGCTTTTTGAAAACTTTTTTTCTCACTTTATAAAAAATATAATGGTCAGTTGTCATCAGCTTGCTTGGTTAATACCGAAATAACTAGAAATTTTGAAGATTTAGAATCTTGGCACATTATTTTATTTTTATGTTATAAAATATTCTTAGAAAAAACAGACTTTCAGGATTTACAACTGCATTTTATTCCATAAAGGGTGTGCCAAAGCTATCTTTAATAACGTTTTGGGTACATTACAAAAGAATTACAGCAATTTAATGGTACAGTGAGGTGGTGATCCAAATTCTAAGATAATGTTAAAATTTGCAGCCTAACTCATCCATCCCACTGTTTATACCATCTATACCTATAAAGCATTCTTGCTAGTTAGTGCTGGACATCATCTTACTAAGTGGGTGGCAGCTGCCTGTCATCTCAATAATTCTGAAAAAAAGCCAGGGAATTTGTTTTAAAGCATTTGTCCAGATTAAACCACATGTGGCCTCCAGGGTGCTCTGGGCCTAAAGCCTAAGCCTGCTGGCTGTGTTGAGCCATCGAGCTTATTCAGAAAAAAAAAATGAACTGCATTCTCAAAGCCAATAAAGATAAAAGAAACCTACGTTAGTCCAAAACAGCACAGCTCAAGGGTGGGAATTGCACAAGATTAAGGTTTGTCCTCAGTATTGGCCTCAGAAAAGTCAGGGGATAGAAAGGAAAGTAGACAGCTGCTGGGTCCTTCTGTTTTTTGTTTTGCTTGCTTGAAAGAAACTTGAATTGGACAGTTAACTTTGTCTTGATTAACTCTAGTGGTGAATAGTGGCCCTGAGCACACGATAGCAAACTGTGGTTATGTTGTTGATATGGTTAGGCTTTGTGTCCCCACCCAAATCTCATCTTGAATTGTAATCTCCAGGTGTTGAGGGAGAGACTGACGGGAGGGAGGTGATTAAATCATGGGAATGCTTTCCCCCATGCTGTTATCCTGTTCTCATGATAGTGAGTTCTCGTGAGATCTCATGGTTTTATAAGGGGCTCTTCCCCTTTTGTTTCCTACACACGCTCTCTCACCTGCCACCATGTAAGATGTTCCTGCTTTCCCTTCCACCATGATTGTAAGTTTCCTGAGGCCTCCCCAGCCATGTGGAACTGTGAGTCAATTAAACCTCTTCACTTTATAAATTAGCCAATCTTGGGTAGTATCTTTATGGCAGTGTGAAAACGAACTAATACAGATGTCTACTTAGGTAATACAATAGCTACATTGAATGTTTGGCACAGAATCCTATGAAAGATAAGACTTGATAGAATTTCCACATCTTAGAAAGGATCATAATTTGATTCTTCATGATAGTCATTGAATAAAGTGACATCTAAGTGATGGGAAAGATTGTTAGGCAGGCTGTAAAGCTGTTGACCTTGTTATTCCATGGCAAACCATTTGGTAAAATTGTCACATGCACTGTCACAGAAGGGAAGCCACATGCCTTTCTACCCCTTCCTGGGAGACTGATTGGAAAAACTCAGAATATTGTGGTGGGTTAGAACGACTGCTCCTAAGTACCTTTAGCAAGATCATATGGAAGAGAAGGACTCAGGCGAGAAGTGTACAGTTTGCATGGAGAGACGTAACTGCATAGTGGAGATTTTATTGTGTGTGAAGGGAGGGTCTCTCTGCATGCAGCCTGCAATCTAGAGTTAATAAACAAGTAGACTCTCAGCACTGGAAAAATACAATCAAGAAAGAGAAAAACACAAAACATAGGAAGCAGCAAACCCAATGCAGACCTCACCACTGGGATAATGAAAGCAGGACTCACATGGTTGCAATGTTAAAATTTGCAGCCTAACTCGTCTATCTCACTGTTTATATCATCTATACCTATAAAGCATTCTTTTTTCTTTTTCTTTTGTTTTTTTTTGAGACTGAGTTTCATTCTTGTTGTCCAGGCTGGAGTGCAATGGCATGGTCTTGGCTCACTGCAACCTCCGCCTCCTGGGTTCAAGTGATTCTCCTGCCTCAGCCTCCCAAGTAGCTGGGATTACAGGTGCCTGCCACCACACCCAGCTAATTTTTTGTGTGTTTTTAGTAGAGACAGGGTTTTCACCATGTTGGCCAGGCTGGTCTTGAACTCCTGACCTCAGATGATCCACCTGCCTCGGCCTCCCAAAGTGCTGGGGTTACAGGTGTGAGCCACCACACCTGGCTATAAAGCATTCTTACTAGTTAGTACTGAACATCATCTTACTAAGTGGGTGCCAGCTGCCTGTCATCTCAATAATTCTGCAAAAAAGCCAGGGAATTTGTTTTAAAGCATTTATCCAGATTAAACCAATGAATTTACCAATGAATCCAAATTGGAAAATTCAACACAGTGAGGCCAAGGACAGGGAAGGGAGTGTCCCATATCCATAGCCCCTCTTCCATCCAGAATAAAAACATAGGCATTAAAAATCAATGAAAGCATTGCTTTCTTAATGAGATCCACAATATTGATGGTGTGTGGTTGATAAAGAGTGAAATAATAAAAAAGCTATTCCTAACATAAAGGCTTACATTCATACATGATGCCTTTTATGACAAGTCTTCTGATCTCTGTAGGCTGTGACAGAAGAAAACCAAGTATCTGTCAAATAGGTGTAATTCTTCTATAGATATATGTATAATTATTTTCATACTATGGATACTTATATGAATAGAATGTATACATTTAGAACAATAAGAAGTTGGTCATAGTGGTTGCTTATGTGAAAGGGACACGAGAAAGATGTCTTCTTCCTACTTACCTTTGAGTAAATTATACATTTTAGGTCAGGTATATACATTACCTAATCACACACAGGCAAAAACAGCAAAGTAAAAAATAGTTCCTAATACAATCAACAAGTGCAATTTTCAAGCTCATTCACTGCAACATTGCTTTTAATAGGAAATATGAAAACAATTTAGATGTCCATCAATAGGGTACTGGTGAAGTTTATTATATACGCCTACACAGTTCAACACCATGTATCCACAAAAAGGAATGAAGAATATGTATTAATAAAAAAATGAGCTTTACAGCATTACTAACTGAAAAAGGCAAATGTTATTGCATGTTCTCATTTAAATTTTAAAAAGTGAGAGGAATATACATATGTGTGTATGTAATTATTATGTATGTGTGTATATATATGCATTTGTTTTTATACAATATTTATAGAAAAGTTACATTAAAAATTGATAACATTAGTTGTCTCAGGAAAGGAGAACTTGGTAGCAGAAGTTCAGGAATGGGATGGATATTTTGTATTCCAAAAGAATTCCACAGATGTTTTTCACATCAGCAATATCATTTAGATAAGTTTATGTTCTTGCTTCACAGACATCACTGACTTGAGTGCCTAAGGTAAAGCAGTTTTAACAAAAAAATATACTACCCATCTATTCTTGTTTCCTATATAGGCACCTCGTTTAGAATAAAAAATCTACATCTAAAGGCTATATCTGCGTGTGCAGTTTTAAAAATTAGTATGTGCATGGCCTTTTTACACCAGTCCTGTGAAACACTATCTTTCAGTTTGCAGGTATAATTGGTATTCACTTACTCTGTTGCTAACTTCAGTTCTTTTTCATCAAGCACATTATGTAGAAAGACAAAAAAATGCTATTCCCTTTGGCTTCGCTCCACAATTTTTAAAATTATGAACACATAGTTTTTTTTTTGTTGGTGGCCTCAGACATTGTCCTAAGAGCATAGAATGTTCTTCTATCATTGGAAACTCTCATTCTAGATAAAAGAACACATGTCATTCCTTTTTTTTTACTTTTCTTCTCCCATCCTTCTCCCTCTCTCCTCTCTCTCCTGTCCTCTCTCTCTCTCTCTCCTCTCTCTCTCTTTCCCTCTCTTTCTCTGTCTTCTTTTCTTCTCCTTCTCTCTCTCTCTCTCTTTATAAATAATAGCACTGGCTTCCTAGAGAGACCATGTATTTAAAGTCCTTAGAAGACGAACACTCTGTGGTTGAAAACCTCAAAGGACTGTTGTTAAGGAAGCTTTCATTTGAAAAGATTGAAAAATTAGTGACAATTTTTGTTTTACTTATCATTCTTTCTAGCTTGTCAAATGATGTTCTTGGGTTGATATGTGTTGGTGCAAATCATTGGTTCTGTATCCGCCAGCGCTTTCCTGCATTCCGATCAGTTTGGAGACCAAACTCTTGTTTGCAGTAACTTGAAATAGTCTTAGAGTTTTATAGTTATAGACCATTAGGACTGGAAGGAGGGTTGGACAAAATCTGGTTCTGTTTCTTTGTATTACAGATAAGGAAAATAAGGCTGAGGCTCACTAAGTGATTTTCCAAAAGTTACATAACTTGCTGTCAGTCAGACCTGCTGATTTTTTAAACCATAGCACATTTCAGCAGAAAGAAACTAATCCTCCAGAAAAATTATTTTGCTCTTTTCTTCCCCCGATCTGTGTTTGTCTCTTACTTGGAGTAACCAGTGTTTACGAATAAATCACCTGAGGTTTACTAAGAACTTGGAAAGGAGCGAAATTAGGTTGTTCTCTTGAGAGTTACATATGATGTTCACCAGCATTGGCTTCCTTAACTGCCGAAAAATTTCCTTGACCTTTTGAAAAGTTTCCTTCAATTTGGTATTCAAACTGTATTACTGTGGACTGTGTTAATAAGCATAGTGGGTCCAATGCTAATGTTGTGGCTGGTATTAATGGCATTAACATATCTAGAAAGAGAAAAGGATTCAATGGAAGAGTTTAGACTACAAACAATGCAACAGAGGCCAGGTGCCAGTGTAGATGTTGACCTGTGTCCTACTCAGAGTCAGGAGAAAGTCTTGGCCAGGGTGTTGAGAATGTCATTCCCATTGTCAAGGATCTACTTTAGGGAAAAGGTGCTCCTTTCTTGAATTTTCTTGGCTTCCTGGTTTTCTTTTGACCTCTCTGGACACTAAACTTTCATTGTTTTGGCCTTTCATTTACTGACTCCTTCTCTCCCACCTTACCTCTAAATGGCAGTTGCTGAGAGCTTATTCATTGCCTTCTCACTTTGTCCCAAGGTGATCTCATTCACACTGATGAATCTCCAAACATAAAGGTCTACCCCACATCTCCTTTGATCCAAATCTCTCACTCTTTCAATCTATCTTTCCATCTCTTGATCTAAATTTCCAACTAGATGCCACAATTTTCATAAGCCTAACATGTTTAAAATCATATTCTTGATCTCTTCACCATATCTTCTCTTAAACTGCTCCTGCCCTAGGTTTCCCCAGTTCAGAAAATGGCGGCCCCGCCCCCGCCTCCCCACTGCCTGGCTGCTCAAATCAGAATTTGGTTGTAAATTTTGAAACCTCCCTCTTCCCCCGTTCAATCCATCACCAAGTTATATTTTTACCTCTTAAATATTTCTTGAAGCCAACAGCTACTCTTTGTCTGCACTGCTACAACCTTGATCTGTGCCACTATCTTCTTTACCAACTAGTCCACTAACTAATCTCCCCATGCTCATCTGATCTTCCACTTCAGTCCACGTAGCGAATGATAATTTACAAATACTGATTGCCTCGTGCCACCTCTCTGCTTAAAACGCATCAGTGGTGCCTGATTTCCTCCTCATCTTCAGCTTGCACCTTTCTGCCCTTTTCTAAGTTCACCCCAGCCCCATGGATGCCTTGCCTATCCGTCAAGGGTTTCCTGCCCCAGATCCTTCACACATTCTTCTCTCTCTGCTTGGAGTTCTTTCCCCTCTGCAACCCTTTTCTTCTTCTCAACTTTTTCCAACTTCCACTAATTCTTCAGTCTCATTTAAAATGTCAGATCCTACAAAATCTGATTTAGGATTCCCTTGGTATTCTCTTGCATAGCATCCTGTTTTTTTTCTTCCAAAACACTAATTTCAATTTCTAATTATAAATGCATTATATTTGTGTGATTATTTCTGTCTTCCCAACATAGCTGTTTTGTTCACTATTATATGCCCAGCAACTAGAACAGTTCTTGGCACATGGCAGATAGTCAATATGGGTTGAATGACAATGAGAGAGCTATGTCAGCTGACAGGCTTTTGATAAAATAAATTTTTTTTCTCTTGACTCTGTTTTAGCCAAAGTACCTGTTGGGTGTTTTTTGTTTGTTTGTTTGTTTGTTCAAGATAGAGTCTCCCTCTGTCACCCAGGCTGGAGTGCAGTGGCGCCATCTTGGTTCACTGCAACCTTTGCCTCCCAAGTTCAAGCAATTCTCCTGCCTCAGCCTCCTGAGTAGCTGGGACTATAGATGCATGCCACCATACCCAGCTAAGTTTTGTATTTTTAGTACAGTGAAACAGTGTTTCACCACGTTGGCCAGGCTGGTCTCGAACTCCTGACCTCAAGTGATCCACCCACCTCAGCCTCCCAAAGTCTGGGATTACAGGCGTGAGCCACCGCACCTGGCCCAAAGTACCTTTTGATTATGATTTATCTTCCCACATAGTTTGACAACTGGGACAGAATGCACTGATTATGGGGATTTATTTAGCTGAGAGGTATTTCTTAATTTAAAAATCGATGTCCAGGCAATAACTCAGGCTCACATAGACTTTAATTCATGTGCATCTGACTCTGAGTTCCTGAGAACAGTGACGCATGGGCCCTCAGGTCAGGTCCTGGGCCACATTAATTCACTAATAAATATCACCCATGAGGCTTTGTTGGACACAACCTTGCAGACCTTTCTCCTCAGTGACTCTCTGGCATCATTACTGATTTAAGCTTATCTTTCTTTTTGAATGCCTGTGCTGAGTAACTTAGGAAGTATTGCCAAATTTTTGCCAGTTACTAGAGATAAAAGTTACCAAATATAGTTATCATTTTTGTGGGCCACTGAAGAGATTAACCAGGCTAGGCTAATCTCAGGCTGGAACTTCTAAGTGGTTCAAACAAGTCCTCTCCTGCAACCAGATTTTATGGGTGTGGGAAATTCTATTGATGGTATGTTAATGGGCCTAGCACCAACTGGACAAAAGGACTATGGAATTGAGAGCTCTTAATAATAAGTCATAGTATTAAGTTGTCTTTCTACGCGCCAGGAACTATGCTGTTACGCACGTATTGTTCCATTCATTCTCATAACTCTACAGATCATGGAATGGTTTAGCAATCCCATTTACAGAAAAGGAAAACATGGCTTAGAAAGGTTATGTAGCATACTTAGTAAGCAGCTGAGCTGGAATGCAAACCAGAGCCTACCTGACTTTAGTACTTGAGATCTTAAGCACCACGTGAAATTGCCTCCTTCTACCTTGATTTTGTACTAACTGATTGGTATGGAATCAACTGGTTTGTTTAGCAGTCAAATTCTCTATCCTCCAAGTCTGACTTATGTCATGATAATAATATCAAGAGATCATTAAAATACATGTTTGGGTACGATCCATTACTTTATTCATTAAGGATTTTTTGAGTACCTTCTCTATACCAGCTGTTATGCAGATTCTAAGGAATGCAGATGAAAATGTATACAGTGTCTTCTCCCCCATAAGCTTGAAATGTTCATGGAAAACAGGCAAATAACCAGATATGCACAATACAATATGACCAGTGCTATAAAGGAAGGCCAGATTCTGAGGAATCAAAGGGGATTGTCATGGAAATGTGATGTGAGCTGATGAAGACTAGGGATTTGCCAGGCAGCTATGTAGGATGAGAGAAAGAAAAGGGCAGTTTTCTGGGTGGAGGGAACCATGTGTGCAGATCTCAGAGGTCTCTAGTACCTCAGTACTATGGGAATGCCAGTTACAGTGGGTAGGGAAGAAGCAGCATTTCAAGAAATCAAGCTAAAAAGATCATAGACAAGGGGCCAGACCACATCAAATCTTTATTCTACCCATTCTTCCTTTGAACAGGAAGAGAAACCAAGTCAAACTAGCTGCATAATGAAGTTTGACTTTTTAGTTTCAGGTGTCTACTCCCAAGTGACTGCAGTCTCCATGTCTCTTAATTCATGCTCTCAAGAGAGAGAGAATCTGATCAGTCACTGGTCAGCTGTCCAAGTCAGATGTTTGTCCCTCTTTTGGGTGATAGGATGACCTAGGTATGTATGTGTATGGATTGGGGGAGGTTGAACTGGCTCTATCCAAGTTTGGGATCCCGTGGTAGGGATCACCTTTCCAGGAACAATGGATGGGAATGTTTCCCTCTGAAGGCTCTGTGAAAGAAAGGCAACAATGTTCATCTAGGACAACACTGTAGACCATAGAGAAAAGTCTAGATTCTTTAGTAGACATTTACAGAAAGCAAAAGAATTAGCTGTTAAAACCACAAAGTTTTCATTTTAACATTTAAGGCAACTCCCACTCATGACTTCAAAGCATAATATCCATAAGGCTAAAGTAATCAGAATATTTTTGCATTGCTACTGATTTTGAATTATTTAAAAATGAGTATGTATAGCAATCATTTCACAAATAAAATACTTACCTAAACATCTCATCCTGAATTGGCAGAGAAAGACTGCCTGGATCAACAGAGTCACCAGACAAAAGGAGACTGGGTCCCTGAGTGACTGCATGGAACAGACTTATACCCCTACCCTTAGTCACATTGCACAGTGATGTAAATGAAAAATGTATCTTTATCAGGAAACTGAGATTTGGAGTTAGTTTGTTAAAGCAACTTAAGTTGCTTACTTAGCGATGCAAACGGGAATGATATGCATCATTTCTAGGCCTGGCCTGTACGTGCCTCTCCCTAACTCTGGATCAGATGCATCCTACCCACTCTGTAAGTCTGGGTCCCTGAGTGACTGCAGAAAAGGGTTCCTGCTGACCTGCTCACAGCAAAGTACTGCTATGTTAGCAAGAATTGAATATGTGTTTACGTAATTATACATTTTGGAGTGTACTGTCACAGCTGTTAGCCTACCCTAAATAGCAACCAACCATTCTTGGTAAGTGAGAATTTGTCATATATTATCCTTTATTTTATATCTGCCCTAAGTTAATAAAGGAATAAAGATACTCATATGGACAAGTTTCAAGTGAATTTTCAAAAAATAATTGTATATAAACTACTTTTCTTTAAGTAACCAAAATAAGCTTTTCTATAAGGCTTCCAAATTCTGTGTTTGTGAAAAAAGCCTGAAAGACTCCCATATTTTGTTTTTTATGTTGTCCAGAGGATAAAAACCAGTGTAAGCAGTAGAAATTGTTATTTCTCTGATATTTTATAGTTGCATATATTTTACCAAATTTTTCTAATTTAAAATTTCATAAAATAACCTTTTCCTTTTAGATATTTAGAGCTATTTTTTCTTATTTTTGGGTTGAAAACAGCTCTACTAACATAAACTTATTGCTTAATAGATTATGTAATCTTACAAATGTAACTTTAGAATTCACAAAATAGATAAGTAGAAAGGACCAAAAGGAAAAAAACATTTAAATAAGATATGCATAGTGAGTTGTGGAATAAAATAAGAGTATCGAGGTTGGTATGCTAGAAAGGAGGCTATTCTCCTTAATCATCCTCAATGATGCCTTTATAAGTTGTCATCTTGATTTTGTAAGTTGTCTTCTTAATTTTTCTTCCTCCAAATAGAAGCCTTTCATCATATACAGTGTTACGAATACTGAAAATATTTCTCACTGGGAATAACTGCAAATGTCATGGGCCACAGGAAAATACATCTTTTGCATTTGTGGAGCTCAGAAACAATGTGTTGGAGACAGTTTAGAGTAGCAAGAAGGCACGTGTTACTATTTCCAGTTCAAAATACTTAACAGTTTTCAAAGTTGTGCTGTTGGTATCATGCGCTGCAGAAAAAAAAAAAAAAAAGTGAAGTTCTGAGTGCTGACTTTATTTTTCAGGACCTAGAAATTAATGTTTATGTGAAACAAGTACATAATAATAATGAATTACATTGTGGAACTGGAACACATATTCTCAAATTTAATAGTTTATATGTGGAAAACGTGACACTAGTAAAAACAAAATTTCTTCTTGTGTAAGTGAATAACTCAATTATTCTTTGCATATTGCCTAAGCATTCTGATTAAGACTATTTTTATTCTCTTCATAGTATTTTCCTTTTTGAAAAACTTGGAGTTTTTTATATTTTCCATGTTTTTTTCCCCTACATTGAAATTGTTATACTTTAAAGATCCATTCTTACTTATTGGCAATATAAATAATCTTGTGCTTTTCAATTATGCCAATGTCGTGTTCTAGTTGTTTCATTTCTTCTTCCAGCCTCTGCTTGCGGATCTTCTTTGGTATAGAATCTATAAAGACCGAGAGGGACTGGAATTCTTTATGCACCTCTTCCCAGTTCTTTTTCAGCCCCTGCAAATGGTCAAGAAACTTGTAAATACCAAAGCAAACTGCAAAAGTAAAGGAAATGGGAAAAGCTAATTGGTAATGAAAAATGTCAATAAGTAAAAGAAACTGACAAAAATAACTTCTAAAATGAAATGTATTTATCAAGTACTTGGCCACGGTAACCAAAAATACTGTACAGAGGCCAAATCCCATCCTTGACTGTGTGCTCAGTTCCCACTGGGAGTATTTGTTTGCTCTGCTTTTGTTGTTACTGTACTTGTTTTTACCATCAAAAATGTACACGCAGAGTTATGAGTAGTGTGAAGCTAAAGCTCACAGCAAATGCATGGGTAAAAAACAACTTAGAATGATATCCTCGAGTCAAAAACATTTTTGAACAGAAAATTGTTTTGTAAAATTTTATTTTTTATCCTCATTCTTCAACAGACAAATCACATAAAAGACCTAATTCTGATGTGGATGGCTATATTTTCTTATATCTAACAAATGGGATTGTAAAATTGCCAAAATTCACTTGTACAAAAGATGATCTTCTAAGTGTCCTTTCAATATATTAGAAAGAACCAATTGCCCTCCATATAGTCAAGGGATCTACAGTTCCCATTAATGTATTCTATAAATGATTGAAAGGTCATTAAATGTAACACACATGCTAATTCAATAATGTAGCTAACAGTTTCTATTCTCAGAAATCAACAAATTCAAAATTAGGGATCTCTTAGGAGCAATAAAAGTTATTTCTGTTTCTGCATAATTATCATTTTTTTATCACAGTGCCCTATGGGCTCCACAGACAAAATGGTCTTAAACTAGTAATTAAATTAATTCAATGAAATTTTATAAGTCAACACTTTTTAATTATTCATTATGGGCACATAGATTATTTTATTTACACAAAAGCAAAACAGAAAGTGCAATTTAAGATACTGCCTTGACAGGTGAATTGCTTGAGCCCAGGAGTTCGAGACCAGTGTGGGCAACATGGCAAAACCCTGTCGCTACAAAAAATACAAAAAATAGCCAGGTGTGGTAGCATGGGCCTGTAGTCCCAGCTACCTGAGAGGCTGAGGTGGGAGGATCACCTGAGCTCAGGAGGTTGAGGCTGCAGTGAGCGATGATTGCGCCACTGCACTCCAGCCTGAAACAACAGAGCAGAGACCCTGCCTGAAAACAAAAACAAAACCAAAACTCCAAAACTTAAAATACTGCCTTGAAAACATGGTCTTTGAAAACTATGGCCATACATTTAGGTGTAAAAGAGGATTACAAGTGTCTTATATAATTATGCTGTCATAGTAAGCTCTTGTACAAATTTAATCTTGTAGAAACTTTCAGGGACAATACAATTTCACTGATTTATTTCCATGCTTAGATAAAAGGGATGATGACAGGTCAGGGCACACTGTATAGAAGAGGTTGGTTGGGGAAAAGGGCAACAAATTATGAGGCCTTCTTGAGTGAGCTAAGGATCTGGGAAAGGGAAAGGATAGAAGAAAAAGTATCCAGGTTAAATTTTAAAAAGAGGAGGCTACACAGTTCTTGACAGTGTATGCGATGTATTCCAAAAAGAAGCCCTCAAAAGAATTCTATTTCTCCACAGCCTTTCATTATGAAATGTGAAAGAGGTTCCCACAGTGCTCCACAGGAGTGGCTATTGCAGAGAGGAAGTCTATGTATTTGTACATTTGCGGATATCAAAGGTTTTTCATAGCTAGTTGGGTGATGTTTCCATATTACTTGCAGTCACAGCAGCTACAGTTTTTCTCTGTATTTTCTTTTAAAGGATAGTTTGCTTTTATCTTCCAGTGTGTACAATAACGTTTGGATCAAAGTCAACAGCCAGGGATGGAAACTAAATGTAGCTAATATTTCATATTATATTGAAATACGCTACGTGCTGACTTTAAGAGGTTTTTTCATTATTTCATCTAAAAAGATACTTCATGTGTTGCAGCAATAGTGATTTTCCCTTATTGTTAATTCTTAATTTTCCTCTCTTCTATTTTAAAGCTGAAATAATATCGTTCATTTTGGAAAAAATTCAGACAGGGAGAAGTGATCTTATAATAAGAAGTTTTCAGTTTCATGCTCCTTTTGCACCCTCGCCCACCCCCAAACATTCTCCACCTTGTGGGGTGCTCCCAGCTCTTTCGCCCTCTGGCCTGAGTTCAGCCACAGAAGGCCCTGGAGGGTGGAGAGTGAGGTTGGGGCATTTCTCCTCCTCTCCTAGGACAGTCTAGACATGGGTTCTAGCTGCATTCATCTGTGACTATGACCCTCAGCCCAGCTCCAGCTCTCACTGGATTCTGACAACACTGCTTCTTGTGCCTGCTGCCTTTCAAGCGTAGGTGGTGGTAAATTCCTACTGTCCCTGCTCCTGGGGTGCCTCAGTGCTTCTTGTTGGTTCCCTTAACCCTACTTCACTTCTGTCAATAATTCCTTCATAAATTCTCTTCAGTGGCCACTGCTCATGCCTGCAATCCCAACACTTTGAGAGGCTGAGGGAGGAGGATTGCTTGAGGCCAGGAATTTGAGACCAGCCTGGGCAACATAGTCAGACTCCCTCTCTAAAAATAAAAAAATGAAATAAAAAAAAATCAGCCAGGCATGGTGGTATCCCAGCTAGCAGTGAGCCGTGATTGTGCCACTGCACTCCAGCCTAGGCAACAGAGCAAGACTGTCTCAAATAAATACATAAAATAAACAAACATAAATTCTCTTCCAAGTCCTAGCTGAGTGTGCCTTCGATTTCCTGCTGGAGCCCTGACTGAAGTAGCCTCCCTTTGTTACCTCCTCTGCAAGTATGTGTTCTGTAGTGGGGGAAACACCAGCCTGGCAATTGGTAAATGAGTTTTAGTCCCTATTGATGTACTTGATAGTTTTGTGACCAAAGAGAAATGAAAATCAAACTCTAAGTTCACTGACACTGAGGACTGTGTTTATTTTGCTCTGTACAGTATCCCTCTGGCTGGAACACACTAGATATTCAATAAATAAATGAATGAACAAAGGGGCCCACAATGTATTTGTATTAACGGCTGGGCAGATTGGCTCACGCCTGTAATCCTAGCACTTTGGGAAGCCAAGGCGGGTGGATCACCTGAGGCCAGGAGTTTAAGACCAGCCTGGGCAACACAGCGAAACCCCATCTTTACTAAAAAATACAAAAAAATTAGGTGGGCGTGGTGGTGCATGCCTGTAGTTTCAGCTACTCGGGAGGCTGAGGCATGAGAATCATTTGAACTTGAGAGGTGGAGGTTGCAATGAGCCAAGATCATGCCACTGCACTTCAGCCTGGGTGACAGAGCAAGACTTCATCTCAAAAAAAAATGTATATATATATATATATGTGTATATATATATTTATATATATGTGTATATATATTTATATATGTATATATATTTATATGTGTGTATATATATTTATATATGTGTATATATATATTTATATATGTGTATATATATTTATATATGTATATATGTGTATATATTTATATATGTGTATATATATTTATATATAAGTAAAATTTATTTTTTATATTGTACATATGTTATATATAATTTATTTATATATAAAATACGTATAAATAGAGAATTTTGCAATTTAATTGGTGAGAGGAACTACGGATCTATGTACATGTAGAGATATGAATGTGTGTCTGTGTGCAGCTCCTCAGTTTCATAAGGTTCCAATGCACTAGTCACCACTGGAGGATTATAGATCTTTAGCTGGCCTGAAAATGTAGAGTGACACAGCATATGTATATATATATATATATATATATATATATATATATATATATATATATATATATATATATATATTCCTCATTTTAAAAATGAGAAGTTTGGAATCACTAGACCAGATGATCCTGTCCAGGTATAATGAGACTGTTATTTTATGAAGAATGAGCAGAATGTGGCTTACTCAGGGACATACAACCAGATTGTCATCGAACTACATGCAACTCTTGCCTAGGGAAGGAAGTGTGGCTCAGGGCTCGTCAGGAGGCCAGCCGGTGGCTTTGTTACTATGGCAGCTCTGCTCCCTGGCTCATAAGGCGTCCAGTGGATGATTTGCTATCATCACATCAAAGGGTAACTCTGTAGCGACCGTAATGGGAAGCTGAGGGCTGCTTATCTCCTACAGCCAAAAAGACACAGAAGGGAAGGACCTGTCACTTCTAAGTTCTTTGTCATATTCTTATTTTTCAGCATCATTTAGGTGTAAAAACCTGGCTTTCACAAAGGCACGTACTTTCTGAAAATGGGAAAATCCAAATGAGAGAGACAGAATGGGCCACAGACGAGAACTCTCCCTGAAAATGACATGCCAATTCTCACTTCCATGTCTGCCAGCCTTCCTTCCTGCCTGTCTGCCTTCCTCCTTTGCAGCAGACCATTTCTGAACATCTGCGTTTTCACTGGGCACTGTGCTAGGCACTGGGGATGCTGCTGTCAGCAAAGAGACACCGTCCTTGCCTTTGAGCCACTCCTACTGTCTGGGACATGCCGTCACTCTACATTTTCAGGCCCAGCTAACGATCTACAATCCTCCAGGGGTGACTAGTGCCTTGGAACCTTATGAAACTTAAGAGCTGCACACATACACATATTCACATCTATACATGTACATAGATCCATAGTACCTCTCACTAATTAAATTGCACAATACTCCACTGCAGATATTTTAAAAAATCTTATGCCTTTTAAAATATCCTCAGGGTTTAGCATTTAAGAAATGTTTATTGATGATTATGATGACATTGATAAAATGTTCAGAAGTTGTAACAGCATATGAATCCATTTTTCAACAGAGATTAATAATAAACTAGAAATGGCTTCGTGGGATGCTTTCAAAATGAAAAATAAACAAAGAATTAAGTATTATTTCTGCCTCTATAAGAGACAGTATGACTATAAAAAGTACAAAGAGGTGTTTAATTAAACGCTCATACAAATGATGAAGCAGAAACTCTTACACCCCCTAATATTTTAAATGCTTCAGATAAAAGCCCTGCATTAAAAAATCCAATATAAATATATCTTTAAGTCTATGTAATTAAAAACAAGAAAAACATATGTGAAACCTAGCACCTGTTTATTTAAAATTTTGGACATTTGCCTTATAGGAAAGGAAAAAAAGTTGTTTTAAGGACAGTTTCAATTATTCTAGAGCTCCATCTAGTGAAAAATATCTAATTTATGAATATTATTTTTCACAAACTCAGGGGCATAAAAATGAAAATAAAAATGCTTTATTTGCTTCATTTCATGCATGTTCGTTGTAGAGGAAGGTAGGCTTCCTTACAACACTAGTTCAGGAAAAAAACAGTTCACCAAATTGGAAATAAAATATTATTAAATGAATCCCTATATCACAACTTTTTGCTCTCTCCAAAGAGTCAGCTTTGCTGTATGTAGTTTTTAACTGTAACCCAAAGAGATTGTTCTGATTTCAAAATCCAAGTGCTGACTTTAATCATCAAAGTGATGGTACACCTTTCTTTCAGAGATGATCCAAAGAGTTACAGATGAATGTAAATGGCAGAACACACACCTGCAAAACTGCCTCCCTTTCTTCATCGGAGAGCCTTTTCATAGCTGCTTTCTTAAGGTTTTCCTGGATATAACGATCATAGTCTTCTTGGGCTTTCTTTATTTCCTCGTTTCGCTTACATATGTATTCAGGTGTGACACCATAATCCTAAAAAGATTTTGCAGAAAAAAGTAATCAATATTTTGTATGCAATCTTACATATGGGTACGTATCAACTGATGATGGAAGAAAAAGAAATGGTACAGACTAAATCCTTTGTTCAAAACCCTGTAAATTGACAAAATTCAGTGACTTTTTTCCCTCCATTGAGAGCTAGTAGATTCCTGCCTTTTAAAATGGAGTTGTTATTGCCCAGGCATAGTGGCTCACACCTGTAATCCCAGCACTTTGGGAGGCTGAGGGGTGGGGGGGTGGATCACTTGAGGTCAGGAGTTCGAGACCAGCCTGGCCAACATGGTGAAACCCCGTCTCTACTAAAAATACAGAAATTAGCCAGGCATCGTGGCATGTGCCAGTAGTCCCAGCTATTCGGGTGGCTGAGGCACAAAAATCTCTTGAATCTGGGAGGCAGAGGTTACAGTGAGCCAAGGTGCCACTGCACTCCAGCCTGGGTGTCAGAGTGTGACTCCATCTCTAAATACATAAATAAATGGAGTTGTTATTGCAGTTGCTTGTTTTCCCTTTTCTGAATGTTTCCCACGCCTGCTCCTGGCTGATACTTTACTCCTAAGAGTTGGCTTTTCTACCTTCTACGTTCTTCAGTTTTTACCTGAAATATCTTGAATAAGATATTCAAGAGTTGGCTTTTCTACCTTCTACCTTCTACATGCTTCAGTTTTTACCTGAAATATCTTGAATATTTTGAAGTCTCTTTTTCGTGGTCTCGTTAAAGAAAAGACAAAGTCTTTGAAAACTTATGCCTCCATCCTGTGCCTATAAAACCCCCCGAGACCCTAGCAGGCAGGCACACAAATGGCTGGACGTCGAGAGGAACACATCAATGGAAGAACGTATAAGTGGAGGCTGTTGACAGGGGCGTGCCAACAAAAGAGCACACCAATGGGCACCAGCATGCCGGCAGGCCATCGATCAGTGGAACAACGCAGAGTTTGGCCGGGGTGGTGGGAGGAGAGCCCGGGCCACAGAGCTGCCCGGCTCCAGGGAAAAACCATCTCCCTTCTGGCTCTCCCATCTGCTGAAGCTACTTCCACTCAATAAAACCTTGCACTCATTCTCCAAGCCCACGTGTGATCCAATTCTTCAAGTATACCAAGGCAAGACTCCTGGGATACAGAAAGTCCTTTGGAAGCCCTCTGTCCTTGTCATAAGGCAGGGAGTCTAATTGAGCAAACACAAGCCACCTATGGACAGCTAAACCAAAAGAGCACCCTGTAACACACGCCCACTGCGGCTTCAGGAGCTGTAAACATCGACCCATAGACCCTGCTTTGGAGTCAGAGCCTCACAACCTGCCCTTCGGCATGCTCCCCCTAGAAGTGTGAGCAGTGGGGCACTGAAGAAGTGAGCCACAGCCCTATGGTACACTCTGCGAGGGGAATAAGGGAATTTTCCCATGTCACAACGACTGACAGTGAAGCCATCAGCTGTGATTCTTTCAGCTTAGTAAATGCGTTTGATTTCACCATCTATAGAAACAGAATTACTATGTATTCCTTCTTCAAAAGATGTTTGAGAATGTACTTGGTGCTAGGAATACTAGTGAATAAAAAAGGCAAAGTTTCCGTCTTCAGGGAATTTGCATTCTATGGTGACAGAGACTCACCAAAAATAGAGAATGAAATAATATGTATGTGTTCTGAAGTAAAATAAAGAAGGATAGTGGGGGAAAAGAAAATAATAGGGGCTATTTTAGATAAATAAGGAGGTCGGGGAGGAACTCTCCGAAGAAGCAGCAGTTGGGAGGTATGGTAGTCATTAAAATTCTGACAAATATTCTGTTCTCCTTCTAGACACTTGGTAGGACAACACTTTCCTGTGTTGTCCTCATAAAGTAAGATGTAGCCATATGCCCTGAATTGCTCAGTGTCAGTGGAGGTGACCTCTGCCACTTCTCGATAGGAGTCTTAAGAATTAGTGGATGACTTGCTGTGTCTTTTCCTGTCTGGTCTAGTGACAAGCAATGTTTAGATTTTTCTGGGTCCTGGAAGAAGGACAAGAAGCAGAGCCTGTAACAACCCTCAAAGGGCACGTGGCAAAAGCAAACAATAACACTTTGTTGCTTTAAGTTACTGAAATTTGGGGATTGTTTGTCATCACAGTGTAACTTAACCCATCCTGACTGAACAAGGGATAGAAATCCTAGATATAAATGTGTTCTGGAAGCTGCAGAGGACAATACAAATAGACTCTGGGAGGCCAGTATTCTGGTCAGCTGGTGCAGTGAGTGAGACAGGCCAATCCACTTCAGGAAACACTGAAGGAAACACCTCATTACAGCTTAGTACAATAATGGAGCTTCATCATGATGATTCTGCAGGATCACAGAAAGATTAAATTATATTTGGCATACTCTGTTTAAGAAAGAGAATGACTGGGCGCAGTGGCTCAAGCCTGTAACCCCAGCACTTTGGGACAGCTAGGCAGGAGAACTGCTTGAGCCCAAAAGTTCAAGACCAGCCTGGGCAACATAGTGAGACTCCATCTCTAAAAAAAATTAAATTAAGTGTTTTTAAAAAGAAAGGGAATGGTGTGATACAGTTCAGAAAAAAAACTCACAAATGAGCAAAAGCTTCAATGATCTGAAATATTCCTATGGGCTGAATCACCGGAGGCTAATGCATACTGTTAATAAAATTGCATATATTATACTATTCACTCTTTGTTCTTTTATTAGGTGTCACATTTTGTGTCAAGTGCTCAATATACTTTATATAATTTAATCCTCACTACAACCCTGTGATAAATCCAATGGATTGTTGGAAATCACAGTTACTAAGTGGCAGAGTTAGACTTTGAAAGAATGTCTTTACTGGTATTGCTAAATACCTCATGTGATCATCTATCCTTGCTTGTTTTCAGAAATTGTTTCTCATGGTATGAATGGCATATAATTCACTTGGAGCTGAAATGGGAGTTCACTCATTTTATAAAAATATGACATTGACTTTAAAAGAATTTATTTACTATCTCACCTACCAATGATAGATCTTTAAAACTTAACTCTGATAAGGGAAAAGTAAATTGAGTAAGTCTTTCATGAGCACTGATTGCTTAGTCAGCAACACCAAAAGGGCATTAGGTGCACAGTGCTTTCATGGTTTGGTAAACTCTGGTATTTTTCTGTTTCCATGATGGATACTCCAAATTTCCTGTTGAAGGTAGAAAATGCATTCAAGTGGACAGCTTAGAGAGCAGCCAGAAGGGAGGGGCAGAGTGTGTGACAGGTGGTGGCATGACCAGTAAAGACTTTTCATATGATCATGGAGAAATAATGGACTGGAAGTGGCTTTAAGAGCCATGAGAGTGAGTTTTCCACTTTTCCCTATCCTGTGGGACAACGACTATAAAACAGTTTCCAGGGGCCACAGAAGGAGGAAGTACCTGGAGAAGCCTGAAGTAACTTTATTGGCTTATCCTGGGAACTCCTAGATTCCTGAGAAGACAGTGTCCTCTGAAAACAGCCTTGAGGGTCCTGTTTTGATTTTCCACTGGCATTGGATTTATCATGGTAGATCACTGGACTCTTCAATTTTAGGTCCCTGTACATCACTATTGCAATTTCTTTTCTTTTTTTCTTTATCTCTCTTCCTTTTTCT
Organism: Homo sapiens; assembly: GCF_000001405.40. Lineage (NCBI taxonomy): Eukaryota > Metazoa > Chordata > Mammalia > Primates > Hominidae > Homo > Homo sapiens. The sequence goes on from NC_000010.11 coordinate 24,994,239, forward strand.
TTATCTCTCTCTTCCTTTTTCCTTCCTTCCTTTCCTTTCTCCCTCCCTTCCTTCATTTCTTCTTGATGCAACTTATTATTCTTTAGAATTCTGCACTCTTTTTTTTTTTTTTTGACACCGAGTCTCGCTCTGTCACCCAGGCTGGAGTGCAGTGACGCGACCTTGGCTCACTGCAACCCCCGCCTCCTGGGATCAAGCGATTCTCGTGCCTTAGCCACCCGAGTAGCTGGGATTACAGGCACACACCACCACGCCTGGCTAATTTTTGTATTTTTAGTAGAGATGGGGTGTCACCATGTTGGCCAAGATGGACTTGAACTCCTGACCTCAAGCAATCCTCCTGGCCTTCTAAAGTGCTGGGATTACAGTTGTGAGCCACTGTGCCCAGCCTGCATTCATATTTTGTGTGTTTCAAGCACTTTTAAGCTTTATAAGTGCGCAAAATAAAGTAGCATTAAATAAGATTTTTTGTAAGCTTTTTTATTTTAAAGATCTGTATTTGGCTGGGTGCAGTGGCTTATGTCTGCAATCCCAGCACTTTGGGAGGCTGAGGTGGGTGGATCACTTGAGGTCAGGAGTCAAGACCAGCCTGGCCAACATGGTGAAACCCCCTGTCTACTAAATATACAAAAAAATAACCAGGCCTGGTGATGCATGCCTGTAATTCCAGCTACTTGGGAGGCTGAGTGAGGAGAATCACTCGAGCCGGAAGTTGGAAGTTGCAGTGAGCTGAGATTGCACCATTGTACTCCAGCCTGGGAAACAGCATGAGAATATGTCTCAAAAAAAATCTATATTTAAACTATAATGTTCACCAATGAAATTACACACCTTTTCAGATACAAATGAAGGACCCAAAAGGACTAGATTATTGTACAGTACTTTCAAGTCTTTACCCAAAACCAAAACCAAATAAATATATTCATGTTAAAATAGGAATGTGAATTATTTATACTACACTGATGAGATGGATGGCTCTAAAGCTGCATTCTGCTTCATTTTTCTTATTCAGCTGCCAAGTTACTGCAATTAATGACTAAATCTTAAGACCATCTGACAGCTTATTCCTTCTAGATTTACAGTAATGACTGCTTTTAGTGACATTTCCAACTAACCAAAAATATCTTTCAGAGAATGTTTATTAAAATTGTTAAATATGTTAATAATCAAAATTAAGGAAAACAATAACTTTTATCTACTGAACTATATGGAATTGTTTACTATGGGTTCTTTGTAACTTCATCCCATTACATTTGGACCAAACACAGATTGCAGAAGAATGAGAATCAGCAAAGTAGACAATGTGTCCAATGAGAGCACTAATAATGATAACATAGATGATCATCATGAACACCATATTTAAATTATTTGAATTTCAGCCCTCTTATTAATATACCACAAGGCTACCTTTTTATTGATGTACTTTGGAACTAGTCCTGAAGGCTCAAGATCATGCTTGTCTCCAGTTCTTTTATCAACATAAATTGGTTTAGGCTTTTTAGCCACTCCCATGATGATATCAGCTGCATTTGTATTTATAAAATTTTTTCCACTCTGTATTCCCATGACAGGATGATCAGTCTTCAATGGCACAGCAGGCTTTTTGGGCACGTTCCGATCAAAGTTTTTTTCTGTTAAATATAACATTTCTTTGTTAATATTAAACTACAAACACTGCTACTCAGTGCTATTTATAATATCCAGATATTTCACCACTTGTATATTGAAGTTGCAGTCATAATATATTTAAATATTTAAGATAGAAGTTTATGCTTACCCCCAAACTCATTGACTTGTAGACATTAAATATGCACAGCTTTTTACCTGTCAATCAGGCCTCAATAAAATAATTTTTTAAAAAGAAAAAAAGTCAGTAATTAAAATGGAAATAAATTAAGGGCAACATAATCAATTAATATGTTGAGGAGGCCGGGCACGGTGGCCCACGGTGACGTGGGCAGATCGCTTGAGCTCAGGAGTCTGAGACCAGTCTCGGCAACACAGTGAAACCCCATCTCTGCAAAAAATGCAAAGTTAGCCAAGCATGATAGTGTGCACCCTTAGTCCCAGCTACTCAGGAGGCTGAGGTGGGAGGATTGCTTCAGCCTGGGAGGCGGAGGTTGCAGTGAACCGAGATCATGCCATTGTACTCCAGCCTGGGTGACGGAGTGAGACTCTGTCTCAAAAAAGATCATATATGTGTGTGTGTGTGTGTGTGTATATATATATATATGAACAGTATATAAATACAAGGAAGAAGTATTTCTTGCTTATTGGCCGTTTTTACACAGCCTCTTCAGTTTGATCATTCCCATTGATCTATTTTAATATAGCCAAATGGTTTGCCACAATGCAAAAATGTGAAATAATTTATTTTTAAGAACTGAAAGCAACAACTGTCTTGAAAATGCCTTTTCCAATTTTAACCCCATCACAATTACTAAGGACTGACTTTATTCATTTCTGCATCATTTGACCTTTTTTATTAGTTTATATAACTTTTATTATCAGCAAAGCCAATACTTACAGTTAAAAGTCTATGAACTGGATTAGCCTCTTGTTAGGGGCTGAGTTATGTCCTCCTAGAATTCATATGTTGAAGCCCTAACCCCCAGTATCTCAGAATATAACTGTATTTGTAGAAAGGTCTTTAAAGAGGTAATTAAGTCAAGATGAGGTCATTAGAGAAGGCGCTGATCCAATATGACTGGTGTCCTTAGAAGAGGAAATTTGAACACAGACATACATATAAGGAAGAACACGTAAAGATACAGAGAAAAGATAACCATCTACAAGCCAATGAGAGATGCTTTAGAAGAAACCAACCCTGCTGCGTGTGGTGTTGCATGCCTGCAGTCCCAGCTACTTGGGAGGCTGAGGCAGGAGGATTGCTTGAAGCCAGGAGTGTGAGGCTGCAGTGTGCTTTCATCATGCCTGTGAATAGCCACCACACACTCCAGCCTGTGCAACATAGACCCTATCTCCAAAAATAAAAACAAACAAAAATACTCCTAAAAAAGAAAAGCAAAAATCAACTAATCCTCTGACATCTTGATGTTGGACTCCTAGTTCTCCAGAACTGTCCTCCAGAACTCTCATTGGACCGAGTTTTTAAAGCTTTTGCAAAACCCTGCATTCCTTTTTTTTTTTTTTTTCCTCTTTTTTTGAGACAGGGTCTCCCTCTGCCACCCAGGCTGGAGTGCAGTGATGCAATCATAGCTCACTGCAGCCTCAACTTCCTGGGCTCAGGTGATCCTCCCACCTGAGCCTCCCATATAGCTGGGACCACAGATGTGCATCAGCACACCTAGCTAATTAAAAAAAATTTTTTATAGAGATAGGGTCTCACTTTGTTGCTCAGGCTGGTCTCGTACTCCTGGGCTAAAGCAGTCCTCCTGTCTTGGCCTCCCAAAGTGCTGGGATTGCAGTCATGAGCCACTGTGCCCAGCCCTAATACCCTGAATTGATGAATTATTCTAAAGGCCAATGAAATTTTGGGTTTGCTTTTGCCTTACAATGTTTACAAAATGATAGGCTTCTTCCTTTTTTCTTATTTGACACAAAGGATTTATATATATATATATATATGTTTGTGTTATATCATATGTTTAACCCTAGAGAGGCTATATGAGGACCCAAGGGATACCAGTGGTCCTAAGGCATTGAAAGCATCAAATTCCATTTTAACATTTTCCTATATTCTCAAATGGTATTGTTGGTCATAGAATGCTGGGTCACAACAGGCCAAGACTAGAGGAAGATACAAAAGAGACTTCTGAAGTCACGAATTAAGCATGAATGTTGTATTTCCACACTTGCTTCTTCCATCTTGCCATCTTGCCTGATAGTGCCCTCACCTTTTTTCATGAGATATGGGTTGAGAGAGGATTTGGGGACATTAAATACTGCCATAAAGAGAAGTAGTTTCACTTTTGTTAAAATGTACATCGCTAGCCGGGCTTGAGATGTTGCATTATTTCCTCAATGCCAGCAGACATAAAAAGCCAACATTTTGAAGAGACAGACTCGTTTCTTTTTTCTTTTCTTTTCTTTTCTTCTCTTCTCTTCTCCTCTCCCCTCCCCTCCCCTCCCTTCCCTCTCTCCCTCCCTTCCTTCCTTCCTCTCTCTCTCTCTCTCTCTCTCTTTCTTTTTTTGAGATGGGGTCTCACTTTGTTGTCCAGGCTAGAAGGCTGTGGCTTGATCATAGCTCACTGCAGTTTCGAACTCTTGGGCTCAAGCGATCCTTCCACATCAGCCTCCAGAGTAGTGAAGACTACAGGTGCATGCCATCACACCTAGCTAATTTTTTTTATTTTAATTTTTTTGTACGGACGGGGTCTTGCTTTGTTGCCCAGGTGCTCTCTTTTCTTTATTGCCCTAAGACATCTGGGAAGACATACTTGGGCTATGAAGAAATTGCTTCCATACATACCTGTCACACATCACTTTTCATCTACTCTCCCTTTCCCTGATAGCTTTCTTTCCTGAAATCATTCAAAAGACTCCATAACTGGGATCAAGTATATAATTTTTGAGGCCCAGTAAAAAATAAAAACACAAGGCTACTTGATCAAAAATTAAAAATTTTAGTACAGCAAGAGCACAGCATTAAAATAAGCATGGGGCCCTAAGCTGGTTCTACCACTTATTCATGAAGTCTCCTCCATTACATCTAACTCATTGCAGTCCAGTTAGTCTTAAAGGTCTGGGAGAGTAAAAGCCCGTACTCAAAATGAGCCCAGTAGTTGCTTCAACAACTGGTAGTAATGGTTGTAATTTTCATCTCTTGGAGAAAAGGCCAGACAGGGTTTAGATGCTGGGCAATCTTGCCCATTAGTCAGATACTGTCCCTGGGGTCTTGACTTTTCCTATAATTGTTGTTTATAATTGAAGCCCCACAGCTAGGGACTAAGATGGTGATGCATGTGGGCTTCATTGGATAGTCCAAACCCAATCTAAAGTCTATTCTGGGGGCAATTTATCACACTCCATTCTATTTTTCTACCCAATTCTCTACTTCCACTTTCTCCTAGTCAAATTCTGTTTAATATGAGGTAAAGCTGCTATCACCTGTGCATGTTTAATATTCATCAACAATAAAATAATAGTTAAATCACCTGCTAATGCTTTTAATATTAAAAATAAAGCATGATAAAACCTACTGGGTGGTAGAGTTTTTTCCTTTGAATGTTTCTTTAGGAAATCCTTTGGAGAAGGTACTTCAACTTTTGCTGGTCCCATAGTTTTCATTGCAGTTTTAGCTTTTTGCATGTCATCTTTTACAGTTGCCTTAAAAATGGATATGTACCTAAAATTGAATTTTAAAAGTTGTAGCATTTATACTTCTAGTAAAAATTACCTAAAGTTTACTTAAAGTTTAAATCTTACATTTTTAATTTATTTAAGTCTATATTCGTATGGAAAAGCATAATCATAAAACATACTTACCTGAGCCCTGTCCATCAGACTTAGATAAACTAGATGGAAGCTCTGCCCTAAGAAAGAGGTGCTAGGGCAAAAGTGTTCATAGTATTTCCTTATTATCCTTTGAACATCTGTAGCATCGATAGTGATGTCACCCCTCTCATTCTTGATGTTAGTAATTTGTGTTCTCTGTCTTTCTCTGCTGATCAGTCTGGCTAGGGGTCTATTAATTTTATGAATCTTCTTATAGAACCAGAATTTCATTGATTTTCTCCAATGTTCATGTTTTCCATTTCAATGATATCTGTGCTTATCTTTATTATTTCTTCTTACTTTGGTTTTAATTTGTTTTTCTTTTTTTACTTTCTTAAGATACAAGTTTAGGTTTTTTATTTTGAACTTTAATACTTTTGATGTCTTCTTTGATTTAGAAGTTTGTTTAGACATGCTTAGTTTTCATAGATTTGGGATTTTCCAGATATCTAATTGATTTCAGATATATTTCTATTGTGGTTAGAGAATATACTTTGTATGATTTCAATTCCTTTGAATTTTCTGACATTTGTTTTATGGCACAAAGTATGTTCTATTTTAGTAAATGTTCTGTATACACTTGAAAAGAAAGTATGTTGTGCCGCTGTTGGCTGGAGTGTTCTATAAATGACAACTAGGTCAAACTGAAAGTATCTTCAAATGTTCTGTATCCTTCCTGATTTTGTCTATTCTACTAATTATTGAAAGAGAGATGTTAAGGTCTCTGACTGTAATTGTGGATTTGGCTATTTCTTCTTTCAATTAAAATAGTTTTTGCTTTATGTATTTTGAAACTCTGTTTGTAGGTGCATAGCATTTAGGATTGTTATATCTTCTTGAAAAACAGATCACTTCATCACTATAAAATAACACTCTATTCCTTTTAAAATTCTGTGCTCTAGAATCTACTCTGTCTGACATTATGGTAGCTAATCAAGCATCCCTTTGATTTGTAATAGTATATGTTTTTCCATTCTTGGACTTTCTACTTGTTGGAGTTTTCCTATAGACTGCATAGAAATTTTATCCAGCCACCAATCACTTTTGTTTGGTATGTTTATACCTTTCACTTTTAATGTGATTATAAAAATTTGTTTCTGCTTAAAGTTTCCAGCTTGCTGTTTTTTTACATATCCCCTTGCTCATTCTATCTTGCTTTTCATTTTGTTTTGTTTGGTTTGGTTTTATGGAAACTGTAGCTTTACAGTATACAGGTTTAACTTATCAGAGCCTACTTTCAAGCAATATTATAGCATTTAACATGTGGTATGAGAACCTTTCAAAAGAATACTTGCATCCAACCCCACTCTTGTCTTAGTGTTGTAATATATTTTACTTTTCTGTGTGGTATAAAATCCATAAATAATTGTGATTATGTTCCCTTTATATAATTGTATTTTAAATACATTTGAAAAAATCTTGAATATTTACCCATATATTTGCCATTTCCAGTGTTCTTCATTCTGCTGTATAAGTCCAAATTTCTAACTGGTACCATTCCTTCTCCATAAAGGACATTTTTAAACTTCTGGCTTCCATCGTTTCTAAAGATAAATTTACTGTCCTTTTTTCTTCTTCTTCTATATAATTTTTCTTTTTTTTCCTCTGGCTGTTTTAAACTTTTTTTCTCTTTATTAATAGTTTTAATAAATTTGATGGTAATGTCTCTTGGTATTCTTTTTTCTACTTGGGGTTAACTGTGATTCTTGGATTTTTGGATTTTGAGATTTCATCAAATTTGACAATTTTTTTACCTTTATTCAAATATTTCTTCTGTTTCCTCATCCGTTTTCTCCTCTTCCATGATTCTTTGACTGCTTGATATTGTTCAAGCCTCATTGATTCTCTGCTTTCTTTTTCAGTCTATTTTTTCTCTGTATTTCATTTTGCATTGTTCTATTACTGTGTCTTCAAATTCATCTAAATTTTCTTTTTCAGTGTCTTAGCTGCGTTAATCCAATCTATTACATGTAGCTACATTTTGTATATGGTATTCTTTATGGTTAGAAGTTAGATTTGGATCTCTCCTTCCATTTCTTTCCCCATCTTGGTTCATGCTTTCTTCTACCTTTTGAATACATGATGAATATTTAAAATAACTGTTTTAAGGTCTTGTCTACTGATTCTCTAATCTGTGTCATTTCTGTGTCTGTCTTTACTATGTTTTCTCTTGGTTATGCATTATATTTTCCTGCTTCTTTGCATGCCTGGTAATTTTTGATTGGATGCCAAACATTGTGAATTTTACATTGTTTGTTGCTGAATTTTTCTCTTCTTTTTCTCTTTCTGGTGTTCTTTAAATTTCTTCCTTAGCTTTTTTCTGGGATTCAGTTATGATAGTTGGAAACAGTGTGATCATTTTAAGGCTTGCTTTAAGTGTTAGGGTAATTCCACAAGTGCTTTTAGTCTATTTCTAATTTGGCCCCACTACTGAGGCAATATACTTCTGAGTGCACTACTCAATGCCCTGTGTATTAGGAGGTGTCTCCACCTGGGCTGGTGGGAACACGAACTTTACCTGGCACTACTGCTTTCTGTTGGTTATTTACTTGGCCTTGGTTGTTTCATTACATACATGTGCTATCAACCAAAGACTTTAGGGAACTCCTTGTTCATATTTCCACAGTCCTCTCTCTATGCAACTCTCCTCTCTGGTACTCTGTGCTGTGAATTCTAGCAGCTTTGGCCTTTGCAAACTCTGAATTCTGTCTCCTTAACTCAGGGAGACTCCTAGGCTTTGTTTTAATTTTTTCTTCTGGATCTTGGCCTGGAATTTCTCTCCAGAGAGTATGCTGGGGCAGTCGTAGGGCTTGCCTCATTTGTTTCTCTTCTTTTATAGATGACCACTCTATGTTGTTTATTGTTCAGAGTCTGATAACTGTTGTTTCATATATTTTTTTTCTGGTGTTCTAGTTGTTTAAGTCAAGAAGATAAATCCCATTTTTGGTTGAAAGCAGTTCAGCTATACCGCTTTTGTAACAACTTGTATTATCTTCTTCCTTATGTAGATAAATTTGTTTGAAGAAACATTATTGTTTTTTTCCTTTTAGGAGCCTTGCCTCAATCCTGAACTTAAAGGCTGGGAATCAATTATAGTCCAAACTGAATGAGCTCATTAGATAGTTTCAAGAAATAATGTTCAAACCAAATCTGTGCCTTAAAATGCCCACAGAAGTTGGGGCTGGCAGATATGGTCTCGTGATTAATAAGATAATTTCATTTGGGGTAAAAAAAAAAGGTGTCTTTACTTCCACCTCTTTTAAATTTGTAAACCCATGATTCAATATATTTTTGTGTAGGTATATGAACTGAAAGCCTGTCCATCTATTATAGAAAATAAGATACTCTATTTTATATAAATGATATTTTCCAAATTACAAAAATAACATTAAGTAAATTAAAATCTATGTCTCCTCCATCTCTCCAATAAATTTTCCAGAATAAATTCAATTTCAGTGTTTCTTTAATTAATTAATTAATTAATTAATTTATTTATTTATTCATTTATTTTTTGCCCGCTCTGTTGCCCAGGCTGGAGTGCAGTGGTGTTGCCCAGGCTGGAGTGCAGTGGTGTGATCTTAGCTCACTGTAACCTCTGTCTCCTGGGTTCAAATGATTCTCATGCCTCTGCCTCCTGAGTAGCTGGGACTACAGGCATGCACCGCCATGCCTGGCTAATTTTTGTATTTTTAGTAGAGACAGGGTTTTACCACGTTGGCCAGGCTGGTCTGGAAATCCTGGCCTCAAGTGATCCACCTGCCTTGGCCTTCCAAAGTGCTGGGATAACAGATGTGAGCCACTGCGCCAAGCCTGTGTTTCTATTTCTGTAAGAATTGCAACTAGATTTTTAAAACTTAATATAGTGTGATATCTTAATACACATAAATCTTATTCTTTCTGTTAAATAGCTGCATTTTACTCCATTTTCTGAATGGTGTGGTTTTATTACAAAGATCTAGTGGTGACTTTATTAGATAATTGGCTCTATTTTCTTTTAAGTTCAGGGATACATGTGCAGATTTGTTATATAGGTAAACATGCATTACGGGGGTTTGTTGTACAGATTATTTCATCACCCAGGTATTAAACCTAGTACTCATTACTTGTTTTTCCTGATCCTCTCCCTCCTTCCACCCCCAGCCTCCGATAGGCCCCAGGGTGTGTTGTTCCCCTCCATGTGTTCATGTGTTATCACCATTTAGCTCTCACTTTAAGTGAGAATTTAGCAGTATTTTGGTTTCATGTTCCTGTGTTAGTTTGCTAAGGATAATGGCCTCCAGCCAGTATTACTGCAGCACTATTGTGTGGGACTCTGAACTCTGGAGACTAGGCTGTGTTAGAAAGTTATCCAAATTATTTATTGGATAATTTTTACATGTACACATCCATGTCCCTGCAAAGAATACGATCTCATTCTTGTTTTATGGCTGAATAGTATCCCATGGTGTATATGTATCACCTTTTCTTTATCCAGTCTATCACTGATGGGCATTTAGGTTGATTCCATGTCTTTGCTACTGTGAATAGTGCTGCAATGAACCTAGGCATGCATGTGTCTTTATAATAGAACAATTTCTATTCCTTTGGGTATATATCCAGTTATGGGATTGCTGGGTTGAATGGTATTCCCATCTTTAGGTCTTTGAGGAATTGCCACACTGTCTTCCACAATGGTTGAACTAATTTACACTCCCATCAGCAGTGAGTAAGTGTTCCTTTTTCTCCACAACCTCACCAGTATCTTTTGAATAATGGCCATTCTGATTGGTGTGAGATGGTATCTCATTGTAGTTTTGATTTGCATTTCTCTAATGATCAGTGATGTTAAGCTTTTCTTCATATGCTTGTTGGTCACATGTATGTCTTCTTTTGAGAAGTGTCTGTTCATTTCCTTTGCCAACTTTTTAATAGCATTATTTGTTTTGTTCTTGTAAATTTGTTTAAGTTTCTTATAGATGCTGGATATTAGACCTTTGTCAGATGCATAGTTTGCAAAAATTTTCTCCCATTCTGTAGGTTGTTTACTCTGTTGATGGTTTCTTTTCCTGTGCAGAAGCTCTTTACTTTAATTAGATCCCATATGTCAATTTTTGCTTTTGTTGCCACTGCTTTTGGCATCTTCATCATTAAATCTTTGCCCGTGCCTATGTCCTGAATGGTATTGCCTAGGTTGTCTTCCAGGATTTTTATAGTTTTGGGTTTTACGTTTAAGTCTTTAATCCATCTTGAGTTAATTTTTGTATATGGTGAGAGGAATGGGTCCAGTTTCATTCTTCTGCATATGGCTAGCCAGTTCTCCCAGCACCATTTATTGAATATGAAGTCCTTCCCATTGCTTGTGTTTGTCGGGTTTGTCAAGGATCAGATACTTGTAAGTGGGCAGTCTTATTTCTGGGTTCTCTATTCTGTTCTATTGATCTCTGTGTCTGTTCTTGTACCAGTACCATGCTGTTTTGGTTACTGCAGCCCTGTAGTATAGTTTGAAGTCAGGCAGTGTCATGGATAATTGGCTCTATTTTCTATTTATTATTAGAATTATGAGATATGGGCTAAAGATAAGTTATTCTCAAACTAAAATTGTCATCTTCAGAAAACATACCAAAACTATATTTTACCATACAGTTAAGATTAGACTTACTAATCACCATATAGTAAGTCCCATCATTAAGACAGTAAATTTACATTTTAAAAACCATTTATTTCAAAGGGCACACAAGGAAATGATATTACTCAAAAAGCTGGGATAGTTTGAAAGTGCTTAATTGAGATTTTTTTTTCCTCTAATGGGCAAAATAGGCATCAAGGATTAACAACTTTTCTTTTTCAATTTTTCCCAGTATTACTGCAGCATTACACTATCGTGTGGAACTCTGAACTCTGGAGCCTAGGCTGTGTTAGAAAGCTATCCAAATTATTTCTTGAGGAGAATTTTTACACGTACACAGATATCCCTTAAGTCCACCTACAGACTTGAAATGAGAGTGTTCAATTCAGGCTCATGTCTATATCAAGTAACTAAATTTTCAAAAATGGATGCCAATTCTTCCCCCAGCCTGGTTGTCTGTCATAGCTCTGATCTGCACTTACTTGACAACACAGGCATATGTCATTGAGTATAATGATGATCTTAGTGCTGCTCAGTACCTCTCACAAGCTGTTGAGTGAAATAATATGTGGAATATCAAAAGAGTATGTAGTTAATGTATTCATCTACATCTGTGCTGTGTAATATAGCCACATGTGGATATTGAGCACTTGAAATGTGGCTGGTGCCACATGCGGAAATCATAGTATTTTAGATAAATTGCATTAAATAAACTACATAAAGTAAATTTTTCGTTATTTCTACTTTTTAAAAGTGATTAGAAAAATTTAAATTACATACATGACTCTCATTACATTTCTATTAGACTGTGCTGATCTAGATAGCAGGAAAATCTATCCTTGAATTAAACTATGCAGTCAGATAGCTGCACACCCAGAGCACAACACATTGCTGTCTCCAAAACTGCTTTTGTTTAGTTATGTTATCGTACTGGAACACTGGTCTATAATGAGGGCAACAGTAGACTTATGAAACTCAGCAGATTTAATGTAGAAGTGCGGCTGAAATCTTTATTGTATTACACACATGGTCTCCTCTCTCCGTGAATCCTGGAGGAAGTGTATTTGTGGCAGCACACCGAGAACATTTGTGCTCCTCTGTGACTACTGCTTTGCTTTTGTCTTTGGACAATATGACTTAGAGTGTAATTGATTTTTAAAGAAGCATGGGAAGGATCTTTCTTCCTTGATGGGCTGGCTGCTTAACTAATAGAGTCAAATTTGTTTCAGACTTTAAGCAAACGTGCATGATTGTGAAGCATACATTTCATGTAGGTCCTCATTTGTAGCTCTACCTTACTTTTCTATCATAATTTCCCATTTGCTTTGATAGCCTCATCAAAAAAAACCTCACTGCATTAGAACAAGGTTGTGTATAAACACGAAATAGTATCTGATATATAATAAATTATCAAAAACTAAACAATTATAGATGTTACTGAAGCAAAAAGGACTCAGTTTGTTTTACTGTCTCAGGCTAAAAGAACTGTGCAAACCAATTAAACTTACGAGCTTTGGTATTAGATTTGTGTCTCGATCTCAGCCCTTGTTTTTCCTCATTGCCTCAACTTCTGGGCCTGAGATTTTTCTTCTGTAACAATGGGATAATACTACTTATCCCATAGGATTCTTGTGAAAAAGATCAATAACTGGCACGTTTTAAATTCTAATACATTGAACATATTGCTATTAATAGTATTCTTGTGGTTATGAATATTGGATATCCATCCTGATAAAACGTTTAAAAATTGAAACTGTTTAACCCTTTACTTGATTTTACCTGTGTCCTGGCAGACACAGTCTTATTCTGTAAAAATTTGAGTCATCATGTCTAGACAGTGATTATAACAGACTGACATATTTCCCTGATCTGTAAAAATGAATTCTCATATACAATATATTGTTAGTATTGCTTAAGATATTAAACCTTGTTCTGTAACCGAATAATCTAAAAAATGAGTCTAACGTTCACAAAAGCTCACTTATACATTTCCCTGGCAACTGATTTTAAGGAGTATTGTTGTCATATTTTCTTCTCTCAACATTTTTATGTATATATGAAATGCCAGAGAGGTGTGCTAATGCCTTTTACCACGTTATATTATGTATAGGTTTCTTATTTATTTATTTATTTGTTTGTTTGTTTATTTATTGAGATGGAGTCTCGCACTTTCACCCAGGCTGGAGTGCAGAGGCGCCATCTCGGCTCACTGCAAGCTCCGCCTCCCGGGTTCACACCATTCTCCTGCCTCAGCCTCCAGAGTAGCTGGGACTACAGGCGCCCGCCACCACACCCGGGTAATTTTTTGTATTTTTAGTAGAGACGGGGTTTCACCATGTTAGCCAGGATGTTCTCGATCTCCTGACCTCATGACCCGCCTGCCTCGGCCTCCCAAAGTGCTGGGATTACAGGCTTGAGCGACTGCGCCCAGCCACGTATAGATTTCTGAATTATAGGCAGTAACTCAAAATAAACATTAAGCCAGTAAATGCATATGGAAGCCACAATGTTCCTTGCTGAAAAAAATCCTGTATCTGGTTGTCTCTCCCCTCACCCATATGCCTGAAGGGAAAGGTGCCTTTTGAATTATCCTGTCAACCACATAGTTTTCCAGGCCTTCAATTGTAATTCTACTAATTATAACACATCTTCATTTGTGTGCCTGTGATATATTATATATATGTATATATAATATATAATATGAATAAATATAAATATATGAGATATATAAGCATGAGAAGGGCAGTTGGACAAAATGTAAGAGATGAAGAGAAGTAGTCTTGTGGGTCTGTAGAGACTGCCTAGCCAGATGAAAAATACATTCTAACACTTAAATTCTAACACTAAACACTTAAAACACTAAAATAGCTTCTAACACTACTCATAATACTAAGAGACCATATATTGCAGCAATGGGAATTTTAGCATAAAATGTCATCATGACAAACAAAAAGAGACTTTGGAATAGTCTAGACTTTCTTTGAATATAAGTTAATTAAAAAGGGTTACTGTTTTCCTTGATTAAATTCTTGGCTGTAATTAGTTAGCAAAGTGGGTAAGACAAGAAACTCTGGATCAGGAGAAAATGACCATGTCACCTAAGAGTTCCTAATAGTCAAGGAACAGATTTCTCAGCAAAGTCAGATACATAACCATACTTTAAACAAAGAGATGTTATAAAGACTTCAGAACATGTAAGTGTTAACAGTATTGACACTGAATAAAGCAGAAAGTAGTCCAAGAAGGATGGGAAGCTCCAAAAATGAAACACTGATTATGTGTTACAATTAATCACAATGAAAAACAGAACCACATTAAACAAAAACTAATGCTGTTCACTGCATTAAATACACTGTTGGTGGGACTGTCAACTAGTTCAACCGTTGTGGAAGTGTGGCGATTCCTCAGGGATCTAGAACTAGAAATACCATTTGACCCAGCCATCCCATTACTGGGTATATACCCAAAGGACCATAAATCATGCTGCTATAAAGACACATGCACACGTATGTTTATTGTGGCACTATTCACAATAGCAAAGACTTGGAACCAACCCAAATGTCCAACAACGATAGACTGGATTAAGAAAATGTGGCACATATATACCATGGAATACTATGCAGCCATAAAAAATGATGAGTTCATGTCCTTTGTAGGGACATGGATGAAGCTAGAAACCATCATTCTCAGCAAACTATCACAAGGACAAAAAACCAAACACCGCATGTTCTCACTCATAGGTGGGAATTGAACAGTGAGAACACATGGACACAGGAAGGGGAACATCACACACCGGGGACTGTTGTGGGGTGGGAGGAGAGGGGAGGGATAGCATTAGGAGATATACCTAACGTAAATGATGAGTTAATGGGTGCAACACACCAACATGGCACATGTATACATATGTAACAAACCTGCACATTGTGCATATGTACCCTAAACCTTAGAGTATAATAAAAAAAAAAGTATGCATGCAGAAATTCTACACTGGTGAGCCTGAGGACAATTTCTGTAAGAGTTGTAGAGAGAATTTTTATTACATTCATAGAGAAGCAATGATTGCATAAGGCCATTTGGAGTTTCAGTCACCACAAATGAAAATCAATTAAAAAATAAGATTATGTGATTAATAGATTAGGGAAATATTTTAGACATAATAATTTGCATGTTGATGTTAGCAGAGAATCTTGTTAAATCCTTGTTGATAAGGTAGAGAAATATGAGTTAATAGGTTTACTTTGGTGACTGAACACTCAAAAGTATTGCTATCAGCCTAGAGAGAGGTGTCTAGTAGCCTAGCAAAGTACTTGCCATGTGATATGGTTTTGCTGTGTCCCCATCCAAATCTCATCTTGAATTGTAGCTCCCATAATTCCTATATATTGTGGGAGGGACCCAGTGGGAGGTAAGTGAATCATGGGGGTAGGTCTTTCCCATGCTGTTCTTGGGATAGTGAATAAGTCACATAAGATCTGATGGTTTTATAAAGAGGCGTTCCCCTGCACACACTCTCGTTTCCCACTATGTAAGATGTGACTTTGTTCCTCCTTCACCTTCTCCCATGATTGTGAGGCCTCCCCAGCCATGTGGAACTGCGAGTCAAACCTCTTTCCTTTATAAATTACCTACTCTTGGGTATGTACTTATCAGTAGTATGAGAACAGACTAATAGAGTAAATTGGTACCAGTAGAGTGGGATG